>NC_000002.12:62917625-63542625 GCF_000001405.40 Homo sapiens
CAGTTTATATATGATTTAGTTATATTAAATTTACAGAACTGAATTGATTTTCACTTGTTTATAACAAAATCAGCCATAGGAAGAAATTGCATGGCTAAATCATGCTTTCCTATCTGTGAGAAATTGCCTGAATAAAAGCAGCCAGACTTTTTCATTCTTGGACCAGCAAAATGTATAGGAGCATAACAGACCTACAGAGGAATGTCTCCCAGCACTTTGATTTCTGATTTATTCTGGTTTCGTTTGTTTAGTTTTTAGGAACTATTGTGTTCCTTCTTTTTTTTTTTTTTAGATGTTATCTCACTTTGTCGCCCAGGCTGGAGTGCAGTGGCATGATCTCAGCTCACTGCAACCTCCGCCTCCAAGGTTCAAGCAATTCTCTTGCCTCAGCTTCCTGAGTAGCTGGAATTACAGGCATTTGCCACCACACCCGGCTAATTTTTCTATTTTTAGTAGAGATGGAGTTTTGCCATGTTGGCCAGACTGGTCTCAAGCTCCTGACCTCAAGTGATCCACCCGCCTCAGCCTCCCAAACTGCTGGGTTTGCAGGCGTGAGCCACCACTCCCGGCCTATTGTGTTTTTTTTCACTGCCTATATCATAATCATTAAACCTGGAATTTCTTTCTCTCTACTACTCTTTGATTTACAACTACCGTAGTAAATTTAAAATAAATAATTGTAGTACGGGCTGCTGGTCCAAATGAGGCACTTATAGAGCCCAAATGCTCTGTTATGGAATAGAATTTTGCATATTTTATTTGCTGTTTTTATAGGCAGATAATCATACAGTATCCCTTTGTGATTCTAGCAAACTCGGCATCACAATATATTAAATTAATGGCTACAGACTACTCAAGGCCCCAAAAGGAAACATCAGGGATATAAATATAACCTGCAAGCATCTCTAGTTTGCTGTGCCCTACATCTTTTCATCCTCTTTACTCTTCTCTAATGACATAACAAGGAAATTTTTCTGAAAATGGTGCTTTAGTTTAGGGTCTTGAATTTAAACTTATGCCCCTAGTTAGTCTTATGATCCTCATTTTACATTGATTCACTGAAAGCTAAAGTTGGTTGATTTGGTCATTTAAAAATATGACAATTCCTGGACATGCATATCTGCATTGTCTACGATAGTGGTTCTCAAACTTATTGGTCTCAAGACCTCTTTATGCTCTTAAAAGTTTTTAAGGAGGTAGAGGATTCTGAGAAAATAACGGGGTAGCAAGCACCAGGAATCTCTCTCCCAACCGAGACAACATTTGCACTGGCAGAATCTGCCAGATGTAACTATTTTGGAAACCTGGGGTCTATTGAAGCCTTCCAGGAGAGCCCTTAGATAGTAATTGTAGTCAATTTTGGTCGGTTTCAGCTCTTAGCTCAGCAGTGGCTATCCATCCCTGATTCTCCAGCTTCATGGCAGGCAGTCATGTAGGTGTTCCTGGAATAGCTTGCACAGAGCTTGTAGAAGCCAAGGTGGGAAATAAGGACCTTATCTTTCAAATATCCGAAATTTGTTCTCTTATTGCTGATTGCTGCCTCTGATACAGAAGTGCAGGCAAAGAGGTGGTGGCCATTGTTGCTGTACTTCCCTCTTTTTGGTGTAAGCCCCTGTCTGCTCTTGCTGATTGAAGTGACTTCCGGGGGACTTAAAGGGCAAGCACCTTTTGTTTTTCTCTTCATTTATCTCTTTTTCCCCTTTTGGGAGACAGGCATTGAAGACTAGACTATTCAAAAGCAACCATATATATAGGGGAAATTATGAAGTCACTGTGTTTGTCCAGGGAAAGGCACAGGTACAGAAAAGACCTGAGATGATTTTAGTTTGTACCTCAGACTAATCCTCAGTACAGGAACCACCTACAATTTTTTTTAAGCACAAACAAATAACAGGTGGGGAAAGGGAAGAATCTGATTTCTAGAAGGGAATAATGACTTTTAGAGTTATCACATTATTAGATTCCAATGTCTGTTTTTTAATGAAAAGTCATAAAGCATACAAACAAACAGAAAATTGTGGCCCATTCAAAGGAAAGAAACCAAGAGGAACTGTACCTGAGAAAGATCTAATGTCAGATCTACTACACAAAGACTCTAAAGTAGTGTTCTAAAAGACACTCAAAGTACTGAACATATGGAGAGAATTTTATAAAAAGAGATACCTGAACCAAATGGAAATATTAATAAAGAAAAAACTTTAAAAGAAATGAAAAAAATTCTGGAACTGAAAAGTACAATAACTGAAACAAAAAAATATTCACTAGAGGGATTCAAAGGCATATTTGAGCAGGCAGAAGAGAGAATCATAGGACAATAAAAGTTAAGGTTGAAGAAAAGGGAACACAGCCTAAAGTACCTGTGAGACACCATCAACTAAACCAACATACACATTTTGGGATTCCCGGGAGTGGAAAAGACAGAGAAAGGGAGAGATAATATTTGAAGAGATAATGGCTAAAACTTCCCAAATTTCATGAAAGACATGAATGTAAACATCTAAGATTAACAAGTTCCAAGTAGGATGAACTCAAAAAGTCCTACACTAAAACTCATTATAATCATTCAACACTGTTGAATGACAAAGAGAATTTTGAAAGCAGCAAGAGAGAAGTGACTCATCAGAAAGGATCCTCATATCAGCAGATTTCTCATCAGTAACTTTTGAGACCAGAAGGCAGTAGACTGATATGATATATTCAAACTGCTAAAAGACAAAAAAACTGCCAACCAAGAATCCTATATCTGAAAAAAACTGCCCTTCAAAAATGAGGGAGAAATTAAGACATTCTCAGATTAACCAAAGCTAAGGGAATGTATTACAACTAGGTTTGCCCTGCAAGAAGTGCTAAATGGAATCCTAAATGTTGAAATGAAAGGGTATTAGTAACCCAAAGACATGTAAAATAATAAAGATCCCAGAAAAGGTAGATAGGTGGGCAATTATAAAAGCTGGTGTTATTGTAACAATGGTGTAAACATAATTTAAGAGATGAATGCATTAATTTAAGAGATTCAGGCATATTCTGATTAATCATATTTTTTTTTTCTTTTTTTGAGACAGAGTCTCTCTGTGTCACCTGGGGTAGAGTGCAATGACGTGATTTCTGCTCACTGCAACCTCTGCCTTCTGGGTTCAGGCAATTCTCCTGCCTCAGCCTTCCGAGTAGCTGCGATTACAGGCATATACCACCATGCCTGGCTAATTTTTGTGGGGTTTTTTTAAGTAGAGTTGGGTTTTCACCATGTTGGCCAGGCTGGTCTCGAATTCCTGACCTCAAATGATCTGCCTGCCTTGGCCTCCCACAGTTCTTAGATTACAGGCATGAGCCACTGCGCCTGGCCTGATTAATCATAATTAGATTAATTAATGCAAAATTCTGTTTGGATAAACAGTGTGTAAAGATGTAATTTTGATATCAACAGCTAAAAGGTTATTGATGGAGCTATTAGAAGAGAAGCTGTTAGAAGTTACTGAAGTTAAACTGGTATGAATTCAAATTACAGTGTTATAATTTTAGGATGTTAAATGTAATCCAAAGCTGGGCATGGTGGCTCATGCCTGTAATCCCAGCACTTTGGGAGGCTGAGGCGGGCGGATCACTTGAGCTCACAAGTTTGAGACCAGCCTGGGCAACATAGCGAAACCCCATCTTTACAAAAAATACAAAAATTTGTCAGGCATGGTGCATGTGCCTGTAGCCCCAGCTGCTCAGGAGGCTGAGGTAGGAGGATGGCTTTAGCCTGGGAGGCAGAGGTTGCAGTGAGCCAAGATTGCACCACTGCACTCCAGCCTAGGAGACAGAGCCAGACCTTGTCTCAAAAAAGAAAAAAAAAAAAGTAATCCCCATGATAACCACAAAGAAAATAACAAAAGAACATACGCTAAAGGAAATGAGAAAGAAATTTTAAAATTTCACTCTGGAAAAAAAAAATACACACAAAAGAAGGCAATAATGTAGGAAATGAAGGACAAAAAAGACTATGAGGCATACAGAAAACAACTAGCAAAATGATGGAAGTAAGTCCCTTCTTATCACAAATTACAGTAGACCACTCGACAATGTAGGGATTAGGGATACCAACCCCCATGCAGTTGAAAATTTGTGTGTAGCTTTTGTCCCCATGTAAACTTAATTACTAATTATCTACTCTTGACCAGAACAGACCCATAACATAAATAGTCAAGGAATACATTTTGTATGTTTTATGTATGTATACTTTATTCTTACAGTTAAATGAGCTAGAGAAAAGAAGATGGTAAGAAAATCTGCCAGGCGTGGTGGCTCACGCCTGTAATGCCAGCACTTCGGGAGGCTGAGACAGGTGTATCATGAGGTCAGGAGTTCAAGACCAGCCTGGCCAAGATGGTGAAAACCCGTGTTTACTAAAACTGCAAAAATTAGCCAGGCATGGTGGCAGGCACCTGTAATCCCAGCTACTCAGGAGGCTGAGGCAGGAGAATCGCTTGCACCTGGGAGGTGGAGGTTGCAGTGAGCGGAGATCGCACCACTGCACTCCAGCCTGAGCGACAGAGCAAGACTCCGTCTCAAAGAAAAAAAATCATAATGAAGAGAAAATATATTCAGTATTAAAGGTCTTTGTCCTTTTCATCTTTATGTTGAGTAAGCTGAGGACAAAGAAGGGTTGGTCTTGCTGTCTTGGGGTGGCAGAGGCAAAAGAAAGTTCAAGTATTAGTGGACCCACACAGCTCAAACCCATGTTGTTCAAGAGTCATCTGTACTTCAAATGGATTAAACCCTCCAAAGGTAGACTTTGGTGGAATGGGTGAAAACACGTGATCTAATAATTGCTGTCTACAGGAGACTCACTTTGTATCCAAAGACACAAATACGTTGAAAGTGAAAAGACAGAAAAGAATAATCCACGTAAATAGTAACCAGGATGCTTATACTAATATCAGACAAAATGGACTAAATTTAAAAAGGTTATAGGGAAGATGCAGGAATGACATCAGCAAGATGGCAGACTAGAGACACCTGGCATTCATCTTCCCTACAAGAAAGAATAAATACAAGGAATAAATAGCCAAGATTTGACAGGAGTGTCAAAGAAAGAGCAGTGGAGTACAGCAGTGGAGTGGAGAAACACCTATGGTGATAGGAAGTCCAGGAGGGCAGCATGAAGGCAGCCAGTCTCTGCAGTCCTGTCTCCCTTCCATTCCTTAGGATTTAATCAACCTGGAGTCAGGAGAGAACTTCTTGTTGTGGGTAACAGGTAAGCAGAAGATCTCCATTAACCCCCATTGCCACTGCAAACACCTTACAACAGTATAGTTGTTACAACAGGAGAATCCCACAGTCTCCATTTGGATAGCTACCAGGAAATCATGCAGCTGCATTGCCCCAGTTAAGAGCATAAGGTGTGCACTCCCCATACTTCACCCACCTCCTATGAGCCAAGCTCCTGAAGCATGGTGACATCTTGAGACCAGGGACACCTCTGAAGTGTGCCCTTCTCTGGGGGCACATAGTCACTGCACCTGTCTAACACTGGGGCTCCATCTTCATTCCTCCAAACCTACACCAGTGGCTGAACACCACAACCTCAGCAATACAAAATCTGGACCCAAGATTGGCTATGACATTGGTCCTGCAAAGCATGAAAACCAACTCTCACTACCCTCACTTCCAGCCAGAGGAACAGCCTGGCAGTCTTGCCCAGGGTGAACCTACCCATGAGCTGGCCAAATAGCCACATGCCCATCTTCATAGGGGAGAGGCCCTCAAGCCTCTGAACAGCTGACATTCTCAGGCTGGCAGAGCAGCTATGTGATTGCACCCTGAGAAATAACACTGAGGTGCCCCACCCTCTACAGAAAAGTCCCTGACCTGCCAATTGGCCCCATGCCCACAGCAAGAGCCTGAGAAACATCTCTGCAGGCTGGCCCTGGCAGAAACACTCCCAGGTCATCCAAGCAGCTTTGCACCCATGCCCCAGGAGTGAGAAGTAGCTCTACATGCTGCCTCTGGCAAGGAGCTCCCAGGCTGCCTACACAGCTATGTGCCAGCATCCCAGGCCTGAGAGGCAATCTTAGGAGCATAAGGTGTGCAGTCCCCATAACCCACCAACCCTCTATGACCCAAGAAACACTCCGAGGCCTAAGAAGCAACTTTGCAGTTCACCCCTGGCAGGCATGCCCCAGACCAACCAAATAGCCTTGCACCTGTGTACTAGGACTGCAAAACAGTCCTGTGGGCCACACCTGGCAAACACACCCCCAAACCAGCTGACTGCATCATGGCCCTGAGAAGCAACTCTGCGATCCACCTCCAGTGGACACATCAACAGGCCAACTGAGCAGCTATGTGTCTGTGTCTCAAGTCTGAGAAACAGCCTCATGGGTCCCTACCCAGTAGACACAACCTAAGGCCAGCTGAACAGCTTGTACCCATATCCCAAGCCTGAGAAACAGCCATCCTGTGGATCGCCCCCAGCAAACATGCCTTTAGGCCAGCTGAGGAGCCATGTACCAGCATATCATGCCTGAGAAACAGCCCCACAGGCAACCCCTGGTGGGCATACCCCCAGGTTCAATGAACAGCCCTATGCTTGTTCTCCCAGCCAAAGTAACCTATGGCCACAGGAGAAGCAGTAGTAAATGGCAAGTTTATAGCAATAAATGCCTACATCAAAAAATGAGGAAGAGTTCTAATAAACAACCTAACAATGCACTAGAAAAGCAAGAGCAAACCAAAACATTGTAAAAGAAATAATAAAGATCAGAGCAGAGATAAATGAAATTGAGACTGAAAAAATACAGAAGTTCAATGAAACAAAAAGTTGATTTTTTGAAAAGATAAACGAAATCAACACACCATTAGCTAGACTGGGAAAAAAGAGAGAAGACCCAAATAAATCAGAAATGAAAAAGGAGACATCACAACAGATACCACAGAAATACAGAAGATTATTAGAGACAACTATGAATGACTTTATGACAATAAATTTGAAAACCTAGAGGAAATGGATAAATTCCTGGACACATATCTACCAAGATCAAACCAAGAAGAAATAGAAAACCTTGAATAGACCAATAAGTAAAAAGATTGAATCAGTAATATAAAGTATTCCAACAATGTAAAGTTCAGGACCAGATGGCTTCGTTGCTGAATTCTACCCAACCCTTAAAGAAGAATTAATACCAATTCCTCTCAAACTACTCCAAAGAATGGAAGCAAAGGGAATCCTTTCCAATTCTTTCTATGAGGCCAGCATAACATTGACATCAAAACCAGCCAAGGATACAACAATAAAAACCCACTACAGACCAGTATCCCTGATGAACGTGGACACAAAAATCTTCAACAAAATACTAACAAATTGAGCGCAACAGTGCATCAACGATGGCAATAGAAACTCCACCATGACCAAGTGGAATTTAGCCCAAAAATGCAAGAATGGTTCAGTATACACAAGTCAATAAATGTCATACATCACATCCATAGAATAAAGGATGAAAACCATATGATCATCTCAATAGGTATAGAAAAAGCTTTTGATAAAATTTGACATTGTTCATGATAAAACTCTTAATAATTAGGTATAGAAGGTTAATACCTAAATATATAAAGGCCACATATGACAAACCCACAGCTAACATCTTACTGAATGAGGGTGAAAGCTTTTTCTGTCAGAAGTGGAACAAGACAAGAGTGTCTACTCTTACCACTTCTATTCAGCATACTACTAGAAGTTCTAAGGAGAGCAATTAGGCAAGAAAAAAAAAAAGGCATCCAAATTGGAAACAAGTCAAATTGTCCCTGTTTGCAGATGACATAATCTTATATGTAGAAAAACCAGAAGCATATATTCAGGGGAAGTTGAATCTGTGCTCTCAGGAAATAAAATGTTATTATTAAAAAAAGACATAAGAAAAATCTAAAGACTGTACCAAATTACTCTTATAACTGATAAACGAGTTCAGTAAAGTTGCAGGATACAAAATTTGTATATTAAAATCAGTAGTAGTTTATACATGAACAATAAAACTAGCTGAAAAAGAAATCAAGACAGCAATCCCATTTACAATAGCTCCCCAGAATTAATTTAACCAAGGAGGTGAAAGACTCTACATGGAAAACTGCAAAACACTGATGAAAGAAATTGAAGAGGATACACAAAAATGGAAAGTCATCCCAACCTCATGGATCAGATGAATATCATTAAAATGACCATGTAGCCCAAAGCGATCTACAGATTAAATGCAATATCTATCAAAATACCAATTACATTCTTCACAGAAATAGAAAATAAAAAACAGAATTTATATGAACCCACAAAAGACCTCAAATAGCTAAAGCAATCATGAGCAAAAATAACCAAGCTGGACGTATAACACTACCAGACCTCAAAGTGTATGACAAAACTATTCTTACCAAAACAGCATGGTACTAGCATAAAAGCAGACACATAGACCAATGAAATAGAATAGAGAACCCAGAAATTAATTCACATATCCACAGTGAACTGATTTGTGACAAAGACACCAAGGACACTCATTGGGGAAAGATAGTCTCTTCAATTAATTGTGCTGGGAAAACTGGATATTCTGGAACTAGACTGCCACCTCTCAAAATGGATCAAAGACTTAAATGTAAGACCTGAAGCATTGAAACTACTAGTAGAAGACATAGTGGAAACACTTCAAGACCTCAAACGCATAGGCAGCAAAAGCATAAATAAACAAATGGGATTACATCAAACCAAAAAGCTTCTGCACAGCAAAGAAAACAGCAGAGTGAAAAGACAACCTACAGAATGGAAGAAAATATTTGCAAACTACTCATTCGATGGAGGATTAATACCCAGAATATAAAAGAAACTGAAACATCCCAATAGCCAAAAAACAATTGAACTCAAATATGGGCAAATGACCTGAACAGATATTTCTCAATAGAAGACATACAAATGACCAAAAAATATATTTTTTACATGTCCAACATTACTAATCATGAGGGAAATGCAAATCAAAATCACAAAGAGATATCTCTTTCCAGTTAAGATGGCTATTATCAAAAAGACAAAAACAACAACAACAAAAAAACAAATGCTGGAGAGGATGCAGAGAAAAGGAAACTCTTAGATACTGTTGGTGGGAATGCAAGCCACTATAGCCGCTATGGAGAACACTATGGAGGTCTCACAAAAAATAAATAGAACTACCATATGATCCAGCAGTCCTCCTACTACTGAGTATTTATCCACAGAGAAATAAATTATTATATTGGAGATATCTACACCCCCGTGTTTATTGCAGCACTGGTCATGTTAGCCAAGATATAGACTCAACCTATTTGTCCAAAAACAGATGAATGGTTAAAGAAAATGTGGTGTATATACGTCATGGAATACTATTTAGCTAGAAAAAAAAGAATGAAATCCTGCCATTCATGGCAATACAGATGGAATTGGATGATATTATGTTATCTGTAATAAGCCAGGAAAAGAAAGTTAAACACTGCATGTTCTCACTCAAATGTGGAAGCTAAAAGTAAAAGTTGATCTCATAGAAGTAAAATGTAGAACAGAGGATACTAGAGGCTGGGAAGGCAGGGGAGGTGGTGGGGAGAGGAGCATATGGAGAGATTTGTTAAAGGATACAAAATTACAGCTAGATAGGATTACTCAATTCTTGTGTTATATACCACTGTAGAATGGCTATAAGTAACAATAATATAGCTACTTAAAGCTATATATTATTAGGAGGATATTGAATGTTCCCAGCACAAAGAAATAATAAATGTTTGAGATGATGGATATGTGAAATACCCTGATCTGATTAGTATACATTATATGTATCAAAACATCACCATGTTCCCCTTGAAAATAAACAATTATTATTTGTCAATTAAAAAATAAAGTTACAAGAGACAAAGGACATTATATATTAAGAAAATTTTCAATACATCAAGAAGATATAACAGTTAAAAGTATTTGCACACCTAATAACTGACCATCAAAATATCTGAAGCAAAAATGGCCAGAATCGGAAGTAGACATACACATACTTGTACAATAATAGTTGGAAACTTCTATACCCCACTCACAATAATGGATAGAAGAATCAGGTAAAATTAGGAAAGTAGAGGACTTGGACAACACAGTATGTGAACTAGATCTAACAAACATACAAAAAACTGCGCAACAACAGAATGCACATTTTCCCAAATGCACATGGGACATTTCCTGGATATATGTTAAGCCACAAATTAAGTTACAATAAAATTTAAAAGAAGAAACCATGCAAAGTATCTTTTCTGATAACAACATATGAAGTTAGAAATCAATAACAGATGGAAAACTGAAAAAAAATCACAAATATGTGGATTTTAAACTACACACTTGTAAATAAACAATGGATCAAAGAAGAAATCACAAAAGACTTAGAGAAAAATGAAAATAAAAACACAGCATACCAAAACTTCTGGGACACAATGAAAGCAGTGTTTAGGGGGAAATTTTTAGCAATTAACACTCACATTCAAATACAAGAAAGGGAACACCCCTGTGGTTAGAGGTTGCTGGGGTAGTGTAGAGGGCTGAGAACAACCTCTGAACCTGAAAGTGTCATGCCTGTTAGATAGTACTCTGTTTTCTTACCTGTCTCCAGCCCTCATGCTTTATCTGTGCTAACCCGATGGCCTAGCTTTTCCTAGGGAGGCGTTGTCCTCTGCCCTAAGGTGACCAAAAACTTTATTCTGCTTGTAAGGCTGTGTGGTGGGAATCAAAAAGTAAGTACTCACCCTCCAAGTCCTTTCTGGTGGCCTCTAGAAAAGACTGGCCTTAATTTTATCAACACTACCTCCAAGTTTGACAATGGCTGCTTGTAGACTATAACAAAGAGGACAGCATTCATGGAACCACTTAGGAAAGAGCAAATTGTAATGGAAGATGCAGCTTAATGTCAAGAACATGTTGTATAGCTGATGGGATCTTATTAATATTATTTTCCAGTGGGAAAAAAATAAAAATAAACAAGAAAGATCCCAAATTCAGCTACCTAATGTTACAACTTAAGGAACTGGAAGAACAAACTAAACCCAAAGCTAGAAAAAGGAAGGAAATAATAAAGATTAGAGCAGAGATAAACAAAATGGAGACTAGAAAAACAATTGAGAAAATTAATGAACCCAGATGTTGATTCTTTGAAGAGATCAACAAAATTGACAAACTTCAGCTAGATAGACTAAGAACAAAAAAAAAAAAAAAAGAGAAAAGGCTCACTTTAGTAAAATTAGAAATTAAATAAAGTGGGGACATTACTACCTATTCCACAGAAACAAAAAGGATTATAAGAAAGTACTAAGTAATTCTACACCAACAAATTGGGTAACCTAGGTGAAATAGACAAATTCCTAGAAACAGAAGACCTACCAAAATGAAACCATGTGGAAATAGAAAATATGCATAGAGCTCTAATTCGTAAGAAGAATGAATCAGTAATCAAAAATCTCCCAAAAAAGAAAAGCTCTGAACCTAATGGCTTCACCAGTGAACTCTATCAAACACTTAAAGAAGAACCAACACTAATTCTTCTCAAACGTTTCCAAAACATTGGAGAGGGAATACTCCTTACCTCATTATTTGAGGCCAGCATTATCCTGATACCAAAGCCAGACAAACACTACAAGAAAACAAAACTGCAGACTAATATCCCTATGAACTTTGCAAAAAATCCTCAATGTCATACTAGCAAACTAAATTCAGCAACATATTAAAAGAATTACATACCACAACCAAGTGGGATTTATGCCTGGAGTGCAAGGATGATTAGACATATGTAATCAGTGTAATACACTACATTAGCAGAATGAAGGAGATAGTACATGTAATCATCTCAGTCAATCCAGAAAAAGCATTTGATAGAATTCTATACCCTTTCATGATTAAAAAAAAATTAAACATACTAGGAATTAAAAGAAATTACCTAAACATGATAAAAGTCATATATGAAAAACCCACAGAAAATATCATATTCAATAGTGAAAGACTTCTATGATCAAGAACAAGGCAAGGATGCCCTCTCTTGCCAGTTGTCTTCAACATAGTATTGAAAGTCCTAGCCATCACACTTAGGCAAGTAAAAGATGTAAAAGGTATTCAAATCAGAAAGGAAGGCATAAGATTATCTCTGTTTGCTGATGAGAAGATCCTGTATATAAAAAACACTATAAAGATTCTACAAAAAAAAAAACTGTTGTAACTAATAAATTCAGCAACGTAGCATGATACAAAAACCAATCCGTTGTATTTCTATATACCAACAATGAGCAATCCACGAAGGAAATTAAGAAAGTACTTTCATTAACAATAGCATCAGCCAGACACAGAAGCTAACACCTGTAATCCTAGCACTTTGGGAGGCCAAGGCAGGAGGATTGCTTGAGCTCAGGAGTTCAAGACCAGCCTGGAAAACATGGCGAAACCCCCATCTCTACAAAACATTTTAACAATTAGCCAAGCATGGTGGCATGCACTCATAGTCCCACTACTTGAGAGGCTGAGGTGGGAGGATTGCTTGCGCCCAGAATGTCAAGGCTGCAGTGAGTTGTGACCATGCTGCTGCACTTCAGCCTGGGCAGCAGAGCAAGACCCTGTCTCAAGACAAAACAAAACAAAAAAACAAAAACAGTAGCATCAAAAAGAATTAAATATTTAGGAATTAACTTGATCAGGAAGGTAAAAGACTTGCACACTGAAAACTATAAAACATTTCTGAAAGAAACTGAAAAAGGCAGAAATAAATGGAAAGATATCCCGTGTTCTTGGCTTAGAAAACTTAATATTGTTAACATATCAATACCACCCAAAGATATCTAAAGATTTAATGCAATTCTTATAAAGATCCCAATAATGTTTTTTGTAAAAATACAAAAATCCATGTTAATATTCATTTGGAATTTTAAAGAACCCAGAATAACCAAAAACAAGCCTCGAAAAGAACAAGAGTGGAAGACTCACACTTTCTGATTTTAAAACTTACTGCACAGCTACAGTAATCAAGACAGTATGGTACTGGCATGAAGACATATAGACCAACAATGGAATAGAGAGTCCAGAAACAAACCTCTGCATATAATAAGGTCAGTGATTTTCAACAAGAGAGTCAGGACTATGGAGAAAAATGGAGAAAAGACCATTTTTTCAACAAATAATATTGGAAAATTAGATGTCACATGCAAAAGAATGAAGTTGGACCCTTACCTAACACCATATACAAAAAGCAACCCAAAATGGATTGAAGACTTCAATGTAAGGGCTAAGACCATAAATCTCTTAGAATAAAACATAGGGCAAAAACAAAACATTGGATTTGGGAGTGATTTCTTGGGTAGACACCAAAGGCACAGACAGCAAAAGAAAGAAGACAAATTAGACTTCATGAAAATTTAAAACTTTTGTGCCTCAAAGAACACAATCAACAGAGGGAAAATATTTCTTGCCTACAAAATGGGAGGATATTTTAAAATAACATATCTGTTAAGAAGGGATTTATATCCAGCATATATAGGAAACTCTTAAAACTTAACCAAAAACCAAACAACCCAGTTCAAAAATAGGCAAAGGCCTTGAATAGATATTTATCCAAAGAACACATACAGATAGCCAACTAGTATATGAAAAGATGCTCGACATCACTAATTATTGGGAAATACAAATCAAAACCATAATGAGATACCATCTCACACCCATTAGGATGGCTACTATCTTCAATCCCCAAAGAAAAATCAGAAAATAACAAGTATTGGTGAGGATGTAGAAGAATTAGTACCCTTGTGCACTGATGGTGTGAATTTAAAATGATACAGTGCTGTGGAAAACAGTATCATGATTCCTCAAAAAAATTAAAAATAGAGTTACCATATGATTCAGCGATTTCACTTCTGAGTATACAGTAGCACCTCCACCCCATTATTTGTGGCTTCAGTTTCTGAAGTTTCAGTTGCCCATAGTCAACCGTCATCCAAAAATATTAAATGGAAAGTTCCAGAAATAATTCATAAGTTTTAAATTGTGCCTCATTCTAAGTAATGTGATGAAATCTCACAGCATCCCTCTTCTTCCGTGCAGGATGTGAATCATCCCCTTGTCCAATGTATCCATGCTGTATATGCCACCTGTTAGTCACTTAGTAGTGGCTGTTGGGATAACATCTCAGTTATCCAGTTGAAAAAGCGAAGTATGATATATAGACAGCTCAATACTATCCACAGTTTCAAGTGTCCCCTGGGGGTCTTAGAACATATTCCCATCAGGTGCAGTGGTTCACACCTGTAATCCTAGCACTTTGGGAGGCCAAGGTGGGAGCATCAGTCAGTCAGGAGTTCAAGACCAGCCTGGCCAACATGGTGGAATCCCATCTCTACTAAAAATATAAAAATTACCCAGGGATGGTGATATGCACCTGTGGTCCCAGCTACTTGGGAGGGTAAGGAAGGAGAGTCACTTGAGCCCGGGAGGTGGAGGTTGCAGTGGGCCAAGATTGTGCCACTGTACTCTAGCCTGGGTGGCAGAGCGAGACGGCATCTAAAAAAAAAAAAAAAGAACATATTCCCACAGAGAAGAGAAGACTACTCTGTACCCAAAATAATTGAAAACAGAGTCTAGAAGGGATATTTGCACACCCATGTTCATAGCAGCAGTATACACAAAATCCAAGAGGTGGAAGCATTCCAAATGTCCATTGATGAATGAATGGAGAAACAAAATGTGGTATATATCTGCAGTGGAATATTATTCAGCCTGAAAAGGAAGGAAATCTTGTCACATGCTATGACATGGATTAATCTTGAGGACATAATGCTAAATGAAATGAATTTATCACAAAAAGACAAATACTGTATGATTTCACTTATATGAAATCAAGATCACAGAAACAGAAAATAGGATGGCAGTTACTAGGGGCAGAGACTTGTTTAATGGATATAGAGTTTCAGTTTTACAAAATCAGAAAGTTCTGGAGATCTGTTTCAAAACAATGTGAATATACTAATACTATTAACTGCATACTTAAAAATGGTTAAGGGCTGGGCATGGTGGCTCACACCTGTAATCTCAGCACTTTGGGAGGCCGAGGAGGGCGGATCACTTGAGATCAGGAGTTTGAGACCAGCCTGGGCAACGTGGCGGAATCCCGTCTCTACTAAAAATACAAAAATTAGCTGGGCATGATGGCATGAGCCTGTAATCCCAGCTACTTCGGAGGCTGAGGAAGGAAAATTGCTTGAACCCAGGAAAGGGAGGTTGCAGTGAGCCAGTCATGCCACTGCACTCCAACCTGGGTGACAGAGTGAGACTCCATCTCAAAAAAAAAAAAAAAAAAAGGTTAAGATGGTAAATATTATGTGTATTTTACTACAATAAAAAGAAATTATTAAAAAGTTATTGAGGAGCCCAAATAACTTCTGTTTATGTGAGTTATACCTATTGCTATTTACAATATTAGAAATTAACACTGAGAAGTTTTTAAATTTTATTAATTTATTTAAAATTATATTAAACTATATCACATATTAACATAAATAATATAGTATTTTCATGAAAAATGACTATATTTTTCAAAACAAAAACAGTTTATTGAGAAGACTGACATTGTTTTTCATTTTTTCCAGGGTCTAATATCTGGCTTAATTGAAAACAGCTTTCTGCATTCAATATGTTGTAATGTGTTTTGGTTGTACTCTATGAAGAAAATTTGACCTTATCAAATATATAATGTTAAAGAGAATTTAAATACTTCTCAAATGATTAGAGATTATAATTTTTGATACTACACCAAAACTCACAAATGATAGTTTCTTAAGTTAGTTTCAGTGTGGAATCAAACCATACATTGGCCTATGTGGTATTTTCAACTGCATCTTTTATTGATGTGTGATTTTGTAACATCATGCATTATTTCTTTGGAAAACATTGATTCCCGTACTCATGTAGATCTTCCAAATGTTGTCACATTTGATTACACAATATTGAAAAATAACATTTGTTAATATAACCACCGATTATAGGGAAGAGGAAAGAGATTGGGATAAGAAAGAAGCATAAAAGTGGGCTAGTTTCTGAAATGTTGGCAAAGTTCCAATTCTTGTGGTATCATGATTTTATAGTAATCAGTTTGTTCTTTGCTTTATTGTTTTAAGTATGACCCCCCTAAACAATATGGTTTACTTTTGACTGATTTTAAATTTACATAAATGGAATCATATGATATATGCATGTTTGTACCTGTTTTCTTTTGTTCAATATTATGTTTTAGGATGTATTTCTTTTGTGCGTGTGTCTAGTATTTCACTATCTGAATAGATCACAATTTTTAAATCCATTTTATTGTTGCCGAACATTTACATTATTTTCAGATTTGGAAAATTTTAAAGTGCTGCTGTGAACATTTTTGCATATGTATTCTATTCTGTGCTATATAAGCATGCATTTCTATAGGATATAAACCTAGGAATTGCTGGGTCATAGGATATGCACATTTTCAATTTTAGCATAATAGATGATGCCAAACTTTTTTCATCAGCCCTGTAAGAAAGCTCCCTTTGCTCCACATCCTTGCCAATACTTGGTATTTTTAATTTCACTAAAATTTAATCTCAATTAAGAGACTTCTTAAAATTTCGGCCTTTCTGGGGAGAAGTGTGCAGTAGTACCTTGTGTAATTCTCTGAATACTGATGTGACGGAGCAAGTTTTCACATTTACTGAATATTTGAATTTCTTCTTTTATAAAGTGCACATTCAATTTTTGCCCCTTTTCCTATTGATTAACTTTCCTTTTCTTACTGATCTGTGGATATTCTTTGTAATTCTAGCTACAAACCCTTTTTTGACGGAAAATGTATACAATTAATTTGGCACCAGGTTTACTTAACTTTCAGGACAGGAAACATAGCATATTAGCATTACAGCATCAGGTATGCTAGGCCATATTTTAGTTCCTCATGTCAGTTCTAAGGTGAAAGATCAGGTGGGTAAGTGTGGACCACTCTGCCTTACAAAACACAGGATCTTGTAGCAGCCCATACACACAACTGTCAGATTCCCAAGGGACATGCTTGGTTACGTGAATCACACTAAGCATAGGGAAGCTGCTGCCTTTGTTTTTCAATAGGGATATGTAGTTTATTCATAGGCCTTCGAGTTAGATACAGTTCACCAAACTGGGGTCAGTTTTACAGTAAATAATGTTGCCTGGAAACACAGCTGACTTCTCACTTTTTAGCATAATCCTATATATTTCCATGGAATTCATGTTAGGAGAAGGTAAACTTGAGAGCATTTCTTCATGGAGAAAGAGTTTAGTTAACCCTTTCTGTTGGTTAGCCGTTTCTCTCTGGAAAAATAATTGATATCATTACAAAATTGAGTCTTCTAAGCCATGAATAAATATCTCCATCTTGGCCGGGCACGGTGGCTCATGCCTGTAATCCCAGCACTTTGGGAGGCTGAGGTGGGTGGATCACGAGGTCAAGAGATGGAGACCATCCTGGCCAACATGGTGAAACCGTGTCTCTACTAAAAATACAAAAAATTAGCTGCGTGTGGTGGCGTGCACCTATAGTCCCAGCTACTCGGGAGGCTGAGGCAGGAGAATCCGGTGAACCCGGGAGACAGAGGTTGTAGTTAGCCAAGATCGTGCCAGTGCACTCCAGCCTGGGCGACAGAGCGAGACTCCATCTCAAAAAAAAAAAAAAAAATATATATATATATATATATATCCATCTCTTTAGATTTTCTTTACTTTTTCGCAATAAAGCTTGATAGTTTTTTATAGCAGTCATGCATATTGTTTTTGGATTTGTGCCAAGTACTTGACATTTTTATGCCACTATGAATGGTTTTCAAATTTTTAGTTTCTGTTTTTGTTAGTTTATAGGAATACAGTTGGTTTTGTACATTGATTTTGTATCCAACACCTTGCTAAATTCTCTTATTAATTCTAATAAACTGTAACTTCTTGTGGATGTTCTACATACTCAATTATATTATTTGTAAATAACGTTTTACAATTTTGTTTCTTTTTTAATACATTTTGATGTCTTTTTCTGACCTTAATGTACCAGCTGGGACATTGTTGAATAAAAGTGATGATAGATGCTCAATCTCAAATATTTCACCCTTGCAATATTTGCTGGGGCCTTTTTAGCAAGTGAAAGAAGATTCTGTATTACAGGTTGCTAAGACTATTTTTTAGAATATAAATGGACATTATTTTATTAAGTGCTCTTCTGCATCTGTTTAGATGATTATATTATATAGCTTTCCCCCAAATCTGTTAATTGGTCAAGTTACCTCAATAGATATGCTAACATTAAGCCAAATATGTGTTCTTGGGATAAGTCTAATTTGTTCAAGACGTGTTATCCTTTTTTAATAAATTAATATTTTCATTAAAACTTTTGCCTCTATATTCATGAGAATTTTCTTTAATTTTGCCTTTGCCTATTGAGTTTTGGTGTAAAGGCCCATGAAATGAGTTAGAGAATAAGCTCATTTTTCCAGTTTTCTATAATTTGTGTAATATTGGAGATTTTTTTTCCTTGAATAAATGTTTGGTGGAACTTATTAGTGAAGCCAACTGGAATATTCTTTGTGAGAAGGTTTTTAATTACAAAGTCAGTTTCTTTAACAGTTATAGAACTCTCTGGGTTTTCTATTTCTTCTTGTGTCTGTTGCAGTAAGCTATACTTTTCTAGGAATTTGCTTCTCTCTTTCTTGGTCAGTCACACTACAGGTTTAATTTAGTCTTTTCAAAGAAGCAATTTTGGCTTTGCTGATCCTCTCTATTATATGCTTAGGTACTATATTATTATTTTTGCTTTTACCTTTTTATTTTACTGTTTCTACTTTTGAGGGGAGGGGATGAGGCTCATATTGCTATTTGGGAGTCCACCAAAAGTGCAACTCTACCTCTCAACTCACTCTTCTAGACTACCATTATAAAAACAGCAGAGAGTTTCACTTACTCTCTAGTTTTCCTGTCTCTCCATGTCTTGGCTTGGAGAAAGTTGGTTGATGTTTTGTAGAAGATTAAAAAAAAAATTTAATTATGGCACAATCTTTCTAGCAGTAGAATAACAAGGCCTAACTTCAGTTTTACCATGAGAATAAAGTGAAGTGATTTAAATGAAAACACTTTGAAAAAAAAATAATAAGACCAATATAAATGTAAGTGTTCTCATTCTCACTGTTGATAGTTTTTGGGTTCACCAAATGCTTAGATATATTCAAAGTTCCCTCAACCATGATTTGCAATAACTGGGGAAAGTCTCCAAGAATTAGTAGTTGAGAGACCAAAATGTGCTACAACTTTAGCAATGTTAGTATATGTCTCGTTACACTGGACTTAATTAGCTCTTGTTCTAGTTCTAGCCAGTAATTTGAAATCCAACAGAATGGACAGGTTTATTAACAGAAAGACTCTTGAAGTTGAAATTGTTTGGGTTAATTGCCTTTTTTGAATCAACTAATTAAACATATAGAGGGCAGCGATCTAACCTCTGAAGACAATAAGAAGTTGACTGAGATGTTTGTTAGGATTGAAAAATTTACAACTTCTGCTGAAGTGCTACAGCAGTATTTTCTTGAAATGTGAAATGCATGTTGTTTAAAAGCACAGGCTTTGGAGTGGGAATTCCTTGGTATAGGAACTCCTCTGCTTCCTGAGTAACCTCACTTTCTCCAACTGTAAATTGGAAGTAAGAGTACCTATCTCAAACGAGTTGTGAGGATTAAATTAGCTAATCTGTGTAAAGGTCTTAACTTTGTGGGGCATAATAGGTGCTCAGTATATAGTTTATGAATTAATGAAAAATTAATAAGCCTTTTTGTAGAGAGAAGAACTGAATATATTATAGTAAAATGAAAATCTATTAAGTGCCATAGGAAGGACACAAAGAGTCAAAGGAACACTGAAAAGGGCTTCCTACTGAATGGCAATTGCGAGGAGATTTCGTGTAAGAGATGACATTTGAACTAAATCTTGAAGATTTGAAGATAGAGTGGAATTGCAGCAGTTGTGCTTGGGACGGAAGATATTTCATGTAGAGGTGATGATGTGTATGATCCAAGACTGGGTGGAGGTGGGAGACCTGGGGTTTAGGCAGGAAAGCATAGGGATTTTAAAGGATGGTGAGTAATACTAGAGAGTAAATACATTGAAAAAGATTTGGGATTCAATACTTCGAAGTATTTTGACATCATTTTGTGTGTTCTTGAGAACCATTAGAGACTTTAAGCCGTGCTTTAAGGAGAACGATGCTATGACATGGGTTGGTTACCGAGGGGGGATTTGGAAGAAGAAAGACCTATTAGGAAGATTTTGCAGTGGTGAAAGGAGATAGATTACAAAAACCTTACAAAATATGAGCAAAACTGCCTGCAAAATTAACTAGTAAGAGATGATACATGAAGGAAGAATTCAAAGGTGATTCTGACATTAAAAATCTAAACAGTTGGGACAATAGCTGTATCATTTGCAAACACAATGAAAATGAGCAGGTTGTAAAGAAAGATCACCATTATGGTTTTGAACACATTGAGTTTGAATTTTGTATGATAGAAAGGACAGCCAACTGGAAATGTCAACTTGAGATAGTTTGAACTATAAATATTTGGGAATCATCTGCATGGAAGTAATAGTTGGAATCCTGGGAATGAATCAGCTCAAAGTGTGGTGGAAAACTATTTAGAGCAATGCCTAGAGGAATATGTGGCTGTATCCGTGGAAGAAGGGCAGACAGCAAAAGAGAAGGAAACTATAGTTAGAGGGATAGAGCAGAAAAAATAGAACTGACATTTCTTATTAAAATTTAAGAAAATTTGCAAGTTATTTGACTAGGTTTTCTGAAAGAAAGCTATTACCATTGTTAGGAAGAATAACTAGGTAGCTTTATTACCGTTCACATGTAATCTGCTATGTTAAACAGAAATAATGCATTAAAATTCATTATATTTGCAAGTGTAGTTTTACCTTTTATGGACAGATTTTTGTGTCTTTCTTCCTTTGGAAAGCAATAAATTACAAAGTCAGTTAGAGCTTCTTTTTTCACCCACCTTATAGAAATAGATACATTGCCAAGCATTACAAGTACCATATTTTCCACATAGAATATCTAGGTGTCAAGATTATCTCTAGTGAAAGCTTTGTTTGTGGGGGAAAAAAAAAAGAAGAAGAAGAAGAAAAGGAAAAAACTTTTTATGATCTTGAAGAAATTCATGGCCTTTGAAATTTCTAGAAGAGCCTCAAAAAATAGGAATTCCTGCTGATAATGCATTGGTGGTGGTAATAATAATTGCAATTAATATTTACTGAATGGTACTGTTTGCCATACATTGTTCTAAGTGTTTTACATGCATTTTTTTCATATAACAGTATTTACTGAGTGCCTATGCTGTACCAGGCACTGTTCTGGGCATTTGATTTAGGTTAATAAATGAAACAAACTAAAATTCTTGCTCTTGTGGACATTTTATTTAGTGAGAGCAGACAGATAATAACCAGTAAGCATAACAAATAAAGTATATGGACTCTAAGAAGATGATAAGTCCGTGGAAAAAGTAGAGCAGGGTAAGTGGATTCAGGAGTGCTGAATTGGGGTTGGATGATGGAAATGGATTGCTTTTTTTTCTTCCTTTTCTTCTTGAGATGGAGTCTCGCTCTGTCGCCCAGGCTGGAGTGCAGTGGTGCAATCTCAGCTCACTGCAACCTCTGCCTGCTGGTTCAAGCAATTCTCCTGCCTCAGCCTCCCTAGTAGCTGGGACTACAGGCACGCATCACCATGCCCAGCTATTTTTTTGTATTTTTAGTACAGGTGGGGTTTCACCATGCTGGCCAGGCCAGTCTCGAACTCCTGACCTCATGATCTGCCCGCCTCAGCCTCCCAAAGTGTTGAGATTACAGGTGTGAACCGCCACGCTCGGCCAAATTGCATTATTAAGTAGGATGGTGAGAATAGGCCTAATGGAGAAGATTGCATTGGAGTTAACCATGCAGATATCTGAGAGAGTACCAGGGAAATGGAGCAATCTGAGAGAGTACCAGGGAAATGGAGCAATCTGAGAGAGTACCAGGGAAATGGAGCAATCTGAGAGAGTACCAGGGAAATGTGCAAAGGCCCCAAGGTAGAAACATGTCTGCGATATCCAAGGAACAACAAAGAGATTAATATGATGCCATTTTGAGGAAGATATGGTTTCAGGCATGATGGAACCACAGTCCATTGGCTCCTACTCCTGACTCATGGCTGTTGGCTCTCTCCAAGGAACATGTAGGTTAGGAAACTGTATCACAGCCATGGGTTTAAGCACTGGAGGAACCAGAGGTGGTGATTCACTGAATTAGAATTCCCCTAACCAGCTGCAGTATAAAAATCCCTGAAGAAGTGTGTGCTGACTTGATCAGAGGCACAAAGGAAAAGAATCTCAAAGTGAAAGGACCAGTTGGGATGCCTACCAAGACTTTGAGAATCACTACAAGAAAAACGCCTGTGGTAAAGGTTCTAAGACATGGAATCACTCCCAGAAGAGCATCCGCAAGCAGTTTATTGACTTGCACAGTCCTTCTGAGATTGTTAAATAGATTTATTCGGTCAGTATTGAGCCAAGAGTTGAGGTTGAAGTCACCATTGCAGATGCTTAGGTCAGCTATTTTAATAAATTGATTATCAGTTGTTTTTTTCTTTTTAAGAGGTCAGTATGGTTCAAAGTGTTTAAGGGAGAGAGCAGTGGTTAAGATCAGAGAGGAAATGGACATGGGGAGAGTGAGGCAGATCTTGTTACTACAACCCTATGAGATATGTACCGTTATAATCTGCACTTTACAGATGAGGAAACTGAGATGCAAACAAGTCAAGTAACCTGCCACATCTGTAAAATCAAGAGCCAGCTGTAACAACAAACAGTTTCATCCAATTATGTACTGAAGGTTTCAAAATGATTTAATTGCTAATTCCTTTATGGCTTTCTGTAAAATATTAGGTAAAAGGTCAGTTCTGGAGTAGATGATTTCATTTAACAACGGCTCTATGATTTTCTTTCTTTGTAAACCACCGTGACCATTTATAGGGCTTGTAATTTCATCAAAGTTTCTTCAATTGCATGTGACTTCTTTTTGTTGGAAGTACAGTAAGCATCCCTTAATACAAGGCTTTTATATTAGAACCAATTTAAATTTTGGTTTAGTTCTTCTAGCCTTTTCATATTGAGCCTTCTTAGAAACAGAGGTACAGTCATAATCATAATGATGTAATATGTTTTCTTTAGTTCTTACATACAGAAAGCCATCTAGATCATAATATAGTGCTAATGTCATTTATACATTACCTATGGACATGCTACTGATAATTGAATCGATGTAATGATAGTTACAGATTATCTGGCCCATGTATGTATTACCCATGCTTGGACTGAATCAATACCTTAATAATATAATTTGATATAGAAAAACATTTTAATAAAGACAATTATTTAAATGATAGAAAGTCTAAGAAAAAAATGTTTATGCCTACCTAGTTCAGTGCTCCCCTAACTCATCCATAAACCACTCTTCACTTTACTTCCAGGTTAAATGCCTAGAGGGATTTGAAGGTCACAGTGGATCATTACATGAAAAGATATTTAATAGTTCATTTTTACACTAGATTGCTAGTTAGCTATTATTTTTTCTAAAGTAAATGTAGTATATTGGGATTCCTTTTTTATCTACTTCATTATATTAAGTCGAATTGATCCAAACCGTTGATTTTTATGACCTGTGAGCTTTTCAGCATTGACTTTGTAGAGATGATCATTTAAAGAACAGTATTTTGCTAGATTTATGGTTGTTTACATAATATTTTGTTAATCCGACTGTTAATAAAAAATGAGAAGTTATTTTAGTGGTGTTTCTTAGTAGTATTCTCACAAAAGCAGTGAATGCATAAATCATAATTATGTGGGGTTGATGATTTTAATTGTTTGGTACTAACATGCTTTTGTCAAGTGGGGGCATCATTGATCTTTCTTAGGTAAGCAGTGTAGTAAGAATGCTTTGCTTTTTAAACTTAAATGGTATTAGGAGTAAATACTTGTTCTCTTTTCATTTTACTTTAGAGGGCCTGTATTTAATATGTAAGGTTTCTTATAATAGCTAGCACTTTTAATTAGTAGCAAGATTTAAAGTCCGGAAACATTTAGCAGTTTTCTTTGTAGTTTTCAATTGTACTAGCCTCTAAAGTTACCATCACAAATTGCAGTTGTTATTCAGTAAAAGAAAATGATATGGTTTTAATAATAATAAAACTTTAGAATAAAATTGTTAATATATAATCTTAGGTTTGTTATTATTATTGATGTTTTAAGTATATGAACAAGGGTAAAAGTATATACTTACCATTTAAAACACACACACTACTAACTCACCTGGTATTCAAAAGTAGCTCTCAATGATAATTAGAAAGTATTTTGAGCATATCCAAAATACATACTGTTGTGTGCTGTTGCTACCAACACCTGACTGTTGCTAATAACTCTAAAACTGTTTTGCCATCATTAAATTTATATAAGAAGCATGTTTGAATATGGTTATCATTGTGCTATTTACTTAAAATGCATATATGATTACTGTATTTTTAAAACTAATGATAATTTTAATCTTTCCACTGTTAAAAATTTGTGTTACATTTGGACCTCGAAATACATTATTTTTAACCTAGTCAAAAAGAAACCGTATTTGTACATGATTGCATTTGGGGGAAATTTTGAGGGTGTGAGAATTACATAGGTATTTAGCCTTAAGTATTTCAAAACTTTAACGTGATGTTTCCATCAGCAAAGCTCTTGGCCTGTTCTTATGTATAAGTTTAAAATCTTGCATATCTGCATCCTTGTCAGGCAAATGCCAAGGGCTAAAACTGAAGATAATTTAAGATTTATGTCTCCCTCTTGGAGGTTACAGTTGTCGTGAATTGACAGTTGTGAAGGATCTAAACTGACATCAAAGGGTTCAAATGATCTGATTAGGTCAATTAATGTTAATTTTCATCTTCCATTAAATTCTTTTAATGTTTTCCCCTTTTCATTTTTTTCTAGCCAAGCCCTATACCAAGTCCTGTTTTGGGGCGAAAGCCAAATGCTAGTCAGTCTTTGCTTGTATGGTGTAAAGAAGTTACAAAGAACTACCGAGGAGTAAAAATCACCAATTTTACTACATCGTGGAGAAATGGTTTATCTTTTTGTGCAATATTACACCACTTTAGACCAGATTTAATGTAAGTAGAAACATTTTCCATTCCCTATATTTTGTAAGTGATAGACATTTTTGAAAAGAACATAAAATAATTTCTTAGCACATCCTGAAATAATTTATATTTGTTTTATTACCCCACCTCTTGCTTTTGAGAGATATATGTCAGAAAGCTTTTCCTTTTTCATACCTAAAAACAATCTTTTCTCTTTTTAAAAGTGGTGGCTGGGCGTGGCGGCTCACGCCTATAATCTCAGCACTTTGGGAGGCCAAGGCGGGTGGATCACCTGAGGTCAGGAGTTTGAGACCAGCCTGACCAACATGGAGAAACACCGTCTCTACTAAAAATACAAAATTAGCCAGGTGTGGTGGCGCATGCCTGAAATCCCAGCTACTTGGGAGGCTGAGGTAGGAGAATCGCTTGAACCCAGGAGGCAGAGGTTGCGATGAGCCAAGATCGTGCCATTGCACTCCAGCCTGGGCAACAAGAGCGAAACTCCGTCTCAAAAAAAAAAAAAAAAAAAAAAAATGGTTTTTCTCCTTAATCTCAAAGAACTGACTTCAAATTATTATGAAAATTGTGTTAGTGTTAAAATGAGATGAGACAAATAAGCCTGTAATTCTTTACATTGACAACAAGGGATTACCTCATACTAAATTTGGTTGTCAAGGCTAGTCTTTGGTCCCCTGCCTTAACCTCTCTTTTAGATGGAAAGCTTCAGGCAGCGAAACGTGTAATCACTGTTTTTATTCATTTATTTATTTATTTCTTTAATTTTCCACACTATTAGTTTTGTTGATTGAATTGCTGTGAAATTGCTGGTTACTCTTTAGTATTATTGAATGTCAAATTTTTAGATTCAGTTTGTTTTAAAAACAGCTGTTTTTATCAAATACTATATGTACCCACTGTGCTATTTTCTCCCTCAGTGACTACAAGTCTCTGAATCCTCAAGATATTAAAGAGAACAACAAAAAGGTAAGAATTGATGAGCAAGAAAAATACGTAGTTTCAATTTTGGCTTCTCTGCAGGTCTTTATTAATTTGGAGAAAGTGAGGCAGTTTTATGAGGTCATAACTACAACTCACAGAGGGTTGTCTGCTTACTGCGGTTCATTAGGATACATGGTTTACTCTGGTTTATCATGGACTTTTAAAGACCACAAGTGCCAGGTTGGCATCATATTATAATATGCATATTATCTTTTTAACTGTTGAATATTTGTTAAAGCATAGTGCTTTTTTTCTAAGATTTAGCTTTTTAAAAATGCACCCAAAACTGTTGTGCCATAGTTGTTATGTAAGTTTAGAAAATATGCTGGTTGGGGATGAGAACGAGAGCCTAATGGTAAGCAAGAGAGAATACTTA
Source organism: Homo sapiens (assembly GCF_000001405.40). NCBI lineage: Eukaryota > Metazoa > Chordata > Mammalia > Primates > Hominidae > Homo > Homo sapiens. The sequence goes on from NC_000002.12 coordinate 62,944,242, forward strand.
GGTTCTGAGAGGCAAAAATATATAAACCTTGGTTCTTTTCATTTTCTGGTAAACCGTATACAGTTATTGCGCTGCAAAACAACATTTTGGTCAAAAACAGACCACATAGATGGTGATGTACCGTAAGATTATAATACCTCATTTTTACTGTACCTTTTCTATGTTTAGATACACAAATACCATTGTGTTACAATTACCTACACTATTCAGTATAGGAATATGCTGTGCAGCTTTGTAGCTTAGGTATAGCCTAGGTATGTAGTAGGCTGTACCATCTAGGTTTGTGTAAGTACCCACTGTGATGTTTGCACAACAACAAAATCTCCTGACAATGCATTTCTCAGCATATATCCCCATTGTTAAGCAACACATGACTATATTTTCCCACATAATTAATCAATATATTGAGATCAGAACTTCCCAACTGGTATGGGGCAAGGGGATATCGATCCTTTCAGCTTTCAGGGCATCTGTGTAAGGCTGAGTTGCTGGAGCCCTGGGCCAGCTAACTGTGGCCACAGGCTGACTTATCTGTTTACCCCAGCACACAGTATGTGCATTCTGTGTGCAAAGAGGGAAGCACCTAACTCAGCACACAGTAGGCACTGAATGCTTTTTTCTACTGAATTGAATTCTTCAACTGAAAAATTAATGAAATTTATTATTGTCTTAGAACAGGAGTTCTTAACCTGTGAACTGTGGGTAGAAATCAGGGTGTCCTTGAACATGGTTGAGGGAAAAAATACATTTTACTTTCATAATTCCTCATCTGAAATTTAGCATTTCCTTCAATTATGAATTTAGGCAATAAACCACCATAGTGTTAACCATGCCTGAGACTTTGTCACCTTTAGAAATCACAGATATTTTCGATATTTTCATGTCATGCTATAGTTGTTGCTGCAGATATCTGCAAATACCTTTTACACTTATAACTTCTTCAAAATAATTAGTGCAGTCATAAAAAGCACATATATTACTACTTCCCAAATTCATTTTAAGTAATACTTTCATAGGTGTATTTTTCAGTATAATTGATGTCTTTTGTAATTCTATGTATTTTATCCATGTAAAACATTATTCTGAGAAGGGACCCATTGCCAAAAGGGTTCATGAGACAAAGTGGTTAATAACCTCTAGTCTAAAGTTTTTAACATACTTTAAATTAAATAATTAAAATTACTAGTGATACAAAGTCTTGGGACCTTGATAGAAGTTCAATTAACAAGTCTTTAAATCAAAACAATTTTTCACTTGTATTGCTCTCTAAAACCAAAAATGTGTATTGCTATCAAAAAGATTTTGTTTCTTCAGCCTGGGGAATGTAGCAAGACCCCATCTCTACAAAAAATGAAAATGTTAGCTCAGCATGGTGGCATGCACCTGTAGTCCCAGCTACTTGGGAGGATGAGGTGGGAGAATCGCTGGAGCCTAGGAGCCCGAGGCTGCAGTGAGCTAGCATCATGCCACTGCTTTCCAGCCTGGGTGACAGAGCAAGACCCTGTGTCCAAAAACAAACAAACAAACAAAAAAATGGTTGTTTTTTCACAAATGCATAATGCTGGCCGTAGAGCAATAAAAACCTGGCAGTCTCTATTGAAATATGCCACCAAAAAAAAGATAATCTTTAAAAATCAGTATAGTTTTCTTACAGAAATTACCCTTTGGATGGGCATGTTACAAAGTAAACTGTTCTCATGAATTAATTCTTGTATAATTTTGGAGAGCCTGTGTCTATTAAAGTGAAATGCTTCTTTTTCATTAATTACAATTAAATTATATCTTTGGGTGTGGCAGTGCTTTACCTCCATTTTCTTACATTTGAACAAAGTGGTAAGCCAATTTAAATACAGACATGAGCATTATAAAATAAACCATTTTTTAAAGTGGATGTTTCAACTTACTGTTCAAAATTTTGAAAAAGAAATATTGTTGATTTTACCTCATTATAAATGTGTAAAGAATATAGGGAATCTCAGTAAGGCTTAAGTCACACTTCTTTACATTAGCTTTTCATTAACTTAATAATGGTAAGCATACTTTGGATTTACATATTACTCCATACAGAAGACTGTCCCATTAAAATTTTTTTTCAATTAAATCTTCCAGTACAGACAATCATGGCTTTTGAAAGGCTTTATCTTTGATGATTCTATTCATTGTATTATTCAATAAATAATTGTTTTTACATAGTCTTTCCTTTCATCATTTGCTACTTCTTACCTGATAGCTACATTGAGTTGCTACCTGCAAATTACTTCTAGCTTCACACATTTCTTCCCAATAACCCATGTGCCCTTGAATGGACTTAAAGCACCATAGGAAAACAATGCCTGTGTCTTAAATTTCATACAGATGCATAACATAACTGGCAGTAACTCCTCCTTACCAATTTAATAACATCTACAAATGAATAAGATAATTTTCTTAGAAAGACCTCTTTTTTCACCTCACACAAACAGGTGAAAAACAGTAGGTAGTTAGTTGACCATGGCAGAAGAGGTTAACCTATGGGAAAAGTCCTTTATAAAGCCTTAACCTTGCTTAAAAGAAACCTAGTTTGTTTTTAAATGTTTTTTTAGTGTAATTAGTGTACATAAAATGAATTGCTACATGAAGCAAAACACCAGCAGGAGTTTCCCCACAAGGAAGCTAATCATTTTCCTGGGTCTGTAAAAAGTGCTGAATAAAAAAAGGCATTTTCCTGTGACATCTGATCTTAACCAATATGTCAGTGTTTTTAGATAATTTGGGAATGTTTAGAATACTGCCTGTGGTGCTTTCCCTGATGGCCTGCAATTGATGCCTGTCAGTCAAGTTGTCAAGACACATGAAAAGGAAAATGACTTCAATTTTCCTAAAACATGTAAAATAACAAACCAAGCCTATACATGCACACCAACTGAGTCATTCTCTCTAGTAAATATTTTGAGGTACCTATATTATGAAGCCTAGTGCTGTGAAAATTGAAGAGGTTTTAATATCACAATTTATTTTTCATTTTCTTTCTTACTTGTTCCATAATGTTTGTTAAACTACAAGAATATGAGACAAAGATTAAATTCAAACATAGCAATGTACTTTAACAAGTAAGTACAGAAGACTGATTCATTCTCAATTGTTACATAATTTCCTAACATGTCTTTTAAGAAAAACTTTGAATTATAATCCTTAATCTAGGTTGCTAAAAAGAGTAAACATTTTACATCCCAGAGCAAGAATATATCTAGACGGTTCTTACTTTCTCTGAGAGTATATCTAAACCTTTAGCCATACTTTTAATGCTTCCTAGCAACACAATGCTGTTTTCAAGGGTTAGTTCAGGATAGTAATAATTAATTGTAAATTGAGAAACAGCTTAGATTATTCAAAACTAGAAAAACCTGATGTGCCACAGTCATTTAAAGGCTAACAAAAATAATACAATGCAGCCTCACATTCTCAACTAGGTTGTAGTACTCAAAACATTTCATTCTTTCCAAAATGAATGAATTAAATGAAGTCACTCTTTTCATTATGAAAATCAGTCTTAATTGAGCATTTAAAAATGTTTCTGTTTCTAGGCTTAAATTGCATTTATTTGTATTTTATATCAGGTAATCTAGTAGTTCTTTTGACTTATCTAGCTGTGCTTTTCTTCACAAATCACTGCAATTACATGACTGTGGAAAAGAGAGGTTGATAGAAATGATAAAGCTCAATATGGATTAGTCTAATGTTTCTTTATACTTTAGTTCCTTATCTTAAAAATCCATTCTCAGAGTTTTAAAAAATTTAACTCTCATTTTTGCTTGTTTCATTTATTGGAAAAAATATTTTAATTCTTATTTATTACACTTTTTTCTCTTGCCTCTCCCCCCACTTTTACACATGTCTGACTTTTGGAAATTTGTTCTTTTCATGTGACATAATGTCGATAACATGTACCCAAACAACAAAAATTAAAAATGTGCTCTTTTTAAAATGTGTGAATTATATGAACTGTTCAATATATCTTTTGTTTTTCCTTCCTTTGAAGGCATACGATGGATTTGCCAGCATAGGAATTTCCCGATTATTGGAACCTTCTGATATGGTATTATTAGCAATTCCTGATAAACTGACTGTTATGACTTATCTCTATCAAATAAGGGCACATTTCAGTGGCCAAGAACTAAATGTCGTTCAGATAGAGGAAAACAGCAGTAAAAGCACATATAAAGTTGGAAACTATGAAACAGATACAAACAGTTCTGTTGATCAAGAAAAATTCTATGCAGAGCTTAGTGATCTGAAGCGGGAGCCTGAACTACAACAGCCTATCAGCGGAGCAGTAGACTTCTTATCACAGGATGACTCTGTATTTGTAAATGATAGCGGGGTTGGAGAGTCAGAAAGTGAGCATCAAACTCCTGATGATCACCTTAGTCCAAGCACAGCCTCCCCTTACTGTCGCAGGACTAAAAGTGACACAGAACCCCAGAAGTCTCAGCAGAGCTCTGGAAGGACTTCAGGATCTGATGACCCTGGAATATGTTCCAATACAGATTCAACCCAAGCACAGGTTTTGTTAGGCAAAAAGAGACTATTGAAAGCTGAGACTTTAGAATTGAGTGACTTATATGTTAGTGATAAGAAGAAGGATATGTCTCCACCCTTTATTTGTGAGGAGACAGATGAACAAAAGCTTCAAACTCTAGACATCGGTAGTAACTTGGAGAAAGAAAAATTAGAGAATTCCAGATCCTTAGAATGCAGATCAGATCCAGAATCTCCTATCAAAAAAACAAGTTTATCTCCTACTTCTAAACTTGGATACTCATATAGTAGAGATCTAGACCTTGCTAAGAAAAAACATGCTTCCCTGAGGCAGACGGAGTCTGATCCAGATGCTGATAGAACCACTTTAAATCATGCAGATCATTCATCAAAAATAGTCCAGGTAAGTGAGTTAGAATGCTGAATACTATATTTAGTAATTAGTTATTCTCTGTTTTTGTTTCTTTTTGCATTCATAGATGCTACAAATGATTAAAGGTGAAGTGTAATTTCTATTATAAAAACTCCTGAGGCATGTAGTAATGTGTGCCTAAGTCCCCACTATTTGGGAGGCTGAGGAAAGAGGATTGCTTTGGCCTAGGAGTTTGAAACCAGCCTGGGTAACATAGCGAGTCCCTGTCTCAAGAAAAGAAAAACCTGAAATATACCTGCTGTATATTTAAGGTTTATGATATAATATTTTAAGCCTAAAAATCCCAATTTCAACACTGAAGGATATTGTGTAATAAGGCTATGAGAAAAAAATTGAAGGATAAAGAATGTCAACTTTTCAAATAAAAATATTACTTATAAAAACAATATTCTACTATAAAATAAATCAAAGATGTTTCAATATTCCATTTAATAAGAACATCATTCTAAAAATGTATAATGCCAAATTAAATATTTCCCATTTAAAACATTTTCCTTAGGTATTTTAGTTGGTTTATTTAGTCCCATCATTACTTGTGGTTAAAAATCCCTGCAGCATCCAAATTTCTCCTCATGAAGGGAATACTGTACGGTTTTAACCTTTCTCTTACTGATGATATTAATAATTTACTGTTTTTACTTGTATCTCTGGTACCATCAGTTATAAGATATACTAATATTTTATGTACCACAACAAAAAAGAACAACATTGTCAATAAAGTTATGATACCTGGTTTTCCTATCACTCAGAATTTTTATAGCTATTGAAAGAGCTCTTTTAGACTTATTTAGGCATAGATTATTTGATCAGATAACACTCGTGTATATATAAGGAGGAAATTTTAGGCAAAATAAATTGATTAAGGTATTCCTAAAAGTTTTTCACATTTAGAATCCAGCTCTTCTGAATCACTTTTTGATTTAGAGTTGTTGGTATTCCTTTTTTTTTTTTCTGCACAGTTATCCTCTGTGCCATCAAAAGCATTGTTACAGTAAATGGTTCTCAAAGCCAGATTTGGGGGCCTCTGAAGTTCTCCAAGTCCCTTTCAGAGAGCCCCCAAAGTTAAAGCTATTTTCATAATAATACTAGGGCATTGTTTGCCTTTATCACTCTCATTCTCTCACAAGAGTATGATGGCATTTTCTGGAAGTTACATGATTTGTGATATCTCAACAGATTGAATACAAAAGTAGATATAGGAATTCAGCTGCTTTCTTTTATATTGAGATTTACAAAATATGTAAAATACTGCCACCCTTCTCAATTTTTGTTTTTAAAGTAATTATTTTCTATTAAAATGTGTTAACATCTAATGAGTTCATTGTGGCTACTTCTAAATGAAAAAAATATTTTAAAAATATATCAGTTTTAATATCAAAAATGACAAATATCAGTAGATACAATCTGTATAAGCAAGAGTTTTTTGGGATCCTCAATAATTTTTAAGCATATATGGGGATTTCGAGACCAAAAAATTGGGAAATCTCTGAGTTGTTTTTTCTTTTTTTTTGAAACAGAGTTTCACTCTTGTTGCCCAGGCTGGAGTGCAATGGTGCCATCTTGGCTTACCACAACCTGTGCCTCCCAGGTTCAAGCAATTCTTCTGCCTCAGCCTCCCGAGAAGCTGGGATCACGGGCATGTGCCACCACACCCGGCTAATTTTGTATTTTTAGTAGAGACGGTGTTTCTCCATGTTGGTCAGGCTGGTCTCAAACTCCTGACCTCAGGTGATCCACCCGCCTTGGCCTCCCAAAGTGCTGAGATTACAGGTGTGAGCCACCGCGCCCGGCCCGAACCTCTGAATTTATAGCATTTCTCCACAACTGTCTCTGGGATTTTCTTCCAAGTCAGTATACTGATTGATAATGGCACTTTCTTGGCTTTACCAGAAGGTTTCAACAGAAGATTTTTAGACAGTAATCTGGAGTTATGTTTCTTTCTCAAATAGTCCTCAAGTGGTGTTGACTGAAACATCAAGGAATTGCCATCATGCCAACTGAAATATCAAACAATATACGTATAGGTAGACAACCATGTCTTAACTGCCACCTGGATGACAGAGAGTGTAAGATTCTGCCATTTATAAGTTTTCAGAGGTGTCAAGAAAGAATTTATATCTTAGAATTAAAGAAATATAATAGCTGCCAAAGCAAGCCCCTGTTCTCCTAATCATAAACCTCAAATCAAAAGTCCTAAGTAGCTAAATCTCTCTGAAAGCTTTCAGGACAGCATATGTCCACACATAGTAGATAATCAATAAACATCTAGTGATTGACAATTTCAAGAACTTGATGACCCTAAATTGTCATATTCAATACAAATTTTTCTTTTTTTTTTTTTTGGGGGGGGGGGGTGGAGTCTTGCCCTGTCACCCAGGCTAGAGTGCAGTGGCGTGATCTCACCTCACTGCAACCTTCTCCTCCCGGGTTCAAGTGATTCTCCTGCCTCAGCCTCCCGAGTAGCTGAGACTACAGGTGTGTACCACCATGCCCAGTTAATTTTTGTATTTTTAGTAGAGATGGGGTTTCACCACATTGGCCAGGCTGGTCTCGAACTCCTGACCTCAGGTGATCCTCCTGCCTCAGTCTCCCAAAGTACTGGGATTACAGGTGTGAGCCACCGCGCCTGGCCAGATTTTTCTTGAAAACCAGATTTTTAAGGCAAATATGTTTAGTTAAAACTAGGAATTGATTGATGTTTAAAATTTTAAAATACCCTGGACTGGGAATCAGTAAGCCTGGAATCTCGTTTTGACTCTCCCAATAAATTAGTAGTGTGACATGTTAACTAGCCATTTAGCCTCTCTCGATCTTATTTTCCATGTATGTTAAATGAAGCAATCTTTAAGAACCCCTTTAGCTGTGAAACTATCATTCTGTGATTCTATTCAGATGATTAAAGTGTACTGGATGATAGAAGCAATGTCTATTCATAGCTCCATGTATGTTTTCTCTTTGGCCATTGGCTTATTCAGAATTTTTCTTGGGGTAAGTTTAAAGGTTTTTATTGACACTGGATTGGCAAAAGTAATGTCTAACAATAAACACTGTAATATAGGTGCTGACATTTGGTAGGCTTTTAAAATTGTATATAGCAGCTGAATTTTGGACAATTAAAAATCTGTTTCTCTTTTGTACAAAGTATTTCAATTCTCAGATACACATCTTTTTACATTTTAACTTCTCCGAAATCAATATATTATTTATAATAGATAGTGTATTAGAGTTTAATTGACAGCGTTTGTTCTTTCTTAGTAGTTCATAAAATAATAGTAACTCTTACAATTAAGACCATTGGATTAGAGGAAATTTAGTAACTTTAATATGGCTTTATATACTTAACAAAGTCATAATGTTGTCCATTTGGGTGCCTAATACATGTGATGACAGTTATATATCTTACACCTATCTCTTAGACTTTACAACTCATAAGGTAAGTAGTCAAATTCTATATTATATGTGGGAAATCTGAGGTTTGCAGAGTTACTTAAGATTACATGATAAATGTTAAAGTTTGAATTCAAAAGCAACCTTGTCTTCAAAGTCTGTGCTTCTCCACTTGATGCTTATAACATCTTTATTTACCATAATAGCATTAAAAAATAATCGTAGCCCAAATATAATGTGGTCAACATTACTGAAGGGCAATTTAACAATGTGAATCAAATTCCTTAAAAATCTTTATCTCATTACATCCTACTTTCAGGAATTTTTCCTAAGGAAATAATTAGAATTGTATAATATGGCCGGGTACCATGGCTCACTCCTGTAATCCCAGCACTTTGGGAGGCCAAGGCGGGTGGATCACCTGAGGTCGGGAGTTTGAGACCAGCCTGACCAACATGGAGAAACCCTGTCTCTACTAAAAATATGAAATTAGCCAGGGTGGTGGCACATGCCTGTAATCCCAGCTACTCGGGAGGCTGAGGCAGGAGAATTGCTTGAACCCGGGAGGCGGAGGTTGCGGTGAGCCGAGCTGGCGCCATTGTACTCCGGCCTGGGCAACAAGAGCGAAAGTCCGTCTCAAAAAAAAAAAAAAAAAAAAAAAAGGTATAATAAAAATTTACTTCTAAAGATATTCATAAAAGCATTATTTATGATAGTAAAAAATTGTGTGCAACCTAAATGTTCAGCAAAATAAGACAAGTTAACTAACGTATGATGCATCTATACAATATAATGTTAGGTAGCCAATTAAAAATCAAGTTTTAGGCTGGGCATGGTGGCTCACCTGTAATCCCAGTACTTTGGGAGGCTGAGGTAAGAGGATCGCTTGGGCCTGAGAGGTCAAGGCTGCAGTGAGCTGTGATCATGCCATTGGACTCCAGCCTCGGTGACAGAGTGAGACCCTGTCTCAAAAAAGTAAAATAATAAAATAAAATAATAAAAAAATTATGTTTAAAAAACATTTAAGACCATGAGAAAATGCTCAAAATAGAATAAGTGAAAAAAAAAGCATGATTCTACAGTTATTATCTCTGGGTACCAGGACTACTACTAATGTTTATTTTTTTCTTTTTAACTTGTATTTATTTTCTGAAATCTCTGTAGTGAATTGCATTTCTAGCCAGGAAAATTAAAAAAAAACTGTGTTTATGTGCTGTTAAACACAATTGGTGATTTTATAATCTTTTGGTGATTTGATTTTGGTCTTAAGACCAAAACATCTTTTCACTGTCCATGTAGCTGGTTGGAATTACCAAAAGACTATAAAATCACAGAATTTAGAGCTAGTGAGATCTTAAAGATGATCCCTCATTTCAAAGATTAGGAAATCAAGGGATTAAAACAAGTAGTTAATGTTTATTCAGTGCTTGCCATGTGCCAGTGCTCAGTACATTATGCTATTATTTAATCTTTGCCCTGTCCTTCTGAGAGTTGGTCTATTTCTATCCTTATTTTATAAATGAGGAAACTGAGGCTTAGAGAAATTAACTTGCCCATAATTAAGTGGTGGAACTGATATTTGAACCCAGGTCTGTCTGACTCCACATCATGTAATGGAATGCAGTAAGTTTTTAACTGACCTGCTCAATGTTACATTGCTTATTATTAGTGGGAGAGGGATTAACAGCCTGATGTCTTGACTGAAAATTCAGTGTTCATTTAATTAATTTTGTCTGTTTTTGAGACACTGTTGATATTGTAACTAAATTCTATTGTGTCCTATTCAACATGAACTTAGACTTATCGTTATCACTTATACATTTTATTTGTATCTATTAAGTTAAGAATTTTTGTTTAATCCTCTTAAAAATCTTTGGGTGATGAAAATGTCCTGGAATTAGGTAGTGGTGATAGTTCATAACCTTATGAAATACTAAAAACCACTGAATTGTACACTTTAAGAAAAATCTTTTCTTCTTTAAGTTTATAGAAAAAAAGGCTTTAAAAAATAGTTGTAGTAAAATATAAAGACCACAAAGAAGCCCAAAAATGCTGAACTAATCTTAAAAAAGATGGTTTCACATAATATGAAATAAAGTAATAGCTACACTTATTTTCTTTTCCTTGACAGTGATACTTATGATTGAACCAAAACTATGCAATGAAAGGGAAGTAAAAGAAATTAAGTATCTGATAATAGTAATAGACATCTAAAGCCAGAAGTTGGTTACTTAGTAGAAAAAAAAGGAATTTGGACTATAAGGAGTATGAATATTTGTGCTTTTGGTTTAAGAACTGATCTCTGTTGATGGACAGTATCTGTTGTTCTCCAAAATTACATTGTAAAATTACAGATTAATCCAGGAGAATACTTTTTCAATTCTAATATTTTCAATTGTTTTGTTATAAGGATAGTGAGCAATGGGGAAGACTAGTTTTACTTTTTTTTAATGAAATATAATAGCTTTGAATTTTCTATAAACATTCTCAAGGATTTAAAGGATTATCGCCACAGATATTTAATATTTATCAACATTCAAATTTGGAAGACATGTTGTTATCAATTCTATAAGACTAAAAATAAAACTCTGAACTTTAAAAAATGTCTTTGTCAGATTATACTGTGTTTATGAGCAAATACTGAGAATATATAGAATATATATTAGCCTCATACCTAATGAGAATATGTTCTAATAAAATTATAATTAAATTTAATCCAGTTTTAGACAGTAAAGATGTATTTCCCTCATGTCAAGATTTATATATTTGTTCCACAGTTTCTAGTCAACATTAATATTCTCTATAGGTAATCTCATGAAGCTACAATCTTATTCATAATCTCTATTATTTCAGCAGATTGTCTAACCTTTCATTAGTTTACAAATGTAGATTACCCGTTTTTTTTTTGGCTTCTAATTCTGTATCTTTGCTTTTAAGCATCGATTGTTATCTAGACAAGAAGAACTTAAGGAAAGAGCAAGAGTTCTGCTTGAGCAAGCAAGAAGAGATGCAGCCTTAAAGGCGGGGAATAAGCACAATACCAACACAGCCACCCCATTCTGCAACAGGCAGCTAAGTGATGTGAGGAGCATTGGTTAAAAAAGACCATAAGTTGTTCATTGTAATCATGGGGAGGAGGGAAGTAATTTGCTTGTATTTCTGCTATGTTATTTTTCTACGGACTGTACATTGTGAATACTTGGTGCACTTACTGAACTGATAAAGATAAATTCATACTTGTAGGACCATTTGATCATTATTCCTACAGAGCAGTGTTAGTGATGAGGAAAAGTAAGATCTGGGAATATAATTTCCACATATACATGAATAATCTGTTTTTTGTTAATTTATATTTTATAACTGTAGTTGTACTCTAAGATTGTATTTTGTCAATGGAAGTTAATTTTGTTGGAAATGTTTGAATATAATACTGATGTCTATTATTTATTGAATACCTACTAAGTATTTCAGGAACAATAATTTTGTTTTACTTAACTCCATGGAGACTGAGGCCAATAGGCAAGGTAACTTGTACAAGGTCACAGAGTCAATAAATGGTGAATCCAGGATTTGAACCTGAGCCTTATTAGATTCCAGAGTCAGTCCACTTTCCTATCATATACTGCCATCCTTGTACTAAACCACATTTTTATATATATTTTTGTGTAGTGCTTCACAGATAATAATGAATGTATAATAACAGGAGCCCTTAAAATTTAGGAGGACACAAACATCTTCATGAATGAGAAAACTGTGACAGTCTCACCACAGCACCATCATGTGTTAGTAGTTGTTTTTCCCAGAAAGAGCAGCTCTGTGCCATATAGCTAGGTAGCTACATGCCAGGTTGGTCACCTTGTTGCATGTGTTTCACGTTTACCCAAAGAAGTACCCTATTGCTTATGAGACTATGCTTTGAATAGTCCCAAGATATTTTCCCACCCTTCCTCTTTCAAGTTATCTATTCCTGCATTAAAAACCACTGCAGGGCTAGGCATGGTGACTTATGCCTGTACCCAACACTTTGAGAGGCTGAGGTGGGAGGATCACTTGAGCCCAGGAGTCTGAGACCAGCCTAGGCAACAGTGACACCCCATCTCTACTTACAGAAAAAAAAAAAAAAAAAAAACCACCGCAAAACTTACTGGCAAAAAACAACCATCTTATTAGGTTAATAGATTCTGTGAGTTAAGAATTCAGATAGGACACAGTGGTAGTGGCTTGTTTATGTTCCATGACGTCTGGGGCTGGCTTTCAGCTAATAAGACCTCTGCCAGACTGTCAGTTGGAACACCTACATGTGGCCTCTCCATATGGTCTCTCTACTTCTCTAGTGTGGGCTTCCTCATAGCATGGTGGCTGACTTCCAAGAACAAGTGTCCCAATGGAATAAGGCATAAATATGTGGCATTCTTATGATCTAGCTTTTCTTAAAAACAAAATCACTTTAAGTTTATTGTAAGAAAGGAAAATTAGTGGCAAATTTCAGTTATGAACATAGATGTAAAAATCCTATAGAAAATATTAACAAATTCAACCCAGAAGTTATTTTTAAAAGTTAACATACCATGGTCAATTTGGATTTATTCTAGGAATGCAAGATTGTTTAATTTTTCAAAACTCAAGCAATGTAATTGACAACATTAACAGAATAAAGAAAAATCAAGCAGATATAGAAAAAGGTTGGAAAAATATCAACATCCATTCATGATCCACAGAGAGAAAAGAATCACATTTCTTAGCCTCTAGGGATAGAAAGGAACTTTATTACTTTATTAATGTGCTAAAATGTACATATAAAAAGCCTATAGCAAACATACTTAATTGTGAAATATTGAAAGCTTTCCATTTGTGACAGATTAAAAGACAGGAAAGTCCACTATCACTTCTGTTCAATATCATAATGGGGAACCTAAGACAAGGAAAAGAAATAAAAAGGTATAACATATGAAAAGAGACCAATAAAATTACCATTATTCACCAGAAGTATGATTCGTACATAGAAAATTCCCCCAAAATTACAAGATTACTGGACATAAAATTAATATTTGAAAATAAATGCTTTTTTTTTTTTTTTTTTTTTTGAGATGGAGTCTCGCCATGTCACCCAGGCTGGAGCGCAGTGGTGCGATCTCGGCTCACTGCAAGCTTCGCCTCCCGGGTTCACACCATTCTCCTGCCTCAGCTTCCCAAGTAGCTGGGATTACAGGCGCCCACCACCATGCCTGGCTAATGTTTTTGTATTTTTAGTAGAGACAGGGTTTCACCGTGATAGCCAGGATGGTCTTGATCTCCTGACCTCGTGATCCGCCCGCCTCGGCCTCCCAAAATGTGAAAATAAATTATATTTCAATAAGATACACAAATGGCCAACAAGCACATAAGAAATAAGAAATATCTTTAGTCTCATTAGTTATCAAGCAAATGAAACTCAAAGCCGCAGTGAGATACCACTATGAGAATGACTAGAATTTAAAAGACTGACAGTAACAAGTGTGGAAGGAATCTGGAGCAACTAGAACTCTCACATTTTGCCAGTAGGAATGTAAAATGGTACAACCATCTTGAAAAACAGGCCATTGCTTATGAAGCTAAACATACACTTACATGACCCCAGCAATTCCATTTTAAGGTATATAACCAAAAAAACTAAAAACACATGGTTATTCGAAGACTTTTACACAAAATTTCATGGCAGTTTTGTTTGTAGTACCCAGAAACAGGACAAAATTTAAATGTCCATCACCAGACAAATGAATAAACACATCCTGATATAGCCATGCAATATAATATTACCCAGCAATACAAAGGAACAGGACACTGAGATGCACAATAATGTAAATGAATCTTGGAGATATTATGCTGCGAACACAAAAGAGGACATGTATAATTACATTCACATGAAATTCTACAACAGGCAAAACTAACGTAGCATGACAGAAAGCCAATTGGTGGTTGCCTGATGCCAGGGTAGGTGGGATATCATGAGCAAACTTTCTAGAGGGATAGAAAAGATTTATAGCTTTATTGTGTCTGATTACACAGGTATATACATTTGTTAAAACATCAAATTTAAAATGGGTGCATATTACTAGATGTAAATTACATCTTTATCTTTTTAAATTATTACAAGCAAAAGTTTTAAAATATTTACAAGAACATTAAAAATACGTAGTATGCTAAGAATAAAGCTAACAAGAAATATGTAGACCTTTAGGCAGAAAACTAAAACATTCTGAAAGATATAAAAGAGTAAATAAATGGAAGGGCATATTATGTTCATAGATTAGAAGACTCAATTTTTTAAACATTTTATTGTGGTAAGAACAGTTAACATGAGAGCTACTCTTTTTTAAAAAATTTGAGTGGATACAATGTTTTATTGCAGGTCTGCATTACTTATTCATGTTGCTCAAATGAAACTTTATTCCTGTAGATTAGTAACTGCCCATTTCTCCCTCCCTCCAGTCCCTGTCTACCACTGTTTCGCTCTTTGATTCCATGAATCCGACTATTTTAGATGCTTCATATAAGTGGAATCGCGCAGTATTTGTCTTTCTATAACTGGCTTATTTCACTTAGCATAATGTCATCAAGGCTCATCTATGTTGTAGAATGTGACAGGACTTTCTGCTTTTTTAAAGCTGAATGGTATTCCACTGTATATGTACCACATTCATTTTATCCGTTCATCTGTCAATAGACATTTAGGTGGTTTTCACATCTTGGCTATTGTGAATAATGCTGCAGTGAACATAGGAGTGCTAAAATCTCTTCAAGATCTTGATTTCAGCTTTTTCTGATAAGTACCCCGAAGTGGGATTGCTGGATCATATGGTAGTTCTGTTTTTAATTTTTTGAGGCACCTTCATATTGTTTTTCCATAACAGTTGCACTATTTTATATTACCACCAACAGTGTGCAAAGATTCCACTTTCTCCACATTCTCACCAACACTTGCTACTTTAGTTTTTTAAATAATAGCCATTGAACAAGCATGGAGTGACATCTCATTGTGATCTTGATTTGCACTTTCCTGATGACTAGTGACATTGAACATCTTTTCATGTACCTGTACCTGTTGTCCATTTGTATGTCTTCTTTGAAGAAATGTCTATTCAAGTTCTTAGCCCACTTTTTAATCGGGTTAACAGTTTGTTTTGGTGAGGGGTGGCTAATGAGTTATAGGAGTTCTTATTTATTACTTAAAGGACCACTGGTTTACTTTAGCAGTTTCTTTATTTTATTCCTCTGTACTTTATTTCTGTACAAGTAAACTTAAGTCCTTCTGATGAATACCAAAAATAATGAGAAGAGCTATTTTAATAATTGCTGTTGTAGTACTTAAATAGAAGCATGTAGTGCATGGGACAATGTCCATGTACTCAGTACAGTTAGCTACTTGTGAGACTTTTGTATTTAGTTCTGGGTGAGAGAAAGTGAGAATTTACAGGGGATTCAGAAAAGGGTTAAAGGATTGAAAGGAAAGGTCTACTTGTAAGAAATAAAGCCTTATAAAATGTAAAGAAGAGATAACTGGGAAATAGCTTAAGTGATCATTTGAATATATGAAGCCTCAAAATCCATCTGGTAACCCCACTTACCTAAGAGAATAAACTTCCCAACTACTCAGCATGGCCTCATGTCCTTGCAAATCCTGTCCCCTCCCTTTACAGCCTCATTTCTTACCTCTCTCATTTTTTTCATTCTACAGTCCAGTTATAAGTTGCTTACTGTATCTAAAATGTGCCATACTCTTTCATTCTTGTGTCAAGCATTTGCTGTTGTTGCCTTGAAATACCCATCTTCCCTTATTAGTTTCTAGTGAAATAGCACTTCTATAAACACTGTCCTCATGGCTCCTTGCAGTGAAGTTAATTCTCTTTCCTATATCTTTTGCTGTTATTCTCTACCGTAGCATGCATTCATCCCAATATAATTATCTAATTACAAATCTCTTCCTCTCATTCAACTGTGAACTATTTCAAAGTACAAGGACCTTGTATCCCCAGCACCAAGTAGTAGTATTTGGTAAATGTTCATTGAATGAATAAATGAAGGGAATAGTGACAGGCTATTTTTCATATCCTCTGAGTGTCACCTAATAAAAAATTAGCTTAAACATGAAAACTTTGCTATAAGGAGGTTCTTAGTAGGTTTGTAAACAGGAAAAATAAATGTTTCTCTGAAGTTGTTTAAAGCAGAATTGAGCAGAGGAAGTTAGTGTTCCCTTGTCTGAAGTCAGTTACAGATAAGATTACTTTTGCCACTTGGGTACTTAAGCTTATATCATTCTTTCCTTGCTATTCTCGAATCGTACATTATGATACCTTTCTTTGTTGTTATGATGTGTGTATGCCAAATCCTTACACACACCAGCTTTTCCCATATCCTGGGACTCTGATTAGAGTTCAGCTTTCAGTTCTGCCTTGAATCACAACACTACAAAACATTCCCTTCCA
This sequence comes from Homo sapiens, assembly GCF_000001405.40. Taxonomy (NCBI): domain Eukaryota; kingdom Metazoa; phylum Chordata; class Mammalia; order Primates; family Hominidae; genus Homo; species Homo sapiens. The sequence goes on from NC_000002.12 coordinate 62,961,042, forward strand.
AAATGAGTATAGCTTTAGGCTGCTAGCCTGGAAAGCTGTTTCTAAGACACTGAAAACAACTCTCGATATTCTTATTGGGTGGACCCTTACGTACAGACTCCACTTAAGTTATCCTCAGGAAAGATATAAGCTGTAATTTCCCTTAAAGGACAACTCACAAACACAGATACCATAAACCTTTTAATTTTTCTAAATTTTTGGCAGGACTACCATTGCATATTTTAGTGAATACTTGGTAAAACTACTTATTGCCTTTCAAGTCTTTTTTCATGAAAGTCATTTATATGCTTCATTCATACCTTTGTGCCTTTAGAAACTCCTTTAACCTGTTTCATTTGCTCCCTGAAATTATGTCTATGGGAGACAGATTTCATTGCTCTGGGTCTGTATTTTATGTTTCTTTTCTTCCTGTTCCTTTTGTTCTATGAAGATTTTCAAAGGTTGAATTTTACTAATGTAAGTTTTAGGTGTGATATTTGTGTTTTTCATTTTTTTCCACATGTGCTTTAAATGATTTTTTTAAGTACAACTCAGGAGTTTGGTAGCTTCAGCAGTCCACCCAGTATGTAATTCAAAGGAGACGTCTTGATCATGTAATATATAAGCACAGACTTGAAGAAAATGTAATTTTTTCAAGAAAATATTTCTTTTTTTATTATTTTTCTTTATTACTCCATTTCCCCATACACTTTTCATCCAGATATGTACAAATAGAATTTTAAAAAGCTAATCTGGCCTGTAATCCCAGCACTTTGGGAGGCTGAGGCAGGCAGATCACCTGAGGTCAGGACCAGCGTGACCAACATGGTGAAACCCATCTCTGCTAAAAACAGAAAAATTAGTCAGGCATGACAGCACCGCCTATAGTCCCAGCTACTCAGGAGGCTGAGGCAGGAGAATTGCTTGAACTCGGGAGGCGAACGTTGCAATGAGTGGAGATTGCGCCACTACACTCCAGCCTGGGCAACAGAGCAAGACTCTGTCTCAAAAAAATAAAAATAGACTGGGTGTGGTGGCCCACGCCTGTAATCCCAATGCTTTGGGAGGCCAAGGTGAGCAGATAACTTGAGTTCAGGAGTTCGAGACTAGCCTGGCTAACATGGCGAAACCCCATCTCTACCAAAAATACAAAAAATTACCCAGGCACGGTGGCTCACGCCTCTAGTCCCAGCTACTCGGGAGGCTGAGGCACAGGAATCGCTTGAACCCAGGAGGCAGAGGTTGCAGTGAGCCAAGATTGTGCCACTGCACTCTACCCTGGGCAACGGACTCCATCTCAAAAAATAATAAAATAAAAATAAAAAATAAAAGCTAATCTGTTTCAGATGCTTTTGCTAATTATTTTGCATTGGAATATAATTGCTTTTTAAAAAATGCATTTAATAAGCCCACCATTACATTTAATGATACTTATATACTTGTATAGGTATCTGAAAGGGATGTTTGCATTTGATGTGCTTAAGTTTAGAATTCATACACTCTAAGCAAAATAAAGGATGATAGTCCTGCTACCCACAGTCCTTGGAATTTTTGTTAGCATATTAGTGAAGCATTTTGAACATATCAGAAGAATGATGCTATATATGTTTAATTATAACTTTTTTAACAGAATAAAATCTATTTTATAAGTGGAAAATCTAAACAAATCTAAAAAGAGAATCAGGATGAAACTTCAGTCTAATTAGTCTAATCATAATGATCAGTGAATTTATAAATATGTTTGTTTTTGTTTTGTTTAAGCAGTAATTACGTAGCATAAGAGTATGGTTTGCAGATAGTTGTTAGGTATCTGGATGCGTTTTAGAAAGAACTATCAGGAAGTAATTACAATGCTATTATAAAACAGACTTGAAGTTTTTCTCCTAACATTTAATCTGTTAGCATAATGGCCCATCCATTACACTCAACTGGTTTAGGAGCCTTTTCTCACATAACAGGTAGCAGGATGAAACTGCAGGTTAGCAGCAAGTCCTGGAAGGTTTGCAGTATCCATCTTTAAAGACCTGAAGGAACGTTTGAATCCTCTAGAGAAAACAGTATACGTGGGAAAGGATTTTAGTTTGGTCAGCTCTTAGTTAACTGCTAAGACCAGTAACCACACAGTGACTTTTTTTAAGCTCGCCTTTGGAAGTGAATCCAAATGGCTTAAGAGAACTAAGAGAATGCAAGTTGCTCTTTTGCAAATTAAACCTTTGACGGGTATTTTATTGCCATGAAGGGTGAGACATCAACCGCGTACTTTTGATGTTGATTGGAAATTATTGATTTAAATGGCACTAGTCTGTCATGCCGATAATTGTAGCAGATTTAGATAAGATCACTAGATCTTCTCCAAATAATAAAAGAAGCATTTACCATTCAATTGGTAAAAAACACTAAACTTTTTTTGATAATCTCTAATAGTAACCTTTTCCGTAGTTTTCATATATATGTGTTCTAAGTATATATCATCATAAAAATATGTATGAGATTATACTTACATATTTATGAATATTGGCTGTGTTAGTTAAATAGATAGCTTCTTAGGAATCAAAGCTTTAAAATTAAGTTCAAGTTAAAATTTCGTATTTTTCCTAATTACACATATTATCAATTCTACTGTTAGGAAGAAGTACGTTAACTTTACATTTGTAATTTTGTGTGAAAGGACATCAATTATCACTTATTAAAAAATCTAAGACCTTTAATAACATATAGAGTGAGTTTTTAGTTAAAAAATCTAAAACCTTTAATAACATACAGATTTTATTTAGGAATTTTTATTCTCCTATGAGCTGGAATGTCTATGCCCAGGGCACTGAAATGAAAATACATCCTTACTTTTTACTTCAACACAATCACCAAAAGATTTAATGTACAAAATCCATTTCAGACCAGTGAGACACTTTGAGTGTAGAGCTGATCTTTTTATAGTTGCGTTTTAGAGGAGAAGAATGCTGGCGTACTTCTATGTTCAGCATAAATAGCTCTATACAAAGCAGCGGTTTTTATTCCGTATTATTTTAAATAATAGTTTATCTATTATGTCTAAATGTAAGTTGATTTCAAGTCTGCTATCCTAACAATAGTTACTAGACTTCTTAGAAAACATACTGTTAGCTTGCTAGCATATCTTCAAAGTCAAACAAAATACCAGCATTGTTGTGGAGGAAAAAAAAACCTCAAGCATCTTTTCTATTATGTGGCCACGAACCCCTAGCCTCAAAAGTCTTATTTGAGGTTGCCATGAATGCATGAAGCTAGGGCTAGGTGTCTTAGCATCAGAAACACTCCTTTTATGCAAGTAATAATGGCTGTGGACATTTTCCATATGGCTGTTCAGTGCCGTGTTGAACATCCCAGGATGAATATCACCATTACTAAAGCTGTATTTTATATTGCCTATTTTGTTATTGCTCAGCATGCACAAGAGTTTAAATCTTTATTCATTTCATTTTTTAATGTTTCTTTTGTTCTTCTTATCATATTCTGCTTTCCCAAGGATATATGCCTTGAACGAAAAGTCACATGTGCATTACTAATTGTGTGCTATTGTATTTACAGTTCCTATTGGTGGCACTGTGAAGCTACTAATTCCTTTGCTTCACTTGATGTAAAATAATCTGAGTGTCTTTGATAGCAGTGAAACAGTATTAATTGTTTTGTACATTTCTTGGTCACTCTTCTTAGGTGGTCTTCATAATCTATTAGAACTTTCAGCCAGATTTTTGTAATGTCATGCCTCCAGCAGTGATTAAATTGGTAATTAATGAACAGTCCTTGGCAATGTAAACCACATCCCGTTAATTTTCCCTTTCGAGTTTTTAGAAGTTGTCTTCTGTGTCAGAAATCATTGCGCCACCTTGCTATGGCCCCTTGGCATGAAACCACAACGACTTGATTTTTTCAGCCATTAGTAGATCAGAGCAGTAATTTCACAGTATTTTGGTCAAGGTAATTATAATACCACGAACTGAGTAGATTTGAAAATTCACGAAAGAAGTCCAGAAATACCAGGTGAGCTTCCTTGTGTTCACTGGAACGTTATGATTAGTTTAATTGGTCTTTGTTTGATTTTAGCCGCAGAAACTGTTTGTGCCACAGTAGTGCAGTGACTTTATACTTGAGTGTTTCTGACCTTCTTTGACAGGGTGGGTGCAAAAATGAGCCCTTTGAAACAATCCCCTTTCTAAAAGGGGGTTAAACTGCAATTAAAAAATTAACTATAGAAAAGAAAGCCCTCTAATTAATTTCTTAACATCTTACTCTATTTTGTGAAATGTTTAGCAAGTTTATTTTCCTCTCTCTTCATTAAGAAATATGCACGACTATTTTAGTGCTATTTTAAACTATTCTGCCTGTGAGATATTAATGACGTAGAGTTTTGATACTGTATAAGAATCTTACAATGCCTTAATGAGAGTGAAATTGAAATGTGGCTTTCCTTTTTGTCACAAAGTAGATATTCCCATACTTGACTGATTGCTTATATGTGTGTTAGCCCTTGGTCATACATTGTGCACATTAGAATTTAAAGAGTCACTTGCATGTTGCCTTCTGAAAGGATTGTCTTGGTCACCTTTTCTGGAAGCCCTTAATGAAACTAAATAGTTTGCTTGGAGTTTGGACCTAACCATCAGGGTGTTTCATGCAGTCTTGTCAGTTGATGTTCATGAATTGACTTGAACAAAGATCAAAGTGTTTCTCCAAACCAAGAATCTGTGAGACAGCTCCTTCAGTTGTGCCACAAGAGCTAATCAAGCCATCAGTTCTTTATGCACTCTACGTGTCTTTAGAATTTAGTACCAAATGATTTGTCAGTACAAATTGATATTCTGATTTTTTGCTTTTCTCCTTCCTGGCTCTCTTTCCCTATTTCCTCCAAAATGAGGGAAAATACAGTGTCTTTTTACAACTAGATTTTGTTAAGAAGCTTAGATTATAATTTTGAAATGGAATATTTAAAGTTTACAAATACAAACAAGCCAAGAACAAGTTAAAAGTTTTAAATCAGTGATATTCATATACCACAATACTAAATATACAGCCAAGCTTTTCAGTTGAACAAATTAACTTAGAGTCTGATTCTTTTATTTTTCTTGTCACTTCACTGTTTTGATAATAGAACTTTGTCTTGAAGTATTTCAGTTGCATCAGAGTACTGTATTTGTTTTCCATGCTTAGATTAAAAGGAAGTTATCTGAAAATACCTCTTAGAGGGGGGAGTTTTATAATTTGAGGAAAGGGAATAGTTAGATTTTTTCCCCCTATTTCAGAAGCAATTTTTAAAGGATTTAGCCCTATTTAGCCTGAAGGTCTTAGCACTAATGAGAGCACTTAAGTTACATCAAGGCTGTTGATTAGACAGCTCATCTATCAACTGAAGCATGAGAATTTGTGTTTGGGGTACCTTTTATACATTTTAAATGTATATGCATCTCCATTACTTTATACCTTTTCCCGAGTGCTTTAATTGGTCTCTGGCATGACAGTGGTTGCTGTGCAGTAGAAGTGTAACTGAAAGAGAGTTATGTATTATTTGTGTCATTAAAGTTTGTATTTGAAAATCAGTAAATTTTAAATTTCTGCTTTGGCATGAAAATTCAGGCACTTATTTTCATAATATTAAAAATTTAGTGTACATAAAATATTCTTTTATAAGATACATTTGATTCTTTTCTATTTTAATAGGAACTATCATTTCCCAGCATTTTTAAAGGATACAATCTCCTAATTAAATTTAAATGATATAATATCCTAATTAAACAGTTATTATAAAAAGTATAGTGTGCTCCCTAACTTTTGACATTTCAAATTTTTAAAAGAAATTTAAAACATCACCACTAGCCTGCACTAGGAGCAGCCTGTAATAACAGTTTTTAAAAGCTTTCTGAACTATTTGACAAGATTTCTTAGTGCTGAGGCCATATGCTGTAGCCTTTAAGCTATTTCTTCCTATCAGTTTCATTATCACCTGCCTCTGAGTCTCCAATATCATCAGTAAGCACATGCAGAATCATAATTATGCCATGTACAAGTTCTTTGATAACATGTACAGTTTTCTTCTTAATTCTTTATCAAATGCATTGATCGTGGCATGTGTGCATTGATCCAGGTCCGCCATCTGGCTGTGTGTGATAAGCACAGTGGCATCTTTGCATTTCCACTGTCATTCATTGCGCTACAATTTGGCTGCAGGGGAGTAGTGGCTGGGATTAGCCCTGTTCTGCTACTTACTTGCATTTTAAGTTGACACCTCTACAGCGGCTCAGACCACATTACAAACTGAAACACATACGCACGACTTAGTGATGTGACACTTCTCAATAAGCTTACTCCACTAGCTACTCAACAATCTGTAATTGGATTTGTAGGAATAACAGCAAAAGATTTCCTAAGAATTGCTAGGGACAGAAGGTGAAGTTTTCTCATTATTGGCAAAAGGCTAGGTATAGATCCTAGACGATTGGTATTTTCCATTAAAAACAAGCTGCCAACAGTTTGCAGGACATTTTTTTCTTTTTAAAAAGGACATGGAAAAGGATGTGGTTTTCACTTGTGCTTTACATTTTGATCACTTGTATCTTACGGGATTTTTCCAGTAAAATTGAGAGGAGGAAAATCTTTCAAGTACATCTCAGGAATGTGGTTCTCTGTATTGTTTCAGAAATATAAAATGATGAAAAGACAATGTATAGGTATTTTCTTTGTAGGAGAGGAAAAATTCCAAAACATAGTTAACTAAGAATAGAACTTTCCTGAATCTCTAATCTGGCAAGGTAAAGAACACTTCTTCCTATGTTGCATATACATCTGGTCGGCTTGCCAAAAATCTTTGTTTTATAATATTACTTCTTTTTTTTTTCATCTCAAATGTCAAGTTTACGCAGGAGAAAAGCCCTTAAGTGAAGCACTGTGAAACTTAGCTGCTACAGATGAATAAGCTGTTTTGAGCACTCTTTATAGTATAGCTTTTGAGAGATATAGGATACATCGTATTTTGAGCAAAAGTACTGATCGTAATGGATACAGTGTGTTTTCTTTAAACACTAAGGTATTTCTGAGCTCTGCCCACCCCATCACTGTTGTCAAACTGATATTAACTGTCAGCAGTTTTTTTGGGTCTTATTCTGAGTACAATCCAAAGGAGTTCATAAATAAATAGTTTATAAGTAATACTACTAGCATAGAACTATGACTTACATAGAAGTTACAAAGATTAGGAAGATCATTAACACTTTAGAACAAAAGCCAGTGTTGGTGGAGTGTTAAATTCATCATAAAGGGTTCTTTGGGTGGCTTTATTAAGAGACAACTTGTAGAATCATGTATACCAAATACCAATAGAGTATGTCATTTCAGTACCTGAACAGGAAACGAAGTAAGAAGTTACATAAGCACATATATATCTGTATATACACATACAGAGAGAGACAAGAGAGAAGATGAACTTGGATTCTTAGAGGTTTTTCTAGTGAAAAATATCACAATATAAAACAGTAATTTTTTTTAATATGATACATAGATGTCATACTTTTGAAGGGTTAAGTCTTATTTATCTGAATGGAACTGCAGGACAGTTTTGCAGAACACTTTAACACAAATACCTATGGTTTACTTTGACGTTACATTTTTTTGTTGTTGGTTTCTTTACTTTAAATACTTGAACTGTTAGACCTTCTACTTTTTTGCTGAGAAAGATGTATTTGTACCAGATTAGAAAAGCTAAACTGTTTCTTTACATTGAATAATCAGCCTGTCATGACAAATCTATCTCCTTCTGCATGAGTAGGTGCCAGTCTGACTGGCTTCTTTTAGGCTCACACTGGGTTTTAAGCTAGATCCATGTGCATGACTGGCAGTGCATTTGTTGGGCCAGATCTAAGGAGCCAGAGAGCGTTCAGCTCCTTTTTGCCTACAAAAGAGCAGCCAGACAACCAGCAAGAGGCCTTGGATGTAACACAAGGTGATACTTACTTAGTCAGCCATTCTTCTTTTATTCTTATAATTTTTTTAAACTAAGAAGTTATCAATTTCACAAAGAAAAGAGGAATTAAATTATCAAAGGGTCCTTTTTTTGGAGGCTCAAACTATTTCTGTTAGTTCTACTAATGCAAATTGAAGTTTTCAGAAACACAAAATAATTGCTTTTATAATCTTAAAATAATTATTTTTGGAGAAATATAGTACCTACTAGGAATTCATATGTATTAAGTAAATGAATGAAAGAAAATGATTATTTATTTAGAATATAAAACTTTCTATCCCAGAATGCTTAAAGGAAAGCCTCATTTAGCAACATTAACTTGATCTCATGTATTCTTTTGTTTAGGATTCTTTATTTGTATAGCATGGTATAACACTGCAAAACAAATGCTACAATTAAAAAGAATACTTGCTGTATCTTGAAACAAAGAGATATATTTTAAAAACTAGAGTATGATATATTCATTTTCATGAATTAAATACGTTAGATGAAATCTAAATTCTTAAAATGTGTCTATTTTTTCTGAATTAGTCCTTTTATATTTTCTACTCATATATTAAAAACTATCTCAAATTTAAGTTCATATTCTGTTTACTATTTTTCCTATGTATCTTAAACAAATCCAAAATTTAGTAGTTACCACAAAAATAAATGTAATCCCCAGGGTTGATCAAAGATTTAATCTGACCAGATGGGGCAAACTTGAGAAAGATTTTGACTTTCCACTCTGTTTTGCAACAAGAAAGGCTGATTTTTTTCTTTCTTTCTTTCTTTGTTAGAGAAGCAGAGATCAGGCCATCCCCAGAGAAATGAGCAGGTGTGGCCATTTATAAGCATGTCTGCTTATATTACAAACCAGCATAAGAAAAGTTTGAAATGGGTTGAAAAGATCTGCTAAACAGTTTTAATGTTTCACCCTAAATCCTATTTATTCAGTCAGGAGCTGATCAAGCTGGCAGTAAAATATCTAGTCTACCTAAACCTTCTAAAATCTTGTAATTTTATTTTTTATTTAATTCTATCTTTCATAGTAAGTGAGTGGGCACACTTTGGTAATCCTTGCCTCTGGACAAACACAGAATTCTTTTTTTTTTTTTTTCGGTCCATTCTGAATGCCTAATAACAGAGTCTTGCTCCCTGTCTAATGATGAAAGGGTGACAGTCAAGTTCTTTCAGTTTACTACAAAATTGAGGAATTTCATGGACCATTTTGAGAACAGAACACTGTTAAATATTAGCAGCTCTAAGTAAAACTTTTTTTAAAAAAATTTAGATAGGTTAAAATTTATTTAGCTCAATTAATTAAAGTTCAATTACTAAGGCTGTATGAAACACCGAAGACAAAACAAATAAGCACAGGATGTTCTTGAGGGAGGTAAAAGATGAAATGTGGGTTTTTTTTGGTAGAAACAGAGTGCTTTTTTATGTTATAAACACAATTTTACGAAGAGTATGGATACAAACTACATTGTTTGAAATAATATGTTTTTAAAGTTTTGTTAAGGCTTATTTCATGAAAATGTGTGTAGACATGTTTCTTAATGATCTCAGCAGCTACACTGACAGTTTCTCATGTTCTAATTCACCTTCACAAATCCATGGCATCATTTTTTGGCTAAAGTAATGTCAGTTGGTGACATTTGCGGCAAGTGTAAAAAGGACCCCCCATGGCAGCCATTTTTATTTGATTCTTAAGATCCAAAGGCTGCTGAAAGAACAATTGAATAAAGTTGGGGATTGGAGAAGCTTGATTTTCTTGTTCTCTGTGAAATGAAACTCCAGCCTTTTTCTTCCCCTTCCCCTCAAAAGCAAAAGTCTGCTAGGGGGTTGTAGCTGTGTCAAAGCCGCTGGGATGCCACTGCTGATCACTTTAATTACTACGACTAAGGAGGATAAAATTAAAAGTAGCACCATTGAAGCAGTGGAAGAAAGCTTGCCTAGATGTCGGTGAACTGTGAAATATAAAAATTGCATACCAATACATTTTTATGGAAAGGAAACAAGGAATTACATTACTTATTCTTGAAGAGTTTGTCCTTAAATTGTCAAGTTTTACTAGTGCATCTATCTATGGCAGATTGTAGACCATTTCAGAATGATAAGGAAAATAGTAACTTGAAGACATGCTGTGAAAGGGCTAAATATTATTTAAGTTTGTGTCCAAAGTGGTTAGTTCTGATCCATCTTTATTTGAATATTTCAAATCCATTGGATTGAAACAGGGCTCTTTTTGCACCATAACAGGACTTTTGCCTTATCCTGAAGATGTTAGCAAAGAGAAAAGCAAAGCTTAAATACATTTATCACTTTTCTAAAGGCTTATAATTTAAGGTTGGGAACGTAAGTTTTAAGTGAATGTAAACAAATTAGTTGCTGGGAACGTAAGTTTTAAGTGAATGTAAACAAATTAGTTGCTCATCATCTCTCTGTATTCATTGACACAAAGGGAAATGTAAACTGATTTGTATAGCCCAAGTATACATAAAGAACTGGGACTTTAAAAAATCGTAATCACTGTAGGGCCTCAGAAAATGCTCTGAATAGCAGTTATGTAATAGATAGGGCCAGTGCTTTGATATCAAACAGACACTGATTTTAATTCTTACTATGCCATTTACAAGATATATGACCTTGGGCGGTATATTTAAGTGAGATTCAGTTTTTGTCAAATTGGAATGATAGCAGCTATCTCAGAGTTGTAAGGAGTAAATGAGACAACACATATACATGTGTGAGCACACAGGGCACAGAACTAGTATTTACTCAAAAATTTGTTACAAATTGTAAAAAGATAGTCATAGGGAGGGAGACCTCCCAAAACTACGGCTTCTATGAAACCCTCCAAAGAGTACACATCTATCTTACAAAAGCAAGACTATCCTTTATAACTCAGTCTAACTCTAAATAATACCATATAGGAAAAGGTGAATGTCATCAGACCCTTTCTCAGAAACAGGAAGTCTAACTACTTCAATTTATTTAAGTCTATCTAGACTACATAAGTAAATGAAAGACATAGGGGTTTCCTATGTATTGGATTTTTGAAGTATACTTATCTTTTAAGTAACAGCAGTTTTCTAAGTTGCCTTACCTCTGCAACCCAGTGAAAAGATTTTTTTTCCCAGCACACATGGTAAACATGATTTACTTACAGCTATGAGCCACTGTCTTTTTTTGAAAGAGGAATGGTCAAAGCAGATACCAAAACCACATTTCTTAGGTTTAGGCAAACTCATTGTCAGAAATATTATGAACGTATTTGAGCAGTTTGTGCTGAACGCTATACAGAAATAATAAGATAATCATTGTCCCTACTCTCTAGTCATTTTATCCTTAGACATAAACAGTGTGGCTATTTTGAGTAAAAAAGAAAAAATGCATAGATTTTATTGCTATCTATTCTTTCAATATTATTGCAAAAAAGTCTTTTAATGGAGCCTACATATAAAAATTAAAATGAACTAGTTTTACTTATGATGAACCTGGAGACTAATAAACTGAAAATTAGTGCTATCAAACTAAAATTGATGGCATAATCAATTACTATAATTACAAGCTTTTCCTTCATGACCTTAACAATTAACTTTTATTTTCTCAGTTGGTTTTTTGTCTTAAGGGAAGTTAAAGGGTGAGAAAACAAACAACACAGATATGCCATCCCACTGGAGAGCTTCAGGCCCAAGCAAAATTGTCTCTGTGGTGTTAGGACATTAGTAGAAAAGTAAATTAAGGCAATCTGATAGGGAACTAGAATTCTGTCAATCAGGCTCAAGATTTTGTGCTGTGTCCATAAACTTTGTTTACTGTAGGGTTTTATGAGTTGTAACCTGCCCTTGCAGTCTGTTAATGAGGCTAAATCTTGCTACTTGAGAATTGAATTACAGCACACCTCTGGGCTAATGGTTATAAACAGAAAGTCCCATTAGGGCTACATTCTGATTTGTTCATTTGCATTTTTTTCTATTGTGTAGAGAACAATGATGAGTAAATAAGTACAAACAAACAATTTACATGGAAATTGATAAAGTTCCTAATTAGTATTTAGAGTTGGTTTTATTAAGGATTGACTACTTTAAATTGCACTCTTGGTAAGCTCTCAGAAAAATTTGCAGATGGGAGTATTATGGGGGGTAGAGGAGGTGATAGCTTGCAAGAAAAAAATTAGGTTGCCATTTCATATTCAGAAAACTAGAATCATTTATTTCATCTTAACTCAGTAAAAATGACCCTTCATTTTAGTTTGAATCACCAAATTCCAGCTATGTAAGAAGTTATTATTCACTCAGTGAAATACACTTAAACTTAGTTGCCTGAGGCATATTAAATAATGGTTTTTGTTAGTACTCTTAACTTTTCTTAAGTTTGGAAGATGAAAGTTTAGTAAAAGTTCCATTTTCCTCATTTGATCATATAATTTGATACTTTGGGAATCATATAGTTTAGTGGTTAAGAGCAAGGGCTCTGGAGTGAAACAGACCTGAGCTGAACACCTGGCTCTGACATCAGGTCTAGCTGTGGAATGTTGTGACTCTAAACTTAAGTATTCTTACTGGTAAAAATAAAGATGTGAAAATTAAATATTATGCACATAAAGCACATAGCACATAAATGCTCAGGAGATAGCAGCAGCCATCATCAAACTCACCATTATCAATCCTGTAATTTCTTTTATTCCTAGCATATTTTTTAAGTTTAGAAACACTGATAGTGGTCCAGATGTGGTGGCTCATGCCTGTAATCCCTACACTTTGGGAGGCCAAGGTGCGTGGATCACTGGAGCCCATGAGTTTGAGACCAGCCTGGGCAACATGACGAAACCCCATCTCTCCAAAATTACAAAAATTAGCCAGGCATGGTGGCACACACCTGTGGTCCCAGCTACTCGGGGTGGTGGCAGGGCTGAGGTAGGAGAATCACCTGAGCCTGGGGAGGTCACGGTTGCGGTTAGCTATGATTGCACCATTGCACTCCAGCCCAGGTAACAGAGTGAGATCCTGTCTCAGATTTAAAAAAGAAAAAAAGAAATACTGATAGTAAACAGGATTTTTTTATGATTTTCTTGCATCTTCACTCTCACTATGCCTATTGCATACTATTCCTCACCTATGAATAAGCTTGTGTCTCCAGATACTAATAAAATTTCACTTGAATGTTAGACCTCTCTTCTTTTGCCCCTACCACAATATACACTTCAGGAAGCATACCATCACATTGCTTTGCTTTTTTGAGGCAGGGTCTTGCTATGTAGCCCAGTTGCTCAGGCTGGTCTTGAACTCCTGGACCCAAGCAGTCCTCCTGAGTAGCAGGGATTATAGGTATGTGCCATCATGACTAGTCGAGATTGTTTTTTAAAATAATGTTGATTATAAGAGTAGTACATGTGTATTATAGAAAATTAGAAAATGAGTCAAAAGAAAATAAAAATATCAAATTTTGATACCCAGAAATCTTCACCATGACAACTTTGCGTATACCCTTCCAAATCTCTTTCTATGCATATGTTTTCTTAACTCTGACTTATTAAAATTACCAGGTCAGTTGTCTAGGATATCCTACCTTCTGGATCTATTTTGTTGTTTTCTTGCTGTGTCATTTGTCATGCTTCTCTATCCCCTGTGCTTATGATAAACAGGAAATTATATCTAAAGGTTGAGTGGATTCACTTTAAATATTTTTGGTAGAATATTATAGGTGGTGTGCAGTTCATGTGCTTCATATCAAAAAACATATAGCGTATGATTGACCCAACATTAATGCTGCTAGATTCGTGGTCCCTAATCTCTGATCTAGTTCTTATCTCTCTTTTTACAAATAAGGTTTTCCCCTTGCAACTAAAAGTAGTCTGTGTGGTGTTACTTAAGCATATGTTCCAGTTATTATTGCTGTGTAAGAGGCCACCCCAAACTTAGTGACGTAAAAAAAAAATGTCTTGCTATTATGCTCTACAAATTCTGTAGGTCAGGAGTTCAGACAGGGCACAGTGGGCATGCTTTGTCTCTGTTCCACATTGTCTGAGACATCAGCTAGGAAGACTTTTAACAGTTGGGGGTGGCTCAAAATGGCGAGAGTCTGAGGTCATCTAAAGCCTTCTTCATTCACATGTCTTGGAACCTATGCCAGAATGACTGAAGGCTGAATTTGGCTAGAATGGTCAACTGAAGCACCTACATGTAACTTAGTCCTCTCGCTATATGACTGCTGGGTTCCCAGAAAGAGGACAGAATATAAGAATTTCAAGACAGCTTAGGCAGAAAGGGTATGGCCTTTTCTGACCTAGCCTTGGAAATCACCTGCAACACTTCTGCATTCTATTTCTTACATACAAGTCACTAAAGCTGGCTCAGAAGAATTAAACTCTTCCTCTTATTGAGGGAATGGCAAGGTCACATTGCAGAAGAGCATGTGGGATGAGCGATAACTGTTGTGGCCATCTTTGGAAAATACAGTTGGCTGCAGCATGACTATCTGGTTCCCCATCGGACATTTACCTAAGAGCTTTAATTACAGTTGATGATCCTTGCCAGAATCATTCATTATGATTTGCAAAGTGATTTTTTTTATAATTCTACCTTTTAGGGGCATTATTAAATGATATTTTATAAAGTAGAGCTAGGCCAGGCATGGTGGCTCAAACCTGTAATCCCAGTGGGAGGATGACTTGAGCCTAGGAGTTTGAGACCAACATGGGCAACACAGGGAGACCCTGTCTCTACAAAAATTAAAAAGAAAAAAAAATTTTTTTTAAACTACAGCTACCATGCCTGTAGTTCCAGCTACTCAGGAGGCTGAGGTGGGAGGATCGCTTGAGCCTGGGAGGTCAAGGCTGCGGTGAGCTGTGATTGCACCACTGCATTTCAGCCTGGATGGGTTTACTGTATGTACACACACACACACACACACACACACACACACACACACACACACACACATATATAGTAGAGCTTTCTGTTATTGACTGAGAATATTTTGTTACTCCAAAATTCATTTCCCACTGGAAATACAAAATAATTCTTTTCCTTTAATTACTACTTTTTAGGAGTTATTTCAAAAGCTGCCTTAAATGGTAACAAATGAGTTTTATATCCTTCTATGTTTTGAATATCATATTGGACTCGAATTTTCCTTGATTCAGTGTGTGACCTCACTGATTCAATTCATTGCAGTCATTTTTGTTTTTGAAAGTGAAATTGTCTCTCTACTGGGTTCTTCTAATTGGTTCTCTACTGGGAGCTTCAAGCTCGTCCCTGGCTCCATTGGACATCCACATTAACCTACCCCCATTAATTTTGATGGCTTACTTGATTTCTCAAGAAATTTGTGAAAAAAAAATTGCCTGGGCTTGAGTTCTACCCATTGGTTTCTACCCTTGTCCCTAATGATATGTCACCAAGTTTTGTTTTGTTTTTTAAGGCAACAGACTATTTAATGTGGTTTAAAATACATCAATGTCTCACCAAGTTTCATTGCCCTTTTAAAATTTTCAGACTCATTAACCTCTAACTTGGCTGCAATTGATACTCCTTTTTCTTGAAAGCCTCTTCTACTTTGATTTTCTGGATACTTCAGTGTTCTAATTTTCTCCTTTCTGTGTCCTCTTTTCCTCTTATGTACGTATAGATAGATGTTTTACATGTTTTAGTCAGTGTCCCTCCTTTTTCTCTAGGGTACCTCTTCAAATGCTTTCATGGATTCCTATAACTCATCAGCTCTCTAGTCATAGTCTGACCTCACATCCTAGTATCCATTTTATTTCTCAACTACCTACTAACATCTACTCAGATGTCCTGCCAGCTTCTCAAACCCAGTATGTCTTAGCACAGACTTTCTCTCCCTCCCTTCTTATAGTTCCTTTTAGTTTTTCTATTTCTATTATGAGCATCACAGTTCTACTAGTGGCCTAAGTTTAAAATTTCTGAGTTTTTTTTCCCTCCCTCTGCATCTATTATGTTACCAAGAATTGGTGCCTCTAATTCTAATATATTACAGTTTTCTCTTTCTATTCCCATTGCCACTGTCTTAGTTTTGTATCTCACTACAGTTTCCTTGGACTCTTATAAGAGCCTCCTAAGTAGTCCATTGCCATCCTTCTATGTCAGTCTATTTTATGCACCATTGCCTGATTAATCTTTCTCAAATACACCTCTAATTGATGATTCCCCTAGACTTAAAAAAAAAAAAAGACATATGCATAAAAACAAAGCCCGGCAGTGGTCCTGCTGTCTTTAGAATAAAATTAAAGCACCTCTCCCTGTTGGACAGGGCCTTTAAAGTATCTCCTCAAATTTATTTTTCTTGCCTTGTCTGTCACTGTTTTTGCCCTATGTTCAGGAAAACTAGGTTATATTTCCCCGTATACTTTCTTGTCTCTATGTTTTTGTACTGTTCCTACCTCCTTGTCTCTCTTGCACTGACCTACCTAACCACCAACTTCGATCTCTACCCATTCCAAATCCTACTCATTCTTCAGACCCAACTTGAAATCCATGATGGTATGATACATTCTGTTTGCCCCTCAGCCAAAAATGTTCTCTTTTTTCTGAACCCTTATGTTATTTTGATCATACTGCCTTAACATTGTTACTTTCTCTTTCTCTATATAAGTTTTTTGAGAGTATAAATAGTATATAGTATATTCTCCTGCTTGAAATGGTTACAGCACCTAGCACAAATTATGTGCTAAAGACCAGAGATACAAAGGTAAATCAGCTATAGTTCAACTCTAATGTGAAGGAGGCATCCCTACAAAGTTATAATGTAAATTGACAAGTATTGTTTAAAAAAATAACATATACACGTAGACACACATGAAGTACTGAAGTAACATAGAGGAAGGATTACTTTATTTCATAGGGAAATGGTTGGGGGGATAGTCAGGGGAGGTTTGGTGGATTTAAACTGAATCTGGAAGAATGAGTAGAAATTAAATAAGGTGAGAGAAGCTCATTCCAAGAAAAAGAAATGACACACTCAGAGCCACAAGTACATGAAGCTACATGATACAAACAATTCTGTATGAATAGATGTGAAGATTTATGGAGGTTCGGAGATGTTAAGGGGAGATAACCCTGCAAAGATATGTTGGGGCCAGATTATTTCAGTCTTTGTTTTATCATAATAATGCCATATTTTATATGCTTTTCAATTTACAAAGCAGTTTCACATTGATTATTTGCGATTCATAATATTAATAATCCTTTTTTTTTTTTTTTTGTGAGACAGAGTGTTGCTCTGTCGCCAGGCTGGAGTGCAGTGGCGTGATCTCAGCTCACTGCAACCTCCGCCTCCTGGGTTCAAGTGATTCTCCTGCCTCAGCTTCCCGAGTAGCTGGGACTACAGGCACGTGCCACCATGCCCAGCTAATTCTTTTGCATTTTTAGTAGAGACGAGGTTTCACCATGTTGGCCAGGATGGTCTCAATCTCTTGACCTTGTGATCCATCCGCTTTGGCCTCCCAAAGTGCTGGGATTACAGGTGTGAGCCACCGTGCCCAGCCAATAATCCTTTTTTTAGTAGTCAACAACTCTCTTATTTGTCTTGTTATTTTAAATACCAGAAACCACATTAGATTTTAATTTTTCTTCTCAGTATACATTTGGGGAGAGGGGGAGTTACCAAAAAGAATTTCACATCACTATGGGATTATTCTTGTTGATAGTTTTTAAATCAAATTATGTACTGATAAACTATCCCTACTCTTACTCTAGCCCCCTAAATATGCCATTTCCTATATAGTATTTGATCAGCATAGTATACCAGCATTTTCTGCTATCAAAGACGTCTTTTAGCCACTGCTCTGTGCCTTTATTCAAAAATAGCAAGTTAAATTATATTCTTAAAAAACATGAATTAAAATTCTGTTCAGTATTGTGACTTTTTTCTGTAAGCTGGATTCTTTTATTAATAATAATTTCTGATATTTTCTCAGTAATATGTATTACCAAACATTCTTTAACTTGTATTTTTAATGGACATTTTAATACAATAATTTGTAAATGTTTTTAAAAATCTGATTCTAAGATGTCTTTTAAAAATGGTGTGACATCCAACTGATATAGAGCATCCTATTTATAATGTGGGCCAAGCACCATGCTGTAAACCAGTTACTATCATGATGATCAGATTGAAAATGAAATTGCATTTCTGTCAATTACTGAGTTGGCAACTGTTCAATATATCTTAGCAGCAAGATGAAGAGCGACGTCGGCAGCTGAGAGAGAGAGCTCGTCAGCTAATAGCAGAAGCTCGATCTGGAGTGAAGATGTCAGAACTTCCCAGCTATGGTGAAATGGCTGCAGAAAAGTTGAAAGAAAGGTCAAAGGCATCTGGAGGTGAGTTAAAGAATCTTCTATCATTCTACAGACAACCCAGAAATCCACAGTGGACCTTTTGGGACTTTTTATTCTTACTTCAAAATGTTGCTTCAAAAATATAAAGCTTCTAACCTATTGATATGTTGCAAAACACCTAAAGGAAGCATAGTAAATTAGAAGATAACTGTTGCTGCTTTCCACATCAACTTTTTGGCTTCATTTAAAAATACTCAAGAAGTACTCTCTTAGAATATGCTTTTGTAAAAAACTCATACCTTGGTTTGTGATACCCCATGATTCCTCATTAATAGTATTAGGAGTATGTAAAATGTAATTGAATCCCTAACATCTAAATCAGCACAATTAGTGATGAGCTTTGTCATGAAAGATTTTCACTTAAAACAAGATCTTTAGAAAGTAACTTTAACAATATTCTGGCATTATAGCCTGAGATGTGAGAAGTTTATATAAGTCCCATCTCAGTTTCTTCTTAGTCTCCTCACTCTGAGAGGGTCTTCTTCAATATCTGCAGAGATTAATCTAAGCTTGATGTTGGGACAAGGGCTATATATATATAAAATTAAAGAAAATTTTAATTTTAACTTCAGAGATGCTCAATTTGGACATCTTTGGAACATTTTACATTTTTAAGAGAGGTATATTCACAAGGCTTGTGAGCTTCTTATTTCAAAGGTATATAACCTACTTATCTACTAAAACATGCCAGATACTTGCCCTGAGTTAATCTTAGAATGCAAAGATCACTCTGAAGAGTAGGCAAGTGAAGACTCGAATAAGACCTTAGAGCAGCCATCCCCAACGTTTTTGGCACCAGGAACTGGTTTTATGGAAGACAGTTTTTCCACGGACCAGGAGGGTAAGGAGGGATAGTTTCAGGACAAAACTGTTTCACCTCAGATCATCAGGCATTAGTTAGATTCTCATAAGGAGCATGTAACCTAGATCCCTCACATGTGCAGTTCACAATAGGGTTCGTGCTCCTGTGAGAATCTAATGCCGCTGCTGATCTGACAGGAGGCCGAACTCAGGAGGTAATGCTCATTCGCCCTGTTAGGCCAGGTTCTTAATAGGCCACAGACTAGTACTGGTCCATGGCCCTGGGTTTGAGGACCCCTGCCTAAGAGGGCCAAAACAAAGGTAAGCTATTTCTAGGTCAATGATAAGTTTCCTCAAAGTAAACTGAAACTTATTGCTGTTATTTCTTATTGTTTCCTTATATTAAAAGCTTACTGTAGAAAATTCTAATGCTTATAACATCTAATCTTCCATCTCATAAATTTGAAAGCTTCTTCCCCACACAGCTGTGTATCTGTCCCTCTGGTCTTCTCAGAATGTCTGTATCTTAGTTAAACCCATCTTGCCAGGTACAGTGCCTCACGCCTGTAATCCCAACACTCTGGGAGGCCAAGGTGGGAGGATCACTTGAACCCAGGAGTTCGAGATCAGCCTGGGCAACATCACAGGACCCTATTGCTACCAAATATATATATATATATATTTTAATTTTTTTTCACGTGTCTTTTTTTTTTTTAAATCATTGCCTTCAACCAACTCACGCCCACTAAAAAAAAAATTTTTTTTAATTAACCAGACATGGTGGCACACACCTGCAGTCCCACCTACTCAAGAGGCTGAATCGGGAGGATCACTTGAGTTCAGGAAGTTGAGGCTGCAGTGAGCTTGATCATGCCACTGTCCTCCAGCCTGGGTGACAGAGTGAGATGCTGTCTCAAAAAAAAAAAAAAAAAAAAAGAATTCTTCATCTTCCCTTTTCGACTCCTATCATGCAGCTATCATGCAGGATTTTTATTGCAATTTCTACATTCTCTACTACAGCTTTATAGTAAGATCAGTAATTATGCACAGCTACATTTGTGTAATACTATGACAATTTGCTGTCATTTATCATTAATAATTAGATGCTTCTTTTATCGTAAAAATCTTCCAGATATTCTAAGTAAATCTTAATAAATCTTTGCCTCCTTATATCTTTGAGTCATGGAAAAACACCATATTCTTATGCTCCAGATAGGCTTCCTGAAGCTATTAATGCCACCTTCCTGTGGCATCATAAAGCCATGTAGGAGAACAAATAATAATAGGATGAAGGGGCAGTTGGTATCTATTTTTTGTTTTTCCCAGTAGTGAGCAGATAACAATGCTAAATGACTTGTAAGTGCTGGGAAGGCTAAGGATTAAAAATCCTATTAATGATATGGGATGTGTCAGCTATACAGTTGGTCCTATCTTTATAATCCAACTACACTTGAGGCTAAGCCAGGACTAGACTAGGCAAGGAGACTGTCAGTGTTACAACCCAAAGTGTGGTTGCTGCCTGGTAATGAGGGACAGTAAAGATCTGAATTTGCCATCATTCAACAGTCAAAGTAAATAAAGTAAACAAAGGACAAGTGAGGACTGGATCTATAGAGTTGGCAAGGAAATGGAGACTAGAACAAGGAAAGCCAGGTGAAATGAAGAAGGGGCAGGGTTTGACAAATGACTTATGAGAACCTCCTGAGGAGTCAGGTTTCTTATTCCTGAAGGAGACCAAAGTGACCAGGGTCTATTTTCCCCATAGGACACAGCATATCTTGGATGTTGGAAGCAGCTACATACCAAATGGTAGTCTGTTTGTGAGAACTAAGGTTGACCTAAGACAAATGACGCAGGCCTATTTCCTGTCCTCGGTGGTGGGTCTTGGCCTGTCTTCATAAAGGGATACGGAATAGACTAGGTCTCCTCTGGCCTCAAGGTCTAAGCCCTAGCTATTGAGAGTGAGAGTTGTGTAGAGAACTTTAGGACAAGGAAGAAGGTAAAATTCCTCTTGAAATTCAATGATTCATATACATTTATTTATCAAACAGTACCAGCGATTGTGCTTTGCCAGGATTTGGCAGACATCCTGGAAAGGGCCAGAGCACTGTAGGTTTTGTAAGCCATGTGCTGTCTGTCCCAGCTACTCAGTTCTGCCCTTGGTAGCCTGAACTTCCCTTTGCAGTCTTGAACAATATATGAATGAATGAGCCTGGTTGTTATTTACCTTCAAAAGACAGTAGGCTGGATGTTGCCCCTGGCCTGTAGTTTGCTCACCCTTGCATAGCAAATTCAAAATTCACTTGAGTTCACAAGAGTCTACTTTCTAAGTAAAAATGACCCTGATGAGGTTGTTAAGTCAGGGGAAAGAATTAACAAATTAGTGTCCACTCTTCTAGGGTCTAGTAGGAATCCTCAGGTCTGAAAAAAGTTTTGCTAAGGAGTAGTGTGAAAGGAAGAGAGAGAAATAACTTGAGACCAGCCTAGATGGAGAACTAGGGTAGGAAGATTTTCGAAGCAGTAGTCCAGAGTGATAAAAGAGGGTAGTGAAGAGCTGACATAACAAGGTGGATGCACAGCCTGGGGAATGTATTGAACATGATCATCACTCATACCCACTGCCTGAACTCACCTGCGAAAGCCTACTTTTTCTGTTCTCAAGCAGCAACCAGCCTCGGTGAGAAAAGGAAACTTACTAAATTTGAGGTGAGGTGTCTTCAGCTTCATGGTGTCCACAGAAAATACATACAAGGTATTTTAGGTCACCTGTAACTGTATATTCAGGCAATCAAGAGACCTATATCCTATTGCAACCAGAAATAGCCTAATTCTTGTGTAAATAACAGAATCACACCTCTCCTAGCAGCCATAGCCTAGCTTTCACTTACCCTCTGTTTGACATACTTGTGGGGCTTATGAGAAAACCAGGTAGTGTATTACACATGTTTTTTTCATTTTTGCATCATTTTGTAATTGTAGACATGCGATGGCCTCATTTTAAATTCCTCATTCTATGTAACAAACGATGTGGGTTGTATGAATCTTTCCTGACAAGGTACAGATGTTGATAAAGTTTAGTATTTTTGGTTTTAGTTATGTAGTATTGTGGTCAGGGAATAGGGCCTAAATTTCTGCTTTGGGAATTTATTAATGTTTTATTTTGGCCAAATACGTATTAAATTTTTGTTAATGGTCTATGGATACATTTGCAAGGAAGGTGACTACCTTGTTTTAAGATGATATTACATATCATGTCATATAGCACATGTATATATATTATAAAGTATATTATATATGATACATATTTTGTTATTATTTATTCCATAGCTTATCACTTTGGTTTAGTTAGATTAGATTAGATTTGCTTAACTTTAAACTGACATTTTTGCCTCTGTTTATTTTTTGAGACAGAGTCTCACTCTGTTGCCCAAGCTGGAGTGCAATGGCGCTATCTCAGCTCACTGCAACCTCCGTCTCCCGGGTTCTAGCAGTTCTCCTGCTTCAGCCTCCCGAGTAGCTGGAATTACAGGCACCCGGCCACCATGCCCAGCTAATTTTTGTATTTTTAGTAGATACGGGGTTTCACCATGTTGGCCAGGCTGGTCTGGAATTCCTGACCTCAGGTGATCCGTCTGCCTTAGCCTCCCAAAATGCTGGGATTACAGGCGTGAGCCACTGCGCCCGGCCTTTGCCTCCTTTTTATGTAGACAAAGTAGTATATTTTGTTTTGCATTTTGGATGAATGAAGAAATTTTTTTAAATTTTGCCCATGAGAATGTCTGCATGATCCTTATTATTTCAGTTATGGAAAATAAATTTGTTGAGCTGAAATAATATCTTAGGTCTTCAATAATTTTTATTTTTAGCTTCTATTAATAACATAATATCTGTATTGTGTTTCCCATCTTTTGTTTGATTTCTGTAGAATAACTTCAAAAATAATGAATTTTATGGGGACCTTTGTTGAGAATTTTAAAAATCATAAGTGAGAAATTTTTTTGGAATTTTTAAGTATGTTTTTAATGATAACTTCACTTTCTGTTTAAAAAATGCAGATATTCTCTCTCTCTCTCTTTTTTAACTGTCACCAGATATCTTGGTTTCATTCAATTTATCTATAAATAAAAAGTATAAGACTGGCCTTATTGACCACACGGTTGGGTTATCTATTTTACTTATAGTGCTGTGCAGTGTCAACTGGAATGCATTTTTACATTCAGTGCATATCTAATCTCCTTTTACCTTTTCCTGCACACACAGTACATAGCATACTTGCAAACCAGCTTCTGTTGTATAATGGATCTCTAGTTTACTTTCTGCCTTGTTCACCTACTGGGTTTTCAGTGTTTAACCATAAAGATATATTTATACATTTATGTAGTATCTTTAAACACACACATGCACATGCACTTCAGTTCTGTAAGAATACAGTTAGAGCATTTCTTACAGGTGTTAGGAAATATGTAACATTAACTGTTCAGAAGAATTCGAAGTTGATTGTAAAACTGAAGTCAATGAATCAAAAGAAAGTAGAAACCCATTCTTAAGAAGACCTGAGCTGTATAGATCACTTTTTACTCTTGCCATCCCAAATAGTAATCCTTTTATCTAAGGTTAGCAGTACCTATATGAACATTGAGTTAACCCACTCAGCATTACTGGGGAGTGGTAGTGTAAATGGCACCTGTTTAACATCATACAGGAACCTAGCACTGTATAAGTGGGTAAAGAAAGTAGGTGCCATTTCCTGGGTATCCCTGGAATCTGAAAGAACCCATATACAACCACATTTCCAGACTTACCTATTTTTTTTCATGGCAATGCCATCATTCTGTTTACTCGGGCTGGAGAGTTGATTGTGATGGTGGCCTCACCCTTACTCTCCTCAGTATCCCTTCTCCCACAGCCCAACATCCAGTTGATTTCCAAGTTACATCATACCTACTCCCAATTCTTTCATCCTAGGTTAGGCTCTCCATAGTGCTTGCCTGGGGGTTATAACAGTCTCCAACCTGCATTTATTGACTCCAGCCTTTGTGTTCTCCAGTCCAACATTTAGGTCAGCAATTTTGCATGACAGATGGTGTCACGTGCATAGGGCTGTCTTATGCACAGTCCCTAGACCACTTTTGCTTTCACATAAGAAGGCATATGAGATTGTGAGCAAGAGTGATATTATAGAAATAATAATTGACGCTGCTCTAACTTATAAAAGACATAAGCTTCAGTACTTATATTACTACTAATAAGTTATACCTACTTCACAACTGATGACAATAAGGTACTTCCGTTGAAAACTGCTTATGGAGATTGCTGTTAAATTAATCTTCTAAAGCACAGTACTGATCATGTTGACCACCAGTATCTCTGCATTCCTACCAAGTAAAAGTTAAACTTCCCATTCTGTCCTTCAAGACTCTCTGTAGGCTCTCTATAGTTTTGCCTTTCAAGTCTTACCTTCTGTTATTTCTCTTTAAGTATGCTTGAGCCAAATAGGACTTTACACCATTCTCTGAACATAACCTACCCATTCCTCCTTTCATGCCTGTAAAGCCCTCCCCTCAATTGTACCTCTTGAAATTCTATACATTTCTCAAGACCTAATTTAAAGGTTAGCGTTTCCAAGAAAGAATTCCTGGTGTCATTGGCAAAGAATAATCTCTTTATCTTTTGAATTTGCTCTGTACCTTATTTTTATCCAGTAACCCCCACCATACATGGTATTATAGTCCCTTGAATATGCCTTTAAGGTAGAATAAATGTCTCATACAACTTGGTATCTCCTCAACATCTAGCACAGTGTTTTTCATATTGTGTATACAGTACACAGTAGAAGTTTCTAGAATAAATGAAAGAATATTGAATTCTATACTCTCCCTCTAGATTAATTATATTCAGTAATCATCAGTGGAGGCTTATTGGCAGCAAAAAAGTACTACATTAGATCCCTAAAAACTATTAATAGAAGCTATCTCTGACATAGAATAATGCTGAGGAAGTATTCTGAACACTTTTTGACACACAGGAAATATTTGTTAGCTTATTTGCTAAACTACAAATTTTGAGGATAGTGAAATTGAAGATGCCCACTTCTGTGAAATGAGTCAAATAGTTGATAAGCTGAGCATAGTTGATTAGAAAAGATCTCACAGGTGATTGTGCTTAAATAATGAAGCCATGTATAATACCTTAGCTAGTTCTCTGAAAGCATTTAACAATGTTTTTATCTCTATGCTTTTTTGCCCCCCTGGTGTGGGGGGTGCATTTCTCAATCTTGTTTCTTTTTTCCTTTTTTTTTTTTTTTTTGAGACTGAGTTTTGCTCTTTCACCCAGGCTGGAGTGCAGTGGCGCGATCTCGGCTCACTG
Organism: Homo sapiens; assembly: GCF_000001405.40. Lineage (NCBI taxonomy): Eukaryota > Metazoa > Chordata > Mammalia > Primates > Hominidae > Homo > Homo sapiens. The sequence goes on from NC_000002.12 coordinate 62,986,521, forward strand.
CAATCTCCACCTTCTGGTTTTAAGCCATTCTCCTGCCTCAGCCTCGTAGCTGGGACTACAGGCGCACACCACCACACCCGGCTAATTTTTTTATTTTCAGTGGTGATGGGGTTTCACCATGTTGGCCAGGCTGGTCTTGAACTCCTGACCTTGTGATCCACCTGCCTCAGCCTCCCAAAGTGCTGGTATTACAGGCGTGAGCCACCGCACCCAGTCAATCTTTTTTCTTTATTGTTTTCTTCTTCCAAATGGTTTACATAGTAGATGGGAAGTCTTCAATAAATGTAAACTATTGTTATTAATATTAATGCTCATAGTAAGCATTTACTTAGGAAGCCAAAAATCAAGCCTAAGGATGTACTTTTTCAGAAAGGGACAGATGTTGAGGGATTAAGCCAAACTGTAGAATTATCAATTGGAAAAAAATCTTCGGAATACCTCACTACTAATAAAAGTTGCCCAATTGAAAAAAAATGAGTTGCAGGGTAGTAGGGGTATTCTTCAAATCCCAGGGCTACAGAGCTATTTCTTCAAAAGGTACATTGCCTGTCTGTTGGATAGAAATTAAAGTTAAACCTCTAATATGCAACTAAAATTGCTGCTGTGCCTTTTCAAATGTATAGAATTCAAAATTACTGTAACAATTTTATCACTAGGATTTGGAGAGGAAAAAATATCTACTAAAAATCCTTAATGTCAAAAATTGACTCCATTAATTAATTATGACCCAAAACATTTTACTAGGGATATAAAAAATTATGTAAGACTTTCTCATTCCCGTATATTTAATTTTGGTTGACAATTTTTCCCAGATTTTGCTCTACCAAGATTTATTGTCTTAGTTGTTTTTGAATTTTCCATTGTATAAAGGCATTGTATATGCTAGTCTCACTCTTAATCTATCCATAATGTTTTTATGATAATATTTCATTAATAGCATAAAAGTATTTAAGCCTTCATGAAAATGACAAATATATATATGAGGAATGTGTGCTTATTTATGCATTTAAATCGAATAATCTGATAAAAGTGTAAAATTTAGAAATATTTGATGACTTTGTCACCAAACTAACTTTATTTTTGTGTGCCATTGTTAGAGTTACTTATAGATTACACTTTAAAATACAGGGACTCAATGAGCTCAGTGATTCAGAGACAGCGTGTGGCAAATTGTCAAAACCTTTGCATCTGCTTTGATGTGATAATTCATGTTTGACATAGGAATGTAAAATATAAATGTTAATCCAATAGTGAAAGAGTGACTTAAAACTGATTTCTTAACTTGCTTATCTGTGTCAGACCTGAATTTGAATAACTATACTAAAATACTGGTTTTTCTTCTTTAGTGTTTTGGATGAATGATATAAAATATAAATAATATACTAACATTATTGCTACATGTTCCTACAGATGAAAATGATAATATTGAGATAGATACTAACGAGGAGATCCCTGAAGGCTTTGTTGTAGGAGGTGGAGATGAACTTACTAACTTAGAAAATGACCTTGATACTCCCGGTAATTTCAAATTATAAATGTTTTGTGTCCTGCTGCATGGCAAACTTTATGGTTATATTTTTATTATCTCATCAATAATAATAATAATTTTGTAGTTTTATTACATCTTATGGCCTCATAAACCATTTAGCTTAGTCCACCTTCCATCAATTTTATGTTATTTTGTTTTAGGTTGGATGTTAAAATTAGCAATAACATTGGAATAGCAAATTGTAGTTTGTGTTCTCTTGTTACTAAGATTCACTATTGTATTTTATGTTATGTGAGATAATCTGTAGGTTTTCAATAGCTGGTTCCCTTCTCAGCTTAAATATTTTGGTGTGATGTCAGAAGGTATATATTCCACATGTAAATCCAAACCATGGGATCAGATTTTCTGATTTAGTTTAGAATTATAGTCTTAGTTATAATATTATTTTGCAGATTTTCTGCTTACCTTACTTAAATATTACTCTAGTAAATGATTTTACATATACTTAACTGATTACAATAAGACACTTTGAAAACTATATAGACTGCTGTTAAATTAACCTTATGTCTTATATCAATAAATTGCTTTGGCAATGGACCTTTGTAAGTTCTTATTTAAAATACAAAGATATTTGCTGGTGGTTTTTAATAGGTGAATGTTCCAAATGCATTGCCTTTATAAGCCAGCAGCAAGTAGCAATCCAAAGTTTTGTATATCTGAGGGGTTCCATAAATGCTTGTTGAGTTGAATTCTTATGGCAATAAAAAGTCTTTGGTGATTTCTTTAGACTCAAAGGAGGGAGGCAAAGTCTCTAATATTTATCTTTTCCTGTAAAAAGCTAAAGGGAGTGAGAGCAAGCATACTTTTTCCTATCCATGGCATGCACCTGCAATGCTAATCTGCTCCATTTCTTTCCCTGTTGGAAATACTATTATTACTTCAATAAACAGGTGACCAGGGTTTTCCTGACTATAACGAACACTCAAGAAAACTCATGCCCTTTTGTCAGTAGCTCCTTCATGGCCGGGTGTTAAATTATACTATTGCTAAATAGAAGTCAGTATACTTATAATTGTGCAAGTCCAAAAGAATGCTGATATTTAAGGAAAACTTTTAAATGTTTAACCCAAAATTAGAACTACATTTTACTTCTTTCTGTTTAAAATACTACAGAACTTGGTTAGGTTTGATTTTTTTTTAAAAAAACATTTTTGTTGCTTACTCACCTTCCCACCATAACCACCACCAAAGGCTTTATCGGAAACCAATCACATCTTTTTAATGCTGAGGAGGACATCCATAAGTACTGGATTTAATTTTTTAATACTCAATTTATGGAAGTATAAAAGCATAAAATCAGTAACAATATGTGATGCATATGTCCTGATTCTACAGTAGGTTAGTAACACAGGAAAAAATAGCCATTTCTTAGGTAAAATAAGGGGAGAATTTTCTAGTTTCAGCTGTAGCAACTTTGGGGGATACTTTAAAGATGGGTTAATTTTAATCCTAACAGGCTTGACTCTTGTCATTTTTAAAAACTCTCCTCCTACTTAATGTTTTCCAAAACGAACACACATCTCAGCCTTCCTGTTTGGAGTTAACTAATAAATTGTTTACGGCTCTCAAGCATGCCAGTTAAGTGTTGGCATGGAAGTAGACAGGCCTCCCAGTTCAGATTTATGGTTTATTTTGTGGCAATAAGAAATAGGAATGCAAACTAGAATCTGGAAGCCCTTAGAATATATTATGATTTTTATCCTTGCTTTATTTTCCCCCCAAATTTTTTTCATATGTATATAAGTCATAAGGTTTTAATAATAAATTGTTTAATCTTTATCTTGATTTGACCATAGTTCATCAGATATTGTTTAAAAGAGAAGCCTTGCAATATAAACTGACCAATTTGCATGAAAGTAATGACAATAGCATTTATTAAGAGTCTTATAATTAGAAAAGTTATTAATCTTTATGAAAAATATCATCCAGCAAATGGTGGACATATCTATTGCGACCATTTTATTGAGGAGTTGCCTTTTATTAATTTAAGAATTAGTTGTGTTTCTACTCATTTTGAACTATTGTATTATGAAAGATTAATGTACATTAATACATTCCAAAAATGTAATAATCTGTATTGTATTTCTGCTATCTAAGTAGAGGGTATTTGTAAACATATACCCTGTTTCAATGCTGGTTATATAGGTACATATATAAACACTGGATTCTAATAGTATGTACATGATGATGATCTGAGATAATGTTAAGAATTTGTTTTAATATGGCATTATATTTATAAATCTGATATACTAAAAGAAAACTACAAAATAATATTCAAAATGAAATGTATCTCTTCTTTTAAATATCTAGTTTGTTATAACAGCTTGTTTTATTATGTATAACATACAGTGCTTATATAAATGTATACATCACATACAGGCATAGGTTTTTAGGTAAGCATTAGCTACTATTTAACTATAGTATAACTAAGTTCTCTTTAGATATGTTGACTGTATTCTTTAAGGGGAATGATTTTGGTGGGGGAATATATATATGTAAAGGATTTTTCATGTGTCTAATCTACTAATATCCTTTTCTTCTTTCTTTTAAAATATAGTAATACTTTTCTGAGCTCACATAAAATTGACAGCCTACATATCTAAATGCATCTCACTCAGTTATTCATGGTATTTGCATATTTAACAGAACAAAACAGTAAGTTGGTGGACTTGAAGCTGAAGAAGCTCCTAGAAGTTCAGCCACAGGTGGCAAATTCACCCTCCAGTGCTGCCCAGAAAGCTGTAACTGAGAGCTCAGAGCAGGACATGAAAGTAAGTCTTACTTGTTTAAAACATTTGGCTTAGTATCTGTGTCTTCTAGTTTCTGCCAGGAGTTTGTAATTCCAAAAACAATTTTTTACCTAATTTTTCACCAATATTAAGATTAGGGTATAAGAAATTTTTACTGGTGAGGTGTGGTGGCTCATGCCTGCAAGTCCAGCACTTTGGGAGGCCAAGGCAGGAGAATCAGTAGTTCAAGACCAGCCTGGGCAACATATTGAGACTTTGCTACTAAAAGTAAAACAATTAGCCAGGCATGGTGGTGCATGACTGTAGTCCCAGCTACTCAGGAGGCTGAGGCGGGAGGATTGCCTGAGCCCAGGAGTTCAAGGCTGCAGTGAGTGGTGATCATGTCACTGCACTCCAGCAGCGGAGACAGGGTGAGACCTTGTCTAAAAAAAAAAAAAAAAAATTAATTAATTAAAAAAATTGTATTAAATAGCCAATAAGTAAATATCAATATGGTAATCAGTATTCATATACTATTTTTCAGGGAAACTACTACTTTAAACTGCTATTTCAAGTAAAAATAGAGGCAATATGGAAACTATTCTTGAGTTCTATATGTATGTATATTTTGCTAAGACAAATACTGTTAAGAGAATTCTAGCGCATTTTTCAATAATCCTCAAGCTTCTGCCTATATAGATGAACTAAATGTATGTTATTTGTAAGAATCATCACACCTGAAAATGGTAATGTGATTGAATATAAATGTTTAAGATAACTTGCATGTGTTTTGTGCCATTATGCATCTTACCTTGTGTAACATTTTAGTCAAAAATGCCACATTATAAGACTATTATTAGACTGTTTATATTATTCCCACCCACATGTTTCCCTGCTTTCCTCACAGTGATTAGTATTTCTGTAGCTTTAGGGCACTTCCAGTCCTGTATAACTTTTCACCCACCTGCGGACTATGGGGACTGCCCTGCTGACTGAAAGGATTTCCTTCCCCTGACACAGAGATGCTTTGAAGTCCCAAAACAATGACTTTCATTGCTTTTCCCCTATATTGTCAGTTTCTATAAATTGGTGATGAAAGTGTGTGGCAGCACCAGAGGACTTTTGGTCTCTATCTTTGAACAAAAGGAAGCCTGGATCGGGTCTGATTTTTTGCGTTCAATTTAGCTTTCTGCAGTGGATTTAATGCAGAATGAAGCTGGCCTAAGAATAATACAATAGATTGAAAAGGCTAACTGAATTAGTGGGTTTAGAGGAATACATTTGTAAAGTGGCAGAAGTCCCTAGTCATAAAAAGGTTTCTTAAGATGGGATTTGCTGGCTAATCGCACTGATATTTTAGCATGTTGCCAGGCCTAAAAAAATTTAGCTGTGTTTGTTTATTTTGGTAAAGACTTGAGTATTAGACTATTGGATAGTTATATAACAGTAGAACTCTATTTTTCTTTAAAAAAATAGAATAAAAGCCAAAACTGTTGCTATCATAACTATATGGCTAGGATATTATAAGCATGATATTAATGATAAATTCATTAGATAACTTTAAAAAAATAAAATAGTGTTATTTTCATTATTATGGTTTATCTGTATAGATAAAATTGGTTTTGCTTTCCAAAACACTCTTATATAGTAGTCTTTAAAGTTATTCCAACAAAAGGTGTGCTTTAAACAGCTTGCCTTTGTATGATTCCTTTTAGTTAAGATTTTGAAAATGGTGTTTATAAAGAACATATAGAGTCCATCTGTTCTCTTGAAGCTTTCAGCGTTGACTTGGGTTTTAATTTTTTTTAATAAAATGCAGTTTACACATTTATAAATGAGGCATTCTGTGTTTGTGGAAAAGAATAAACTGTTACCTTCCCCTGAGGATTCTGTATCCCAGGCCTCCTTGAGGCTAGAGAATAGGCCATTGGAGGGCTCCCTCATTACTGATTGTCTCAATGCAGAGGAAGGGCAAAGTCTTGGTAGCTTTTGATAACCAGTTTCAGCATTCAGCAGGCTTAGCTATTAGTCATGCATCTTAGCCTTTCCCTATTTACTTTCAAAACACTTAATAAAAATAATAAAAGATTAGGTATAAAATGAAATATTTGTTTGGTACACAGCACCTCGGTATCTGCAGCTTCCACACACTGCAGTGGTTCAGTCTTCTGGGATATTTCTTGTTGATAGAACCATTTGAATTTGTTACCAGTATTAACATAGGAAGCTCCGGAAAAGATAATTGTAGTTTCCTTAGCTGTAAAGGGCTTACTTACAAATCTGGCTTTGGAAAGTTATAGCTGATGAAATGCAGTTCAGTAGGGTAGTATTATAATCCTACCTTTTAGCCTTCATCCAGCATTAGTGGTTTATCTCAATGGGCATAAAATTAGAAACTAGTTCTTGTTGTCATACAAGTCTGTGGGGCTGTACAAACTGATGACACAGAATAGTGGGGGAAATAGGAGGCAACATGGCTTTTAAATGATATGTATCACTGGTGGAAGACACATTCGTATCAAAGTTATCAAGAGTTAAACCATGTGTCCCAAAGTTTGTGATTACAGGCAACAGAACTTGCAGTTGAGCTCTTTAAAGTGCTTTAAAATCCTTTTCTTGCAAAAAGTTTCTAAATCAGTGTTATCTTAAATCAGTAAAAATTGCCTTACTAATGTGTAATTTTATGTTTATGAGATCAGGACTCTCTTACCATGTGTTGTTTTACGTTTAGAGTGGCACAGAAGATCTCCGGACTGAACGATTACAAAAAACAACAGAACGTTTTAGAAATCCTGTTGTGTTCAGCAAAGATTCTACAGTCAGAAAAACTCAACTTCAGTCTTTCAGCCAATATATTGAGAATAGACCAGGTAGAACACTTTTTAAAATGTTTTTCCATGTTATGGTTTAACTATATATAGATATCTATATATAGTATATATATATAGTATATATATATAGCATATATATATAGTATATATGTATATAATCTGGTAATGTAAATTCACATTTCAATACACAAATATCAAGCTTTACAATAATTTTACATGTCTTTCCTCTTTTTTTTTTAAGAGATGAAAAGGCAGAGATCAATACAGGAAGATACAAAGAAAGGAAATGAGGAGAAGGCAGCGATAACTGAAACTCAGAGGAAGCCATCAGAAGATGAAGTGCTTAATGTATATTAATTTTTTGTGTGGTTTCATGATTGCTGATAATTCCAAACTGTATGTGGAAATAGTGCCTTTATTTGTTAAAATGAGATGTTAGGTTTTTTAAGATGTCAATCTCCAGTGCATTCAAAGCAGAGTGAGAGGGGTGCACTGTTGAATTAGTCTGCAGTGTGGTGATAATTGTCAGATAAAAAAAAATGAATTTTTCAGAGTTCCACAGCCCCAGTTTCCTTGAGACATTTCCATCAGGGCACTTCCCATAAAGAGATTCCAGTATTGATCTACTGGGAGGATTTTAATTATTACAATAGCAGATACCGCAGAGCTGCAGTTAGAGGGAAAAGTCACATGAGACCTGCTAGAATTTCTCAGCCAACCCATTTTGTTGGCTTGGGTTAATGGGTGTTCAACCTTTCCATTATCCAGATCAGCCGTGAATTACTAGCTGAATGATGTTTGCATTAATATAATATATATGGTAATTTCTTCACTTAATTAACAGGGAGGTTCAGCTCAGTAGGGGTATGGGCTGATCATGTGTAAAATTGATTTGTGAGGGAAATATTTGATAGACCGCAGGGAGAAAGCTGCTTTTGATGGACAGCTGCGGGACAGAAGCAGGAAGAACAAGTTTTAACTTGAATTTTTGTCTGGAAGCATAGCTCTCTTTAATAGTACTACTTTTTAAATTATCTACAGTTTTTCTAGGTATTTTCTCTTGTTTTCAGTGTTAAAATAGTTGGATTTTAAAATCCTTATACAAGTACACTCAGAGTCACCAACTACATTTTAGGACTCTAAAATCTTCTCATTTTAAGTTGTTTACTTTAGAAGACCTGGAAAGGGATGAGCTAGAAAAGAACAGCTCACTAATAATCCTGATGAAGTATTTGGTATAACTTTTAAGTTACAGAATACTTAACTATACTATGTACTCACACTACAGAAATCTGATTATGAAATTTCTTTCTATTTTTAACTGAACCAATCAGTAAGAGCAATGAAGTTTGTGTGTTGCTTATCACTTCTGCTTCCTTATGTATTTGTTTTTTGTATTATCTTTGCAAACTACTATATTTGTTTTGTCTGTCTGTATGGGAATGAGAAAATAAAATATCCCTTTTGAAAATGATCTGCTATCTGGCAGATAGGTTCAAGAAGCATTCACCAGATTATCCCAGATTTTAAAGTTACCATTAGCATTTATTCTATTATTTTATTTTTTTCTGTTATATTTTGTATTGAGATGGAAGAATATCCATTTTGCATAAATTTTTTAAAAATACAGTGACTTTTAAAATCAAACTATCCTGAGAAATTTAGTTTTATGATTTCTTAAAATATTTTAACTTTAAATTTGTCAACTGCCATAATCAATTTAATAATAAGTTGGTATAAATTGAGGTCACATATGAGTACAAATTACTTACCAGTTCAAAAGGTATGTAAGTTACACATATAGTTAGACATATTTATTAATCATGAGAATTCTAAAATATGCTCATAATTAACATAATTCTTTATTTTATTTCCTGTTTAAGGAGTAGTGAAATATAATTCTTTATAGCTTCTAAGAGATTCACATGCTAGGAAGGGAAGGGATTTTACAGAAGAAGTTTGTTCACATTTATTTCTCTGAATAAATAATGTTATAAGTGCTTATGATAGGAGTGGTGGTGGTAAGAATAATCACTTAATCAGTTCTTCAATATTTCTTAGCTAATTAGATCTCTTAGCCCCAAAAATGTCAAAAGGTAAACAGGTAATCCAAAGGGAGCCATAATTAATCAGTTTTTATGACTATACCATAAATAACCCTGACTTTGATGATTTAAATTTGTAATATGATTGTAAAAATTAAAGGTAAACTGGCACACATATATAAAAAATATATTTTTTTAAACATGGATGGTTCAAAAAGTAAATTTTCAAATTAAAATCCAAACTTGGCTAAATGGAAGATTAACCAAATCAATATATGAGTTTTCTTAGATCCTATGTAGCAAGGTTTGAAACCACCTGTCAGGTTAGTATTTACAACTGTAATAATTACTAATACATCAACAGAATGGCATATTAAAGTACAGGAGCCAGCTGGAGGGAAAATTGGAGATATTGTGAACTTCCCTTTTTATCATTTTTAAAGTATTTTAAATAATGTAATCATTTTGAAAAAAAATGTATCTCTTTAATTTTGTATTTCCATAGAACAAATTTATCTGACTCTCTCAGGTTGGATACTTTCATGGTCAATTCCTTACTAGAACTCCATTTTTGTGTATTACACTTTTGAGTTAAAAGTGCCATTGGTGTTTGTTTTGATAATCACAAAGGGGAAAATTATCTTCTTTGTCCATGCTTAAATAACTCTGACTTAACTCTAAGGAGAATTTTTTTTTTAACTTAGCATTAACTTTTAAAATCTGGCAAATCTGCCTGTGAAATTCTAAACATAATAGTAAACAGCTGAAGATCTCTCTATTTATAAAAGTTTGGTATATGTAATACATATGAAAATTTTTTGAATCACAGAGAGTTGCTTTTTGGTACTAAGGGTGATACTAACGGTGTATTTGGTTCTCTAGGTAAGTGCTTTACTAAGTGTTTGTAGAAAGGAAAAATGCAACTTACAAGTGATTTTTTTTTCCTTCCTGTTTGTTCTTGTTAACAGAAAGGGTTCAAAGACACCAGTCAGTATGTAGTAGGAGAATTGGCAGCACTAGAGAATGAGCAAAAGCAAATTGACACCCGTGCCGCGCTGGTGGAGAAGCGCCTTCGCTATCTCATGGACACAGGTACGGTGCCCAATTACACTGTAAACAGTTTTGGCAAATTGAGCGTTCACAAACTCTTATAGAGTTTTGGAAGTGTGAATCTTTGAAGCCTGAATGTTCAGCAAAACTGCCTTGAAAATAAAAAGGCTGCGATTTGCAGCCACCTCTCTGGGCCCTGGTGATAAGAGTGCCTTCATGGGAAGTGATAACTCGCCCTGATACCGTGTGAGCCAGCACTATTGAACAGTGTGCTCATCCATGCAGAGTTGGAATACACATCTGTGCCTCATTGATATGCCACTGCTTAAAAAAAAAGTAAGATCTTTACTGTTCTACTGATTCATTGGGGAAAAAAAAGATTTGGCCAGCTAAAGCCATGTACTGCATGAAACAGAGCACTGTGCATAGGGGACGGCTCCATGGACTAGATCACTGAAATTTGAGAATACTATCTGGTTACTGATGCTCCACAATTTTTTTTTCAAGAGAACAGGTTTTTAAAAGTCTGTAATACTTTGTGTCACAGTTGCATTTGAAAGGATTACAGTATATAGCAAGGTTTGTAAAGATAGGTTAGAGCACCAAGTTAGCTCCTAACCAGAGGGCAGATTGGCTTTCAATGCTGATTGCCAATGGTGATTGAATAGATCTAAGAGCACAATAAGCAATTGGAAAGGAACTCATGTGTGTGTGTGTGTGTGTGTGTGTGTGTGTGTGTGTGTGTGTGTGTGTAAAATGCTGCCCCTACAAAGAGATTAAAATGTGAAATAAATTAAATCATTCATACCAAATTATAAGTTATATTAAGAAAAAAAGTCAAAAAATACAAGTGGAAAATTTATTCCTGTAATCTAATTAATTGCTTTAATTTTATGGCAGTGTTAAAATACAGTAGATTAGCATGATTTAGGATTGGAAAGCTTTCCTGAACTTTTTCTTCTCTATTTTCCAAAAATATATTTAAAATAAAAGAACTTCTCCAAAAATAAGCATTTATATGGGACATTTGAAAATGCATAGATTAGTGAAATCAGAGCATATTAGAACAGGAAGGAACCTTAGGCTTTATCTGGGACAGTGGGTTTCATACTGTGTTCTCTGAAGTCCTAAATCATCTTCAGAGGCACCTCAGGGGCTTGCCAGGAGAATAAGGGAGCAGAAAGTAGACAGGCATCTGGATTCCTTACCTTACTTCAAATAGAGTGGCTCTGAGTTTATTTATCTGAAATAGTGGGCTTTTGGGGACAGTTTATTTGAAAAAAAGGTTCTACTGCTTAAAATTTAAAACCAAAAATACTTTTTAAAAAAAACTATTACTTAATCTTCTCATTATATAGGTGAGGAGACAGGCATAGGAAATGTTTAAGAAGGTCAAACAGATCACCACATGGTAGACCTTAGATTGGAATTCAGGCTACCAGAGCCCTATCATACGGGACCCTTCTTGCTACACCAGAATATGTAGACCATGTATATCATTCCCCTAATAAGTTGCATGCATGCTCAGTCTTATACCTATATACTTGTGTGGATTCAGCATGATTCCATAAACCAATGTATTGTTTTATATTTGCATTTTTTCTTGGGTTTCTTAGGGATTTTGAAAATATTAGCTATGTTAGCTATATTAAACATATAATTACTAGACTGAATAATATTTGTAATATATTTTTAACTATTTCCTGTAAATATTTTAAGGAGACAGATTTCCTTTTTTTCCAAACAAATGGAACTTAACCACCTTCCCTGATTGTGTTGGATAAATTCAATGTTACTATACAAGAAGACTTGTGCCACTAGTGAAAAAGCTATAAATCCTGTTTCCTCTCCCTCTTTAGCACTTGGAGCCTGATTTGTTGAGGGTTCTAACTGAAATAGACTCAATTTCTCCTTCCTACCCAACATATCACTAGTCAAGCTTTGAAATGGCCCCATTCCAACCATAGATGCTTTATAATCTGAAAGACAGTCATAGAATACAGGTTGAATCTAGAATCCTTTTGAGCTTATTATATTTCTTACTTCACAGGACAGAATCTGATCCTAACTGGATCTGCTACTGCAGATTTAGACCAAAACTGAGTTGGTCTCCCAAGTTCATAAGCTCCAAGAATCATCCTAGACTGTTTTAAACCTCCTCCAACACAAATAATGTTTTAAGATTTGCCTAAAACCTAGTATCTGAAGTAAGAGATAAGATGTTAGAAAGTGAAAGGGTACATTCATCCTTTTCTCTTTTGGGTTCCAGTTTATTCCAACTTTTTATTTATTATAATACCTTTTTTTGGTATGTTAGACATTTCAGTGTACTTTCTGATTCTCAGCCTAGAATTAAGCAGAGCAGATAGTACCCATGTTTTTTATATGATGAGACTGAGGCTCAGACAGGGGAAATGACTCACTTAAGATGATCTCATTAGGAATGGTGGAGTTACGGCTTGAACCCAGGTTTTCAGGTTTTCTAGCTCTTGACTCAGTCCTCTTTCCCCACTACATCTTCTTTACAGAACAAATATACTTTATCTGCTATTTCAGTTTTTATATACTTGTAGATACTGACTATATTCAGGTTTTTTTTGCTGATTTGAAATTCACATAATATAAAATTAACCATTTGAAAATGCATAATTCTGTAGCGTTTGGTACATTCACAGTGTTGTATAGTCATCACCATTGTGTATTTTCAGAAGTTTTTCATCACCCTAAACATGAATTCTGTACTCACTAAGCAATAACTTTCTATTTCCTTCTCCCCCAATCCCCTGGGAATCTTTAATCTACTTTTTCTATGAATTTGCTTTATTGCAGTTATTTCCTGTAAGTGGAATCAAACGATATTTGTCCTTTTGTGTTTGGCTTCTTTCACTTAACATATCTTCAAGGTTCATCCATGTTGTAGCATGTACCAGTACTTCATTCTTTTTTATGGTTGAATAATATTCTATTGTATGTTTATACCACATTTGTTTATTCATTCATCTGTTGATGGATATTTGGGTTGTTTCCACTTTTAGCTACTATGAACATTTGTGTACAAGTATCTGTCTGAATCTCTGTTTTCATTTCTTTTGGGTATATACCGAGGATTGGAATTTCTGAATCATATGGTAATATTGTACTCAATTTTAAATGAGTTGTGAGGTTAAGGTAGAATTCAGAAAACATTTTCCAAAAGAAACACTGTTGTAAGTGTCTACAAGCCAGACAAACCCACAAAAACCTGTTAATTCCAAATATAACTAAATAATACTAATAGTTATTTTAGACCTGAGTCCTAGGCTCCCAGAGCTTGAGCAACATTGGATTTTAAGCACCACCCCTGTGATGCTGAAGCTACTTACATCCTGGGGGGAGGCAGGATGGGTGGGGCCTGGATGGTGGCCCAGATTGCTGGGCATTTCTCCTGGCATGTTGGCAGAAGGCCTTAGCAAGAAAGTAGGAAAGGAATGTAAAAGGCTCATACAACAAGATGGGGAGGTGCCAGGGATAAGAATGGCAGGAGCTGGGAAAGGGCACCAACGACACAGATAGAACAACTATGGGATTTATATGTCTGGTTCCTTCTAAAATTGTTCAGTAATCCTAAATCAGTGATAGTTTGAATACTGAGCAGCCATGCTGTGTATGTGAGTGTGTGTGTTTTTTTTTTTCTTTTAAACTATATTTCAGGCCGGGTGTAGTGGCTCACGCCTGTAATCCCAGCACTTTGGGAGGCCGAGACAGGTGGATCACCTGAGGTCTGGAGTTCGAGACCAGCCTGGCTAACATGGTGAAACCCCATTTCTACTAAAAATACAAAAAATTAGCAGGATGTGGTGGTGGATGCCTGTAATCCCAGCTACTCGGGAAGCTGAGGCAGGATAATCTCTTGAACCTGGGTAGCGGAGGTTGTAGTGAGAGCCAAGATCACACCATTGCACTCTGGCCTGGGCAACAAGAGCAAAACTCTGTCTCAAAACAACAACAACAACAAAAACTATATTTCAAGGCATAGTATTTTCTGCCATTTTACCTTGGGGTCTATAAAATCCCTATGCAAATACAAGTGAATTTTTTTCTCCTCAGCTCTTAATGGTGTGTGTGTGTGTGTACGTCTGTGTATAACTGTTTTTGAGGAGGAATATTTTAGTTTCTAGTACTTTAACTTTGTAATGATTTCTTATTTGGGAAGAGCAAAACTTATTAGTTAGAAATATCATGTATTCCAAGCTGACACTTCTTATGTAAGTTTAGTGCTAATGGATCTGTGCCAGCAATGTTGTAACCCATGAAAAATGGAGTTTATAATGGAAATGCTGATGGGCCCTTTTACTATAGTGCTACAGATAGTGTTGCTATAATGAATGGTGTTTCTTTTCCATTCCCAATCTGTTTTCTTTTAATGGTTATCAAACTTTTTAACTGCAGTGTTTTAATTTAATCTAATGATTTGAGTTTTTTAAAAGTTACAGTGTTTTATTTACATTTTGAGAGTAAAAGTTAAAACATTCCTGAGCGGAGAATAACAATAAAATTGCATCTTGCAAGTTTATAACCTTTAAGCACTGAGTAAAAGGATCATGAGCCTTCTCAAAAATACTGATACTGTAGCTTTTCGTAGAGTATCTGTTCCAAAAACCTAACTGGCCATTTAAAAATATGAAATATACTTAGAGAAGAAAATAAATTAAAAGAACTTTTTTCTATACATTCTTCAGAATGTTTCTTTACCTCCTCCTTTGAGGAATCAAATGTAGTATTAAAGCTGCTTTAAAGCAGGGAATAGGGCCCACAAAAAATAAAAATCAAGATGACAGTAATGGCCAATATTTTTTGCATGCTTATTAGATATTTGGCTCTGTGGAAAGTGCTTTACACATATTTTGTTGTTTCTAACAAAGGCCCTATGAGATAGGGTCTAGTAATAATTGGGACTATTAATAAACACCTTTTTCAGATGAGGAAACTGAGGCCTAGAGACAGAAGTAACTTAGTTGCCCAATTCATACAGTTTACAAGTGGGAGAGCAGGAGTTAGACCCAGTCTGATGGCTCTGGAGCCTGACTCCCAGATACCACCTGACATGATCCCTGCTTCATCTCTCATCTTCTTAGAGGTGAACTTCTGATTTTCCTGGGGTTCTACTAGTAATTCTCTGGACACTGTCATTACCATTTTATGATTTATAATTAGTAAGTCAGAAGAAACAGATCAATATTCACTTATGCAAAAAGATACCTAGCCAACCTATTTGGCTCATTTGAGACCCAACAAGCTCATGTGCCTCTTAACAGTATTTCTTTACCCTGGTCATCACAATGTAATATGCATGAAAATCAGACTGTAAAACATCCCCATTTGGGATAATAAAAAGGATACAAACAAGGTTCCCTTCAAAAGAAGCATCTCACTCTTTACTAATCTTTAGAAGGTTCTCAAATTTGAACATTATAACCTTCAGAGGGTAGTTTTCAGTCTGGGACTAGCTACTTAGGAATACCCGAAAATGTTTTTTTGAGTTATGTTAAAAATAAAACTAGTTAATATTTCAGTGACTGACTTCTAAATTAAGGTAGTTATTTTTATATTAGCAGCTTACAATTTATGACAGTAGATATATATGTACACTTCCTATGTTAAAGCCCTTTAGTTTTACTTTTAAAAGGGAAAATGTGATCTTGATCTTTTTCAATACAAAAATGTAATCTCAGCTATTTAAAAAAGTATAGTTTCTCAGTGTATTAGAAGAACTTATAGAAAATTAGTACCTCGGTGGCATGAATGCTGGTTCAGTCAATGTCACTTCTCTTCATTAAAATCTAAATACTCAAAATTTTTCCATTTCTGGAGGGTTTACTTATGGTTGTTACTTATATTCCTGAAATGCTATATATGATCATAAAAGATTTGCTCTGTGAATGAGTAAGAGAAAAGGGATGTGCAGAAGATATAAAAAAAGAAAAAGCATTTGTATGATCAAAGTACAGAGTAGTCTAATTTTACTCTCAGTGATTTATTTTCTCTCCATGATGACCAACATTAACTGATCACAGATACAGACTTATCTTGTTATTATAACAATGTAACTTCTATTGCTGAGCTAGTTCATTCCATGAATAAAGTAGATGGATTTTTATGATCCAACTCATAGATACTGAGTTAGTACAAAATTCAAAATGAAACCAAGACATTAAAAATGTAGGGATCATGTAACTATTTTATACTATGTGTATCTTTCTCTGATTTACTTTTATCTCATTTTCTCATTTCTTATCCTACAAGTTGCATTCTGAACTTTATTATAATTACGAATTTGGTCCATATGATTTTTTAAAAATGTTTTTAATGATTATACCTAGACTTATAAGTTTGGTAAGATATAAATTCTGTTAGTGAATAGTCACTAGTCACCATTTCAGACCATGTAGGTATTATCAGATAATGAACATGTTTATGGTGCTATATAAGTATTAATTAAATAACAAAAACTCTATTGACCACCAATGGTAAACGTAATTGAATTAGCAGAGCAGTAAAATAAATGTAGACAAAATAAATATAGACAAGCGCATATGAGAAAGCTTGTGTAATGTTTTAGATTAATAGGCATGCAGAATTCTTCACATTTTTTATTACGTAGTCCCTAGATGAATTCAAAGTAATTGGGGTGGTTAATTTTATTTACACAGAGCCGTTCACAGCGCATTAAATAATAGAGATAATTGAACAAGAATTGTCAAGTGTGTACTGATATCAGACATATTACAGAAGGGAATGTGCATAAAACTTCATTTCTATGCAGCCATTGTTTATGGTAATTAAGTACACAGATTTATCCCTTGGTTGCCTTCCAAGCTTATGGCAACTGCTATTGTTGTGCTCCATTAATATGTAATCAGGAAATAGTTTAATTTTCTAATCTGCAGTTTGAGAATTCACTTTCTAACAACTCTTAATTACTGCATTGCCCTGATGATGCTCATGGTTATGAAAATTGAACCAATAAACTCAGCGGAAGAAGCCAGAGGGGATTATAATTCCAGAGGTGGTGCTTACTTAATAAACTTGTTATGCCTTCACCAGAGGGAGCTCAGTGTCCTTCAAAAGCATTTAATTTTATAGTTTAGAATTTACATTTCCACTATGTAAGGAGTTAAAATATTTAGGAGAGATAGTATTCTAAAATCTGTTTATGAAAAGTGAGACAATACCATCTTGATGCTGTTAAAGCATTGTAGTCTTTTAGAAATTATTTAGGGACATGTATCTGTTGTTTTAAACTGACTCTTTAAAATTTTCTATAAAGTATTATTTTGCTAATCCATCTTAATTCATAAAATTATATCTGGGAGCTATATCTGTGACATATTTGATAAGCTTTTTTGTTTTGACTTCCACTTTTCTGTACATAACTTCTTTTTTTCCTCTTCTTTTTTCCTTCTGTACAAATTTAAAGACTGGCATGCCATCCAATTATTAAATGGTGGATACATGGATTTTCTTTGGTAACAGTTCAGTTCACAATTTAAGCAAAAGGCCAATCACAAAGCAAAATGGCTCATAAAAATTTTGTTAGTCTTATCTTCTGGGATGAAAGATCTTATGGAAGTGTAAGTTCTTTTAACTACATCTTAAGAAAATGACATGTCATATATCATCCTGATAAGATAGGGCATATGGGAAGGTCCTCTTCTCTATCATGATCCTTTTTTCCCCCACAATATGGTCTAATACCAAATGACAGTGATTGGTAACAACACACCTATCAAGTATATGAAAATAATTTATATTTATTAACAAGAAAAAAGTAAATACTTTGGGAACATTCTCCAATGTAGACTGGCTTTCATTCAATGAAGGTAGATAATAACTTCAATAAAATAAGAGAACAAATGGTTTTTAATAGCTTGAGTCATTTTCAACCTAATGAAATTTATGTCACAGTATTCATTAAATTTGTAATTTTAGCATACAGCTCCAATTACTTTTCTTATATTTTCCAATTTCTTGACATTTATTGTAATTTTGTGGTGCTAGAATTAGTAATGGATCCCCTTAATATTATTTCTGAAATTACATGTACACCAAAATATTGTTCTCAAACTTCAATATGCATCAGAATTACCTGGTGAGTTTGTAAATTCTCTGTTCCCACCCCCTTACCCACATTCTGATTCAGGACATGGGAAGTGGGATCTAAGAATCTGCATTTTTACAACAATTTTATTTTATTCTGAAGCAGGTGGTCCACAGAGTTCCCCTTTGAGAACAGTGCTTTAAAAACTTTACCTACACTAATAATGAGTTGGCACAGAAAATGATCCAATTTCTGAATATACTTAAATACTTCATCCATTATTCTTCCATTGTTCCTGATATGAATCTCCTTCCAGATGGAGAGTTATCTATTTAATCTCTTGGTAATCCAGAGTCATCATGTATTTTTCTCGTAGAAGGCCATGGGTAGTATTAATAATTATGCAGGGAATTTGCTACTTTGAAGGAAATCTGAATTCGTTTTGCCCATGCTATAAATGTAGCTGTTCTTTATTATCTTCAGTGAAGTCTGCAGTTGTGGAGAAAAGATGCCTGATGGCTATATTACCAAGAAGCCAGATCCCCAGATATATGACTTACTGCAGGAGAGAATGTGGCTAGCGTGGATAGCAACAGCACCGGCTGGCTTACTGAAGTGTTACCTTCCTGCCTGGGAAGCTGTTCTAGAGTTCTCTCAGGGTCAGAATGCCAAATAAATCGAGTTCCACTTGTGCCTTTGGATAATATTATTTCTCCACAATTTTTGAATAGTGAATAGTATGCTTCCTGTAAGCTTAAAGAATAAGAACATATGCATATCACTCATAATTATCCATAATTTATTTTGAAACTAAATTAACAAAGCCTATTTTCAGTAATGTTTTCTTTTTCGATTACCAAGCCACTCTACATTAGATGTGTGGCCAATATTGTAGTTCTTTGCTATTTGACTTTATTAAAAGTTATCTATAATTGGTATTAATAATAAGGCTACTCACAAATGTGGCTTACCACATTATTATATTTATTCAGTATTTTAAAAACAATCACTATGTATTAATTTCTCTAAACCATATAGCAAACCATCTATGGTCCCTGCTTTAGAGGAGGTAAAATATCATTCTAACATGCCTAAAATACTTGGTAACATATAGTAATTATTCATAATTATTTGAGGTTTTTTCATGTTTATTTTATATAATTGAGTATAGGAGCTGAGTAGGGGTATAAGAGAATACATTTGACTTGTTCTGGAATTATTTAAAACTGCCTTAAGGAAGCTTTCCTAGATCATCCCACCAGCCAGAATTATCCTCTCCTTCTCTTATAACACTTTTGCGTATCTTTCCAGTAGCTTATAAAACTTTGGACTAGGGAGGCTAAGATGGTATCTTACATTCATCTTTTGGCTCCCTCAAGGAGTCAACAGTGCTTTGCACATAAATGTCAGTCAGTGAAACATTTGTCCTTTTGTGGTAAGTTGATTTTTTTTTTAAATCCCATCATCCCATTCTATGCCACTCATTGACATCTAGGAATAAATGGAATAAAAAGGAATAAATTAAACAAAAGAACTACACCAAATGTTCTCTCAGTTTGTCAGATAAAGAATCTAGTTGATGGCAGCTACACTGAGTTAACAGGTAGTTTCTTAGAGTTTTATTTTTCTGTTCTTGCCTGTTTTTTCCACTTCTACTTCATTCATACAACTATTAGATAGAAAAAAACCTTTAACCAATGAAAACAGTACTGACAGGCTTTCTCTGCATTCATATGCTATTTTGGTACCCTGTTGCTTAAACGTGATATATTTTTTATTCCAAAGAAAGTACAGACACTGTAAGTTAAATACATTTTAAGTAAAAGTTAAATTTTCCATTTTCATTCAGAGTGGAGATTTTCTTAAAAGATAAGTGTTATTTATAATGTTAAAAGATGACTCTGTAAAAATGCTAAAGATCATAATAGAATACGTGCCATTTTTCCTGAAAAATTTTATTTAATAAGACTTTTGAAAGAGTTCAGTACATTTGTTAGTTTAGAATTAATAAATATTGGAAATTATATATATATATATGTCAGGATCTCCTGCATACTTAATTTCTGTATATTTAAATATTATGTCTGTTCATAAGTCAAACTACTCATCATCATCCTAGTTTGACTAAAGATTTAAGCTGAAGTACGTGAGTAGCATAGAATACATTTATTGCACAGAAACACAAACAGCTAGCCAGGCTGTAAGTATATTATCAGGCAAGTTCTTTCAGAAACGTATTGCTAAAGAAGCTTAACATTAATTATTGTAACTTTGGGAAGATTACATCCACACTAGCCTTGTAAGAAGCAGCATACACTTCTTGACCTCCAATGCTAGAGCTTTAAGACACAAGAATGGCATTTTACCAACTTTAATGGGATAACCAGTATAATCTTTCAGCAGTAAGGGAAGAAAAAGTGTTTAGAGTATAATACCCTTCTGATTCTAATAGAGGCTGCCTGTTATGTGTATTGCAATCATAATTCATTTGTTTATTTTGTTTTAGTTTTAGTTGTAACTATTTAAGGGAAACAGAACTTTTATAAAAATTTAGCAGGTTGCTTGTTGACTTTTTCATTCTTTCTGTTTGCATGCCAGCTTCTTTTTGTGGCATGCATAGATAGATACACAGCAAATATATATGTAGGTATGTGTGTGTATAAAATATTTGCCACAGTTTTGAGATCTCTGAAGTATAATCTGTACAAAGACATGGTATGAATTTGGGCATGCCTGTTCACCTACTTTCCCTTTAAATGCAGTTTCTTATTTCCTAGTTATAATCCTACAGTGCCATGTACAGTATAAATACCAGCTGAAACACCTCCCCTGTCCTCCGTGTATATCGCATTGTGCCTAAGAATACCAAATATATTAATTCACTCAAATAAATAGAAAGTGTATATTATGGTTCCTCTACCCACACATAAGTTAAAAGCGTATTGATGATATTCTTGAAAATTATTTTTTCTAAATTAAAGAAATTCAGCAGGGTTTTTAGTACATCTCTATTGACTTAGTTCAGTGCATGAGATTGGTGGATTATGATTAATTTTAATAGCTACATTAAAAAATACATCTAACATTCTTAATTAGAATAATCTCCAAAGCCAGTTAAATGTTTTAGAAGACAAACAGTTTAATTAGCTAACCTCAGAGGTTCCCCTCCCCCATATGTGCAGTGGTCTTAGGCTTGGTGTGAGCCTTTCAAGCATTCTTAAACAATTGGATGAAAAGGGATTTTAGGCAGATTAGACTAGGGGATCCTTTATTTGTTGTTCCTAATCATGAGATATGCCACATCTACAAAGTTTTACAAAGAAATGAAAATTTAAATAAATTTTACTTTGACTATCTAGTTAGCATGAATTACAAGCTAAAACATCCAGTGATAAGACTACTTAATAAATGTATTCTTTTAATTGTAGATAGGAGCAAAAGTACATGCTGGGGTGGACTAGCAAGTGATATGGCAGATTAACATTCTAAAAGGGTCAATGCTTTTTCCCAGAAAGCATGCTTTTGTTGTACACTCCTGTGGTGCCACTAAATTTTTGGAAATTAATTCAGAAAGTTGAAATAGAATTGTCAGATTTCAGTCTTGTTTTTTTCATTTTTTTAATTTCTTTCTTGTTCTTGTCTGCTTTATGCCCTCTCTAATGAAAAAAATGAAAAGTTTAGTGTATCTGTTTTTTATTTTTCTATTACAAAACGCTGAGGAACTTAGGAATTTGCAACTTTTAGTGATATATAAATCACTGCTTTTTTTTTAATTTGTAAGGAGCAAAAGATATCTTTTTGTACCTAGAGGTTTTTTTTTCTTTTTTTTTTTCTTATTTGGCTTTCTGCCTTTTAGTTTTCCGTTTGCCTAAAAATAATAAATGTTATTTGTAGTTTTAAATTTTTTAAATTATAACTGGATTGCAAGATTATTAAAGTAATAAACCAGAAATAAAAATATATAAGGTTAGATTGGAAAGATTGATTTCACCAATTGCATATGCAGATAATATTCTATATTTACATTATATTAAATTCTGTGATCTAAGTGTTGAATGAATAAGCCCATTAAAACTAAAAAATTAATTTCTTGTATGCAAATTTTGTATAAATATGTTGTAAGGTGGCATTTGAAGTTCAGATAGCTTAATTGAGTTTGAAGGGGGAAAGGTCATTTAATTGGCCTATTGAAATGTTAACAGAAACAGATATACCGTGGAATGGACTTTAATGGCAGCAGTGTTGCACTAATGTCTGTATTCACTTGCAAAATTGTTAATTAGTGCACTTTGGTAGTTCATTTGTTTTTGTATTGATGTGATTAGTCCAATGGGGAAATCAATTTTATAGGAGAAATTGCATGACTTGCTAGCACCCTAAAATGCATGTTTATTTTTGATTCCCAAGAGAATACTTTACACTGTAAAACTCAAGTACATTTCCAGTTGGAGACCTCTGCTTCTCTTCTGGATAGTGGAATGTCTGATCATTTTTCTGTTTTACTCTTTTGATAAAGTTCAGATGTCCTGTATGAACATTTGAATGTCTGAATCTATATGAAACTTTTCTTAGCTGAACATTTCTAGAAACTAATGTCATGTTTCCAGGATAAACATGCTGAGAAGAAAAAGGAAGGAATGGGGTATGGGTGGGATTGCTGATTTCACCCTCTTTAGGTTAAGGTGTAAATAACATTCTGGGTGAGGTATTTTTCTCACCATAAGTGCTCATTGCTTTAACTAGGGAAAACTGCTAAGAAACAGTATTCCAAATAATTTTAAGATATCCTTATAAGCCTTATGTGATTCATTTACTGTAGATGGAGTAATTGGAGTATATGGAGTAAAGTCCATAGTAAAGATGGACTTTATTATGAAGTTCTATTACTGTTAGTCTTATGCAATCTATGTATACATAGTACAATTTGTACTGCTGTACAGTAGTCCCTCCTTATCCTCAGGGGATCCCCAGTGGATGCCTGAAACCTCAGACTGTACTGTGGATTCTATACATACAATGTATATATACTATGTTTTTTCCTATACATACATACCTATGATAAAGTTTAATTTATAAATTAGGCACAGTAAGAGATTAATAGCAATAACTAATAATCAAATAGAACAATTATAACAATATACTGTAATAAAAGTCATGTAAATGTAATCTCTCCCCTCTATGTTCCCCTCCCCCCAAAATTTTGTACTATACTCACCTATTTTTGGACCTCAGTAAGTGATAAGGGGGGACTACTGTATTCAATTTTTAAAGCCACTTGGAGCAAGGAAGGCTAAGAGTCAACTTTTGAATACAAATTCCTAATATTAGCTTCTAATATTATGGTACTTTGTTTTGTATATAATACTACCACGTAACTATAAATGTTTGCAAATATGACAAGTCTTAGAGATCATCTAGTATAGACCTTTTAGTTTACTGATAAAAACACTGAATCCAGAATTAGAGGTTGGCTCAAAGCTATAATTAGAGCAGGTATTTTCTGACTCACATTCCAGCCTCATTCCCTTCTCTTAATCCATACTCTTACATAGTTTGTTTAAAAAGAAATAAAGAAAGAAAAATCAATACCTAAATGTCTCAAGGAGAAACCATCTAGATTTTTAAAACCTATTAAAAAAATTATACTGGATTATTTTCCATAGTGTGTTCACAGCTAAATGAATCCCTAATTTGAGTCTCCTAAGTAAACTAAAAAAATCGTAGTCTACCTTACTCATGTGGAGTAAACCTTTTGTAATTTAGACTCTAAATGTTATAGAATGTAAATATGTGTAATAAAACAATTGTAAAACATTTATTTAGGAAAATATAACACATTTTAATGTAGCAATTTGACACTGACTTTGTGAAAATAGAGTAAGTTTCCTAGGTTCCAGTGGTTTTAGGGTTTTTAAAAATAGATGTCCATATATTGTTAAAATATTGTTAGAAATAATTACATTAGTCTTGTACCATGAACATTATACGTTCATTCCAATATGTCTTAAAATCCTTAGTAGGATTATTAACCTATGTCTTGATTCTTTTCACTTATTTCTTCAAACTACTTAAGTACACAACCCCAATTTAGCTTTCTAAGGTAACCAAATTCTAGAACATTTCTTTGTACCAGTATGCAAATGTATTTACATAGGAATAAATCTAGGTTTCCTTAAAGAGGGCAACAGAATTGAAAACTGAGGCCAACAAATAAATGAAAGTTTCTCTAAATCCATTGGATAATAGAGGCAGTGTTAAGGCTAACCATAGTGTTGAACTAAACAGAGGGATTACTCCTGGGTTTTGCATCAGTTGTTTTCTGCCGGGTGGCCTCACTTGTCAAAAAAAAAAAAAAAAAAAAAAGTTTAACAGGCAAACATTCACATGGGCACGTTGAGAAAAGAAGTTTGCTTAATTCCATCAAAGCTTAAAAAAATCAATCATTAATTTATTCTAACTACAATTGTTGGTCATTTGTGAAAAACATCTGGCCTTTA
Source organism: Homo sapiens (assembly GCF_000001405.40). Taxonomy (NCBI): domain Eukaryota; kingdom Metazoa; phylum Chordata; class Mammalia; order Primates; family Hominidae; genus Homo; species Homo sapiens. The sequence goes on from NC_000002.12 coordinate 63,011,299, forward strand.
AGTCATAGGAACCTAAACACCAGTATAATGTGAACACTTGTGAAGAAGCTTCAAGTTTGGTTTAGCATAAAAAAGCAATGTTAGTGTGTGTGTAGCTTTATCTAACCATACAACAGAATTTGTTTACTTATAATACTTTAACTCCACTTAGTTTTTTTGGACTTTGACAGTATTATAAATCCAAGTGTAATGTGCTTTAAAGATTAGAAAATTGTTAATTTGCAGCTTTAAGAAGTTCAGCCTTTTTACATCTTTTTGTGGTTGTTTAACAGAATAACATTACAGCAATCTTGGTATTACAAGTCAAAAATGGTTTCTAATGTAGTCTAAATTCAAGATAGAAAATATATTTTAAACATGGTTTCAGGAGGGACATTCCCTATTTTGCATATGTCTAAGTAATTCTTAAAATATTTGTTTTAAAGCTGGACTTAAACATTCCTGACTGCTCTCTAATTTGATATAGCTAGTCAAAATGATTTTATTCAAGAAATTTTGGCAGGAGAATTCAGTGAAGGAGATAAATAATTTTGCAGCTATACTCATATTGCAAAGTATAGAACTAATTCAGTCATTATGACTGTAGTAACATCTGTTCTTTAGCTTTAAAGTGAGCAGTAGAACAACTCAATGTTGGGATACATTTAAATATTAAGCTTTGTTAGTCAAGTTTCAAGTTCTAACAAAATATAAGTAGCCACATCATAGCCACAAAATAATACATAGTAGGTCTGTAGTTTTGTTGTTACCGTTGTTGTTTTTTTAATGAACTTTTAAACATAGAAAAGGCTAACCAAAGCTGTAGGGGGTGAAAATTAGAACCTAAATTAGAAATAAAAGTTGCATCATTTTAATTTCATGCTCTAATATAATATGAACAGTTAATATTGTAAAACCTGCCTTGATGATGACATACTAGTCTAGTGGTTTCCTGTCATACAAAGGAAATAAAACATGATATAACCAAATGCTACTGTGTCATATAGAAATGATCCAATCTCTTACTGTTAAACTACCTTCACCAGATTATTCATATACTATATCTCACTCACTGCTCTTTAGCTTCCCCTAGGCTTTTAATAATTATAAATTAAGAAAGACTGTAGATACTTGTCATAAATTAGGTTTGATTCTAAGCAAAATATATAATAGCTAATAATAAAAAAGCACTTTTTCTGCAGTGATAAAAAATACTAATCTTCAGTTTAGACTTTTTTTTCATTTATGCCACAAATATGTTATTGTAACAAAAGCTAACCATGTTTCTAAAATGTACACTAAGTAAATCTCAAAATGTGTGTGCCATATGTAGAAGTCTCGTAAAATTTTGGCCCTCATTTCAGAGGCACTAATGTCCAAAGTACTGTTAGGATACTGGAGATGAGAGGAAAATAACTTAAAACAGCTTGTGAAATATAATGTTTGAAATGGTTCTTTGAGAATGTGCAGATTATGGCTTGCATAGGGACTCCTTCCAGCTCTCTGGGAAAATGAGCTGTTGACATTCTTTTGGGTCATCATTCAAGATACAAGGGCAACCACAAGGATTTAGCAGATAAATTCATCCCCAAAGACCTTTATCCATTTCACTGCAACTTGGAAACATTCATGTTGAATAGTAGCATTAATGTAGCCTACTTAGCTCTTCAAAGTGAGTCTTATGTTTAAAAAAAGAAGAGGAAAAAAGAAAAGAAAATGAAGAAGATGATGAAGAAAATCAAACGAGTAGGGTAATAACTTATTTAAGTCTTCTAAGAGGTATTTATTTACATGATTCTAAAGCACAGACCATTTCTGTTCTCTACACAGTTTCAAAAATAGAATCGGGTCTTACATAGTGAGCAATAAGCCTTTAAATTGTAACTAAGTGAATCAGTCCTGTGTTACTTGTTAGTTGTTTATAACAAAGAGCAGAAAGTAAATTAATGTTTTAATGTTATATTCTGAAATGACTGGCAGCATTTATAAACAATTGAAAATAATCTACTTTAGGTTCTGACTCTCTTTGGACTTTATGATTCAGGCAAAAGGAAAAGTCAGAGCTGTGATGAACATATTAAAGGTATGCATTAAGATTCACACACAGTCCTTTCCTATAAAGAGTGAAAAAAACTTTTTGACTCAAACTGGAATGATACTATGTAGGGCTGAATGTGCAGGAAAGTTTCCCACAATGCATTGTGCAAACCTAGGGCTAACAAATACCCTGCTGCTTGAAACCCCCCCAAAAGACAAAGGCACAATGAAATAGAAAGCTTACCACCGGTAGCTTTCAAAACGACAAACTAGGCAAACTATACATCTCCACCACTCCAATTTTGTCAGAATGCTAATGAGCTTGCTCTGATCTTTACTCGGCTTCCCGTGTTTTCTACATCTTCAAGGACCACATGGCGCTAGCAAAATAAAGACAACTAAATGAGAATTTCGAATGCTTTTTGTGTTAGGACCTGGTGCTTTTCAGTGGACGCACTCGTTGAATATTCTCAACTTAAAAGAGTACAACAGGGGGTTGGGTATGAACTTTTTAACAGGAGGAAATTTGAACAAAAGTAAATTAGTGAGATGAGGAAAATATGAGAAAAATTTCTGATTAATTTCCACTCCATAATATCAATGACACCTTCAGCCCCACTCATACTCTTCTAACAAGAGATGCTGATAAAAGATGAATGATTCTGTGTTGTTCACAGTGAATGTTTAGTGGTTTTTTAATAGCAGCATTCTACATAAAAGGCACCAGGAAGTACTCCGCATTAGCAGTTGAGATCACTAGTTAATAGGATGATGTCTTTTAGCTTTTGTCACAAGATTATTAGAAAGGATGGGTTTCTGTTCTCATCATTGCATAGTTTGGAGTGCCTGTTGAGTACAAGTGCTAAAATACAGGTTTCTCAGTATTGTTTCACATGTAAAGCAAAAAGCCTTTTAATGCAACACCTTTTTCCTTTTTACCAGGTGATTTTGTTATTGATCTCTAATCTGCCCCTTTAGCTGTATTAAATGCTTAAAGTGTTCTGCTTTTCCATGTAGCCTTGATGCTAGCTATTTGTGTCTATAAATTCATTAACATTAAAACAGGATCTATATAGACTATTAGAGTCTATGAGTTAGAAAATGGCATATTACATACTTGTTTAGGGCATAAATAACAACATAAATTTAAGATTATCTGCATAAATGTTATAAAAATATGTTCGTTGATAATATGTTATGAGATTTTAATTATGTATTTATAAGGAACATATTTTTCACAATCTCTCTTTTCTTTAGCAATCACTGTACACTTACCAGGAGAATAAGAGTAGTCAACTCCATTTCTTACCATATCCATCCATACCTAGAAAGAAGAAAAAACCAAAACTGGGTACATTTTTATATATAAAGATATTTGAACACGGCTGGGCACAGGCTCACGCCTGTAATCCCAGTACTTTGGGAGGCCGAAGCAGGTGGATCACCTGAGGTCGGGAGTTCAAGACCAGCCTGACCAACATGGAGAAACCCCGTCTCTACTAAAGATACAAAAATTAGCCGAGTGTGGTGGCGCATGCCTGTAATCCCAGCTACTCGGGAGGCTGAGGCAGGAGAATCGCTTGAGCCCGGGAGGTGGAGGTTACAGTGAGCCGAGATCACGCCATTGCACTCCAACCGGGGCAACAAGAGTGAAACTCTGTCTCAAAAAAAAAAGATATTTGAGCTTAGAGTTAAATTAATTCTGTACAACTAATAAATAACCAGGAAAGGAAGGAAAAGATGTTGATATAATAACTCTTTCCGAATTTTATATGAGGAAAAATTTTGCCAGTGTTTCTCACATTTAACACATATATTTGATGTTTCTATATACTGTTCTTTAAATGTTCTCTTATCCTGAAAAATTATATTTTTGTACATTGTACTTGGTTCACATGACTTAAATATTGCCTCTTAAGATATTATAATTTATACACCCTTCTAGCAAAATGGAGGTTAAAAATCCTGTGTTAATGGGAGTAACTTGGACAACCATAGTTTTTAATGTCAGGAAAAAGTAGAGACTATCTTCTAAATATAACAACAGTTTTTAAAAATATGCTAATTCTTTACTTTTTATTATTTAGTGTGCTATTTCTATGTTCCTCGTAAGTATGGATTATATGGGAATTAGGATTCGTGTAATAACATGTCTCCATTTTGTAAAGTTCCTGGGTTTTTGTGGTTTTGTGTTTGTTTGTTTGTTTGTTTGTTTAGAGACAGGGTCTTGCTATGTTGCCCAGGCTGGACTGGGCCTCCTGGGTTCAAGCAATTACGTTGCCTCATCCTACCAAGCAGCTGGGACTACAGGCAAGTGCCACCCTGCTTGGCTAGAGATTCTGTTTTAATAGACATTAATATGTCTATTTTCATACAGATTATAATGAGAAAAGAGACCATGTCATTAAAAATATATACATTAAACTAAGTGAGATATCTCTTTTGGCATTTTAATTACAGAACTGAAAAAAATTTAAAAAGTGAAGGTGTGTCATTAAAAATTGTTTTCTAATATGATATACCGTGATAAAATAGAAAATAAAGTTTTCTAGGTTATTAAAGTTGAATACCCAGTTGACATCTACTCATATAAAATATAAGATGGACAGACAAGGCTTTAATATTTCCTCTGCAAAGGAACTTTTCATAAACAGAAACAAAATAAATGAGGGAATTTGATGTTATAAAGCAAATAAAATGATTACTAAGGTTCTGAAGTAGTATAGAGTTACCCTATTCTTCTCTACTAAAATTTATAGAGTACTGAATCTGTAATAATAAAGAAACCAGAAAAAATGATACTTTATATCTGAAAATTTTCTACAAAGTGAATTTTTAACACAATTTTCAGAGGCAATAAGCCACATCTGTTGATAGACTCTAAGAGTTGATAGTATTGTTCCTTTCTGGAAGCAAAATGCTGACATGATTTTGATAAATATGGTGTTATAGTTCTGTTTTGTATATATGTGTTTTTAACTGTGTCAAGATTTTAGTTACTTTATGTTACCTAACTCCAAGAATGCAAAATAATACAGCATCATTTTCTAATTACAAGAAGTGATAAAACTTCATGCAATTATGTGGGGTTTTGGGGGGTTTTTTGTTTGTTTTTCTGTTTTGGGGGGTTGGGGGAATGGAGTCTCGTTCTTGTCGCCCAGGCTGGAGTGCAATGGTGTCATCTCGGCTCCCAGCAACCTCTGCCTCCCAGGTTCAAGTGATTCTCCCACCTCAGCCCCCCGAGTACCTGGGATTACAGGTACCCACCACCACGCCCGACTAATTTTTGTATTTTTAGTAGAGATGGGGTTTCATCATGTTGGCCAGGCTGGTCTCGAACTCCTGAGCTCAGGTGATCCACCCGTCTCAGCCTCCCAAAGTGCTGGGATTACAGGCATGAGCCATCGCGCCCAGCCTGAAATTATGTTTTAATTCAATATGCAGAAGGTAAAAAAGCATATAAGAACATGTCAAACAATTGATTCTGCCACATCTTGATGGAATCACAGCCAGGCAGAAGAACAGTGCTCCAAGGCCCAGCTCTCCAAGGTCTTCATGTGAACCATTGCTCCTATGCTCCTGTCCATTAGGACCCAGGGCCCATAGGTCTTTTACTGTTGTTAGCATAACTACAGGAGAGGCTGTTCTTCAATATTTAATCCATATCATACCTTCATCTGAAAACATGGACTTATCCCTTGCAGCAGTGAGGTGGGACCCTGACTGGGGGAATGATAACTGCTTACTAACTCATCTTCACAGCTGGGACCCTCAGTTTGTACACTAATAGAATGAGGACACTATGGCTTTAGAAATAAAAATTGGAGTAAAGAACTCAACTTTAATTCCCATAAAGGATGAAATTTGTTTCCATTCTTTCATGTCCTGTGATAGAGATGGGGTTTCACCATGTTGGCCAGGCTGGTCTTGAACTCCCAACCTTCAGTGACCTGCCTGCCTCGGCCTCCCAAAGTGCTGGGATTACAGGCATGAGCCACCGTCCCCGGCCCAGCCAATATACTTGGATCCCTCATTATGCCTGAGGTTTTGATCCTTGGTATGCTTATACTGAATGTAGAACCTTAACCCTGGTTAGTGAACCTAATTAGTTTACATATAGTCACACTAAGTCAAAGTTGATGTAGTATGGCAACTAAGAGAAATGTGAGAATTAAATTAGATACTTTATATCAAGCATTTGCAACCAAACACTTGGAGTATAACATTTGCAACCAAGTACTTGGTATTTGCAACCAAGCACTTGGAGCTCCATAAATGTTAGCTATTATTATTTATATAATCTTTTTAATACTTAAATTTCTCAACATCTCCTTTGAAATAAAAGATGAAAAACACCAATATGCTGGGAATTTTACCTATCATCATCAAGCACTAAAAAAAGGTATAATGAATTAATATTGTTCTCTTCTCACATTTCTACATTTTATTTATTATTCTGTATTACATATGTAGTATAGAGGCATTTGATTATTGGGAATAATCAATAATGAACAGACATATAGTTTAAAGAAAATAGTAAATTTTGTTTTAAAAGGAGAGTTTAGGGAGCTGAGTGTGGTGGCACCCACCTGTAATCCCAGCACTTTGGGAGGCTTAGGCAGGAGGATTGCTTGAAGCCAAGAGTTGAAGACAAGCCTGGGCAACAAAGCAAGACCTTGTCTCTACAAAAACTAAAAAATTTAGCTGGTTGTGGTGGCACATGACTGTAGTTCCCAGCTACTCAAGAGGCTGAGGCAGGAGAATTGCTTGAGCCCAAGAGTTTGCAGCTACAGTGAGCTATGATTGCACTCCAGCCTGAGCAACAGAATGAGACCTTGTCTCTAAAACTGAAATAAAATAAATAAAAGGAGAGTTTATATTTAAGGTGCTTATAGTACTTTTGTTTTTTACTTTTTCTACTTTCAATTTTAAAAACTGGTAATTTAATTCTTGTCTTTCTATAGTTTTTTTCTGTAGTTACAAGGAAAATTAAAATATCATACTTTCAAGTCTTCTTTATTCTCACAATTTGTTCAGCTAATTCAAGCTTCTGTTGCTATCTGTATTTCATTATTTAGACCATTTAAGAAGGAAAATATAAATTATATATAGAAGCACTAGCACTTAATTGTTGAATCATTCTGGTTCATGCGATAGGTTCTGGATCATAGGATTTCTAGAAAGGAACCTTGCTGATTCAGAAATGCAGAGGGCTTCCTAAGGTTCTCATTTCTAACATTTATTTCTTCTTCTCTCCTTGGCACTCACTGGATGCCCCAACTTTTTACTATATACAGTATTAAGTTGACTTTCTCATCTGCTGACTCATGTTTATTCATTTATCCAGAAAAACAAATGTATACAGTTTCTACCCGTGATATTTAGAAAGTATTTTCCACTACTAGAAATTTTGAATTGGAAATGTAAAGTATAATTTTTGAACCTAAAGAATTAACACATCACCATAATTTTCAATTTGGAACATGTCTGTTGCTTGAAGTGAGGAACATCCTTATTCTAGATTGCAATAAAATTTTTTAACATTTAAAAAAGTAGAAATTCCAGGAAAATGTGTTTTTCCTCAACAACTATCTATGAAACAAAATTTAGGCATTTGAACTGACTTGGCAGCAACGTGTTTTTCTTCTGAATGTGAAATTAAATTTGTGTAATGTCATGCCAATGCTAAAATAACATGTTATACATGGAATATCACCCTTTCTTTTTTTAAGAAAAATTAATCTCAGTGACTTCTTTGTGAAAGGGCCAAGACAGTGATTCTCAAACTTTTATATCCATTAAAAAAATGCCTGAGAAATTTGTTAAAAACATAGATTCCCAAGCCTTACTTAGAAGATTTTGATTCACTGGACCTGGTATGGAGCCAGTCTTCTAGGCAATTCTAATACAGGTGATCCACAGACCACATTTGAGAAACACAGAGTGAAGATGTGCTAAACTCATAGTGTTACAAGCGCTAAGAGAAGTAGCACAGCATAGAGATTTAAGAGTATAGACTTTAAAATCAGTAAGATCCCAGCTAGAATCTGGGTGTTCTTAGACAAGTTAGTTAATCTCTCCGAGCCTCTGTTTGATCATATGTTTTAAAAAAGATAAAGGCAGCAGTGGCTCACGTCTGTAATCCCAGCACTGGGAGGCCCAGGCGGGCAGATCACGAGGTTATGAGTTTGAGACCAGCCTGGCCAATATGGTGAAACCCCGTCTCTACTAAAAATACAAAAATTAGCCGGGTGTGGTGGCACACACCTGTAGTCCCAGCTACTCGGGAGGCTGAGGCAGAAGAATCACTTGAACCCAGAAGGTGGAGGTTGCAATGAACCAAGAGCATGCCATTGCACTCCAGCCTGGGCAACAGAGCGAGACTCCATCTCAAAAAAAGAAAAAGAAAGAAAGGGAAGGGAAGAGGAGGGGAGGGAAGAGGAGGGGAGGGGAGAGGAGGGGAGGAGAAGGGAAAGGGGGAGGGAAAGGAAAGGATAGGGAAGGGAAGAGGGGGAGGGAAGGAAGGAAGGAAGGAAGGAAGGAAGGAAGGAAGGAAGGAAGGAAGGAAGGAAGGAAGGAAAAAAAAATGCTGGGCTGGGTGCGGTGGCTCATGCCTGTAATTCTAGCACTTTGGGAGGCCGAGGCAGGCGGATTGCCTGAGGTCAGGAATTGGAGACCGGCCTGGCCAACATGGTGAAACCCTGTCTCTACTAAAAGTACGAAAATTAAGGCCGGGCGAGGTGGCTCATGCCTGTAATTCTAGCACTTTGGGAGGCCAAGGCAAGCAGATCACGAGGTCAGGAGTTTGAGACCAGCGTGGTCAACATGGTGAAGCCCATCTGTACTAAAAATACAAAAAATTAGCCAGGCGTGTTGGCAGGTGCCTGTAATCCCAGCTACTTGAGAGGCTGAGTCAGGAGAATCACTTGAACCTGGGTGGTGGAGGTTGCAGTGAGCCGAAATCATGCCATTGCACGCCAGCCTGTGCAACAGAGTGAGACTCTGTCTCAAAAAAAAAAAAAAAAAAAAAAAGAAAACATTAGCTGGGTGTGGTGGCAGGCGCCTATAATCCCAGCTATTTGGGAGACTGAGTCAGGAGAATCGCTTGAACCCAGGAGGTGGAGGTTGCAATGACCCGAGATTGTACCACTGCACTCAAGCCTGCACAACAGAATGAGACTACATCTCAAAAAAAAAAAAGAAAGAAAAAAGAAAGAAAAGAAAAGGCTGATAATACCTACTTCAGAAAGTTATGAGTACTTAGCACAGAACTTGGCAGAGGATGAGCACTCAATACGATAGTAGCTACTGCTATCAGTCAGAGTAGTTTAATTATTTATTATTGTTTCTGCCTTTTTTCTTTCTTTTTTTTTTTGTTTTTTGAGATGGAGTCTTGCTCAGTCGCCTAGGCTGGAGTGCAGTAGCGCGATCTCGGCTCACTGCAACATTTGCCTCCCAGGTTCAAGCCATTCTCCTGCCTCAGCCTCCTGAGTAGCTGGGATTACAGACACGTGCCACCATGCCCAGCTAATTTTTGTATTTTTAGTAGAGACAGGTTTCACCATGTTGGCCAGGATGGTCTTGAACTCCTGATCTCAGGTGATCCACCTGCCTTGGCCTCCCAAAGTGCTGGGATTACAGGTATGAGCCACCGTGCCTGGCCTCATTTTTTTTTTTTTTTTTTTTTTTTTTGAGACAAGGTCTCTCTATGTTGCCCAAGCTGTTCTCAAACTCCTGGACTCGTGATCCTCCCACCTCAGCCTTCCAAGTAGCTGGGATCACAGGCATGCACCACCACACCCAGCTGTTTCTACATTTACTTTAAATTTTCCTTAGCTTCTAATATACACATCTCGTTCTATCATAACTCTCCTCTTCTCTGCAACTCACATACACCCACTTATACTCTCTCCGTCTCTCCCTCTGTCTCTCCCCCAGCCCCCCAGAAAAGCCAAAAGTACTGGTTTAGGAATTTGACATAAGGCTAGAGAATTATTTTTGTTGTTATTGTGTTGTTTTTCAACCCTTAGGTTATATGTAAAAAGTAACTTTAATGAATGTTTTGTGAACGCCATAATTTTCACAGATAGATTAATAACTAGGAGGAAGCCTTAGGAATTGTGCTAGTCCCTTTATCTGAATTCCTACACTTATTATATGAGTGTTAGGCACTTACAGAAGCAAACTGAACTTAGACATTGTATTTTGAGAAATCTATTTTAGGACATCAGGTAAGAGTCAACTTTGCAAATGCATTTATCCTCCTCTGTTTCATCCTGACTTCATCCCCTAAGAAGATTAACCAACATTTCATAATTTGTTTTGACAGAGAATGACATCAGAGATGGATAAGTATGTATGCGTTGGCCCCTGAGTCCCGAACCAAAATCAAGGTACTTTATAGAAGGGTGCAAGCTCTGTTCCGACACCTTTCTCCCAGTTTCCCCAAATGGAAACTTTTTTTTTTTTTAAAACGGAGTCTCACACTGTCGCCCGGGCTAGAGTGTAGTGGCTCGATATCTGCTCACTACAACCTCCGCCTCCCAGGTTCAAGCAATTATCCTGCCTCAGCCTTCTGAGTAGTTGGGATTACAGGCACCTGCCACCACGCACAGCTAATTTTTTGTATTTTTAGTAGAGACGGGGTTTCACTATGTTGGCCAGGCTGCTCTCAAACTCCTGACTTCGTTATCCGCCCACCTCGGCCTCCCAAAGTGCTGGCATTACAGGAGTGAGCCACCGCGCCCGGCATTCGAAACATTTTTACTTAAAAATACGGATGCTAATGTATAGAAACAACTGGATGCATTACTGACCCTTGTTAGGTCCTTCATCTTGGAGACAGAGCTGTCCAACTGAATAGTCGTGAACCTTACTTTCATTGTTATGCAGGCTTACAAAGTTGTGTTTTCACATCATTGGCCATTCTATTGTGGAGACATTGCCAGTTCCTCCTCTCCTCCTTCCTCCTTCCTCTTTCCTCCTTCCTCCTCCTCCTCCTCTTTCTTCTTTTTCTTTTTGACAGAATCTCACTCTGTCGCACAGGCTGGAGTGCAATGGCGCAATCTCAGCTCACTGCAACCTCCACCTCCCAGGTTCAAGTGATTCTCTTGCCTCAGCCTCCCGAGTAGCTGGGACTACAGACATGCACCACCACACTCAGGTTATTTTTGTATTTTTAGTAGAGATGGGGTTTCACCATGTTGGCCAGGCTGATCTCGAACTCCTGACCTCAGGTGATCCGCCTGCCTCCGCCTCCCAAAGTGCTGGGATCACAGACATGAGCCACCGCACCTGGCCAACATTGCCAGTTCTTCCAGTGGATGGTAGATTATTAAGTCTTTCTTTTAGTTACTCATTATGTTTTTAACACTTTTCATAGGCCTGTAGGTGGTTTGCATAAGAAAACTGAACTTATATAGTCATTGTATCTGTTCCCTATCCGCACTTGTCACTTCTGAGCTGAAATGTGAAAAGTATTCATGCACTCAAAGGAGCTATCTCATCAGAAAAAGTTTACAGTGTAAGTTAAAGAAAACCTGTTGAGTTGATACCTATTTTTTTTAAAAACATTAGAGGCCGGGCACAGTGGCTCACGCCTGTAATCCTAGCATTTTGGGAGGCTGAGGCAGGCAGATCACCTGAGGTCAGGAATTCGAGACCAGCCTGGCCAATATGTCAGAACCCTATCTCTACTAAATATTCAATAATTAGCTGGGCGTGGTGGTGTGCACCTGTAATCCTAGCCACAGAAGAGGCTGAGGCAAGAGAATCGCTGGAACCCTGGGCAGTGAAGGTTGCAGTGAGCCGAGATGACACCACTGCACTCCAGCCTGGACAACATAGCAAGACTCTGTATCAAATAAAAATAGTAATAAATCAGATATTTTTAGATGCTTAATATTACTAATTAATGTTTGTAATGTTTGCTTAATAGTTTGGTTTTCTTTAACCGTTTTTTGTTTTGTTTTAATGGAATTTGGAGGAATTTTTTAGAGAAACAAAGATTAATCAAAATAGTGTGATTATTTTTACAGCTGTGTAGCTTTACAGGATCAGATTTGATACAAATATATATACATAAACGGTTATTTTCCTAAGGAAAGACAGTGGACTTTACCTGTAAAAATGAAAGTATGTAAGTTAGTTTTATCCTCTGTGTTTAAACTAGTGACATTGATACATGAATTCACAGTATACAGAGTTGCAAACATCTGGCTTGTCAGTGTCCCTTGTACTTACTGACTGGTTGTAGACTGCTCTTCTACTCTTTACCCACCCCAAAGCCAACCAATCCCATGCCCCCAGTGCCAGTTCACTCTGAATTAATAGCACCACTTGGTGGCCAAAACTAGGAATTGTGTCAAGCACTAACGTTTCTTCCCTACTAGCATGTTGTCCTCCACATTAGACACTTCTGAACTGGAACCTGACAGATCTCTTCATGGCTATATCTGTTGTGCTTTTGAAGGATCTAGCTCCATAAGGAAAGTTAAAGATACAAGTCAAGGAAGACATTTAGATTGATATAATTGTTTATTTTAAAAATGAGTTTATTACAAATTTTAGTGCTTTAAAAAATTAGAGATAGTTTTATATTTCAGGTATAAAAATTTTCTAGAGAATTGAATTTTTAAAAGTCATAAATATTTTATTTTCTTATGAGAATAAAATTAGAGGGAGCCAATGCAAGGTCTGGTGGTTCATACCTGTAATCCAAGCACTTTGGGAGGCCAAAGTGGGAGGATCAGCCAGGCGCGGTGGCTCACACCTGTAATCCCAACACTTTGGGAGGCCAAGGTGGGCGGATCATGAGGTCAGGAGTTCGAGACCAGCCTGGCCAACATGGTGAAACCCCATCTCTACTAAAAACACAAAAATTAGCCAGGCGTGGTGGCAGGTGCCTGTAATCCCAGCTACTTGGGAGGCTGAGGCACGAGAATCACTTGAACTCGGGAGGTGGAGATTGCAGTGAGCCAAGACTGCACAATTGCACTGCCGCCTGGATGACAAGAGCGAGACTCCGTCTCAAAAAGAACAAAAAACAAAACAAAAAAGATGGGAAGATTACTTGCGCCTAGGTGTTCAAGACCAGCTGGGCAACACAGCAATACCCTGTCTCTACAAATAACTTAAAATGAGCTCAGCATGGTGGCATGTGTTTGTGGTCCCAGCTACTCAGGAGCCTGAGGCAGGAGGATTGCCTGAACCCAGGAGGTCAAGGCTATAGTGAGCTGTGATGATGCCACTGTATTCCTGCCTTGGCAACACAGCAAGACCCTGTCTCAAAAAAAAAAAAAAAAAAAAAATTAGATGGAGTCAAAATTTAACACTTTTAAGACCATTTGTTTTTACTCAAATGCTTATTTTGAATCAAAGTTATACTGAACATTGCTATTCAAAAGTAGAATACTGGTTGGGCATGGTGGTTCACACCTGTAATCCCAGTGCTTTGGAAGGCTGAGGTAGGAGGATTGCTTGAGCCCAGCCTGGGCAACAGAGTGAAACCCCATGTCTACAAAAAAATTAAAATTAGCCAGACATGGTGGTGTGCACCTGTAGTCTCAGCTACTCAGGAGGCTGAGGCAGGAGGATTGCTTGACCCCAGGAGTTCAAGGTTACAGTGAGCTATGATTGCTCTCCCGAATTCTAGCCTGGGCAACAGAGCGAGATCCACTCTGGGAAAAAAAAAAAAGTAGAATGCCATTCTAGAAAAAAGTACTAAACATTCATAAAGCCAACAAAGTTTGGTTTTAGATAATGGAATTTCATTAAAAGATTAGTTTCCATCATTTATAGATGATAAAAATGTTTTCTTTAAAATCATCCTACAAAATTATTAGTGTAGATTAGGTAGATATTTTGCTAAGCTCTGAAATACGTAATTTGATTTGATGGCGACAAGTATGGGAAATGAAAATGAAGTACTGTGTCAACAGGTGTATTGTGAGGACTAAACAGATTTTAGACAGGGTTTTGATCTGTCACCCAGGCTGGATTGCTTTGATGCAGTCATAGCTCGCTGCAGCCTCCATCTGTTGGGCTCGGGCAATCCTCCCGCCTCAGGCTCTGAGTGGCTGGTACTGCAGGTGCACACCACCACACCCAGCTAACTAACTTTTTTGATTTTTAGTAGAGACAAAGCCTTGCTATATTCAGGCTGGTCTTGAACTCCTGAGCTTAAATGATCCTGTCACTTCGGCCATCCAAAGTGCTAGGATTATAGGCGTGAGGCTCTGGCCCTTTTTAAATGGGCTGTAGCTTTGGAGAGAAGGGAAAGGACATTACAACACAAGGACATAAAGCTAACTGCTTGAGATTGACGCATAAGATTTATGCCAGAATCTGAGGTGAACTATTGGGGTACCATGATATTCTTCACTCTATGGGGTATTTTAAAATTTATATCATGATAAAAGGGGCAACTGAACATATCCTGGGGATTAAGTTGAGAAGAAATATGAAAGTAACTTAATCCTTGGGAATTTTAGAGATTCTGGGAGTCACACATTAGATTTTCTCTAGACTTCTAACTGAACAAAATGGCAATTAGCACAAGGATTTTGGAATACACTTAACAGAACATGTGTAACCTTGGAAAGGGGAATGTCTAATGGAGGGTTTGCAATTGAGTAGCTGCTTTAAGAAAAGAAAAATGGGTAATGCGTAGTTGATGGGTTTGGGTGCATTGAGGGGATTTAAAAAGGCCGAATGATGTTAGGATGCATTTTGGTTGATTGGTGCAGTAAAATGAATACATAAAGACATTAGAAATATACTCAATGAAACTAACAACTTCAGACTTGCACTGAGTTGCCCAACATATTTACTTCTGTGGATAGTCCTTTCTAATGCTTGCATAGGCAGTCAGAAAAACTCTGACACTCTGCTGGGAGGAATCACCATGCCTTGCTCTATCAATAATTCTAGGAATCAAGAGAGGATACCGAAGTTTGAGTAATGAATATGGCTCTCTACCTTGTGTGTGTGTGTGTGTGTGTGTGTGTGTGTGTGTGTGTGTGTGTGTGTGTCTGTGTGTATAGAGAGTGAGAGAAAGAAAGAAACAATAATAGCAATATCATATTACTTACATAGCATTTATTTACCATGAGCCTGGCACTATTCTAAGTGCTTTACATATTTGAATTCATTTAGTCTTCACAGAACTCTATGAAATAGTACCATTGTTTCCTTTTTACAGATGAGGAAACTGAGTCTTAGGGAGAATAAATAACTTACACAAGTTCATATAGCTCTTAAAGAGCATAGCTGGACTTGAATGTATCCTGATAATCCAGTGCTAGGCAGAGTATTCTTGCTTGGCCATTTTCATTGAATGGCCATTTCCATTGCCTCAATTGGAATCACAGGTAACTTGTGGTTACCCAAGAAGTGAACAGGTCTCGTCTAGGCATCCCATTTCTGTAAGAAATCATATACCAACCTATAATTCAAGGATCTTATGGACATGTTTGCATAGGAAGAAAGGTTGACTCCTCCTATGAAGAATGGTATGCTGCTCTGACATCATTGCTAAGTCCCAATGGCATACACATGGGAAGACTAAATGAAATCCCCTCTGTTATGGATGAACTAAGTGAACAGCATGAGGGTTTTCTTGTTTATCAGAGTTTTGAAGGTTTTTTGTGTTCATTTGTTTATCAGAGCCACTCTGAAGGCTTTGTCAAAGTTGGCCTGAATTCTAAATAAAGAGCCTGTTCTGGTAAGACTGATTACCTGTGAGTCCTTAAGTGTCAAATGGGTGGCTAAGAGTGGTGGCTCACAAGACAAACTGGCTGCATTTGAGGCCTGGTTCCACCACTGACTAGCTATATGACTTGAGATAAATTATATAACCTCATTAAACAGTTGATGCTATTATTATCATCATCAACATCACTACCATTATTATTCCCAGCCTATAAGAAAGTTATTGGTTGTCAGTGATCTGATGAAGGAAATACATGACAGTCTCTTTGAGACATTGTTGTTCTCAACTTCAGGAAATGGCAATACAGACCCAAGTTCGTCATGAGTGTACTCTAGTGAAGATAATGTGTACTCAAGTGAAGAGAATGGTTCTCCAGAGAACCACTGAGGGGCACTGGATGTGGTATTATAGTGTTGAAATTCACACTAATCACCTGGCCTGGTCTGGAAGAACAGCATTTATTGCATTTGATTTCAAGGTGTTGTGTAATTGTTGAAATCCTGTTCAAGTTAGAAAGCTGCTGGAGAAGGATCTACACTGTCCTGCTTTGCTTAGGCTTCTGTGGTTTGAGAACAAATGTGGGTGCGGACTGCAAGTGGGGAAGCATAATTCCCATCAGCTCTCCCCTATAGATATTTAGGAAGGTGCATATGAGGACATTATGTTAAGTGAAATAGGGCTGGCACAGAAAGACAAGTATCATATGACCTTACTTATATTTATAATCAAAAAACATTGAACTCATAGAGAACACAGTGGTGGTTACCAGGGGCTAAGATGGTAGGGGAGGTAGGGGTAAGGTCAGGGAAGATGTTGGTGAAAGGATACAAAATTTCAGTTCGATAGGAGGAATACGTTCACCAAATCTATTGTACAACGTGGTGAGTATATGTTTTTGTTTGTTTGTTTGTTTGTTTTTCAGTGACAGGATCTCGCTATGTTGTCCATGCTTGCCTTGAACTCTTGGGCTCAAGCGATCCTCCTGTCTTGGCCTCTGAAAGTGCTGGGATTACAGGCGTGAGCCACCACACCTGGCCTTTAACAGTGTATTTTACTTCAAAATTACTAAGAGAGTTGATTTTAAGTGTTCTTACCACAAAAAAAGATAAGTATATGATGTAATCCATATGTTCATTACCATAGTTTAGACATTCCACAATGTTTACCTATTTCAAAACATGGACATGATAAATATATACGCTTTTTGTCAATTAAATAAGTAAATGAGAAGGTACATAGGAAGGATATATCACAGTGTTACCTGGTTATCTGAACCCAAGCATGATCAAAGCAGGTATAGAGTGGAAAAGAAACTTACTGTGCAGGCAGCTAATTGAGGGTTGAACTCATCCCTTATTGGAAACTGGAGGCTCTGGAGACACCCTGGGTACGATATTTTAAGGACTTTTAAAGATTTTTTTTTTTTAAGAGTTTTGGTCTTGCTATGTTCCACAGGCTGGCCTTGAACTTCTAGGCTCGAGTGATCCTCCCCTCAGCCTCCTGAGTACCTGATACTACAGGCATGCTCCACCACCCCCAGCCAATTTGTAGAGACTTTAAGCAACACTGGAGCAGGTTACCTACAAGAGTAGTTGTCCGACTGCATGATACATCTTTGGAGAAACCCTTTATTGGAAGGAACCTATCTGGAACACATTTAAAACCTATCTGTCTGAATTTGTATTTCTATATTTTAAAAATTATATATATTTAATTTTCCATACTTTCAGTAGAATCTAATCACAGTCCCACTTGGCATTTAGTAAATAAGCTATTTCATCTACACTGACAATTTCATAAGCTGATTTTAAAGGTGCTGTGCTTTTAACACCAAAATATCTTCCTATAAAAATGATGAAAACTTACTTTCCCACTGAAGCTTTTTGCTTTATAAGTATTTGATATTCTGTTGTCATTCTTTTCTTCAAATTATATCAATTTGTACTTCATATTGTAATTCTCATTTTTTAAACTTTATGTTCATAACCAGCAAACTTGTAGATGTGTTCTGTTAGTCCATAATTTTCAATCTTAAAATGTACCTTTTTTATTTTTTGATATTAAGCAGTATTCCATTATCTACTTTTTTTTTTAAGTCTCTAAAACCCACTGTCAATAACTAGACTATCATTATTTGGAGCACAGCCACATTGTTATGTTACCATAGCTATGGCTATCTTTTGTAGGCCACAGTGACACTGCTGACCCTGTAGGGCATCTGCTTTGTTTTTCCAGCTGCAGAGATGGGTTTGTACTGA
The DNA here is from genome assembly GCF_000001405.40 of Homo sapiens. Classification (NCBI taxonomy): domain Eukaryota; kingdom Metazoa; phylum Chordata; class Mammalia; order Primates; family Hominidae; genus Homo; species Homo sapiens. The sequence continues at coordinate 63,029,284 of NC_000002.12, forward strand.
TTCACCCACATTTTTCACCTATCCTGCATATGACTAATGGAACACTAACTATAGACTTTGTTATGGGAGCCAAGATTAAAAATACAATTTGTGTCCATGAAATTGTTTACAGATTTACCCTTCATCTAGCTATCCCTGGTTATGTCTGTCTCCATACTAGATTATGCGGCCTTTGAGGGCAGGGACCACATCTTGGTTATCTTGTATCTCCAGTTCCTGCCTCAGGGCTATATACACCATCATCACCCCCTTCATTATTATCATCATAGCTTGTAGTCTTGGGTTCTGCACTAAGTACTTTATGTGGATTTTCTCAATTCTTACAACAATCGTGAAGTAAGTAATACCATTATCCATATAGAGATGAAGAAACTGAGGTTTAGAGAGTTTCAATAATTAGTCTGAGATCAAGGGGCTCAATTTTTTTTAAAAGCTAAACTGAACAAAAGCTATATTTTTTGTTTTTGAGATGAAGTCTTGCTCTGTCGTCCAGGCTAGAGTGCAGTGGCGCAGTCTCAGCTCACAACCTTCACCTCCCAGATTCAAGCGATTCTTCTGCCTCAGCCTCCCGAGTAGCTGGGATTACAGGCACACGCCACCATGCCTGGCCAATTTTTTTGTATTTTTAGTAGAGATGGGGTTTCACCATGTTGGTCAGGCTGGTCTCAAACTCCTGATCTCAGGTGATCTGCCCACCTCAGCCTCCCAAAGTGCTGGGATTACAGGCATGAGCCACCATGCCTGGCCAACAGAAGCCATATTGGGTGTGGATGCAATGTTCATCTTATTTGCATTATATTCAGAATGACTGATCTAACCAACCATGAAACTATAGATACTATGTAATTATATATCATGCTTGACACTACCAGAATTTATAGTTATATCTACAGGAGTTTCTCAGAATTAATGTAAGTAAACATTCATAATATGCTCCTTAATTTATAAGAGGTCTTTATTCTAAAGTTCATTTATGAGTCAGTTGCTCTATCACGTGTATCCAAATAACCTAAATAAAGATGAACCCCATTCTCCCAATGACAATATCCCCCCTGAAATTTTGGCCTACATGAATGTATAAATGCTTATAAATATCTGTTTTAATATTTAGCTATATATATATATACACACACACACACACACACATTTAAAAATCACATCTTAAAATACATTAACCTAGAAATATTGCTTTTCTCCACTTCCATTTTTTTTCTTTTTTTTTGAGACGGAGTCTCGCTCTATCGCCCAGGCTGGAGTGCAGTGGTGCAATCTCGGCCCACTGCAAGCTCCACCTCCCAGGTTCACGCCATTCTCCTGCCTCAGCCTCCCAAGTAGCTGGGACTACAGGCGCCCACCACCACACCCAGCTAATTTTTTTTTTGTATTTTTAGTAGAGACGGGGTTTCACTGTGTTAGCCAGGGTGGTCTTGATTTTGTGATCTAATGATCTGCCTGCCTCGGCATCCCAAAGTGCTGGGACTACAGGCATGAACCCGCACACCCAGCTTTTTTTTTTTTTTTTTTTTTTTTGAGATGGAGTTTCGCTCTGTCGTCCAGGCTGGAGTGCAGTGGTGTGGTCTCAGCTCACTGCAACCTCCGCCTCTTAGGTTCAAGTGATTCTCCTGCCTTGGCCTCCTGAGTAGCTGGGATCACAGGCATGCGCCACCACACCCAGCTAATTTTTTGTATTTTTAGTAGAGACAGGGTTTCACCATGTTGGCCAGCCTAGTCTCGAACTCCTGACCTCAGGTGATCCGCCCACCTCGGCCTCCCAAAGTGCTGAGATTACAGGCGTGAGCCACTGCGCCCAGCTTCCACTCCCACTTTTAAAGAAATTATTTTATTCAACTATTCATGTTCATCTTTGATATTAATATATCTGTCACTTCTAGAGCCACTTGAGTCATTCCCATGACATGACTGTGAGAAGGCTATAGGACAGGGAGTGGGTAGAATGGAGTCAGCCAGATGCAGCCCAAACAAAAAGGCCTTCAGGAGAGTGGAGAGCTGTCAGGGGGAGGCATCCATCTGTAAGGGAAGCTTACAATTCAAGTTTTCCCCTTACTAGAGGTCGCTTAATTGATTCTCCAAGAAGACTACTGTCTATCCAGTAGAATTATGCCTGTAAAAGTGACTGACTGTATTTTATCCTATTTTACAAAATACATTAAATGTACCTTAAAAAATAAATACAGCTTTGGAGTTCTGAGTGTTTTAACTTTAGTCAAATGCTCATCTGTAGATTGTCAAGATAGTCATGCGTTACCTGAAATGTGAGTCATTTACCTTTAAAGGCTCTTAGCAATAAAAAGTTATGGATGCATCATCATCCATATGTAATTTAAAAAAAATACTAAACTATTGGCTGGGCACAGTGTCTCACACCTGTAATCCCAGCACTTTGGAAGGCCGAGGTGGGCAAATCATTTGAAGCCAGCAGTGTGAGACCAGCCTGGCCACCATGGCGAAACCCCACGTCTACTGAAAATACAAAAATCAGCCAGGTGTGGTGGCGCACACCTGTGATCCCAGCAACACGAGAGGCTGAGGCCAGAGAATCGTTTGAACCCTGGAGGTGGAGGTTGCAGTGAGCTGAGATCGTGTCACTGCACTTCAGCCTGGGTGACAGAGCAAGACCCTGTCTCAAAACAAAAAACAAAAACAAAAAAAACCTAAGCTATAAGTAAATATAAATAATTTTATCAGTTATATTTTTTTCCGTAATGACTACTTTGATGCTTTTTTATTTCTGCCTTAACTTTGTGTTTAGTGTGTTACCTTTTGAGAAATCCAGTGCTGACCTTCAGTATAAAAAAGGTCAGTTCAAGCATTAGGAGATATACCTAATGTAAATGACGAGTTAACGGGTGCAGCACACCAACATGGCAGATGTATACATATGTAACAAACCTGTACATTGTGCACATGTACCCTACAACTTAAAGTATAATTTAAAAAATAAATAAATAAAATGATTTAAAAAAAAAAAAAAAGGTCAGTTCAGGCTGGGCGCGGTGCCTCACGCCTGTAATCCCAGCGTTTTGGGAGGCGCAGGCGGGTGGATCATGAGGTCAGGAAATCAAGACCATCCTGGCTAACACGGTGAAACCCCGTCTCTACTGAAAATACAAAAAATTAGCTGGGCGTGCTGGCGGGCGCCTGTAGTCCCAGCTACTTGGAGGCTGAGGCAGGAGAATTGTTTGAACCCTGGAGGCGGAGGTTGTAGTGAGCCAAGATCGCGCCACTGCACTACAGCCTGGGCGACAGAGCGAGACTCTGTCTCAAAAAAAAAAAAAAAAAAAAAAAAAAGTCAGTTCAGACCCCATTAAGGAGTAAGGAGTTGGTACAAGAAGACTGCTGTAAACTTCCAACCTTTAGAAATAGCTTCTTCCTATGTGTAAGTTTATTGAGGAAGAACTTTGGTGAAGTTGTCTGTGCCTCCTCCTGTAGAAAGTCCATGCACAGGGGTCTGTTAGAAGTCGTGTGTAGAAAGTTGCTACCTCACATCTCTCCCCACATTCTATCTTAGCAGACAGGTAAATAAAAGATATGTGTGAGAGAATATGGCAGTTTTTCTTTTGCTTCAACCAAAGGAGACAGGATTTTTCCCAAAGTTTGTACTCTTAATATTATAAATATATCAGGCTGAGCAAATGGTTTTAAGACAATTAAACTGCTGAAAACATCAAGATTATGAGATTCTTCTATGCTGATGCTGTTTGAGGATATTGTTGGATCAGAAACATTTGTAGTAAAATTTATTTTCATAATATAGCTCTATTTCCTAAGTTTAAATATTTTCTAAAACTGAGGCACTGGAGTCCTGCAATAATGTTGGCTTTGGAGTTAATGTCTACATGACCCTAAATAACTGCACCAAATTCATCTCTTTCGTCCATTAAATACCAGTTACTTGGATACCTTCATGTATCATATGTCTTTTTGTCATATGTCTTTCAAAGGTCATCATATTCTTATAATCACCATCAGGACAATTTGTAATGGCAGGTTTTTTTGTTTTTGTGTTTGGTTTAGCTTTGCTATGTTCTGTCCTTTAAGGGCTATATGTGATTACTACTCAGCCATCACCACTATGGGGCTATGGCAAGATTTCAGCATTCTTTAATGATTTCATGGTAGAAAATCTTGAATTTGTGTACTTGTATAACAGCAGCCTACATTTATATGTATTTACTCTTTCCCATTGAATTCGTCTTCTATTCAGCTAAAATTGTTTTATTCCTTATTTTGCATTTATATAAGAATTCATTGTCTAAAATATATCTTTATAGATAGATAATTTTATGGTGAAAGATTAATTAGGAAAAGCTAATGAGAAGACAGTTTTTAAAACATTCATAATTTCTGGTTTTTGACATCACTTTTATTCATTTTAAAACTTATGTTGAAAATACTACTTCTGAAAAAATAAATAAAAATTACATACAGATTCTTGGATAAATGAATGAATTGCTAAATAAAAATAATAACTTTGAAGATTTCTTGGAAGATATGTAATGTAAAGTAGTTGATATTGTCAGTTAACACTGACTATTGCATGTACTGCTCTGCATCATATGCTTCTATCAAGTGGTTTTTGTTAACTATGTGATAGGAAGAATAATTTGAAGTTATATTTACAAATAGTTACTTTTCCTGCTATTATCATTATCCTTGATTATTTAATAATTTTTACAAATCATACTCCAGCTGCAATAACGGATTAAAAGAAAAAACTGACTTTAAGGATTGTGATATCGAAATAGATGTTACATTGTCTTGGAGGCAAAATAAAAAACAAGTTTTTAAGGAAACAAAGTAGGAAAAAATATTACCAGAGATTATATTAAGTAGTCCAATACTTTAAAATGTTAAGGCTAAAACTAGTTAAGTAGTTTTTATGTTTTTATTGGTAATTTATTTATAATAAACATGAGGTACTATGTTTTAAAATATAGTGTAACAACTCAGCCATGCTTTCACATTTTAGTAATTGTATACTGTAGTATGTTATTTTGTCATTTTTAATTTCAAAATGGCTTTCAATATTGTATGTCTTGAATTTTTTAAATGGTGAAACTGAAAAAAAAATTTAAAAAGGATTATTGTTGGTCTAGGTGACAAAAATGTGGTTGTAATTACAAATTAAAGATAATTTTGAAAAAGAGGTAGTTAACCAGGTTAGGTTAAATAAGATTAAACGATTTATGGCCATTTTATAAAATAATGACAGTCTTCATTTTAAGCTACAATGTAAAGTGCTTTATTCTGAGATTAGGTATTGTGGCAGAAGCTAAAACTGCCTTTTTTTCTAGCAGTGCCAGAATACAACCTCTTTTTCTTTTTGCACTAACAAGACTGCTTTACCACCACAGCCCACTCTAAGTAATTAAATCAATCCTTTGTACTTACCGTATTCTCCTCTAGTGACGGTACTAGATCTGATTATATGCTTCATGCATATTCAAAGTACCGCACTGACAGCTCTTTAATGAGCTCTTACTTAATCAGTATGAACAATGTTCATCTTGTTCTTTTTTTCCTCATGCATTAGAGCTACGAACAGTTGGGAAAAATGAAACATCCAGCATTCATTTGAAAAATATATTGTACTTTGAAAAGTGTCTAAGCTGAGGAAGTTGCATTCTGCCCTTTAAAAGTCTGATGGACAAATTGGATTACTAGTATTGGATTAAATAACAAATGGTTAGAGGAGAAATGAGAAAAGCTCACTGTGATCACAGGCTTTAATATTTTTTGTTACTTATAAAGCTAAAGGGGTCTTTAACCAGTTATTAAAGTCAGGATTAATTTGTAATGGTTCAACTTACTGGCTTTTAAAAGCTTTTTAAATTTAAAAAATTTGAGAGCCCTGAAAACAATAGTGTAATGATGTATTAGAAGAAATTTTAATTTTTTTAGTATGAGGTTACGTATAGATGTCCATCATTGTATACTATCGCAGATAAGGATTTGGTGATACAGAATTGATTTATCTTCAAATATGTTTTTCCAGTTAAATGCTCTGTGAAGCAATGAGTAATGTGTCCTTAAATATTTCTTATTGTTAGGCTTATTTCCTTGTAAAACATGAGATTCTTTTGTTATTAGTCATTTCCTAACAATTAGAGGAAGGGGATCTCTTATTCTTCACTAGAATTCATAGGCATAAGTTTAACTGAAAATAACACAGTACCACATCAATATTGTTATTCTGAAGGAAGCAGCCTTCCATTGAAGAAAATGATGCTAATTTAAGAGTAGGCTGATTGCTTCTAGTATTGCCTGAAAACCTCAAATTATAGGTTAAGTTAAACGCAAAAGAAAGTTTTAATAAGTCTATATTTTTAGAAATCACATAGGTTATGAACACAAGAATTAAGTCTTTAATCGGAAAGTAAAATATCATAAAATCTACACCTATTAATATTGCACACATGTGGCATTTCACTGATCAAAAAGGCCTTCACCAGGGTACAATTGGCCTTTTTCCAAATTGCAAGCTTTTTCTCAGCTTTTTCTTTTTACTCTTTCTTCTTTTGTTGCTACCCAGGGATTTGTGCCTATCGCAGCCTATATCACATGACCAGTGTCAAGACATCACATGGTCCAAAGTGAATACAAAACCAGCTACCCTAAAAGAGAGATTAAAAATACTGTAAAACAATAAAGACTTTTGTTCAGACTCTAAAAGAATCTGTCCTAAGTCGGCTTCGTACCATTAGTTTTAACAGCATTGAATGAAGGCATATATTCTCAACTATTCTCCCTACTGGTAAACAACAGCTATCTATTTTATAGGGATGCTCTGAAATACATGTTTAATCCCTTACACACAGATTAGCTTTTTATATTCTATTTGTATTCTAAAAATTATTTAAATTTGTATTAATGTAGAAATACTTAAATAAATTATGGTATGCTCATAATTTATGCAAGCACTATAAAGAATGAGATAGATATTTGGACAATATGACAAAACAAATCATAGATGAATATGTAATATGAGCTTTTATGTGAAAGAAACATGTATGTGTCTATAGATACAGTATATACACATGTGTGATAGACATAGCTATCAATGTGGTCTCAAGGAGATATGTTAAACTATAATCATACTTACCTGTGGAGAAGGGAAGTGTGGGGTTGGTGGAAGAGGGCTATCCTTGACATTTTACGTGAAAAGAAAATCAAACTTAGGGAATAATAATCTGAAGGGAATTATTTAATTTTTAATAGATATTTAAATTAACCTTATGAATGCCATACAGAAGTTAGACTGAAATATTAAATACTAGCTTAGCAAAACAATAAACCAGTCATGGGAAAAATTCAGTAAATAAACATTGAAGAATTAGAAATTCGACTAGGTATAATTTGAAGGGAGAGAAAGGAAGCTAGGAAAATTAATATTTTTCTTCAGTATAATTGTGGCCTACTTCTACATGAACAAATGCCAAACATATACTATATTATAATCCTTAATATGGATTATATTGGCCTTTGTGAGGAAGTGGCAGGGTGGTATTAGATGATGGGATGGATATTAGCGATGGAGAATTTTAAGTATCTCCTGTGTACAATCAGTTATAATCTAAAATGTTCAGTTGTCACTCTGCTCACATGTTTTCTGAACATCATGATGTTCATTAAATTTTTTTTTTCATAGATAGCTGTGGGTATTTTTTTGTAGCCTGGTAATTTACAGTGTATTTAGTAATTTATAAGTAGTCTACCCTATTAGGGATGATGAGTTCCAAAATGTCATATATATCTCTAGTTTACTTTTGGGGAGGAAAATAAGAAAATAGCAAGTTGTTAAAAATGGAAACTTTCACACAATCTCTGGACTTCCCTGATCTTCCTGCTAGTCTTATGAGTCTCATAATGATTTTTTAATTTTTTTTAATCATGACCATATGTCTCTCAGCACTGTGAGTTCCTTATTGAAACATAATAGCAAGTCAGCCTCTAGGGAGAATTTAAAAGGTAGGACATTTTGTTTACTGTACTTAGTGTTAATATGATCTATCGGTATGTTCACGGAGAGTAAAATATGCATGCCGAATAATACCACCTTAAGATTGACTTTTCTTTTTTCAGGACTTAGACTTTAACCTTCTTATAAGCAGTTTAATATATAGTATTAGAATAAGTAAAATGTTTTCTATGTTTAAAAAATTATGTGCTAAACTACTATTTGGCTTGTTTTAACATCGTATAGTAAAAGGTAACTCTTCCCGAATTATAGGAAGGAACACAGAAGAAGAAGAAGCTATGATGCAGGAATGGTTTATGTTAGTTAATAAGAAAAATGCCTTAATAAGGAGAATGAATCAGCTCTCTCTTCTGTAAGTACTCATCATTATGCTTGTTTTGCCTACAACATTGATAAATCTTAGGCCTCTTGTTATTGCCTTCTTTGGGATTTAATATTTATTCGGTATTTTCCCTTTCCTTAGCGATTACATGTTTTATAAAAAAATAAAAAATAGTATATGACAGTTTTCATCTTATAAGAATTTTTAAATGGAACAGTAGACACTGAAAAAGTGTTTATTATACAGAAAGCCAAGGAATATAAACAATTATTGTATTTAAGAAGTAAATCACTTATACAAGGAAAGGAAGTTTGGTTTATATTGAGAGAGGGGAAGATAAATAAAATTAAAGTTTATTTAACAACAAATTCTAAGTTAAATAAAATAACTCTTAATAAGGACAAAAGTACATTTATAGTCTCAGGTGATGTTACTCTAAATTTTGGGATAAAAGATAAGTTACTAAAACAAAAGTGACCTTTTTGTGATTATAAGAATTACAGTAAAATGGAGTCTAGACAAAATGTAAGCATTCTTAGTTTTTAGCATTTTAGTTCACCGGAGGACTTAAGCACGTTCCTTTCTGCTCACTAGCAGTATTCTTCTAGTATGCCACCTAGCGTGAGAATGAGCAGGCTTACGTGGTTTATTTTAGTGAAAAAGTCTAATTTTATAATTTCTGCCATGCCTGAACTTGATAAAAGAGTTATGAAGAAGCACAAAACTTTACAAATCCTGAATTGTGGTCTCTGTATTAAATTTGCACTGCTGGTACTTTCATGTTTCTTGTATTCTTTTCATATGGAGTTTTGGAAAAAAGAGATTATAAATTATGAAAAATATTTTAGAAAATAGCCTTATACTTGGCATTTACTACAAGAAGCAATGAAGAAAGTGAGTAATTATCCTCAGATTAAAATATACCTATGTAACATTCAGAATTGAAGGAGGAAAATAATAGCACTAGTAAATATTCGACTGAGGAAGGTTTTAGGTTTGTGTATCATTCATTTGGAGTGGCTTAAACTTAAAGAGAAAAGTCAGTTATGAGTCCTAAAATCAATGTAACCTAAAGGTTCTTTTAAGTTTTTAATGATTTAGTAATTAGCATATTGATGAACTTTTGCAACTTGCCCAGGGAAAAAGAACATGATTTAGAACGACGGTATGAGCTGCTGAACCGGGAATTGAGGGCAATGCTAGCCATTGAAGGTAAGAAATGCTATGGTGGGGTGAGGTATGTGACGTGTCAGTTGTCAAAGAGATTTAAAGAATATAATACACTTCTGGTCTTACTAGATCTGGTGTACTAGGGACCTTCCGGAATTGCAAATAAATGCCGTGGAGGCAGAAAGCAGTATCCATATAAACTTAAGGACCCTAATTCAGATAGATAATCATTATGTTTGCTATTAATAGTAGCACAAAATTGTCTTAACTTTTGATTCAGTAAGCTTATATGTCCATAAAATGGAAAATAAAAGGAGTTGATTGATTTAATTACATTTTACTTAAGTGTGATTTAAAGTTGTTTCCACTCGGGAGGTTTGGAAAAGATTTATCATTTTGATTTTTTACATCCAGACTCTAAATTTTACTTTAATTGATGTCAACATTGAAATATGTTCCTGTTCAGTCTACTACAGTTCTTAAGATTCCAACTTGTATTAAGTGAATATCTGGGCAAAGATTGGCATAAAAGATAAATGAAACAGTTTCATGCTTTTCATAAAGCTTTTAAATGAATTATATAGTAATCCTATGCATGGTTCATATATCAGTAAACATCAGCTAGCTTATCTGGCATTTACTATATATGATTTTTTTTTAATTCTTAGGTGCTTTATAATGCTGTTCTCCTTATATCTCAGTTGAAAATGTCTTATAGTTCAAAGATGTCTGCTTAAAAGCTAATCCTTTGGGCTCTGTAAAATGGACCTTTTGTCTAATCAATGCAAACTGATTTTCCTATTCTATATTGACCTCTTAACCCATTGACTGTCCATGGTAATTTTGTTCTTCACCTGATAAGGTACCTGATCCATAATAAGTCAATTCTAATTAGTTCAGAAACTGGAAATTTAAGTACGTAAGGGAAAGCCAAGTGAAGCCTTATATTCTTAAAATATTTTAATAAATATTGTCACCAAAGTGCATGCTATTTGTCTGAATACTATCATATATGCTTGTAGACATTTCATTTTTAGTTACTTTTATATTCATAAACTCATTTGATAAATATCACTGGCAACATTTGTATATCCTCATTTATAAATCTGATTTACCTTATTTTGAAAGGCTTCAGTTAGCCAATTTCCTTCAAGTGGCTACCCAGATGTATCAAATTATAGCATTGATAATGACTATAAAATTTGTCAAAATTATTTAAGAAGTTCTGTGAAACGTGCCATTGAAATAAAGTGCACAACTATACTAAATGGTATTTTTCCTCTTGATATAGTTTTTGTAGTCATGGTATAGTCTTTAAAAGAGCAAAATAGTCAGTTGAAAAGTAGACACAGCAAATACTATTTATATTATATATATATGTATGTGTAATATATAATGTTTATATATAGTATATATAATACATATAACTCATCATACAGTTTATTATTTATAGATTCATTGTACACTACACTCAACACAGAATATTCTTTACATTTTTATCTACACTTTCACGTATAAAAAGATAAACTATCCCCAAAATACAGCTTGATACAATACAGTTGACTTTAAGATAGATATTGGTTCTAACCCCAAAACCAATGTTATAACCAAATAACTGTCTTAAAAGCAGGGCCATGACACATTAAATAATTCAATTTCCTCAGCAGTCCTATCCCTATATACCAGATTTACAGTGTTAAATAATCGAATATTTTATCTGCCTGACCTGCTTGCACATACAGAAAAGCAGTAGAAAGTCATATATTTGAAGAAAAGGGGAAAAATATTTTTCTTTTTAAAGCAGTTTTACTACAGTTGTTAGTGTTTTGCATTATCATTCTCTTTTGTGTTTTAAATACATTGTCTGTATATATATGACTGTGCCTTAAATCTCTCGGCCAGTTTCCACTGCTGGTTGAGGGAAAAAGGAGACTTGAGAAAAGGAGCAGCCTGTTGATTACAAATAAAGATACTGTCTTAAGAAAGAGGCCTGCCCCACTAGCCTGGGCAGTACATGGGCTGGGCTGTCCCAGAGAGGTGGTGATCACTGTGAAGATCAGCTCTGTGAAGACAGTGTCCTCTGAGCCAACCCTTAGAGTGGACACACATTCAGATGAATAGCCTTTTTAAGTGTTAACACACCACAGAAAAAAACACATGAATAAGCAACAGTAGTTAGTTTTGTTTTGCTTTCTTTTATTTTAAAGTTCATTTCTCTTTTCCCATCCCTCCTACTTAGTAGCCATAAGATGGTTTTAGTAATAAATAAACTAAAATCTTTTCAAATAAATCTGCTGCTGAAACCATTCACCAGGAGAACAGCATAGAATATTGATAACCATGGCACATTGAAAGAAATATTAACAGCTTGGTTTGAGAGCAAAAAAAAATAATATTCAATACATCCATTCTTCTGAGAATCCATAATCACTTTGGCCTGTTTTTTACCCTTTTTCTCCTGAGGTGTTTTTCATAGCAGGAGTTTCATTCTACTGAACTAAGTTGTAGGATCCCTCAAGCTAACAAACATCTTTTAGATACTTTTCCTATAGTTTTTTTTGTTCCAGATTATTTAATGCCCCCTCAAGAAAGATAAATTCATTTCTGCACACATTGGGGTGGGCTTTTAGAAAGTGGTATGTTCATTTTCTGCACAAGAAATGGATCTTCTCTAGGATTTTGTACATCTTGATTTATTCCTGGCTTAGAGTTTGAAGTGGGCGCTCTTCTAAAGGGATTTATGCATAGGTTCACTATTTTTGTAGTTATGGTTTATATGATAAGCTTTTTATATTTAAAATCAATATGTAATCCTGTGGAGGAGCTTATCCCCTAAAACCCCATTTGTAAATCTATTTTAGCTTTGTTACACAGTACAGCCACAGTCTTCCATAGATTGATTAGGTACAGCGGTAGAATCCTATCAAATGGCCTGTTCTGATGATGATGCAAACTCTTTCAGGATTGCTAGTTGACTGGAACTAAAGATAAGACTTGACTGCAATCCCCCAATGTGCTCTTTACAAAACTAGTGTTAATTTTCATCAAAGTGCCAGGCTTATTTATAGTGGCAAGGTTGAAGGTTTACTACAAGAACTTTAGGTCCTTTCTGTTAAAGTGTTTATAGGTATTTCTCTTGCCTTTTTTCAAGGTAATTATCAACTTCAGCAAATAAACTGAATCAGGGAGTGAATAATTGGCCCTATATATAAAAAAGAGTTTTTTAAACTAACAAAACAGCTCAGTGCAGATGGACATAAACAGAATCTCTTTATTTCAACACTTTGGCTCAAATGCAGCATCAAAACTTAATCCTATTTGTTACAAGAGGATATGGCTTTTGTAGCAAAAGTACACTGGAATCTTTAAATTAATCAGAACCCACATTGTAGTTTGTCCAAGCCAAAGTCAGTGCAGTTAGGCTTGAACATGCGAATGTGAATCTTGATCAATTTTAAATGTAATATTACATTTTTTAAAAAAGATAAAAATAGTTTACTTAATTTCTCAAATTAGCATTCAAATATATATGTATATGTATACATATGTATGAGTTTGTGTACATATATATTATATAATTTATTCCCATTATGAGAAAACAAACGTGAAGTAAAAGTATAGTTTGCTAATGTAAAATCTATTCACTGCACATTGCTATTTCCTGTACAGTTGACTAATATTTTGTAGACAGATATTAATGTAGCACTGTAATGACAGATTTAATATTTTAAAAACCTATAAATTTATGCTGGGATATTTTAAATTCTAATGTCATTTAAATTTGACTCTGAAATGATGAAAATTACCTAAATATTCTTAATTTTTAAATGATTTCATTACAGTTATAGAAAATGTCATTACTGAGCTAGGGAAAAGTTAAGATATTTTAAATTACTCAATACTTCAAAGGTTAAAATTTTCTTTAATGTCCTCTCTTATCCATTTTGTTAAAGTCCTAATTTTTTCAATATTAATGAAATCTTGGTATTTTTAATTACTAATTAAAGCCTTAAAAGCAACTGGTCAAGTTCAGAGAAGGAATAATTAAGAAAATTATATGTGTTGTTAAAATTTATGTTTTCTTGGTTTAATTTTTTTAATATAATTTTCAATTTAATTCTATTTTTGAAAATGTATTCAATTGTAAAGCTGTTAGCAAAATGGTTTCGAAGTAAATAATTATAAATCAAAGCTTATAATCAGAATGATTTCTTGAGGTTGGAAGTGAAAAAAATTAACATTCATTAAACTAGTAATCTTAATATAAAATTTAGTCTCAAATCTATTACACATTTAGGTTTTTTTCTGAAATAATATTTCTAGAATTATAGTTACCTGAAATTAGACTAGATGACCTTTAAGATCTTTCCAACCTGGAGAGCCTATTAATTTACCTGCTGAATAAGACTGATTTAAGAACAAGAACCAGATTAAAAAATTTTCCAGCATTCCTCTCCTCAGTTGCATTTAAATCCAAAGAATAAAATTGTGATATATATGGCTGCTCTTCAATTTTGCTGTTTATTATTTTTTAAATTATTATATTCAAAGAAACCCTTTCCAAATAGTTTCTGTATTCATCTCCATGCTATAGAATATTTCATTTTTAAAATAAAAATGTAATAGTGATCAGTTATTTAAAGTATTTGTGTGGTTTTATATCGAATGTGGATAATTAACATATAGCATGTTTCATATAAATATGTATGTATGTGTTAGAGCTTATAATGAAAGAAATAGTGATAAATTGAATAAAACAGTCTAGCTTTTTGCTGCTTTTCTAACCTTTATTGCATGATGATGCATCTAATTTTTAATTTGTAAATACAAGATAGAATTCCCTCTAGCACCATTTGCTTTCATAAAGCTGCTGAGCAGTTTGCTGTCTTGAATAAATTTTGCTTTGGAGGGGGTCGGGGGGGATTTGAACCAGCACATTCTTGTGTGGTTTGTGAAGATTCACATGGTAACCAGCGGTGTGCATTGTTAGGTTTATCTGAATAAGCACCAGCCATGTGAGTTTTAACATGATTGCCCAGGGCAATGGAGAGAGAAGAGAGAAACCCAAAAGGATTGCACTTCTCTCTGTTTTTTGGAAAGTGCATTTGCTGGGGGAGGGGGCTGCAGGAGTCAGTGGCCATGGTTCTTTTTTTTTTTTTTTTTTTTTTTTTTTTTTTTTTTTTTTTTTTTTTTTTTTAAGCTGGTGTCCTGTTTCCCTCTAGGTCCTCATTTGTTCTGCTATCTGCCTCATCATCTACTTCTTCTTTTCATTGTTTACCTTCCTAATGAGGGAGGCGGGGTAGACTGGGGGTTGATTGACAGCTACAAGCCCTTACAGTCTGGCCAGAGAGCAGTTGGCTTTGGTTTCAAAAGTGTTTTAAATGTTCGATTTGGTCCTGTTTCTATTAAATGAAACTGCTGCTCATCTTAAGGAAATCATCAGACCAGCAAAGATTAGGAAATATATTATTGGGGTCTAAAACCTTCAAAAAAAAAAAAAAAAAACGCCCCCCATCCATGGAAAGAGCACTGCCCATCGGGTTTTCCAACCTTTAACATAGGGTTTCAGAAAGAAATATGTAATTTTTCCTTTGCAAAAGTGCTTTGATTTGAAACCACCCAGCAAACGTCTCCAAAAGAAAACTGGCTGTGATGCGATCGAGAGCTGCAGTGTAATATTGCAGAGCAAATTTATTTTTTACTTCAAAGAAAAATGCTAATTAGCCGATTCACTACTTTTAAAGTTATTGTGAAGCATATGGCGCCCAGTGTGAGATACATCCAACTGCTAAAATAGAGCGAAGAGGAAATTAGCGAAGAATGGGCTGTTTGGGGTGAGAGTGGGGGTGGGGGAGGAGGATAGGTTCTCAGGCAGATTCTCTAGCCTTTTCAGAATGATTTTATCGCCCATCACTGTTTCCCGCCTCCTCATTTACCCACTTCCCCCACTACCAACCCCTGGGCCAACCTCTTCTGGGCCTCTAGCTCCCCTCCCCCACTTTGGCTGGATTCAGGTGCGCACCTCAGGCTAGCCACCAGTTCACACCTGGTTCTAAGCAGGTTCCAACACTGCTGCAGCCATCTCCATTCACAGGACCTGTTTAGGAAGTAGACTTTTAGCGAGGAAGCCTTCACCACAACAGCCAAACTCCCCAGAAAACACTAGCTAGTGGCTCTATAATGTGGTTTGCTGAGAAATATAAGGAAACTGGAAAAGGCGGGAAGGGGAGGGCGGGGGGCCGGGTGTTCGGAGGCCCTGCCGGTGGGTAACTAGCCTCCCGTCTTCTGCAGACTGGCAGAAGACCGAGGCCCAGAAGCGACGCGAACAGCTTCTGCTAGATGAGCTGGTGGCCCTGGTGAACAAGCGCGATGCGCTCGTCAGGGACCTGGACGCGCAGGAGAAGCAGTGAGTGGGCAGTGGGGTCGGGTCGAGGCTGGGCCACCTGCCGAGGGGCCGAGAAGTGTGCGGAAAGTTCAATCCAGAGGTCGCGGGAGGGCCGGGGCAGCCTCCCACTGGCCTGGTGCTCCCCATTCCCGCTGGGGATCCAAATACTGGGCGACGGGGGAGTGCTGCTCTGCCCTCCACGAAGAAAAATAATTTTGTTTCCTGTTTGTCCTGTTTGTCTGACATCCAGGGCCGAAGAAGAAGATGAGCATTTGGAGCGAACTCTGGAGCAAAACAAAGGCAAGATGGCCAAGAAAGAGGAGAAATGTGTTCTTCAGTAGCCATCAGATCAGAAAGAATCTCTCCCAACATTTTAGAGTCTTGCTTCCCAAACCAGAAAAAGTCAGACTCATTGTTGATTTAAAACTTTTAACATTTTGTTTGGCTGGATTGTACTACTTTACCTCTACTTTACCACCACCACCCTTTTCCTCCCTCCTTTCCAAATAATATACAGAACTCCAAAATAGCTTCATTTAAGGATTTTTTTGTGAGTTAACAATTTCCTTGAAATCCTGTGAAATAGATTTGCACAGACACCTTGTGAGTGATTGGTATTGGAGGTGTTCAAGAAACTGTTCGAAAAAGAACAAAAACACTTCCCTCGTTATTTTCTCTCATTTTTTGATGAGAGGAAAATTTGAAACATTATTCTTGTTGTTGTTGGTAATAGCATAATGACAGTGGGAGGGGTACAAGGGGATAAGAAAAATGTCATGATTTTTTTCCGGTCCTGCCACATGTAACACTTACTCTGTTACCTAAATTTTATAGTTAGATCATATCCAATCTACTTATTAAACTGTGTTCTATTTACCAGTGGAGTTTTTCTGCAGTGGTTGCGTTTCACTGTAAGGATAATGGAGTTCCTCTCCTCTGCTTTCCTCAGAGGATGGTCCTTTAACATAGCCAGAAACAAGCCCTGTGGTTTGAAGGTGAGCTGTGAGGATGGGACTAATTGATATGCACCAGTTTACAAAGACAGTCTTATCATCCGAGAATACACCATCTTTTTCTCTGGATAATTATTTCTTACATCATGCTTGATTCCTACATTTTGTTGGGTCTCAACATTGGCTCACGAATGCTGTTAATATTTATTCTGTATTGATAAAAAGTCTGTCTTGCCACTACAAGTAAATCCCCCATTTAATATTTTCTTCTTTAGCATAGCACTGTCATTTTTTGTGAAAATGGTTATGTTTATTTATTACAATACTGAGTCATATATAAATTTTCAATAAAAGCAGAAACTTTCTTACCTTAAACACGGCTGCTACTTTCTTGCAATGAAAACTTGACATTGGCTTGAATGGAAGTTTGTCTATCCGTAAGACTTTTCATGTGGAAAATGGTCCTCTGGAACTTAGGGCAGGATACTGGGCTGCATTTGAAGCTGAATAAGTTTACACCATCCCAGAGGGGGCCCTACTGACACACGAATGCGAATTGAAAAGTAATTAGTCATATTCTTAAGCAGTATAAACTATCATGTCTTTTGTAAAGGGTCATCTCTGCTAAAGATTTGAGGAAATTTGTGATTCCACACCAATGAAAAACCAATATTTATATCTTGAATTTTCCACGTCATTACTTTGAATTGTTAGAGTTTTGAAGTCGTATTAGGGAGAGTCGTGTCTTCTGATAACCGGCAAGTCTGTAGGTACTGAAGTGAAAGGAAGAGGGTTATTGTTGGGGGGCGGGGAGAATGTATGCAGGTATGTGTGTATGAAATGAGGGAAAGAGAACTTTTAACAAGAAGTTCTAGGCTACAGAAAAAAAAAAAAAGCGATTCTATGCTAGTTTCCTTCATTCCCCCACAGGGGTGTCCAAACAAAGAAAGCTTGTTCAACAAGTCCAGAAACTTAGAGAAAAAAGTCCACTAGCATTTATACTTCAGCGTAGATCGTATGTATGTGCACACAAACAAATTTCGTTCCAAGTATGCAGCCACCTCCAGTTGCCAGTCTTTCAAAATGATAAAAACTTGCTACGGTAGAATTCCTTCATGATGAGCATTTCTTTTAAGTTATTGAAAAGTTATTTTAAGTAAATGAAGTCGGTATTTGCCCTCTTTATTCGAGCACGAGAGCAGAGAGAGAGCTGCTGCTCTCTGGGGAACGCTCTCAGAATCCCGTTCTAACCCCGGGAAAACTCAGCAGACAGAAATCGCCCGCCCCAAGCAGCCTGGGGCCTGGGCGGCCAACAGCACCCACCCAGTTTACGCTTGATTCGAGGAACCTTCACTCCCGAGGGGCCTCGCCGAAAAGCAGCTCCTTCGCTCCCGAAGCCGCTCCCAATCGGCCAACTGACAACCCTTCCCTCGCCCCAGATTTGCTAGGATGGTCTGGGACCGCCGGGCGGCCCCTCTACCTGCCCCTTCAGCTTTAGTCCCGAGCCTCTCGGGGTTTCAATTTGGGCTGCTCGGTGGCGCCCGAACGCCCCTCAGCGGCGGTGGAGCGTGGACTCCGGCGCCTGGCGGGGTAAGGCCCGCGGCAAGGGCGCTGCATCCGGACATCGCTGCGTGGTGCCCAGACGCTGGCTCCCGAGAACGGGCACGAGCCCAGCACGCCGGAGGACCCGGAACTCGAAAGCCCGCGCTGCGGGAAAAGAGACTATCGGTCCGAGGGTCGCAGAGGAGCAGGGGCGTTGGCAGCGGGCTTGCTTGGGCACAGTCTGCGGGCCGGAGCAGAACTTCCGCCCCTGGTCAGATCCCTCGGCCTCAGATCCAAAGCCCTCCCCTTGTCCCAAGTGTCCTCCAGAGCCTGGCCGGGCCTGGAGGTCACCTGGATGCTGGATCCTTGTCTCCACACCCAGCTCCCTCGCCCCTTCCCGGCTCGAGGGCCTTGAGCTGGACGGCTTCACCTCCTCCAGTGGTGTCCCCACTTCCCCTTCCCGCACCGCGGCCGATGCTGGAACGGTCATGGCTTCTGGCCCAGCATCTCCCACCTGGACATTTGCCTAGCGACGGCCGCCTCAATCCTCTGCGCTGCTTTCAAGAAACTTTCATCCCAGTCTCTCTCCCTCTCCACTCTCCTCCCTCTCCCCCTCTCCTCTTTCTTTTCTTAATCCTGGGGTTTTATGGGCTGAGCGTTAAGAAAATTCGCCTGCAATTTGGGATTAGATAAATACTCTAATTAGGAAAAAAAAAATCCGTGCTACTTGATACCTCCCAACTTCCCCGAGAATGGTGGCAGCATCTGGAACCGAGAGCGCCGGCCTCCCGCGAGGCGTACCCCGGGGACCGCGCTGGCACATTCCAGAGCGCACTGCCGTCCCACCTCGCTGCGCCGGACCCAGGTCAGGTGCTGAGGCTGCAGGCGAAACAGGGCCTGGTGGAGGGAGGAATGAGTTAAGGTGGAGGAATGGGGCAAGGTCACGCGCCCCGGCACTGGAGGGCCAACCCCGGCACACAGCGGACTGGCCGGGACTAGGGCAGCGCCGGGCTATGGACGCGGACGCCGGCGAAGCGCACCCCGGGACGTCCGCATATTCTTTCCCCCAAAACTAGTGCGCTCCAGCCGGCGCCTTTCCTCGGAACCTAAGGAAGGGGTATATTTCGTTGCTTTCTTTAAACCTCAGCACGATCACAGTGGCTCCGAGCCGCGGGCGGCTGACCGCGGGCCTCGCGGGCTACTCCTGGTAGGGGCCTGCGCGAGCCTAAGGTGTGTCCCCGCCTGGGTTAGCGCTGCGCTCTGCACTGTTTCTTTTCCTCTTAAAGCTTCTTTCTCACTCACTCTCTCCCTCCTTCTCTCTCTCATTTTTTCCCCATTTCTCTCGTTCTTTTATTCAGCTTTCTCTCTTTCTCTCCCTTTTGTGAATGGGCCGCGGTGTCTTTGTTCTGTAGAGAAGCGCCCGTGTCGCTGACTTTTGTGAACCAGAGAAGGATCTTGTAAAACCTCCTTTTCTCCTTCGTACGCCCCCACTCCCACCCCTCCTCCCCTGCCTCTTTGATTAGATGTTCCCTCATCGTCAAAAAAAAAATGTAATTTCGTTGGTCTGGCGGCCACTTTCTTTGAACATTAGCTCGCTTTCAGCTCCAACTTCAATTAGAAGGAGTTGATTTTGAGAGATCAACAAAAGAACCGACCAAAGCCTTATTAAAGGTCCTAAGAAGATCTCCCGGGTCCTTTGAGAAGCAGTTAAGGAAACAGTGTGCCCTCCATCATATTCTGTTACCGTATTTTATTCGGACTCCAAAGGAAAGTGTCGCTTGGGGGAGGGGGAAGCACTTTGATGAGCGGCGGCCGCGGCCCCTTTTCACTCAGCGGGCTCCCCCTTCGTTCTCCTCCTCCTCACCCAGCGCCCGGTCCGCTCTCGGCGCCCGACCCCGCAGCCCGGGCAGCGCGAGTGCTCCCCACTGCGATGCGCCTGGAGGCTCCTTGACTTGCCCTCACACTTAATCCTGTGCAAACTTTTTACCCCGCCTGTCGGGGTGGGGGAGTGGGGGAGATTAGAAACAAGGGGTAGAAATTCCTCGAAAGGGAATAAAGTGCCTAATTTTCAGGAGGAGGTGCCATTTAAAAGATTCGCCTAGCTTAGAGTTGGAACGAAAACTCTTTTTTGCACTTTTAAAAGTCCACCCAGGTAGACGTGTTTGGGAAGTTTTTTCGGGTGGGAAATGGGCTTCGCCCGTACGAACAATCCGGGGAAATCGCCTCAAGGAGGATCCTTACGCAGCATGTGGAAAAAAGTTGAGGGCAGGGGTCTGTGGCCACATTTTCCATCAAAAAGTCCCTGTTAGAGGCAGTCTAAGAAAGAGAGAGAAAGAGCGAAAAAGAAACTTTCCTATCAAAATGTTTCAATTAAGAAGTAGGGTGTACGTGTGAGGGGAAGAGGACGCTGGGCTCCAACGTTTCAGTAGAAGCGCTTAAGACTTGCAAACACCCTTGGTGGGGACCTGGAACCCCGGGAGATGCCGACGAGCAAGCAGGTAAGTGGCGGCGCCCTCCCAGTGGGTGCTCTTCCCAGGCGCGAGAGTCCGGAGGGGCCGAGGAGAGATCTGCACGCCCGGAGCTGCTCCCGCGCTCTGCAAAGTAGCCTGCGCCGGCACGAGCAGCCCGCGGCGTCGGTCTCAGGTGGCGGCGCCGGGGAAGAAAACGCTGGGGCCCGCGGCGCCGGGAGAGGGGCCGAGGCCCGGGCTCCTCCAGCCCGCCGCCCCCGGGTCCTGGCGCCCACACCCGAGCGGCTGAGCCCTGTAGCGCGCGGGAGAGCGAAGGAACCGGTTCTCCAGCACCTCGCCTCCTCCCTGCCACTCCCTCCGGAGCGCCGAGAGCGCGAGAAGGGCGGGGGCGCCCAGGGCAGGCCTGGAGACCCACGGCCCCCTCCGCGGCCAGGACTCGGGCTCTCCGCTCGCCTTCCTCGCCTAGCTCTGCGCCGCTTTTGCCAGCCGAGTCCCGGAGTTAGCGCGCGACCGGGGCGGGGCGGGAGGGCGGGGAGGGCGGGGTGTGGGGGGCGGGGGAGGGCGGGGGCGCGCGGAGGTAACCCCCGGCTCGCGCAGCCATTGCCCGGCTCCCTGTCACTCAGCCCGCGCGGGGCCCCCGATTGGCGGCCTAGCCCCGTTACGCACTCGCCTCGCGTTCACATACCCGGGGAGGGCAGTAGAAAGGTGATCAATCTTCATCAGGCTACATTTCCAATCACCTAAACAACCGAGCAAGACAAGCCACTCCGACAAGGTAAATCGCTTGATTTATTTAGTTTGCAAAGTGACTCTGCAGGACTTCCCAGTCCCCACTGCCTCCACGTTGCACCGGGAGTGCCGCGGCAACGCCGAGCCACCTCCCAACTCTGCCCCTCGAATTCCCCCCCTTGCGGCCCCTCGGCGCGATCCCAGGCGAGGCAATGTCCTGAGAACGTGTGGGGCTTAGCAAACAAAGTGTCTGTGCAATAAAGTGAAACCCAGAAGGACACGCACAAAGCCATTGAAAAAAAAGATAGAGGTGGGAAGAAGGAAGTTGGGAAAAGAAAGAAACCTGGGGGTCCTAGACCAGCCGCCAGGGTAATTCCAGTGCTGCTCTGTTTTGCAGGTTGGCTGCCCGGCGGGTCTCTGTGAGAGATCCAGGTAGATGGTGAACGGCCCCGGCAGCTGAGGGCAGGTAAGGAGAAAGCCGCGGGGCCACCCCGGACTCCGGGAGCGCGTTGGTTACCCTTATCTCCCCCTCCTCAAATGGATCCCGGCTTCCCCGGTCCCCAGCAGGTGGTCGGGGCTGTGGGAGCGGCCTGGCTCCCCTCTTGGTGAGCCGAGGACCCCGGGGCGCTGTCGCGGCCCGCAGCCCCCTCCCCCGCCTCCTCCGAAGTAACCAAGCTGAAGTGCTAAGTTTGGAGAAAGTCTTTGAAAACTCACGCTGCAGCTTCGCAAAGCCGTCGCAGCTTTGAGTCCCATTTTCCTTCGGCCCTAGAGCCCTGGCTGCTTCCCTTCCGGTCCCCTTCCTACAAGCTGGACTCCCTCAGCCCAGGTCTTGGGTCCCAGAAGACGGGGGCGGGAACGGGGCTGGGGGGAGCTTCTTTAGCTCTAACTTCTCTCCTTGAACGTCCTAGCCCGAGTCCCTGGCTTGCTTCACAGCGATCCCGCTAAGCGGGGTGTAGCGATGGCCCCCCAGGGCCCCAGGCCCAGTTTCCAGCGCCCCTCCCTGACCCCTGAGAGTGGCACCCCGGGTTCCCGGCAGCGGCGGGGGCGAGGCTTCGACCTCCCAGCTCGGGTCTGCGTGGGCTACGCCGCTGAGGCCTAGTTCTCTGTTCTCGACCGTGTCCTGGGGCCGCGGGTTCAGCTACAAGGATGGCAGCACGCGACTTGCTGCCCTCCGGCTTCACAAATCCCCGAGACCCTTTGAGGTGCTAGGCCAGTCACCCTTCACCCCCTGCTGGGACCCTGCGGTCCGCAGCCCAGACTGGGCAGAGAGAAGGCCGGGTGCGCGCTGGCAACGAAGGACGCTGGCCGCAGCTGAGGCGCTCCCGACCTCAGGCCGCATCTTGGGGTCGCCCCCCTCTACAGTGGCCCCTTCGGCGTCCTCTGGCCCTCTGCGAAGCCTGGGCCCGTTACTGCGGTTGAGGTGCGGTGGGATTTCGCGTCAGCGATCTTTCAGTGGCTGGGCACAGAGAGGTCAGCTGGAGTGGTGATTGCGGGATCTGGGGCAGGGGCGCAGCCCTGGAGACCTTTAAAGGAACCAAGTGTCTAAGTGGACAAGAAGTGCAATTAGCCCTCCACATTGGCCCTTTGTAGTCTCTACCTTTTCAAAAACACGTGAAACAAAATGAAACAACGCCTCATGCTCTGGGCGGCCTGCCGTCCGGGCACCAAGTGAACCTTTGCTTGTGCAACATGAAGCTGGCTTCTGCCGGATTCAGAATTTTGCCTGGACTTGGGAGCTTGTACACTCCGCGGTTCTGGCTCTGACCTCCCCAGCCTGGCCCTGCTTTTAACTTCTCCTTACTCCTATGGACTCCCTACCAGTGTCTTTGGCTCATTCCAACCCTAGAGCCAGACGACCCAGAAAACTTTACTTTTCAAAGTAACTGTGGTTTCTGGGCTAAGGCCTTGTGGATCCCAGTTGACCACCCTGCGCAGTTCTGTAACCTGCCTTCCCTGTCTATCCCGGGGCAAGACTTGGCAGCCAAGTGGCTCCGATTGACGGTTTCCGTGTGTCTCGTGTCTTCATAGGCCAGGCCCCCAGACGCATCAGACCCTGAAGGACTGCGTGGTGGGAGCCCTGCACCGCTCCTGGCCCCGGGCCCCCTGGATCCGTCGGGGCGCCTCCACCCAGCTGTTAGCATGATGTCTTACCTCAAACAACCCCCATACGGCATGAACGGGCTGGGCCTGGCCGGGCCCGCCATGGACCTCCTGCACCCATCCGTGGGCTATCCGGGTGAGCACCAGCCCTCCCGACCCTGCCTCAGCCTCTCAAATGTTGGGGACCCCCAGACTGTTGGATTTGAGTGCAAGCTTTGTTGCTGAGCAGGCCCAGGGAGCCGGCTGCAACACAGGGCCCACTGTCTGTTTACAATACAGGGCCCACTGCCGGCGCATGGGGCAGAGTCGTGGGCGTGTGAGGTGGCCAGGGCTGAGAAAACGCGCAATATGCGCCTTCCCGGCCGGATCACCGGCAACCTTTCTCCGGTTGTGGTCCCACCGCCAGCGCAGAGCTCATTTACTTGCGGATTCGCTACCCAGGGGCGGCTAGTATTTTTCCTTTTTCCCCAACATGGAATGTGTAATCTGGACACTCGTTAGGCCCTGACAGAAAGAGCCAAACTTTCCTTATGCGAAGCGGCAGGCTGCACTGAAGGAGTATTCTTCCTCCCTAATTAAATTGTCCTCTAAATCGATGTCCTGCACCCATTTTTGCGCTGCTGTAGAGGACGACTTGAGCCAAAGCCGGGGTTTCTTTTTTAGCTCCCGCTCCTTTACCTCATTTATTTTCTCCGAAAGTGTTTTTCAGGTCGTGTTTCTGCCTACCTCTTCCCCACTCCCTGTCCCCCATCCAGAGTGTGTGTGTGCGTGTGTGTGCGTGTGCGTGTGTGTGTGCAGGGGAGAGGGGATGTAGAAGAAGGGAGATTGTAGACTTCTCTTAACTTTTTTAACCTCTGAGAGGCATAGAGAGGGGCAGCCCTCGAATCTTGGAGACACTGGCTTCTAGTCGCACATCTGCACTTTCTCCCACCTGTGGCCTCTCAGGCTCGGCCGCCCGAGGGAGTTTCTTTTATTCCCAGTTCGGCTTTCTTTTGCGAAGGCCGAGATCTGGGCCTGCCAGGGGCCTGCCCGAGTCCTCTATCGCGGGTCCACGTGGCCACCAATGACCCGCGGCGCCCCCGCGTGTCCCCGCAGCCACTCCGCGGAAGCAGCGGCGGGAGCGCACCACCTTCACGCGTTCACAGCTGGACGTGCTCGAGGCGCTCTTCGCCAAGACTCGCTACCCTGACATCTTCATGCGGGAGGAGGTGGCGCTCAAGATCAACCTGCCGGAGTCTAGAGTCCAGGTGCGCACTCCCCGGGCTCCAGGGTCTGGGTAGGGGAGCTGAGGCTGCTCGGGGAAGGTCTAGGAAGGCTCTTGAGTAGTTCTTGAGGAGACCATCCTGTGGGGGTGGGCTTACAGACTGGGCAGCCGCTCTCGGACTCCCCCTAGCGCTGGGCCCCAGCCAGGAAAGGGGGCAAAAGTTAAAGGAAATGGCTTAGAGCCCTGGATTCCGCCTTTAGCCCTAGGGCGCCTTCGGTGTCGGTATCGAAAGTACTTTTTAGAATTGCCGGAGGACTAGGGAAGCTCCCGAATGTAAAGCGCCCTGCGGGCCTGACACTTGCCCCTGCTTCTTCGCCTGCCCCAGGACTTGGCAGTTTCCCTTAGAGGCCTGAATTCTGCCTCTGCCCTTGTCTTCCACCCCGGGAATCCTAGAAATGGAAGAGCGGAGATTGGCTGGAGCCTGGTGCTCTGCCTGGGTCTCATTAGACGCTTCCTCTGCTTACAGAGGATGCTAAGTGCAAAATCCTGCTGCCGGCTTTCTTATTTCTGTTTTTGAGATGAAAGGGTTCCGATGATAACGTTCGGATTCTAACTCAGAACTCTCCTCAAGAGTCTCGCCTCCTTTACTCGAAAGCTTGAGAAGGGGGACCAGGAATGCAGTGCCATGTGCTGGGGCTCTCCTAGAAGAGTAACCATTCCATTTGGTTCCCCACCTGGAGCCAAAGGGCCAACGAAATCCCACCCAGGCTTCCTTCCCGAGTCCCTCAAGTACTACCTCTGTTTAGCCTCTGGCCTTGCTCCTACCCCCACCCAAATACTCGCCCTGCCCAGTTCTGGCCTCCAGGAGCTGCTCAGTGAAACGGCTCAGGCCCTAGACTTGGTGACTGTTCCACACTCTTCGGCTCTGTACCTCTCCACTGTTGCCTGAGCTCTGTTAGTAGAAAACTGGGCCTCCAAACACACACGGGGCCTCCAAACATACACGGAAGCAGCCAACAGCAGCAATTTAGAGATGGCAGAACTTCTGACTGGGCAGACTGAAATATTCCGCCCTAGGGCAGAGTTGCGGTAGGGGTGGGGAGGTGCGCATCCCTGCTCTGGAGCCAGCTGAGGAGGGGCTTTGAGCAGAAGGATGGGGGAGGGTGGAGGAGCTGGGAACCGAGGTAGGGGGCAGGGTCTGGCCAGGCCAGAGACAGGAAGGGGCGGAGGCCTCGGTGAGAAAGGATTGCGATATTCTGGACCGGGAGTTGGGTCCGCGGGGCGGTGGAGCAACAAGCTCCCCTAGCTCCCTTTGACCCACTCTCCCCCATCCGGCCCACTGCAGGTCTGGTTCAAGAACCGCCGCGCCAAATGCCGCCAGCAGCAGCAGAGCGGGAGCGGAACCAAGAGCCGCCCAGCCAAGAAGAAGTCCTCTCCAGTGCGGGAGAGCTCGGGCTCCGAAAGCAGTGGCCAATTCACGCCGCCAGCTGTGTCCAGCTCTGCCTCGTCCTCTAGCTCGGCGTCCAGCTCTTCCGCCAACCCAGCGGCTGCAGCGGCTGCGGGACTAGGTGGGAACCCGGTGGCGGCCGCGTCGTCGCTGAGTACACCAGCTGCCTCATCTATCTGGAGCCCGGCCTCCATCTCGCCAGGCTCAGCGCCCGCGTCCGTGTCGGTGCCGGAGCCATTGGCCGCGCCTAGCAACACCTCGTGTATGCAGCGCTCCGTAGCTGCAGGCGCCGCCACCGCAGCAGCCTCTTATCCCATGTCCTACGGCCAGGGCGGCAGCTACGGCCAAGGCTACCCTACGCCCTCCTCTTCCTACTTTGGCGGCGTGGACTGCAGCTCATACCTAGCGCCCATGCACTCACATCACCACCCGCACCAGCTCAGCCCCATGGCACCCTCCTCCATGGCGGGCCACCATCATCACCACCCACATGCGCACCACCCGTTGAGCCAGTCCTCAGGCCACCACCACCACCATCACCACCACCACCACCAAGGCTACGGTGGCTCTGGGCTTGCCTTCAACTCTGCCGACTGCTTGGATT
This sequence comes from Homo sapiens, assembly GCF_000001405.40. NCBI lineage: Eukaryota > Metazoa > Chordata > Mammalia > Primates > Hominidae > Homo > Homo sapiens. The sequence goes on from NC_000002.12 coordinate 63,056,207, forward strand.
ACAAGGAGCCTGGCGCCGCTGCTGCTTCCTCCGCCTGGAAACTCAACTTCAACTCCCCCGACTGTCTGGACTATAAGGACCAAGCCTCATGGCGGTTCCAGGTCTTGTGAGCCCAGGAATGAAAGAGGAGAAGAAACGCAACTACCTGCGCCCTCCGTGGTCCCGATCCTGTTGCTGCTGCTGCACCGCCCGCCTTTGCCTCGTCTTCTCCAAAACTGAATTTTCACCCCCCAAAAAGATGTCCATTGCCTGCACTGCCGCCCCCATTTTTGTGCCACTTGCTTGGGGGGATGTGCAAACCCACCCTGCCCCTTGGATGGGGGGACCGGTGCTTCGGCTTGGCCTACACATTCTATACAGGAGAGATGTATTATTTCCCCCCTTCAGCCCCTACTAAACTCTTAAGCCTCCCCTTCCAGTCTTTCTGGACAGCTATTAAGCACTTGCAGCCTTCGGAGGCTCTGCGCTCTGATCCGCTGTTTGAGCCCAACACTTTAATTTATTCTTTCTGGACACTGGAGTCACTAACTGGCGTGTTTCTGCCCATTGGAGCACCCGCACACTACTCCAAATCAAAACCACTAAGAGTTCCTCCCGCGCAGACTGCTGCCCCTTCAGCTGCCCTCGATTTTGCTCCACGCCTGCCGGCCAGAGCCTCCCGGCGTTTCTTCCGCCCCAGCGGAGTGCGCTGGGGCGCGCCAGGGCTAGGCCCGCCGGAGGAGCGCGTCCCCAGCCTTCCGCGCACAGAGCCGCATCCCGCCCCGCCCTGCGCTGGACTGGTTCAAGCTTCCGCCTCGGCGGGAACGCTGTACATAGTCAGGTCCGTTCCAGGGACCACTTAAACTTTTTAGTTGCTGTTGGTTGGTTGAACTGAACATATCTTGTCTTAGCACCCAGGAAACAGAACTTTAAGATATATACAGCACATATATATATATATACATATATATATACACATATATAAAAAACAAAAGCAAAAAATATTTTCCCTCTGTCCGTCCCCCTTCTGCTCTTCCTCAATCAATGGCGCTTTTTCTTTTTCAGTTGTTGCAAAGCTGCCCTGCCCTCTTCACATCTTCTCCCTCTGTGTATTTATTGAAGAGAACCGCTTGGTTTCAGGAAGCTGGGCGCGGGATATCCGAAGTGTGGAGGAAACAGACAAGTCAGGGTACAGAGGTGGGGGTTGGGCAGGGGCGCAGGGCTGACCCCCTCACCCGGTCTAAGCACAGGGTCGCAGTTCCAGTTTACAAACCTAAAACAAGAAAACCAAAACCAGGGAACAAAACAACAAAACAAAACAAAATCCGTAAAAGTACAGCATTAGGGAAAAACAAACAAACCCAGGCCCCAAACCCAGTTCCAACTCCTCTGTCGGCTTCTCTCTTTCAACACCCTTGTTTTGTCTAGTGAGTTTTTAGTGCACCTTCGTTCTCCGAAATCTGCGGAGAGCCCGCGCGCCTGTGTATCAATTTTGGCTTTGGCCGCTTCGTCCAGTAGGTGGGAAAGTAATTTGTAAATTTGATTTGTCTGATGTGAAGATCACAAATTACTTGTTGAAATGTAAGGCAGTCCCCCTCCTCCTCTTTATCTACATTACTTCCCGAAAATAAATGCAAATTAATGAACGGCTTGTCAGTGTTGCTCTTCTGATTCCAGCCCGAGGTCCTGGTCTCGGGGGGCTAAAAGCGAGGGAAACTCCGTGTTAATAACCCGCGTGTTAATGACCTGCGTGAAGCTGGAGGCCAAAGGATGAGGCGGGAGGACTTGGCAAGAGAAGTCCCCAGAAACTTTCGCTTAGGGAGTGTCTCCCCCCACCCCCACCACGCCCCTCCGCGTCAGCCTGGCCTCTTCCCCCAGGCGTTTTGACCCCGCATCCCCCCTCGCCATCCAGGACAGAGACAGGTGTCAGGACTCAATTCCCGAAGCAATTCCTTTCTCTTCAGAGGCAGGAGCCTGGCACTGATTTCTTCACCCTAATTGCCTGCACCAGAAAGAAGAGGGGGAGGGGAAGAGGGTCGGGAGGCGGGAAAGGATAGCTCTGTAATGCTCTCAGAGCTGAGCCAAAAAGGAAAAGAAAGCAAAACGACAAAAAACTGATCCGTGTCCTGCATGTTGGCAGCAGACAACCTTCCTTGCTGCTGAGCTGTCCCGGGTGGCTTCACCGCGGCTGGGGAATCCGAGCCATTCCTTCCACGTGCTAAGATGTCCCTCTAAGCCCTCAGCTCCTGCCAGAAGTAGCCAAATTACCTTTCTTCGTACTGTAAACTTCCTTTAAAACATACAAACTCATAACCTGGAAAAGTCGACAAGGACGCCTTTCACTTTGGCAGGGGAAGAAGACGACTGGCTTGCATCTGGGGGTCAGGAAGGACAGTTCCATCTCCCTCTGAGGGAAGACGGGGTTGAGGGGTAATCCTCCCCCAGAAAATGCAGAGCCTGGAACTGTCCAGACTCTGGCCTGAAACCTCCTGGGTGTAAGGCCATGAATCTGCTCGACTTGCTCACGGGCGGGAAGGAAACAAGGAAACAACGAAAAGTTTCCTGCGAAGTGACCAACATCCCCTATTTTTTAAAAATTCCGTGTGAGACCTGAGAACACACTGTGAAGCGGGGTTCGGAGAACGACCCCTCCCGCGTTCCGCGCCCAGCGGGGTCGCAGGGCTGCGAGCCCGGCTGTAGCAAAGCTTTCTCGGCCGCGTCCTCCCTCCGGATTCGGTAGGCCAGGCTCGGGCGCGCCCTTCCCACACCAACAAACCATCTTTCCCGACTCAGCAGAGGCCCACAGGGGCGCAGCCGCTGTCCCTCCGCCCTTGGCCCAGCGGCGCCGCCCTGGTACGCCAGGCCTGAAGGCAGGGCCGGCCCGCGCCACGCAGGGTCTCCCTTAGGCGGCGCCTTAGGGTGAAATGCGGGGCCAAGCCTGACCTGCCGGGGTGCCCCGTGGCATCTCTGGTGCGGACCCCGCACGTGCCGGGGAGAACTGGCAGGCGGCCAGGGCGAGGAGGCTTCCAGCTTGCGCCGCACTGGCCTGGGCACCCGGGCTGCAGGGCCTTTTGGGCCCTCCCCTCAGTGACCCTGCCTGTAGCGGCCCCAGGGCCGCTTTGGCTCAGGCAGCAGCTGCCAATGCCGCTCGAGGCCCGCGGCTCCCTGAGGCGAGCTCTGCGGGGCCCAGCAGTCCTCTTGGCTGCTAAATGGAACGAAACCAGGAGACCCGGCTTTGCACTCGTTTGGACAACTGTGTGGCCTCCGGAGCAAGGTACCCAAACCCTTGGGCCTCAGTTTCGTCGCAGTTGTTATTTGAACCCACTCGGCCTGGGACGTGCCAGAGCTTCACACTTTAGGTCGCGGCTGCGGGCGGGAGGGGCAGATGCGACCCCTGGGCCGGCCCCTCGGGGGCGTCTAGAAGCTTCGGCACCTGCATACTAAGGCCGGAGGGGGCTGGCAGCCAGGCACACCGAGGCCCGGCCGGAGTTCCCGCCCGGGGAACGAGGCTTCGAAAAGAGGCACGTGCTTCTCCCAGGGCCTCCCGCCAGGTGCTGAAACCCCACGGCACTGAGTGGAAACCGGAAGAGGGAAGGCGCCCAGGGCCTGCCGGGCCGCGGCGCCACCTGAGGCTGCCGGGACGCTGGAGCGTGGGGGAGTGGGGTGAGTGCGCTGCCGGGCCGGGGGCGGCGGGGGACGGCGGGAGGTGGCCAGGCCCGGCAGGGTGAGGGCGCTGGCGTTGGCCGAGAGTCCCTGGGCAGCGGCGGCGGGAACGCGGAAGGTTCCCTCCACCCCCACCCCAACCCCCACCCCCACCCCCGGGCCGGCCACCTGTTGACAGGCAGGTTCTCTGAGAACCGACTTCAGCTCGCCCTTCTGTCCAGGAAGTTTGTTCGGTTTGGGTTTGGGTGTTCGTGACACAATCGGAGCAATTAGAATTGAAGCAACTTCAGGAGATTTAGCAACCCGCGAAAATTTAGCAACGTTCAGACGTCAACAGTTTTCTTTCTTTGAGTGGTCAACGAAAACTTGACGTTTTCTACTCATACCTTGTATTCTCTGCTTATACTGTAGGGGCAAAAAAGTCTACTCTTAGACAAACGTGTGTGAAGTGCTTTAAGGGTAAGGGATGGGTCATATTTATGATTTTAAAGATTGCTTTTAATGTTAAAACTCTCTCAAGGGCACTGCTTCAATTTGCTGAAGTTCTGAACAGATTCGGTGAAGTAACCTCGTTTGTTGAGCCTTTCTGTAATTTTTTATACCAGTTATTGAGGATATATAGAGACAATGTTTCTCTAATTCATTAGTGGGTTTTTTTTTTTTTTTTTTGAGAAAAAAATCTTAAAGCTACAGGGTATTAAACGTAAGGGGGAATCTGATTCATAAGAAAAACAGGTAAAAACCTTAAGACGCTGGATGTCAGCAAATTCTTTTCTGCTACATTACAGAGACCAAAAAACGGAGTGGTTTCATTTCTTGTATCAAAAGAAAATTACTAGTTTTTAATGTATTTTGTGCAAAATAGCAATTTCCACAGCTAAATTGTGATTTTTTTTCAATTGTGAAAATATAAATTCACTACTCGCTCTGGCAGAATTAATTAATGTTAATGATGTCATTAGTGCCTGATGACAAGCACTAAGGTTTTCTTTAGAGGTAAAGAAATAAAATCTATCTGATATATAAATGTTGTTATTATATACATTATTGGTAAAGAGAATCTGTATCATTACTATTCAAGACCAAAAAATCACTTGGCTTCTGATGCGGAATTAATTTAAGAACAGCAACAAGATATTTTTGTAAAATTCCCTAATTAAAAACAGAATAAGTTCTCAACAAGTTATTCTATATTTTTCACACGTTCTCTCCCTTCCCCCATGCATTTTCATGTTTAAAATGAAAATGAAAAAAACCCTCAAGAAATATTTATATTAAACAATACTTGAATTAAAATCCATCACATTTTAAATGAATACTAAATAATAACAATGTCTTGCCTATTTGACAACAAGAAAACATCTTCATTAAGGAAAGAATCTGTTTTAAATAAATGTTTGGGTGTCTAGACTGTACTTTTTTGAAAACCAGCTTTTTTGGCTGTGTTTAGTAGATGATTCCTGAGAAAGCAATTATGCCTCTTAATTATCCTGTTGATATTTACTGATATCTGAAAAAAGAATTGAATTTTTGTGTGTGTGGAGGAGGGGAACATGCCATTTTGATCTAATGATTCTTCAATCATGTTTTAAAACTGAGTTGGATTTTACTTAAAACACATTAGGTGCATTTCCTCAAAAGTTTTAAAAATCAAAAATATTTGCCAAAAAAATCCAGTAATTTAGGTGAAATGGCAGTTACATGATACAGCCAAAATTGACACTGCTTTTAAATATATCTAGTTTTTTTCTCAGGGAAAAAATAGAGCAAAGAAGTGTATAGTGTGCTTGAAACTAAAATGCGTATCACTCTAATTTATGAAATTGTACACTTTTGTTTCTAAAACTATTACTTGAAAGATAGGGATATGCTTAAAATATGTTGGAGTTCTTTCTGACCAAATAGGACTTAGGCTCCATTTAATCAATGATGGTCCATCAACATTGAAACATTGGAAATCTATGGTGTTTCTAAAAATTGTGCCTCTTTTACCTCCTTTGAATCCTTTACTTGGTGACTAATATAACTAAAGGGACAAAATTGCATTCCTTTCCAATGGTCGCAAATACTTTTTTACAAAGGTTCATCTTTACTAAACAGATTATGAAAGCTATTTTAGAAAATTTTAGAAATTCTTTTAAAGTGGATTGTAAATTAGGATTTAAGGAACTTGAGTCAAAACATTTTCAGGATTGGAGTATAAATAGATCATAACTAATCTTTACACTCGGGGTAAAAAATAAAATGTAAGAATAAATGATCTCTGATTCAGCTTCTAAAGAGTATATAAAACATTTGGTGTCTAAAGAATGTATAAACATTTTCAGTACACAAATATTCTCATGTATGTTCAGCGCTCTAAATGCTTGTAAGATACATCATCTATCATAGCTATTTCAATAGGAATCATATTTTATTTTTAAAATTTGTTTTAAAAATTTTGCTGTGAAATATACAAAAGAAATTAAAAAGATTTGTACACTGCAAGGAATAAAATATACATGGAGCAACAAGTTTTTAACAAATACTTTGAAAAGTAGATTTGTTGTTGGTTACAATATCAGTGTTTAAATTTGATGTTGCATTAAATATATCTTCATGTTTGGGGGATTTGTTAAATCTTTTAGAGTAGTTACTGCTACTACGTAGGGACACTTTTTAAGGGAGAAAAGCACTTTAAATCATAAGATTAAAAAAAAAATCCATAGGCCTTTGTAAATTCATAGGGTTTTTCTTGGGTGGAAGAGATGTGCTTTATGTCTATTTGTATTTTTTATGAACGAGCACCCAGATAATCTACCTTCTTGTTTCTCAAGCATGAATATTTGACCTCATCCAGAGCTATTGCGTCAAATCTTGATTTCATTGCTGGTGTTTCATTGCTCAAATCCATGTTTCTAGCCCAGACTTCTCTGTTAGACTTCGGATACCATACCTGTACATGAACTAAATAGAGGCTATTGAATTTAAGCCCTTAGGGAAGTTAATGATATGATGTCTGGGACTTGCTTCAGAATAGTCAAGGAAGAGAGAGAGTAGGTCAAAAATAGAAGAAATAAGATTAGCCTTGAGTTGATAATTTTTGAAGCTGAGGGAGAGAACTAAGACTTTATTATACTATGCTTTTGTAGATTTAAATTTTTTTCTCTACTGTGAATAAAAGATATTTCATTAGTTCGTCAAAAGTAGTCTTTGTAGTAGATTGAAAAAAATTGCGCTTCCCATGCTTTGGTGTTTGTACAATATTATTCACATATATTGTTTTCTTTAAGTTGCCCAAGTCTTGTGAAGTTGGCAATGGTAAAGTGAGACTAAGTGGTTTGGTCACTTATTCAAGGTTGCATTATTGGTAGGTAGCAGATCTTGGTACTCAGTCTTCAGATTCCATTCTCATTTGCTCTAAGATGTACCTAAATTTTTAAGTATATTAACAAACATTAATTTTAAAATACATAACATATCATTTGAGAATCTGATTGCCAGATTAATATTAACAAAACATGCTTCATCTAAATTCAAGTTGTAAAAATTTGAGTTTCGGTCATTGAAAATTATGTCTTGGGATATTCTTACCTGTTTCTGGGCATCACTTAAATTTCATTTTAATGAGTTTTCTGAGAGATATTAACATTAATTAAGGAGACTAGTGATACCAAGTCTCATCTTTCTATTTTCCCCATTAATTCCTTATTAATTTTAATTTCTTACTAATTTTCATTTCTAAGTAATTAAAAAATTTGTTATTGGTGGGTTCATATTTATCAGTGGTGTTTTCTGTTCTTGACTGAGCCTTCTTTGCTCAGAATATTGCTACATTATAGGAGTTCTAATCCAGAGAATAAGTTTAAACCAGATATGGAGTTGGGATTAGATTAGTGGCTCTGTATTTGAGGCTTAGTTTATGTGTAAGTAAACATTAAGGTTTTTTTTTCCCCTAACTACACTAACTTGGAAACATCTATTTTTGAGTTTTGAAGCTTGTAGAGTGATTTTTAAAATCTCACTAATGGCAAATCCTTGTCTTTTTGGGTAAATTTTATTTTTCAGAGCTAAGTCTGGAAATTAAGAAATGGGTTAACAAGTTGGGTGGCAGAGATCATATCACTATAGGTCTTTTTTATGGAAAAGCAAAGAGCCAAAGTCTTGTTTAAGTTGTACCTTTATTCTTCAGGTTTTTAAAAACCCTTATTTTATGATTCTATTCATGCTAATGACTTCTTCAGTCTTCCCCTTACTTGATGTGAAAAATAAACGTTGTCTATTCATGTTTATTATGTTTAGAGAAAATAAATAGCACCTATTTTCTCCCTGTATTTTCTCAGTTGAGGCATCAACTTTATCGTGTACTCAGCTCAGCACCTGATAATCCTGCATACCTTTTATTTGGACTTTTTATTAGGAACTGAGATTTTTCTTTACCCTGAGATTGTATTCCAGTTAATAAGTCAGCTAAACCTTTTATCCAAGAGAGATTAGAAATCAGCGGGCTTCCTAGTGCTAAGAGAAACCTAAGAGGTTGCACTAAGTTTTCCTGTAGTCTTAGGCCTTGGCACAGTGCCAGACACAAGGTAGGACTCAACAGTGTTTATTGAGTGAATGAAAGAGTGAAGCCCAGTCATCAGCCATGAAGCAGATTTATATCATATCTGTAATTCTTCTCAGATACAGAATTGCCTTTGTGTCTTTGTGATTTTTAAAGTTGGTTTTGAATGGATTTGATAGCATCCTTTCTTAATCTCTTTTGATCATCCTTATAAATAAGACTTTTTTGGTTCTCACTATCACATCTCTTTCCAAATTTATTTCATTAAAATTCTATGTTATAAAATTATTTAAAAGTTTGTAAAATGTATATGTACATTTTATCAAATGGTTATCAACTTAACACCATGTAATCACTACTCCCACGTCAAGAAATAGAATATTATTGGGACCACAGAATTTTTTAGGTTATTCTTTATCCATCATAATCTCTTCTGTCTCCCCAGGGGTAACTGCTCTTCTGTTGTTCGTGTTACTGACACTCCTTTACTCACCATGAGGTTATGTCCCAATAAACCCATAGTAAGTTAAAAATATCGTAAGTTTATTGGCTAGAGTCAAATAAAAAAAAGGGAAAATATTGTAAGTCGAAAACACATTTAATACATCTAACCTACCAAGCATCAGAGTTTAGCTTAACCTACCTTAAATGTGTGAAAAGCACTTATATTAACCTACAGTTGGGCAAAATAACCTAACAGAAAGCCTATTTTATAATAAACTGTTGAATATCTCATACAATTTATTGAGAACTGTACTAAAAGTGAAAACCTGAATGAATACACGGGAGCTTAACATATGGTTTCTACTGAATGTGTATTGCTTTTGCACTATCATAAAGTTGAAAAATCCTGAAATGAACTGTTGTAAGTTGGGAACTGTCTATAATTTTTTCTTGCATTTCTTTTCTATCTTAACCACCTCTATATGTATTCCTAAACAATTATAGATCTATTTAGCCAGTTTTGAATTTTATAAGAATAAAATTATATTGTATTATCTTTGTAACTATTTTCACTTAACATTGTAATGTTTATAATTATGTATCTGTAGCTTGTTCATTTTTATTGCTGTATGTTGTATAATATTACATAGTGTGAATATACCAAAATTTATCTGTTTTACTGTTGATAGGTGTTTGGGTTGTTTCCAGTTTGGGACAGTTATAATGGTGCCACTCTGAACATTCTTTTATGCATATCCTGATGCATATAAGAATGCAGGTCTCTAGGATATGTTGTAGGAGTAAAGTTTCTGAGCCATAAGACATGTATATATTGACTAAATACTGGCATAATTTTCCAAATTGGTTGTGTTAGTTCATGTTCTCGAATAGTGAATGAGAATTCTAATTCTCCATATCTTTGCCAGAGTTTAGTATTGTTAGACTTTAAAAATTTTGTCTCTCTGTTGGGTGTGTAGTAATATCTCGTTGTGGTTTTAATTTATATTTTATTGATTACTGATGAGATTGAGCCCCTTTTCATATGTTTGTTGTCTATTTTTATTTCTTCTTTTGTGAAGTGCCTATTCTTATATTTGCCTTGGTCTTTTTTTTCTATTAGATTGTCTGCCTTTTCTCTGATTTGTAAGAGCTCCTTGTATGTTCTGCATATTAGTCCTTTGTCAGTTATATGTGTTGCAGATATTTTCCCCACTTTGTGGATTGCACTTTCACTCTTAGCTGAATTTGTTAAATTTTTTCTTTCTGATTGGTGCTTTTTATATGTCTTGTTTAGGGAGTCCTTTCTTACCTCATGATCATGAAAATATTTCTCTATATTTTCTTATAAAAGATTTCTTTTAAAAGTTTTGCCTTAAATATTTATCATCTGACTTTTGTGTGAGTGAAGTATTTGGCAATGGTTCCTCCTGTTCCTTCTTGAAACTTCATCTGCTCACATGACTGCAAATATCATCTTTATGTTGCTAATTCCAAAACTGTGTATTTTTTGGTATTGACTACACTCCTTAGCTGAGACCCTTATTTCCAGCTGCCTCCTGGATCTCTCCACTTGAATCCAATCAATAACACAACGAATTTGGAAAATATCTGCTACACTGAGCTCATTTGTTTAATCCTTGCTTTCTGTTTAGATTAAATCGTCATGTAAGCCAAAGTACGTGGTGGAATCTTTGAGATTTTTCCCCTTTCCTTCCCCATCCACATAGCCATCATGTCCAAGTGATGCTACCTTTGAAATACATCTCAAATCCATTCTTCTTTTCCTTCTCTCCAGTTCCACAATTACTGCTCAGAGTTCCACCTAGTCTAGTACAATAGCTTCCTAATTGGTTTTCCTGCCTTCCTTCTATCCCCCTTCTGTAGTCAGTCATTCACACTGCCACAGAGTTTTCTTTCTAAGACAAATCACACCTCTTTCCTGCTTTTATGGCTTTTCATTGCCTTCATTATAACAAAAAGTTTAAATCTTTCACATGGCTTCTACCATTACTCTGCGGGAATCTCATCTTTTAGCCACACCAGGCTACTTATTGTTTCCCAAAGAAGCTGCGTACTTTCATTATGCCTTTTTTCATGTTGTTCCCTCTGCTTGGAGTAGTCTTCCTTCTACCTCTTCCCACTGGGAAAATCCTATTCCTTCCACCACCATTCCCAGACAAAATTAATCACTCCTGCCTCTGGGCTTCCCATAACACTTTGTTCATATCTTTATTGCAGTACTTATCATACTGCTTTATAGTTGTTAGTTTATGTACCTGTCTCTCATGCTATAGATTTTGAGGTCTTTCAAGACAGAGAATATGTTTTGGTAATATTTTTATTCTTAGCACCTAGCAGTGCCTGATACATAATAGTACTAAAACATACTTGAATTAAATTTAAAAATTTTGCTAATCTTAAAAAAGAAAATAGAAATATATGCATTGACTAAAAGGTCATGAGTAGAGAAAAATGTTGATGAAAGAATACAATATCAATGTTTCTAAACTGTTTTAGAAAAGATTCATATCCATTACCTATTCTGAAGTTGATTAAAGCTGTTGTGTTTTGCTGTACCGTAATCTCAGCTTAATTAGTTATCTGGGCTGTTTTATGTGGGTGGGTTCTAGCTAAAAAGATTACAGCATACTGCTCTGGCTCCATGCTAATGAAGGGGCAAAAATAATCTTAAAAGAACAAATAAAATTGACTGAACTCTCATTTTTAAAAGGATGACTTGTTTCAAACAGACTTAGAATACAAAGTTAGTTAAAAATTAGTTTTAGAAAAGTAAGAAATTTGCAACACTGATGGAGAAATGTGTGTGTTTTTTTTTTCAGAGAACACATTAATGAGCACAGTCTATCCTATTACAAGTGTTATACTGATGAATATATTTGTTTTGACAGTGCTTGCTAACGTCTAGTCTGGAAGGTGCTGGAATTAGGTACTTCTTGGGTTTAATCATAATGGTGATAGGTTAACAGTTTCTACGTGTGATAATTTTGCAGACTTCCACAAAATATAAAACCTCTGGTGACTAGAGTCCAAATATTTACCTAAGGCTCACACAGCACGTACAAAACAATTGAATTGTGGTTAGACAATTTTTTACTGTTCATCTGGAGAAAGCAGGGTTAGTAGCGTTTGATAACGTTATCTTTCTCTCTTTTCATGTTAGCTTATTTGTCATATGCACAAGAATATTCTGAATATAAAATGTTCTTAATAGAGAAAATTTAAGAGAAAATTGATTTTTCATTAAGATATTATATATTATTTACATTTGGAATTCAGATTGAAGTAGATCTTTAAAGAAACTTGAAAAAGTTTGTCTTCCATGTCTGCAGATCAGTATCTTCTGATAATTATATATATTTTGAAATACATCAGCCCCTAATCATAAAAGCAACTTTTAGATAACCATGGTCAACTGAATACATGTGTTCATTTTTACTCTGTCATGAAAACACAGTAAAATGAAAGTCAAGGAATAAAAAAAGGCATAAACTCCATAAGGACAAAGGGAACATGAAAGGAGACATCAACAGAATTTTGGAAGCTGGATTGTTAGTGGGTGAGTGATAACTAACTTAGTAAAGAAAGCTGAATCCCTGACTGTGCAGCTACTTTCTACCTGCCACACCTGGCTAGCTGGGATAGCAAATAATAGCCAATGGCTGTGCAGATACTGGTGGTTCCAAGCAAGTGGTCAGCATGAAATTAGGGGGGACCAGAGCTGTCTTGAGATGATCTCATTGTAACACATGTGTCTACATTTTTGAGCCTACAAATAACTGAACATTATAGATGCAGTATGCTATGTAAGCATGTTATGAATTACATTTGATTATGGGAGTAGGATGATGGTATCTAAGGAAGAACCTCAGTGGCTCTGTTAATTCAGCAAGAGTAACTGTGGAAACATAACATCTGGACCCGCACTGTCCATTATGGTAGCCATTAGCCACATGTGGCTTTTGAGCACTTGAAATGTGGCTAGTCTGAATCGAGATGCAATGTAAGTATACAACTCTTCCTAGTTTTCAAGGACTGAGTATAAAAAAAAGAGAATGTGACATCTCATTAACTTTTACATTAATTGCTTTTGAAAAAATATCTTGGATATACTGGTTAAATCAAATATATTACTAAAAATAATTTCACCAGTTTCTCTTTACTTTTCTAATGTAGATTTTAGAACATTTTAAATTATGTTTGTGGCTCCTGTTATTTTTCTTTAATTCACCTCTGAATAGAGATCCCTAAGATGGCTGGTGTGGTTCTCTGGTCTGTCTCTTACAGGGACAGAAAGAACTCTAAATGGGGACCCCATCCATACTCTATAGTACATATGAGTATCACCGAAAGTGCTACAAATATGTACTTTTGGCAAACTACAAAACTAATAACATTGTGAGTTGTGAGTCTCTTAACTGAATAAAAGGTAATTGCCTACAGTTATCAATAGACGTCTTGCTAAAATTGTTAATTTTCTTGAATGTGACCCACCTGTCAATGCCTCTGTAGCACAATTCCTCCCTTGAATCTATGTGACTTATTTTTTGTACCTGATTATTGAATGCCAAAAGAGAAAAACTCACAGCTGAGCAGACAGGATTCCATAGAGGCACTGTTGCCAACCTGGCCTTGGATTCTCAAGCTTTTTAACAATCTTTGCAATGTTTCTGTGTTTTTCTAATCATTTATCTCTTTTTTTGAGACAGGGTTTCACTCTGCCACCTGGGCTGGAGTGCAGTGGCACAACCGTGGCCCACTGTAGCTTTGACCTCGTGGGCTCAAGCAGTGCTCCCACCTAAGCCTCCCAAGTAGCGGGGACTACAGGCTCATGTCACCATGCCTAGCTAATTAAAAAAAATTTTGTAGAAACAAGATCTCACTATGTTGCCCAGGCTGCTCTTGAACTCCTGAGCTCAAGTGATCCTCCTACCTTGGCATCCCAAAGTGCTGGGATTACAGGTGTAAGCCACCTTGCCCAGCCTCTAGTCATCTCTTTAACCTAGTCTTCATGGTGGCCATTAAACCCCCCTCTATTCTTCTCAAACCCTCTATCCTTTTTCTTAGCAGATGACCTTACTTTCTACTTTACTGAGAAAATACTGTAGAAGCCATCAGAGAGGAATTCCCTTGTCTTTTAGCTACCATACCTGCAATCTTATCTCTACTTGTGTATTAGTCAGGGTTCTCTAGAGGGACAGAACTAATGGAATATATATATATATATATATGAGTTTATATATATATGAGTTTATATATATATATGAGTTGAGTTTATATATATATATGAGTTGAGTTTATATATATATATGAGTTTATTAAGTATGAACTTACAGGATCACAAGGTCCCACAATCGACCATCTGCAGGCTGAGGAGCAAGGAGAGCCAGTCCAAGTTCCAAAACTGAAGAACTTGGAGTCCAATATTCGAGGGCAGGAAGTATCTAGCACAGGAGAAAGATGTAGGCTGGGAGGCTAGGCCAGTCTCTCTTTTCACATTTTTATCCCTGATTATATACTAGCTGCACTGGCAGCTGATTAGATTGTGCCCACCCAGATTAAGGGTGGGTCTACCTTTCCCAGCCCACTGACTCAAATGTTAATCTCATTTTGCAACACCTTCACAGACACTCCCAGGATCAATACTTTGTATCCTTCAATTCAATCAAGTTGACACTCAGTATTAACCATCACAGTTCATAACCATTCCTTTACTTCTGTCAAATGTTAGGCACAGTGATTCTCTTCTGTCTGAAGTTAATCTCTGATTCTGTATTCTTGCTCTTATCCCCTTAAGCTTCCTCAGAGGCTTCTTTTGGCATCTTCAGTTTCTTTCTCCCTCCTTACTGGCTTTATCCCAACGGAACTTAAAGATGTACTGACCTCTGCCATCTTTAAAAATCCTCTCTTGATCCTTTGTCCTCCTATACTTACTACTAGGTCTTCTTCTAACAGCTGAGCTTCTTGAAGAAATTGCCTACTTACTGTTTCTATGTCATCACCTTCTGTTTATATCTTAATTCACTGCAGTAAAGCTTCTCCCCAAGACTGCTTTTGCCAAAGCCAATAATTATATGTCTAAGATCCAAGGGGACAATTCTTAGTCTTAATCATATTTAACTCCTCAATAGCATTTGATACTAGTAATCATTTTATCTTCTGTGAAACACCTTTTCCCCCCAGGTTTTGGGATTCTCTATTCTTGCAGGTTTTTTTTTTTTTCTTCTTAGTCTGCTTTGTGGCTACTCCTTTTCTGCTTATGCATTAAATATTGTTTTTCCTCAAGACTCCTTCCCTGGGCTGTCTTCTCAGTTTACATACCCTCTATGGGTAATTCATCTATTCCCATGTTTTCAGTTGCTCTGCATATGTGTTTTCAGCCTTAATCTCTGACCCAATTTCTATCTGCGTGATGCACATACAATGGTACCTACACTACCACATCTGCTCCTTGTACTTTATCCTGTATCTCAGTGAATAACAACTCTATGAACCCCTGACCACAGAAGGAAACCAGAAAGTTATCTACATTCCATCCACCTTGGTCCTTCTTCAATTTCCATTGTCAGTTACTCAACAAATTCAGTTCATTTTATCACTTAACAGGTCTTAATTCTACTTACCTGTCTATATTCCAAATACAAAATGCCTCTATAATCTCTCGCCTAGTCTGTTCCAATAACCTCCTTACTGATTATGCTTTCCTCAATCCTGATCCTATACATAAAACCTGTGGTAGTTAGTTTCCAAAGATGGCCCCCAGTGAATCACATCTTCCAGGATTTATGCCCTTGTGTGGTTCCCTTCCATATTGAATCTGAGCTGACCTAGTCACTCACTTTAAGTAATATGGTAGAAGGGATGCTGTGTCAGTTCCAGGCCTCCGCCATATAGCAAAAGTTGAATGCTTGATAGCTTTAACTTTTGCAACTAAAGTGCCTCATAGTAAGTCTCCAGCTCCCCTGCTGGAGGACTAGAAAGTGGAAAGACTGTGCCTGAAACTAGATGGAGGAAGAGAAGGGCTCAGGCATCCCGGTACCCCAGGTGAATCTAGCCTTCTAGATGTCCCTGACAAGATGCCATATGTGTGAGAGAGCCATCTTTGATGTTCCACATCTGTGAAACCCTCAGATGACTTCAGCCTCAGGCAGCATCATATGGAGTTATAGAACTGTCTAACTGAACCTAATCAATCCACAGAATAATGACAAATAACAAAATGGTTGTTGTTTTAAACCACTAAACATTGTGGTGGTTTATTTCACAATAGGTAAAGCCAAAGCCAAAACTAAACCTCTCTTTGTTGTACTTACTACTCCAGTCTCATCTCTGACAGTTTACCTTTGACACTTTAAGATATTCCTTCACTAAGCTGCTTGAAGTTCCCCGAATCCCCTCTGCCTTTTCTTCTAGGCTTTTTGTGCCCACTGTTAGAAACATTTTCTTTTCTTTTCTTTTTTTCAGACAGGGTCTCGCCTTGTCACCCAGGCTGTAGTACAGTGGTGCAATCGTGGCTCACTGTAGCCTTGAACTCCTGGGCTCAGGTGATCTGCCTACCTTAGCCTCTTAACTGTCTGGGACTACAGGCATGCACCACCATGCCTGGCTAAGTTTTAAATTGTTTGTAGAGACAGGGTCTCGCTGTGTTGCCCAGAGTGGTTTTGAACTCCTGGCCTCAAGTGATCCTCCCGCCTAGGCCTCTCAAAGTGCTGGGAATACAGGCGTGAGCTCCCACACCTGGCCTAGAAACATTTTCTTATTTAACTTATAACCTTTGCCCTACCAAAATTCCTACTTAGCTTTCAAATTTTTGCTTAGACATCCCTAAAATCCTAGGTGACTAATTTAATTGCATTGCTAATGTACTCTCATAGTAGCAAATACACTTGCTGGCAGAATAATGGTTGAGAATACATAGTTGAGCAGTGATCTTTTCGCAAGTTGCCTATTCTCTGTAAGCCTCCAGTTTCTTCATCAGGAAAATGAGGATAATCATATAAATTAACCCATAAGTTTGTTGGGAGTATGTAAGAACGTTCAAAAACAGTTAACTATCATTAAGCAAAGGCATGGAATCAACCTAGGTGGCTATCAACGGTGGTATGCATATACCATGGAATACTATGCAGCCATAAAAAACGATGAAATCGGCCGGGTGCGGTGGCTCACACCTGTAATCCCAGCACTTTGGGAGGCCGAAGCAGGCAGATCATGAAGTCAGGAGATCCAGACCATCCTGGCTAACATGGTGAAACCCCGTCTCTACTAAAAATACAAAAACTTAGCCAGGTGTGGTGGTGGGCACCTGTAGTCCCAGCTACTTGGGAGGCTGAGGCAGGAGAATGGCGTGAACCCGGGAGGCGGAGCTTGCAGTGAGCCGAGACCGCGCCACTGCACTCCCGCCTGGGAGACAGAGCGAGACTCTGTCTCAAAAACAAAAAGGAATGAAATCATGTCCTGTGCAGCAACATAGATGCAGCTGGAGGCCATTATTCTAAGTGAATTAACATAGGAAGAGGAACCCAAATATTGTGTTCTCACTTACAAGTGGGAGCTAAACATGGCACAATAGACACTGAGGACTACTAGAGGTAGGAGGGAGGGAGAAAGGCAAGGGTTGAAAAACTATTAGGTACTATGCTCACTACCTGGGTGGATCATTTGTATCCCAGACCTCAGCATCACTCAGTATACCCAAGTAACAAACCTGCTCATATACCGCTTGAATCTAAAAGAAAAGTTGAAATTTTAAAAACCCAAAAACTGTTAATGATTATTAATGTTGTGAAAACATTATCACAGCCCAGGTGCAATGGCTCATGCCTGTAATCCCAGCACTTTGGGAGGCCGAGGCATGAGGATTTCTTGAGGCCAGGAGTTCGGGACCAACCTGGGCAACAACATAGTGAGACTTAGTCTCTACAAAAAATAAACAAAAGTTGCTGTGCATGGTGGTGCCCGCTATAGTCCTAGCTGCTTAGGAGGCTGAGGTGGGAGAATTGCTTGAGTTTAGGAGGTTGAGGCTGCAGTAAGCTGAGATTGTGCCATTGCACTCCAGCCTGGGCAACAGAGCAAGACCCTGTCTCAAAAAGCGACAACAAAAACATTACCATAAGTGTCTGTTTATCACTTTAGAGTCTAGCAAAGTGCCTACAACATAATATGTGCTATATGGGATGCCAGTGAGTCCAGAGGCAGTGGCTCATGCCTATAATCCCACCACTTTGGGAGTCTGTGATGGGAGGGTTGCTTGAAGCCAGGAGTTCAAGACCAGCCTGGGCAACGTAGTGAGACCCCCATCTCCACAAAAATATTTTCAAAAATCAGCTAAGTGTGGTGTGTGTGCTCGTAGTCCTAGCTATTCAGGAGACTGAAATGGGGGGATTGCTTAAGCCCGGAAGTTCAGAGTTGCAGTGAGCTGTGATTATGCCACTGCACTCCAGCCTGGGTGACAGAGCAAAACCTGTTCTCAAAAAAATAAAAATAAAAAAAAATAAGAATTACTAAATGGATGAGTGAATTCAGATTATTCACATTTCATCATATCAATCCAAATAAAAGCCTAAATTCATGCCTTTTTAAATTCTTTTTTTATTTTAGTGAAATATATATAAATACAGATTTGTCATTTTAGCCTTTTTTTTTTTTTTGAGACAAAGTCTCACTCTGCTATCCAGGCTGGAGTGCAGTGGCGCAATCATGGCTCACTGCAACCTCCGCCCCCTGGGTTCAAGTGATTCTCTGGCCTCAGCCTCCTGAGTAGCTGGGACTACAGGTGCACACCACCATGCCTGGGTAATTTTTGTGTTTGTAGTAGAGATGGGGTTTCACCATGTTGGCTAGGCTTGTCTCGAACTTCTGCCCTCAGGTGATCTGCCCACCCTGGCCTCCCCAAGTGCTGGGATTACAGGCGTGAGCCACTGTGCCTGGCCCCTTTTAGCCATTTTAAGTGTACAATTTAGTGGTGTTAATTACATTCACAATATTGTGCCACCATCACCCCTGTCTGTTTCCAATTTTTTTTTCATTATTCCAAACAGAACCTCTGTGTCATTAAACAATGAACTGTAATTTTCCCCTTCCTCCAGAGTCTAGAAACCCTTAATATACTTTCCCTTTCTGTGAATTTACCTATTTTAGATTCTCATGTAAGTGAAATCATACAATATTTATCCCTTTGTGTCTGGTTTATTTCACTTAGCATAATGTCTTCAAGATTCATTCATGTGGCGTGTGTCAGAATTTTCTTCCTTTTAAGGCTGAATATTCTATTGTATACATATATACATTTTGTTTATTTATCCTTTGTTGGACACTTGGGTTGTGTCTTCCTTTTAGCTGTTGTGAATAATGCTGGTGTGAACATGGGTGTACAAATGTCTGTTCAAGCCTCTGCTTTGAATTCTTTCGGGTATATACGCAAAAGTGGAATTGCTGGAATATGTGGTAATTCTATTTTTAATTTTTTGAGGGACCGTCATATTTTCCATAGCAGCTGTACCATTTTACATTCCCCCCGCCCCAGCAATGCACAGGTGTTCCTGTTTCTCCACGTCCTTGCTGACACTTGTTTTTTTCCTTTTAATAATAGTCATCCTAATGGGTAGGAAGTGGTATCTCATTGTGATTTTGACTTTCATCTTCCTAATGATTAGTAATGGTGAGCATCTTTTTCATGTGCCTGTTGGCCATGTGTATATTTTCTTTGGAGAAAGGTTTATTTAAGTCCTGTGTCCATTTTAAAAGTCAGATTGTTTGTTTTTATGTTGTTGAATTGTAGGAATTCTGTATGTGTTCAGGATATTAAGTCCTTATCAGATATATGATTTGGAAATATTTTCTCCCATTCTGTTGGTTGCTGTTTCACTCTGCTGAGAGTATATTTTGAAGTAGTTCAATTTATCTATTTGTTTAGTTTGTTGGCTGTGCTTTTGGTATCATATCCAATAAATTATTGCTAAATTCAGTGTCATGATGATTTCTCCCTTTTTTTTTCCTAAGAGTTTTGTAATTTTAGGTCTTATATTTAGGTCTTTGATCCATTTTGAGTTAATTTTTGTATGTGGTGTAAAGTAAGAGAACTTCATTCTTTTGCATGTGGATATCCAGGTTTTCCAGCACCATTTGTTGAAAAAGACTGTCTTTTACCAATTGAATGGTCTTGGCATCCTTGTCAAAAATCATTTGACAAGGTGCTCTAAGGTTTATTTCTAGGCTGTCTATCGCATTGGTCTTTATGTATGTCTTTATGCCAGTACTATACTTTTTCCATTATTTATAGCATTTAAAAAATAAATTTTATTGTGTATATTTAAGGCATATTTGTAGCTTTTGAAATCAGAATGTGCAAGTCCTCCAACTTTGTCATTTTTTTTCAAGATTGTTTTTGCTCTTCTGGGACCTTTGGAATTTCATATAAATTTTAGGATGGACTTTTCTATTTCTGCAAAAAATGCTATTGGGTCTTTGAATTGAATCTGTGTATTGCTTTGGGTGGTATTATCTTAGCAGTATTAAGTCTTCCAACTCATGAACATTGGATGTCTTTCCATTTATTTATGTTTTCCTTAATTTCTTTCAGCAAAATTTTGTAGTTTTCAGTGTACAAGTCTTGCACCTCCTTTGCTAAATTGATTCCTCAGTATTTTATTTTTTAAACCAAATTTTAATTATGGTAAAATACATATAACATTAACCATCTTAGCCATTTTTTAAGTGTGCAGTTCAATTTAGGTATTCACGTTGTTGTACAACCAGTCTCCAGAACTCCTTTCATCTGTCAAAACAAACTCTGTATCTATGAAACAACCACTCTCCATTTTTCCTCCCCCAGCCTGTGGCACACACCCTTCTACTTCCTGTCTCTAGGAATTTGAATCCTCTAATTACCTCATATAAGTGGCACCATAAAATATTTGTCTTTGTGTGACTGGCTTATTTCACTTAACATAATGTCCTCAAGGTTCATCTATGTTGTAGCATGTGTCAGAATTTTATTCCTTTTTTTTTCTTTTTTTTTTTTTTGAGATGGAGTCTCGCTCTGTCGCCCAGGCTGGAGTGCAGTGGCGCGATTTCGGCTCACTGCAAGCTCCGCCTCCTGGATTCACGCTATTCTTCTGCCTCAGCCTCCCAAGTAGCTAGGACTACAGGTACCCGCCACCACGCCTGGCTAATTTTTTTTTTGTATTTTAAGTAGAGACAGGGTTTCACCATGTTAGCCAGGATGATCTTGATCTCCTGACCTCGTGATCCACCTGCCTTGGCCTTCCAAAGTGCTGGGATTATAGGTGTGAGCCACCGCACCCGGCCGAATTTTATTCCTTTTTAAAGCTGAATAATATTCTATTGTGTGGGTATATATATATATGATATATATATGATATATATATGAGATAAACAATATATGTATCACTGGTAGATGACACTTGGGTTGCCTGCACTTTTTAGCTATTCCGAATAATCCTGCTCTGAACATGAGTGTACAAATGTATTAGTTCACTAGGAGCAGCATAACAAAATGCCACAGTCTGGGTGGCTTAAACAACAGCAATTAATTTTCTCACAGTTCTAGAGGCTAGAAGTCTGAGATCAAGGTGTTGTCGGGGTCAGTTTTTCCTGAGGCCTGTCTCCTTGGCTTGCAGATGGTCATGTTCTCACTATGTGGACACATCTCTGGTGTCTCCTCTTCTAAGATCACCAGTCATATTGGATTAAGTCCCATCCATGTGACCTCATTTAACCGTAATTACCTTTTTAAATGTATTGTCTCCAAATATAGAGACATATTCTGAGGTGTACTGAGGGTTAGGACTTCAACATGTAAATTTTGAGGAGGACACAATTTAGTGTATAACAGCAAATATCTGTTTGAGATTCTGCTTTAATTCTTTTGTGTACGTACCTAGAAGTAGAATTTCTGGTTCATATGGTAATTTAATTTTTAATTTTTTGAGGAACCACTGTACTGTTATCCAGAGCAGCTATACCATTTTACATTCCCACCAACAGTGTACAGGGGTTTCAATTTCTACACATCCTGAGCAACACTTATTGTTTTCTGTTTTTTTAATAATAGTCTTCCTAATGGTTGCATTTTATTCTTTTTGATAATGTTATAAATGAAATTATTTTCTTCTTTCTTGTATTGTTTCCTCCTAATCTGTAGAAATGCAGCTGATTTTTGTGTGTGTTGATCTTGTATCCTGTAACTTTGCATAATTTGTTTATTAGCTCTGACAGGTTGAAAATTTTTTTTTTTTTTTGTAGAGATGGGGTCTCACTATGTTGCCCAGGCTGATCTTGAACTCCTGGTTTCAAGTGATCCTCTCACCTTGGCCATCCAAAGTATTGGGATTACAGGCATGAACCACCATGCCTGGGTTTTATGTGGATCCTTTAGGGTTTTTTCTACATAGAAGATGATATGGTTAGGCTTTGTGTCTCCACCCAAGTTTCATTTTGAATTGTAATCCCCACAGTCCCCATGTTTCAAGGGAGAAACCAAGTGAAGGTCAGTGAATCATGGGGACAGTTTCCCCCATGCTGTTCTGGAGATAGTGGGTGAGTTCTGATAAGATCTGATGGTTTTATCAGGGGCTCTTCCCCGTTCACTAGGCACTCCTCCTTCCTGCCACCTTGTGAAGAAGGTGCCTTTTTTCCCCTTCACCTTCTGCCATGATTGTAAGTTTCCTGACACTTCCCCAGCCATGCTGAACTGTGAGTCCATTAAACCTCTTTCTTCTATAGATTACTCAGTCTCAGGCAGTTCTTTGTAGCAGTATGAAAACAGACTAATACAGAAGATCATTTCATCTGCAAACAGAGATAGTTTTACTTCTTCCTTTCCAACTTGAATGCCTGTAATTTTCTTTTTCCTCCCTAATTGCTCTGGCTAGAAATCCAGTACTTTTTGAATAGAAGTGACAAAAGCAGGCACCCCTGATTTGTTCCTGATCTTACAGGAAATCAAGCCTATTTTTTTCTATAAAGTAAAAATTTCCATCTGTGGAGAAAGTCATATTTGGGATACACTTCTCATTAGCTTGGTTTGAATGAGGAAACATAAGAGCTTATTAAGCACAAGAGGGAAAAGTATGGGATGGAAAGAGCCCTTCGAAGCTGATTGGTAGGTATGGGAGAACCTCACTAGGCTTGACAAAATGTTGTTTTGTCAAGGGGTCAGGGACATCCGAGACTCACCCCACCACTAGGAGGCAGTCCCTAGCTGTTTCAGGGCTAGTTTCTGAAAGTATGAGCAGCATTCTATGAGTACTAGCAACTATAATGGATGTTCATAGGATATGACAGATATTTTTGTAAATTAGGAATAAACATGAAGTAGAAAATAATAATTTCCTGTGTGCTTGTCTTCATCGATATAGGGTCCATGTGATTTACCATCCATACTTTAAGAGTGAAAGGGGGTACTATTAATGATCCTTCCTGAAAAGCAGGTATAAACTGACTGTCCCAGGCAAACTGGGACACAGGATATCCTATTTGTAGAGTTCTTCACATTCTTAGATGGCAACTGTAGTTAGCATTTAATCTTGGGAATGTTTAGTCATGATGGCACGTTAATTTCTGTTAATAATTAACTGCTAAAACAGTTAATTATTCTGTTAATAATTAACTGCTAGAGGTGGATTCATAAGGTTGAGACATTTAATATAAATAGCTTCAGTTCACACATGAACATAGAAAATAAAGGATAATTTGTGAAGAATGTAGGGATTTATGTTGCAGTTGCTTCTGCTATTGCATACAACTAAATTTATGCTCAAAGCTATACTGCCCTTTAGGCAATTTCTTTGCCTATTAGATTGAGTCAGAGTAATCCTGTGGTAATGCAACTTTCAGTGATGATTGATGATGAATTTATAGCTCATTTTTGCTTACTGTTATTTTCTGAGTTTATAATAGTATCTATGAGCCATTTGACTCACCTATATATAACTGGATTTGTTTTCTGTAGGTAGTATGTCTTCCTTTTAGAATAGCCTCCCTCATGGATGTATGTGTTATTTATATACAGGGCTATAATCTTTGATATCAACCTAAAAGTTTAGGAATTTCTGTCATAACATATTGGTAAACAATCATGATTCTGTGGTCCATAACCTTTCTTAAATCTTAAAAGATGATTGGTTTATCATGTTTTTAGTTTCTGCAACCCCCCTGGCAAGACTAAAGCTTTTCATTGTTTTAACATTTGAATGGAAAGTCATATTTGCCTTCTTTGGCTGCTTTGCCAGCCCTTCTTTTGGTTCCCTAGCCTGTGGGTGTTTCCCAAGGCCCTGTTTTCTACCTCTTTCCTTCGCCATGTTCATTTTCTTCCTGAGCTCATTCATTCTGGTGAAAGATTCAGCTATTACTTCTATGTTGACTTTTAAAGCAGTCTGTTCAGACTGATTATCTCAATTTCATCAAATCTAAAGCTTAATTCATTTTTGTGTGTCAGACTCCTTTCCCCAACTACCCAAGGTCATTTGTATCTGTCTTTCTCTCCATAAGTGTGTCTGTCATATATATTACTCTCAATAATATAATTTAAATTTAAATTTTAAAAATATAATGTAAAGAGGTTTAGTTGACTCCCAGTAAGTAATTCACCTTTATTACTTTCCCTAGAAGTTTATAGGGGCTTCATTTTGTCCATTGCTTTAAGTTCAGGCTCCTGTGCTTTCAAGGTTTCATTATCTAGTTCGGTCATCTCTCTCTCACTGGTCCCTCCCAGGATCTAACGTCACCCTGCCCCTAACCCCTTGGTATTAGGCTGGTCTCCTCTTTGCCATGGTGAACACACCTTGCTGATGCTGTCCATTTAATTATAGAATGCACAGCTGAAGGAATTATGAACATTTATTTCACAAATGTTTAGAAAGTGACTGACGTGTAATTCTTTGTTTTTCCTATTGCCTGTTTTCTTTAGCACCCTGTAAGTTCCGTGAAGGCAGGCAGACCTATGTTATACCTCTTTGTGTTTGCTCCAGTGTAATCAAATGCTAGGTACATAGAAATGGCTTGCTGATAAGTTGTTTTATTTTAAACATACAGTATCTTCCAATACCTACCTTAACCATACCATTTTTGTGGGTCAATTTAATTTAATCAGGTTTTTGGTCAGTCATAAGTTGTCCTAATTCAAATCCTCACCTTTAGGAAACCAAAGGTTCCGTATAGAACAGTGATTCTCAATCTTAATGGGATGAACAACCCCCTTTTTAAAATTAAATACTTTGTAACAATCACTTTATTATCCTGAAAAAAATGTATGGACAATACAACCTATTTATATATCTAATATAAAAATAAAATAGAATGCCTGAAATCACACTAAGAAGCAATAAAGGAAACTGTTTTATAATAAAATATTAGATATTTCTATATGTAAATGCTTAGGCATGACCACACTGGAAGTCCCAATGAAGTAGTCAGATGTTTGTACACAGAATCACCATGAAATAGACAACTATGTATACAAACTGATTGAGGTAAGTTGTATTGATGTTTAAAATATAATGAGTATAATGAGTAGTGTTTCTTTCAGTAGTGTGATTTTCTGAAATGGTGAATAACTACAAAGTTCCAAACTTTTCATTCCTGAAAAATTCAGCACATATCAATGCTGTACAAGAATATATTGTGTTTATATGTAACATGGAGAGTCTAAGCTCACATAATTATAAACACGTTTTTCCCTTATATGACCATCCATCAGGAGTTGAAAGTGATGAGACTATTCTTTGTTCTGTGTAGTTACCACTTCCTGCCCACTTGCTTACTGCTCATTAAATATCAGTAGCAACTGATTATTGTGATTGTAGCAACCAAAAATGCCCCTACCAGATTCGTTTTTCATTTTTTTTGAGACAGAGTCTTGCTCTGTCACCCAGGCTGGAGTGCAGTGGCTCGATCTTGGCTCACTGCAAGCTCCGCCTCCTGGGTTCACGCCATTCTCCTGTCTCAGCCACCCGAGTAGCTGGGACTCCAGGCACCCGCCACCACACCCAGCTAATTTTTTGTATTTTTAGTAGAGACGCGGTTTCACCATGTTAGCCAGGATGGTCTTGATCTCCTGACCTCGTGATCCTCCTGCCTCGGCCTCCCAAAGTGCTGGGATTTCAGGCGTGAGCCACCGTGCCCGGCCTGTATTTTTTAAATTATTATTTTGTTGTTGTTGTTGTTGTTGTTGTTGAGACAGGGTCTCACTCTGTTGCCCAGGCTGGAGTGCAGTGGTGTGATTATGGCTCACTGTAGCCTTGACCTCCCAAGCCCGAGCGATCCTCTGAGTAGCTGGGACTACAGGCGCATGACACCATGCCTGGCTAATTTTTGTATTTTTTGTAGAGACAGGGTTTTGTCATGTTGCCCAGGCTGATCTCAAACTCATGGGCTCAAGTGATCTGTCCCCCTCAGCCTCTCAAAGTGCTGGGATTTCAGGCATGAACCACCATGCCTGGCTCCTCACCAAATTTTTTTTTTTAATTTTTTTTTAAATTTTATTTTATAGAGATGGGGTTTCACCATGTTGTCCAGGCTAGTCTCGAACTCCTGGGCTCAAGTGATCTGCCCACCTTCGCCTCCCAAAGTGCTGGGATTACAGGCTTGAGCCACTGTGCCCAGCCATCACCACCAAATTTTTAAGACAAAAAAATTTTATTTTCCATAGAAAATAAATCCTTTTCTTAGGGGATGCTGCCCCATTGAGAATAATTTTAAAAACGATTTTGATTTTCAGATGAAATCAGGACTTCCCAGATTGTGTTTTGTGATGAACTAGTTTTTGACATGTTAACAGAATACCCATGGGGGGCAGGGAATAGTCTAAGGTTGAATTAAAATAGTTTTCTTTTTCTCCTAATTGCATGATTTTTCATGGCCTTTAATGTGTCAATGAATATTTTTCAATTTACTAGAGGAAGATGCATTATTTCCCCAAACAATTTCATTGTGGATTCCTTTGGAAATTGCTGAACTCACTTGTTTAAAATATAACCCCTGTAGGCATATTAGATTCTGTGGGTTGCACTTTGAAGATAAAGACAAGAATGTCTGTAATGTGTTCCATTTACAGTAGGATCTAGGCAGCCTTTGGTCACCTAGAGAACTTTGAGTTGCATATGTCTTGCTATTATTTGTAAGCATGTCTGTTCTACCAGAAGGTTATGGAATAATTCAACCCTGAGCTGTGAAATTTAATAAACCTAGGAAAAGTTATGAAAAAAATTATGGAAAACTAATATGCAAAACTATATTGTATATCAACCTAAAAGTGGCAGGAAGATGGAGTGGCCAAAATAAGTAAACCCTAGGTTTCCTATGTTGATAATACTGGTAAAATTTTTCTTCTGTTAATAGTTCAAATAATTTTCATAACGGGATTATATGCAAATTAGAGGAGACAGCGCATTCAATGAAAAATATATGAATGCATCTCTAAAAATGTACTAAAATGGACATATAAATAAATTAGATTCTTTGGAGAAATCTGAAGGAAAATTGATGATCAGATAGAAATATCAGTGAAACACACAAAAGAACACAAAGAAAACAAATCAATGAAATAGGTGGAAACCATTACATTTTAAAAATTTTAGTTTCAGGGGGTACATGTGCAGGTTTATTTTGTGGATATATTGAGTGATGCTGAGGTTTGGGCTTCTAATGATCCCATTGCCCAAGTATTGAGCATACTACCTGATAGGCAGTTTTTCAGCCCTTGTTCCTTTCCCTCCCTCCCTCCCCACTTTTGGAGTCCACAATGTCTGTTGTTCCTATCTTTGTGTCCATGTGTACCCAGTGTTTAGCTCCCACTTACAAGTAAGAACCTGCCTTACTTGGCTTTTTTTCTGTGTTAGTCCTCTTAACATAATGGCCTCCAGCTGCATCCATGTTGCTGCAAAGGACATGATTTCATTCTTGTTGATGACTGCATAGCATTCCATGGTGTATATGTACCACATTTTCTTTATCCAATCCACCATTGATAGGCACTTGGGTTGATTCCATGTCTTTGCTATTTTGAATAGTGTTGTGATAAACATGTGAGTGCAGGTATCTTTTTGGTAGAATGATCTATTTTCCTTTGGGTATATACCCAGTAATGGAATTGTTGGGTTGAATGGTAATTCTATTTTTAGTTCTTTGAGAAATCTCCAAACTGTTTTCCACAGGGGCTGAACTATTAATAATTTGCATTCCTGCCACAGGAATTTCTTCTCAACCTCACCAATATCTGGTATTTTTCATTTATTTATTTATTTTGAGACGGAGTCTCACTCTGTCGCCCAGACTGGAGTGCGGTGGCGTGATATCAGTTCACTGCAACCTCTGCCTCCTGGGTTCAAGTGATTCTTTTGCCTCAGCCTCCTGAATAGCTGGGACTACAGGCATCTGCCACCATACCTGGCTAATTTCTGTATTTTTAGTAGAGACGGGGTTTCACCATATTGGCCAGGCTTGTCTCGAACTCCTGACCTCATGATCCACCCACCTCGGCCTCCCAAAGTGCTAGGATTACAGGCGTGAGCCACCGTACCTGGCCTATCTGTTACTTTAAAATTTTTTTCATAATAGCCATTCTGACTGGTGGTATCTCATTGTGGTTATGATTTGCATCTCTCTGATGATTAGTGATGTTGAACATTTTTTATATGTTTGTTGGCTGCTGTATGTCTTCTTTTGAGAAGTGTCTATATCCTTTGCCCATTTTTTAATGGGATTTTTGTTTTTCTCTTATTGATTTAAGTTCCTTATAGACTCTGGATATTAGTCTGTTGTTGGATCCATAGTTTGCAAATATTTTCTCCCATTCTGTAGGTTGTCTGTTTACTCTGTTCATAGTTTCTTTTGCTGTGCAGAAGCGCTTTAGTTTAATTAAGTCCTGTTTGTTTATTTTTTATTTTGTGGCATTTGCTTTGGGGATCTTCATCATACATTTTTTGCCTAGGCCACTGTTTAGAAGAGTATTTCTTGGTTGTCTTCTAGGATTTTTTATAGTTTCAGGTCTTACATTTAAGTCTTTAATTCATCTTGAGTTAATGTTTATACATGGTAAGAAGCAGGAGTCCAATATTTCTTTCTTCTGCGTGTGGTTAGCCAGTTTTCCTAGCACTATTTCTTGAAGAAGGTATTTTTTCCTCATTGTTTATTTTTGTCAACTTTGTTGAAGATCAGTTGGTTTAGGTGTGTGACTTTCTTTCAGGGGTCTCTATTCTGTTTCATTGGTCTATGTGTATATTTTTATACCAGTACTATGCTGTTTAGGTTACTGTAGCCTTGTAGTATTGTTTGAAGTCAGGTAATGTGATACCTTTGGCTTTATTCTTTTTGCTTAAGATTACCTTGGCTATTTGGTCTAATTTTTTGGTTCCATATGAATTTTAAGTAGTTTTTCTAATTCTAGGAAAAATGTTACTGGTAATTAGATAGGAAAGCATTGAATCTGTATATTAATTTGAGCAGTACGGACATTTGAATCATATTGATTTTTCCAACTCATGAGCATGGAATGCTTTTCTATTTGTTAATGTTGTCTCTGATTTCTTTCATCAGTGCTTTGTAGTCTTCCTTACAGAGTTGCTTCACCTCCTTGGCTAGATGTATTCCAAGGTACTTTTTTTCCTGTGGCTATTATAAATGGGATTGTGTTCTTGATTTGGTTCTCAGCTTGAATGTTATTGGAGGAGTTCTTCCTCCTTGAATTTTTGTAATAGTTTCAGTAGGGTCAGTACCAGCTCTTCTTTGTATGTCTAGTAGAATTCAGCTGTGAATCCATCTGGTCCAGGGCTTTGTTTGATTGGTATGTTTTTAGAAAAATTACTGATCCAGTTCCATGACTTGTTATTGGTCTGTTCAGAATTTTTGTTTCTTCCTGATTCAATCTTGGAAGGTTGTGTGTTTCCAGGAATGTATCAGTTTCCTCTAGATTTGCTAGTTTGTGTGCATAGAGATGTTAATAGTACTCTCTGAGGGTCTTCTGTATTTCTATGAGCTTGGTAGTAATAACTCCTTTGTCATTCTAACTGTAATTATTTGGATACGCCCTCTTTTTTTCTTTGTTAATCTGGCTAGTGATCTGTCTAGTTTATTGTTTCAAATAACCAATTTTTCATTTCATTGATCGTTTGCATGTTTTTTTTGGGTCTCCATTTAGTTCTGCTCTGATTTTAGTTATTTCTTTTCTTCTGCTAACTCTGGGTTTAGTTTGTCTTTGTTTTTTTTAGTTCCTTTAGGTGTGAGGTTAGGTTGTTAATTTGAGATCTTTCTATCTTTTTGACATAAGCATTCAGTGCTATAAACTTTTCTCTTAACACTGCTTTTGCCACATCACAGAGGTTTTGGTACATTGTGTCTCTATTTTCATTTGTTTCAAAGCATTTTTTCATATCTGCCATAATTTTGTTGTTATCCACATGTCATTCAGGAGGCAGTTTTTTAGTTTCCATGTATTTGTTGGAAACCATTACTTGTTGCTCAAGTGAAGTCCAGAAATTTATTACAGAAGTTTTCAAAGAAGTTCCACTTGAAGAACAAGGGAGTCTGTTTTTTGGCTGACAAACATTGTAGTTTTATGAATTACATACATTATCATCACTCACGGTGTGCAGAATTACTTAATTTCACATTGCCTTGGTGGCAAACAATCTGTGATGATAATATCAAAGAACCAGAAAAAATAATGAATGAATATGATAGGCAAAAATAAAGACTTTAGTCTCTCTCTCAATATCTAGAACGCATCAACCTTCATCAGTAATAGAAACAACATAATTAGATCAAAAGCATACTACACACTTATGTCCACCCTACCTCTCCATTGAAAGTACCCAGCTCCTTTAGCCAGAACATATACCAGATCTTTGACTGATAAGTTTAACAGCATGTTAACAGTTCCAGAGGGTTGAGAAAGGATAAATAATCCACAAATACTTCAAATTATCCTTGTTAACAGTGACTGGTTTCTGTTGTAACTGGACTGAACATGATGAAAAAACATAAAATCGATTTTTTCACATACTGCTGATAAGACCTTAACTTTGTACAAGGTGACATCATCATCACACTGTCTCTGAAGGAAAAGGTGGCTGATTTTATGGGAATTTAGGCATGGGGTTGGTTATCATTCTCATATACAGATTTGCTAGAAGAAAATGAGAAGGAAATAGTGACTATGGCAGCTCCATGTCCTGAATCCATCCATAGGATTAGCATTATTAGCATGGTGAGTTTATCTGAGAAATGTAGGGTCATTCCATTCACCAAATTCTCCAAAACATTATTTGGAATGTTTGTCAATAAGAGCAGCTGCTTCTAAAAGTGATTGTACTTTTGAGGCACATGTGTCCAAGCTAGAAATCATATCTCCTAAAAATTTAAAGGTAGCAAAACTGCCTAAGTGGAGAAAACCTCTTGGCTACTGTGAAACTCTGATCATCAGTGGTAAATGATCCACAGTACCAATAATATGTGAAAAACATTATTGAAATTCACCAAGATCAAATGCAGGTAAAGGAATGTGAGTGTGGACACTTCAGGTTGTTGGTCCCAGGATCCTTCCTGTTGAGTTAAGTAAAATCATAGCTTGTCTCTCCCAGGATAGCAAAATAGATAATTCTACCAAATGTTAATGACAGGACCATGTTATTTCTACTCCAGGACTCACAAAGGGGAACATAAAGTTTAAGTTATCCTAAATGCAGTTGTTTTGAGGGGAGATGCTCCAGCCAGGAAAGAAATTGTAAGTGTGTTTAATTAAATGGCTCATTACTTCTCTCACCATTTAAGAGTTGAGACATCTTTGTTTTCTTTTTTTATTTTATTTTATTATTATTATACTTTAAGTTTTAGGGTACCTGTGCACAATGTGCAGGTTAGTTACATATGTATACATGTGCCATGCTGTTGTGCTGCACCCATTAACTCGTCAATTAGCATTAGGTATATCTCCTAAAGCTATCCCTCCCCCCTACCCCCACCCCACAACAGTCCCCAGAATGTGATGTTCCCCTTCCTGTGTCCATGTGTTCTCATTGTTCAATTCCCACCTATGAGTGAGAATATGCAGTGTTTGGTTTTTTGTTCTTGCAATAGTTTACTGAGAATGATGATTTCCAATTTCATCCATGTCCCTACAAAGGACATGAACTCATCATTTTTTATGGCTGCATAGTATTCCATGGTGTATATGTGCCACATTTTCTTAATCCAGTCTATCATTGTTGGACATTTGGCTTGGTTCCAAGTCTTTGCTATTGTGAATAGTGCCACAATAAACATATGTGTGCATGTGTCTTTATAGCAGCATGATTTATAGTCCTTTGGGTATATACCCAGTAATGGGATGGCTGGGTCAAATGGTATTTCTAGTTCTAGATCCCTGAGGAATCACCACACTGTCTTCCACAATGGTTGAACTAGTTGACAGTCCCACCAACAGTGTAAAAGTGTTCCTATTTCTCCACATCCTCTCCAGCACCTGTTGTTTCCTGACTTTTTAATGATCACCATTCTAACTGGTGTGAGATGGTATCTCATTGTGGTTTTGATTTGCATTTCTCTGATGGCCAGTGATGGTGAGCATTTTTTCATGTGTTTTTTGGCTGCATAAATGTCTTCTTTTGAGAAGTGTCTGTTCATATCCTTCGCCCACTTTTTGATGGAGTTGTTTGTTTTTTTCTTGTAAATTTGTTTAAGTTCATTGTACATTCTGGATATTAGCCCTTTGTCAGATGAGTAGGTTGCAAAAATTTTCTCCCATTTTGTAGGTTGCCTGTTCACTCTGATGGTAGTTTCTTTTGCTGTGCAGAAGCTCTTTAGTTTAATGAGATCCCATTTGTCAATTTTGGCTTTTGTTGCCATTGCTTTTGGTGTTTTAGACATGAAGTCCTGGCCCATGCCTATGTCCTGAATGGTGATGCCTAGGTTTTCTTCTAGGGTTTTTATGGTTTTAGGAATAACGTTTAAGTCTTTAATCCATCTTGAATTAATTTTTGTATAAGGTGTAAGGAAGGGATCCAGTTTCAGCTTTCTACATATGGCTAGCCAGTTTTCCCAGCACCATTTATTAAATAGAGAATCCTTTCCCCATTGCTTGTTTTTCTCAGGTTTGTCAAAGATCAGATAGGTGTAGATATGTGGCGTTATTTCTGAGGGCTGTGTTCTGTTCCATTGATATATATCTCTGTTTTGGTACCAGTACCATGCTGTTTTTGTTACTGTAGCCTTGTAGTATAGTTTGAAGTCAGGTAGCGTGATGCCTCCAGCTTTGTTCTTTTGGCTTAGGATTGACTTGGCGATGCGGGCTCTTTTTTGGTTCCATATGAACTTTAAAGTAGTTTTTTCCAATTCTGTGAAGAAAGTCATTGGTAGCAGGATGGGGATGACATTGAATCTATAAATTACCTTGGGCACTATGGCCATTTTCACGATATTGATTCTTCCTACCCATGAGCACGGAACATTCTTCCATTTGTTTGTATCCTCTTTTATTTCATTGAGCAGTGGTTCGTAGTTCTCCTTGAAGAGGTCCTTCACGTCCCTTGTAAGTTGGATTCCTAGGTATTTTATTCTCTTTGAAGCAATTGTGAATGGGAGTTCCCTCATGATTTGGCTCTCTGTTTGTCTGTTATTGGTATATAAGAATGCTTGTGATTTTTGTACATTGATTTTGTATCCTGAGACTTTGCTGAAGTTGCTTATTAGCTTAAGGAGATTTTGGGCTGAGACAACAGGGTTGTCTAGATATACAATCATGTCATCTGCAAACAGGGACAATTTGACTTCCTCTTTTCCTAATTGAATACCCTTTATTTCCTTCTCCTGACTAATTGCCCTGGCCAGAACTTCCAACATTATGTTGAATAGGAGTGGTGAGAGAGGGCATCCCTGTCTTGTGCCAGTTTTCAAAGGGAATGCTTCCAGTTTTTGCCCATTCAGTATGATATTGGCTGTGGGTTTGTCATAGATAGCTCTTATTATTTTGAGATATGTCCCATCAGTACCTAATTTATTGAGAGTTTTTAGCATGAAGGGTTGTTGAATTTTGTCAAAGGCCTTTTCTGCATCTATTGAGATAATCATGTGGTTTTTGTCTTTGGTTCTGTTTATATGCTGGATTACATTTATTGATTTGCATATATTGAACCAGCCTTGCATCCCAGGGATGAAGCCCACTTGATCATGGTGGATAAGCTTTTTGATGTGCTGCTGGATTTGGTTTGCCAGTATTTTATTGAGGATTTTTGCATCAATGTTCATCAAGGATATTGGTCTAAAGTTCTTTTTTGGTTGTGTCTCTGCCCGGCTTTGGTATCAGGATGATGCTGACCTCATAAAATGAGTTAGGGAGGATTCCCTCTTTTTCTGTTGATTGGAATAGTTTCAGAAGGAATGGTAACAGTTCCTCCTTGTACCTCTGGTAGAATTTGGCTGTGAATCCATCTGGTCCTGGACTCTTTTTGGTTGGTAAGGTATTGATTATTGCCACAATTTCAGAGCCTGTTATTGGTCTATTCAGAGATTCAATTTCTTCCTGGTTTAGTCTTGCGAGGGTGTGTGTGTCGAGGAATTTACCCATTTCTTCTAGATTTTCTAGTTTATTTGCTTAGAGGTGTTTGTAGTATTCTCTGATGGTAGTTGGTATTTCTGTGGGATCAGTGGTGATATCCCCTTTATCATTTTTTATTGCGTCTGTTTGATTCTTCTCTCTTTTCTTCTTTATTCATCTTGCTAGTGGTCTATCAATTTTGTTGATCCTTTCAAAAAACCAGCTCCTGGATTCATTAATTTTTTGAAGGGTTTTTTGTGTCTCTATTTCCTTCAGTTCTGCTCTGATCTTAGTTATTTCTTGCCTTCTGCTAGCTTTTGAATGTGTTTGCTCTTGCTTTTCTAGTTCTTTTAATTGTGATGTTAGGGTGTCAATTTTGGATCTTTCCTGCTTTCTCTTGTGGGCATTTAGTGCTATAAATTTCCCTCTACACACTGCTTTAAATGTGTCCCAGAGATTCTGGTGTGTTGTGTCTTTGTTCTCGTTGGTTTCAAAGAACATCTTTATTTCTGCCTTTATTTCGTTATGTACCCAGTAGTCATTCAGGAGCAGGTTGTTCAGTTTCCATGTAGTTGAGCGGTTTTGAGTGAGTTTCTTAATCCTGAGTTCTAGTTTGATTGCACTGTGGTCTGAGAGACAGTTTGTTATAATTTATGTTCTTTTACGTTTGCTGAGGAGAGCTTTACTTCCAAGTATGTGGTCAATTTTGGAATAAGTGTGGTGTGGTGCTAAGAAGAATGTATATTCTGTTGATTTGGGGTGGAGAGTTCTGTAGATGTCTATTAGGTCTGCTTGGTGCAGAGCTGAGTTCAATTCCTGGGTATCCTTGTTAACTTTCTGTCTCATGGATCTGTCTAATGTTGACAGTGGGTTGTTAAAGTCTCCCATTATTATTGTGTGGGAGTCTAAGTCTCTTTGTAGGTCACTCAGGACTTGCTTTATGAATCTGGGTGCTCCTGTATTGGGTGCATATATATCGAGGATAGTTAGCTCTTCTTGTTGAATTGATCCCTTTACCATTATGTGATGGCCTTCCTTTGTCTCTTTTGATCTTTGTTGGTTTAAAGTCTGTTTTATCAGAGACTAGGATTGCAACCCCTGCCTTTTTTTGTTTTCCATTTGCTTGGTAGATCTTCCTCCATCCTTTTATTTGGAGCCTATGTGTGTCTCTGCACGTGAGATGGGTTTCCTGACTACAGCACACTGATGGGTCTTGACTCTTTATCCAATTTGCCAGTCTGTGTCTTTTAATTGGAGCATTTAGTCCATTTACATTTAAAGTTAATATTGTTATGTGTGAATTTGATCCTGTCATTATGATGTTAGCTGGTTATTTTGCTCATTAGTTGATGCAGTTTCTTCCTAGCCTCGATGGTCTTTACAATTTGGCATGATTTTGCAGTGGCTGGTACCGGTTGTTCCTTTCCATGTTTAGTGCTTCCTTCAGGAGCTCTTTCAGGGCAGGCCTGGTGGTGACAAAATCTCTCAGCATTTGCTTGTCTGTAAAATATTTTATTTCTCCTTCACTTATGAAGCTTAGTTTGGCTGGATATGAAATTCTGGGTTGAAAATTCTTTTCTTTAAGAATGTTGAATATTGGCCCCCACTCTGTTCTGGCTTGTAGAGTTTCTGCTGAGAGATCCGCTGTTAATCTGATGGGCTTCCCTTTGTGGGTAACCCGACCTTTCTCTCTGGCTGCCCTTAACGTATTCCTTCATTTCAACCTTGGTGAATCTAACAGTTGTGTGTCTTGGGGTTGCTCTTCTCGAGGAGTATCTTTGTGGCATTCTCTGTATTTCCTGAATTTGAATGTTGGCCTGCCTCACTAGGTTGGGGAAGTTCTCCTGGATAATATCCTGAAGAGTGTTTTCCAACTTGGTTCCATCTCCCCATCACTTTCAGGTACACCAATCAGACGTGGATTTGGTCTTTTCACATATTACCATATTTCAGATATGGTACATAAAAGCTATTTGTTTTTAGGGTAGTGGGATTATGGGTAATAGTTAATTTTTAAAAATTGGACTATCTTTACGATTACTATTAAAAGTAGAAAGTGTTTTGTAATTGAGGGTTCTTTGCTTATCTGTGTAATATGAGATGACCAAATCAGTGGTGCATGAGAAGGGTCAATTTTGTTGTACAAATGCCTGAAGAAGAGCTGGATATAACATTTTGTTCAGAGCCAATTAGCTGTGATTTTTTTATCTGAAATGTTACAGCTTATTTTTCAAGCCTAAATTCTCTCTGTGCTATGGGGTTACTTCAGGCAGTCTCAATGTATGACCAAAGGCAGAGTGTTTAATTTGCTGATAATTATTACAGGCCCCTATAATTCATAAGTATATTTTTAGATTGGGGAGGGGAGGAGGAAGCAAACATTTTGTATAACTGTCATAATTTGCACATTATTACAATAAATATTTTACAGTTAATTAAAATGTTCTAAATTAGAGAACTATGTTACGTATGAATTTTAATATATTATTAGACTATTAAATTTAGTCTTCATTATTTTCTTAGCTTACCAGTTGTGAAAGTGTAATAACAAATGGGCTGTTTGCTGTAATTGCTCTTTGCTGTAATTAATTTATAGGTTCCATGTTAAGGAAGCTATTCTGCTTAGAAACATTTGAAAGTTTTAAGTGCTGACTAGGAAATTTTAAAATGTTATATTATCTGAAAAAGATTTTCTTGACAGACAAATCAGCATCTCTGCCAGGTTTTGCATCATTATTTTTGGCAGGATAATTAGCTGTAATGCCAGAATTCAGATATATGGTAGTTGGAGTTATAGATGATCCAAAAATTCATTCTCAAACTGTGATTTATCTCACAACCATAGGAAGTAGGGTGTAGATTACAAATAACTAGGTGTGTACGTGGTTTTAAAGCTACCCAAATAAAAATAGGTAGCCTAATAAAAAGATGAGAGCTTTTGAACTATTATAACTTTGATTATTTTAAGTTAACAAAACATTCAAAGTCTTAGCACTCTGTCAAGATTTTGGCAGTACATAATGGTATATATACAGTACAGTAATGCTCAGCATTTCTTGAGGGAAAAGGTATAACTTTGGACAGTTTCTGACATATGTATCTTTTACCCATGAGGGAGTAGTTGAAGTTACAGCCTAAAGGAGTTAACTGGTAGAATAAGATTTCTGAGGAGGTGGTTAGTAAGGCCAACTTAAATGGTTGTGCATAAGGATACTGGGCCAAGTGGGTGAGGAGGGACTGAAATTGTGTGCTTTGTCTGCTAAACCTGTGCCCTTGTGTAGAGATTGTGTACCTAGAGGAGGAGCCTTTCTCTTAACAAAGTGTAACAGCATGAGCCCTCAGAGGCTCTGGTGGACAGAGATGAGTTCCAGAGGCCAGAAGTGATTGATTCCTGTTCCGTAATGATAGTAGGAGTGTAGAAAGGAAAATCTAAAGAGTCTCCTTCAAATATTTGTTTAATATTTTATTCAGAGTAAGGAGATATTTACTTTCTAGTAAGAAATATTGCATACCTCTGTATGTTCATAATAAAAGATTTATTAACATGCACAGAACATAGTTTAATATTTTAATTTATATGTATTTTTAAAAACTCATTGATATACTACCACTGAAAATTAGGTAACATTATTTATTCACACTCATTAAGGATTGGGGTAGTGGCCTATACTTGATCTGACTCCTCCCTCCCTTTTTGAAGTCATCTCCTGTAATTTACTTCCTTGTTCATTTCAGCCACAGAGAGGTCCTTGTTTCTGTTTTTGGTACTTGCCATTTTCCTCTGCTTAGAATGTGCTGTTCTCTACTCTTCTCTATCTTTGCATGGCTATTTCCTTTTTATCCTTTAGGTCTTTTGTACCTCAGTGTGGCTTTTCCTTACTTTTAATCTCTATTGGCAACTTCTTTATCCCCAGTCTTCTCTATGTGTCCCCCTATGTTATTCTAAAAATAGTGTTTATTATGTATCATCTTCATTTATAAGTTTGGTATCTGTTCCTCCTAGAATGTAAATCCCACAAGAGCAGGGACCTTGTTTGTCCTGTTTACCATTATATCCTTGGTTTCCCAGAACTGTACCTGGTATATAATTGGTGCTCAATAATATTGTTGAATACATTATTAAAGTCGAAAACTCTTGTTCAAAATATATTTTCAGGTTACTTTTATGGTTTTTGTGTTGGCAACATGCTTCTCACTTTTCTGTATTTTTTTCTTTAATCAGTTTTCTTGTGCTGTTTTCTGAACCAGACAGCTTCCTGTGAGGCATATTAAAGATTTCAAATTTAAATTTAAAAAATAAATTACTTGCTCCTGGTAAATAGCACCGTGCAATGCATGGTTTAATTTCAAGTTTTCTGGAGATTGTGACTATCAGTTTTAAGTCCCTGTTAACCATCTGGATCAGGATTGGTGGTACAACCTTCAGTAGTACTGTATAGTACAGTCTGCAAAAATATTTGATGAGGATAGGTTGATGTTGGCAAGAGGTATTAAAATTTTTTTTAAAAATGCTTTCAACTTTGAGGACTTAGGGACCATTACACATTTGCCTGGTTATGAAGCAGTTGCATTAAATGGTTCTTTATTATCAGTTTATTCCAGTGATGTTATAGTGCCACTTGAAGACTGGTGCTCAGGCTTCTATTTGGTCAGTCAACCCTTTAATCCAGCTCCGAGAAATGGATAGTTATGGGTATATGTCACTTTAAGTGTGATAGCGAGAATTCGAGGAGTTCTTAGCTGATGTCTTTTACTAAAATAGCAGGCAAGGTCATTTGCTGAGACCAAGCAGAGAAACAGCAGGATGGGAGGTGTCAGGAAAGTAAAGAAGAATGGGAGGGAACTGACTAGGGAAGTGAAGAAGGGTTGTTTGGTAGAGCTGAGAACCAAACTGAGATAGGTAACTGTGCATTTTCAGTGGTACCAGTCTGTTCATTTGTGTGAACAACTGGAATGGTAAATATCATAAACAGTTTTTTTTTTAGTTCTTTAGTAAATGTTTTACAGTTGAAATAAAAAATAACACTGTCTAATGGGGTTTTCAATGTGTATAGATATATAGATAACTATAACACAAAGGGGAGAGCAAAAGGACCTATATGATGGTAATGTTTCTGTAGTCTACTTTAATTGTTAAATTGTGATTCTAAGAAGACTGAGTAGTTTTTATTGTAATCCCTAAAGCTACCACTAAAAAAGATACAAAGATATATAGTAATAGCACAATAGATAAATTTAAATCAAATACTAAATAGTATTCAAATTGTCAAAAAGGCAGGAAATGGGAAACAGAAGAAAACAGAGACAAACAGAAAACAATAAAATGGTAGTCCTAAATCCAAACATATCTGTATCTATATCTATATGCATATAAGTGGTCTAAATACAAGAACTAAAATACAGCAATTGTCAGATTCAATAATAATAATAAAAAGACCCCACAATATCTGTCTATACAAGAAACCCACTTTAAATACAATGATACAGACAGATTAAAACAAGAGGATGGAAAAAGATATACCTTGCAAATACTAATCAAAAGATACTTGGATGATACCTCACCAAATAGATTTCAGTACAAGGAAAATTAGTAGGTGCATTACGTACTGATAAAGGGGTCTATTTGCCAAGAAGACTCTACCAATTTAAAACAACTGTGTGCCTAACAACAGTGCTTTGAAATTCATGGAGCAAAAACTGGTAGAAAGGAGAAATGGGAAAATCCACTTGTAGGTGGAGACTTCAAGACTCCTTTCCTATCCACTCCAATCACTATCCTAAGTGATGAAGAAAGAAGAGAGAGGCCGGGCATGGTGTCTCACACCTGTCATCCCAGCACTTTGGGAGGCCGAGGTGGGCAGATCACTTGAAGTCAGGAGTTCGAGACCAGCCTGGCCAACATGGTGAAACCCCGTCTCTACTAAAAGTACAAAAATTAGCCAGGTGTGGTGGTACATGCCTGTAGTCTCGGCTACTCGGGAGGCTGAGGCAGGGGAATTGCTTGAATCTGGGAGGCAGAGGTTGCAATGAGCCAAGATCATACCACTGCACTCCAGCCTGGGTGACAGAGTGAGAGTCTGCCTCAAAAAAAAAAAAAAAAAAAAAAAGAGAAGATCAACAATTGAATAACATCATCAATCAACTAGATCTAATTGAATTTAAAGAACATATCACCCAAGAGAGCCAAATATATATTCTTTTCAAATACTCATGGAACATACCAAGATAAGGGGTCAGCAAATATTTTGTGTAAAGTGCCAGATAGTAAATATTTTAAGCATTGTGAGCCGTGTGGTCTGTGTCACAACTACTCAGTTCTGTCATTGTAGTGCAAACTCAGCCTTAGATAATTCATAAATAAATGGGTGTGACTATGTTCCAATAAAAGTTTATACATTGACACTGACATTTGAATTTCATGTAATTTTCACATCATGAAATATTCTTCTTTTGATATTTTCAGTCATTTAAAATATAAATATAATCCCTAGTACATGGGCCATACAAAAATTGTCAGCGGCTGGGTTTGGTGCAAAGGCCGTAGTTTGCACTCCCCTGACCAAAATAAACAATATTCTGGTTCATAAAACAAACCTTAACACATTTAAAAACATTGAAATCCTGCAAAGTCTGTTCTCTGGCAGTAATGGATTTAAACTAGAAAAATATCAAAAAAAGATATCTAGAAAGTCTGAAAATATTTAGAAAGTAAACAACATAGTTCTAAATAACTCATGGGTCAAAGACATCTCATGAGAAATTGACATAGTTTGAATTAAATGAAAATACAACATAACATAATTTGTGGGATACAGAATACAGGGAAATTTATAGCACTAAAAATAGACAGAAATTTATTATTTTTATTTCTATTTTTATTTTTGAGACAGAGTCTCACTCTGTCTCCCAGGCTGGAGTGCAGTGGCATGATCTCAGCTCACTGCAACCTTTGCCTCCCAGGTTCAAGTGATTCTGGTACCTCAGCCTCCCAAGTAGGTGGGACTACAGGCACGCACCACCACAATGCCTGACTAATTTTTGTATTTTTAGTGGAGACGGGGTTTCACCATGTTGGGCAGGCTAGTCTCGAAACTCCTGACCTCAGGTGATCTGCCCACCTTGACTTCCCAAAATGCTGAGATTACAGTCATGAGCCACTGTGCCTGGCCTAAAAATAGAGGGAAATTAATAGAATTAAACGCTTATGTTAGAGGCGTTTAAACCGGAGCAACTCCATCTTGAATAGGAGCTGGGTAAAATGAGGCTGAGACCTACTGGGTTGCATTCCCGGATGGTTAAGGCACTCTAAGTTACAGGATAAGATAGGAGGTTGGCACAATATATAGGTCATAAAGACATTGCTGATAAAACAGGTTGCAGTAAAGAAGCCAGCAAACCCCTCCAAAACCAAGATGGTGATGAGAGTAACCTCTGGTTGTCCTCACTGCCACACTCCCACCAGTACCATGACAGTTTACAGATGCCATGGCAACATCAGGAAGTTACCCTATATGGTCTAAAAGGAGAGGCATGAATAGTCCACCCCTTGTTTAGCGTATAATCAAGAAATAACCATAAAAATGGGCAACCAGCAGCCCTCAGGCTGCTTTGTCTATGGAATAGCTATTCTTTTATTCCTTTACTTTCTTAATAAACTTGCTTTCACTTTGCTCTATGGACTCTCCCTGAATTCTTTCTTGCACAAGATCCAAGAACCCTCTCTTGGGGTCTGGATCCAGATGCCTTTCCTGTAACACTTAGAAAAGAACAACTTGGCTGGGCGTGGTGGCTCATGCCTGTAATCCTAGCACTTTGGGAGGCCGAGGTGGGTGGATCATGAGGTCAGGAGTTCGAGACCATCCTGACCAACATGGTGAATCCCCGTTTCTAGTAAAAATACAAAAATTAGCAGGGTGTGGTGGTGCGCACCTGTAATCCCAGCTACTCGGGAGGCTGAGGCAGAGGAATTGCTTGAACCCGGGAGGCGGAGGTTGCAGTGAGCTGAGATCGCACCACTGCACTCCAGCCTGGGCAACAGAGCGAGACTCCAGAGCAAGACTCCATCTCCAAAAAAAAAAAAAAAACAACTCAACTCAATAATCTAAGCTTCTGTCTTTGGATTTTCCATATAGACAGTTTTCTTCTTTTCATTATGCTACTGTATGATTTTCTAGTTG
The DNA here is from genome assembly GCF_000001405.40 of Homo sapiens. NCBI lineage: Eukaryota > Metazoa > Chordata > Mammalia > Primates > Hominidae > Homo > Homo sapiens. The sequence continues at coordinate 63,098,580 of NC_000002.12, forward strand.
ATTTGCTATTCCTTTTATCTTGTTCATTCTTTTTTTTTTTTTTTTTTTTTTTTTCTGAGACAGAGTCTCGCTCTGTTGCCCAGGCTGGAGTGCAGTGGCGCGATCTCGGCTCACTGTAAGCTCCGCCTCCTGGGTTCATGCCATTCTCCTGCCTCAGCCTCCTGAGTAGCTGGGACTACAGGCACCTACCACCACGCTCAGCTAATTTTTTGTATTTTTAGCAGAGACAGGGTTTCACCATTCACAGGATAGTCTTGATCTCCTGACCTCGTGATCTGCCCACCTCAGCCTCCCACAGTGCTGGGATTACAGGCGTGAGCCACTGCGCCCGGCCTTATCTTGTTCATTCTTAAGGTCTGGGTCCTTACCCCAACTTTCTATTTGCTCTACTGCAATATGGATGAATTTTTCTAGACTTCTCTGTGACCAGTTTGTCTTTTCTGAGCTACAGTTTGGTGGTTGGATAATGCCTTGTACCTGCTTTCTGTACTCGTAAAGTTGGGAATGTGAGGGGAGTAGGGAGAGTTATTCAGCTGAGGTTTTGCAAGTTTTTGTAAAGGACATGGGTTTTGTTTCCTCTTTCAGGTTTTATTAAGTGTCCTTGACCAGGGTTCATTCCTCCTGATGAGTGGGTATCCTTTTCCTGTGTGGGATGTGCTCAGGGTTGACATGTTTTCCTCCAATGTGTTATGTAACTCTAGTGCCTTTTCTTCCATTAGGGAAAAACATCCTACCCCATTTTACTTACTCATTTCCATCTCAATACTTATAGTTTATAACAATTCACATTCCTTTTGTGTTTGGTTTTGGTAAATTCCTATTTAATGTTGGGTATAGTTGGTTGGGTAAATTCCTATTTAATGTTGGGTAAAATAGCCTGTATTTTAAATGATGCGTCTGAGAGTACCTCATTTCCTCGCTAGAATCTAGCTTTTTTATGTAGAGTTTGTCTACTCTAAAAATATTTTCATCTGGGTGTGGTGGCTCACGCCTGTAATCCCAGCACTTTGGGAAGCCAAGGTGAGTGGATCACTTGAGGTCAGGAGTTTGAGACCAGCCTGGCCAACATGGTGAAACCCTGTCTCTACTAAAACTACAAAAATAAGCTGGGTGTGGTGGTGCATGCTTGTAGTCCCAGCTACTTGGGAGGCTGAGGCAAGAGTATTGCTTGAACCTGGGAGGCGGAGGTTGCAGCGAGCCCAGATTGCACCACTGCCCTCCAGCCTGGGCTACAGAGTGAGACTCTGTCTCAAAATAAATAAATAAATAAATAAATAAATAAATATAAATAAAAAGATAGTTTTGGTTTCTTTTCCATGAGCCACTTACTCACTTATTCATTTCCTCAGTCTGCTTTTTTCCAAATTGGGGCACCAGTGAGAAACCTCATAATTTTTATTTTTGTTACCAAAATAAATAAATTTAATTAATTATAATGTGCAGCAATAAAATATTTTACATATTTATGGGATACATATGAGTATTTTTACATGTATAGACTATAATGATCAAGCCAGGGTATTTGGGGTATCCATCACCTTGGGTATTTATCATTTCTAAGTGTTGGGAACATTTCACATCTGCTCTTCTAGCTACTTTGAAATATGCAATATATTGTTGCTAACTATAGTCACCCTACTCTGCTATTAAATATTGGAGCTTATTTCTTCTATCTAACTGTATGTTTGTACCTACTAACCAACCTCTCTTTATGCCACTCTCCCACCCACACTCACCCCACTCTCTGGTATCTATCATTCTATTCACTACCTCTGTGGGACCAACATTTTTAGCTCCTACATATGAGTGAGAACACATTATCTGTCTTTGTGTGTTTGGTGTTTGGTTTTGCTAAATTCCTGTTTATTGTTGGGGATAGTTAGCACTGCCTGTATTTTAAATGATGTGCCTGAGAGTTTGTGTGTCTGGCTTATTTCCCTTAACATAATGTCCTCCAGTTCCATTTATGTTGTTGCAAATGACAGGAATTCATTCTTCGGGCTGACTAGTATTCCATTGTGTATATATACCACCATTTCCTTTATTCATTTATCTGTTGATAGACACTTAGGTTGGTTCCATATAATGGTGCCATATAATATGCCAGTGCAGGTATCCTTTTGATATACAGATTTCTTTTCCTTGGATAAATATCCATTAGTGGGATTGCCAGATCATAGGGTAGTTCTGTTTTTAGTTTTCTAAAAAATGTCCATACTGGTTTTCATAGTGGTTTTACTAATTTACATTCCCACCAACTGTGTATAAGAATTCCCTTTTCTCAGCACCCTCACCAGCATCTGTTATTTTTTGTCTTTTTAATAACAGCCATTCTAACTGGGGTAAGATGATCTCTCACTGAAGTTCTCATTTGCATTTCCCTGATAATTAGTGATGTTGAACTTTTATCTTCATAAACTTCTTAGCCATTTGTTTGTCTTCTTTTAACAAATGTCTATTCAGATCCTTTGCCCATTGTTTCAGGGGATTTTTTTTCCTGTTGTTTGAATTTCTTGTATATTCTGGATGTTAGTTTATTAGGTGAATAATTTGCAAATATTTTCTCCCATTCAACAAGTTGCCTCTTCACTCTGTTGATTGTTTCCTTTGCTGTGCAGGAGCTTTTTGGTTTAATATAGTCCCATTTGTCTATTTTTGTTTTTATTGTCTGTGCTTTTGAGGTCTTAGGCATAAAATCTGCCTACCAATTGTCCTTAAGTGTTTCCCCTATGTCTTCTTCCAGTAGTTTTATGGCTTGGGGTCTTATATTTAAGTCTTTAATTAATCTTGAGTTGATTTTACACGTAGAGAAGGGTCCAGTTTCATTCCTGTGTGTATAGATATTCAGTTTTCCCAGCACCATTTATTCAAGATCGTGTTCTTTCCCCAATATATGTTCTTGGTGCCTTCATTGAAAATTAGTTGGCTGTAAACATGTGGATTTATTTCTTGGTTCCCTCTTCTGTTTCATTGGTCTGTATGTCTGATTTTATACCAATACCATGCTGTTTTGGTTACTATAGCCTTTTAATATATTTTGAAGTCAGGCAATGTGATGCCTCTCACTTTGTTTGCTCAGGATTGCTTTGGCTATTCATGCTCCTTTCTTGTTCCATATGAATTTTAGGATTTTTTTTTAATTCTATAAAAAAGACATTGGTATTTTGATAGGGATTATATTGAATCTATAGATTGCTTTGGGCAGTTTAGTCATTTTAATGAGATTAATTCTTCCAGTCCATGAGCATGGGATGTCTTTCCATTTGTTTGTGTGTGTACTCTTCAATTTATTTCATTAATGTTTTGTTGTTTTCCTGGTATACATATTTCACCTCCTTGGTTAGAAGCATTACTAGATTTTTTTTTTTGTAACTATTTTAAATGGGATTGCTTTCTTGATTGCTTTCTCAGCTAGTTGATTATTGGTATATGGAAACTACTGATTTTTTTATGCAGATTTTGCATACAATTATTGAATTTATTAATCTAATCCAGGAAGTTTTTGGTGGAATCTTTAGGTTTTTCTAAATATAGGATCATATCAGTAAAGGAGTACAATTTGACTTCCTCTTTTCCAATCTGGATGCCTTTTATTTCTTTCTCTTGCCTGGTTGCTCTGGCTAGGACTTACATTATGACATTGAATAGAAGTGGTAAAAGTGGACAGCCTCGTCTTTTTCTAGATCTTGGAGAAAAGGCTTTTAGCTTTTTTCCCGTTCAGTATGATGTTAGCAATGTGTTTGTTATACTTGGTCTTTATTATTTTGAGGTATGTTTCTTCTATTCCTAGTTTGTTGAGAGTTTTTACCATGAAGGGATGTTGAATTTTATCAAATGCCTTTTTTCTGCATCTATTAAGATGATCATATTTTTTTTTCCTTCATTCTGTTGATGTGATATGTCACATTTATTGACGTTTGCATATCTTGAACCATCCTTGCATCACTGGTATAAATCCCACTTGGTCATGGTCTATTGCCTTTTTGCTGGGTTGCTGGATTCAGTTTGTTACAATGTTGTTGAGGATTTTTATATCTATGTTCATCAGGGATATTGGCCTGTCATTTTCCTTTTTTATTGTGTTATTGTCTGGTTTTAGTATCAGGGTGATGTTGGCCTCTTAGAACGAGTTAGGGAGAGCTTCCTCTTCAGTGTTCTAGGATAGTTTCAGGAAGATAGGTATTAATTCTTCTTTCTACAGTAATAGAATTTGACTGTGAGTATATCCAGTCCTGGGCTTTTCTTTGGAGACTTTTTATTACTAATTCAATCTTGACACTCATTACTGGTCTGCTCAGGTTTTTGATTTTTGTTGTTGTTGTTTTTTTTGAGATGGAGTCTCACTCTGTCAACCAGGCTGGAGTGCAATGGTATGATCTCGGCTCACTCAACCTCTGCCTCCCAGGTTCAAGCAATTCTCCTGCCTCAGCCTCCTGAGTTGCTGGGATTACAGGCATGTACCAACATGCATGCTAATTTTTGTATTTTTAGTAGAAATGAGGTTTCACCATGTTGGTCAGGCTGATCTCAAACCTCTGGCATCAAGTGATCTGCCCCTGTTGGTCTCCCAAAGTGCTAGGATTACAGGCATGAGCCAGCACACCCAGCCTGCTCAGGTTTTCTATTTCTTCTTGATTCAGTCTTGGTAGCATGTATATTTTCAGCAATCTATTCATTTCCTCTAGGTTTTTCAGTTTGTTAGTGTAGAGTTGTATATAATAGTCTGTGATCTTTTGTATTTCTGTGGTATCAGTTGTACTGTTTCATTTTTCTGATTTTGTTTATTTGAGTCTTCTCTCTTTTTTTTTCTTGGTTAGTCTAACTAGCAGTTTAGCAATTTTGTTTATCTTTTTGAAGAACCAGCTTTTCATTTTGTTGCTCCTTTGTATTGTTTTCTTAGTCTCTATTTTGTTTAGTTCTGCTTTGATCTTTATTCTTTCTTTCTGCCAATTTGGGGATTGGCTTGTTCTTGGTTTTCTAGTTCCTTTAATTGTATTGTTAGGCTGGTTTTTTTTGAAATGTTTCTACCTTTTTGATGTAGGTATTGTAATAAAATTCCCTCTTTGCTGTAACCCAATGGTTGTTCAGGAGCATGTTGTTTAATTTTCCACATATTTGCATAGTTTCCAAAGTTCCTCTTGGTGTTGATTTCTACTTTTATTTTATTGTGGTCTGAGAAGGCACTTGATATCATTTAGATTTTTTAAAAATGTTGACTTCTTTTGTGGCCTAACATATCTTAGAGACTGTTCCATGTGCTGATAAGAAGAATGTATATTCAGCAGTTGTTTGATAAAATGTTCTGTAAATGTCTTTAGGACCATTTGGTCTAAAGTCCAGTTTAAATTGAATGCTTCTTTGTTGATTTTCTGTGTACATGATCTGACTAATGCTGAGAATAGAGTGTTGAAGTTCCTTACTATTATTAAATTGGAGTCTATCTCTCTCTTTAGATCTAGTAATATTGCTTTATGAATCTGTGCTGCAGTATTGGGTGCACATATGTCTAGAATTATTATATCCTCTTGTGGGATTGATACCTTTATCATCATATAATGACATTCTACATCTTTTAAAAATGTGTTTGACTCGAAGTCTGTTTTCTCTGATGTAAGTATAGATTCTTCTGCTTGCTTCTGGTTTCTGTGTATACGGAATATTTTTTTCCATTCCTTTGCTTTGAGTCTATATTTGTCTTTACAGGGGAAGTGCATTTCCTGTAGGCAGCATATAGTTGGTCCCTGTTTCTTTATCCATTCAGCCAGTCTCTATCTTTTAAGTGGAGAATTTAATCTGTTTACATTCAAGGTTATTATTGACATGTGAGGTTTTTTATTTGTTCTTGTTAATTGTTTTCTTGTGGTTTTCTGTATTCTTTGTGTTTTTTTTCTTTTTCTGTTATTGCTGGTTATTGTAGTTTGATAGTTTTCTATAGTGATACCTTTTGAGTCCTTTCTCTTCTTTATTTGTATTTGGTTTATGAGTGAGTTTTATAGTTTCATGTGTTTTCTTGATGATAAATGTCATCCTTTCATTTCCAGGTTTAGGACTTCCTTGAGCATTTTTTATAGATCTGGCCCAGGGGTGATGAATTCCCTTAGTGTTTGCTTGTCTGGGAAAGACCTTATTTCTTCATTTATGAAGGCTTATTTTGGTGGATATAGTATCCTTGCTTGGCAGTTTCTTTCTTTCAGCTTGTTGAATATGTCATTCCATTCTCCTCTGGGGTGTAAGGTTTTAGCTGAGAAATCCAGTGATGGGGTTTCCTTTATAGATATATCGATACTTGCCTCTTTCTGTTTTTAGAATCCTGTCTTTGTCTTTGACTTTAGACATTTTGATTATAACGTGCTGTGGAGTAAGCCTTTTTGCATTTTATCTGTTGGGGGAATCTCTGAACTTCCTGGATCTGCATGTCAGTCTCCTGCCAGACTTGGGAAGTTTTTATCAATTATTTTGTCAAATAGGTTTTCTAGGCCTTTCATTCTCCCTTTGCCCTTGGGGACACCAGTCATTCAAATATTTGGTTGCTTTATGTTGTCCCAGATGTCACAAAGGCTTTGCTTATTCCTTTAAATCCTTATTTTTTCTTTATTTTTCTCTCATTGGACTATTTCAAAAAACCCGTCTTCAAGTTCTGAGATTCTTTCTTCTGCTTAAACTAGTCTATTGTTGAAGCTTTTGAATGTATTTTGTATTTCAATTAATTCTCCATTCCAGAATTTGTTTGATCCTTTTAAAAAATATCTATCTGGTAGATTTCTCATGCATATCCTGAATTGTTTTTCGAATTTCTTTGTATTGTTTTTCAGAATTTTCTTGTATCTCATCGAGCCTCTCTAAATGAGCATTTTGAATTCTTTGTCTAAGGTTTAACGAATTTCTTTTTAATTGGTATCTGTTGCTAGAGAATTATTGTGTTTCTTTGGGGGTGTCATATTTCTTTGCTTTTTGTGATTCTTATGTTCTTTTATTGATATCTGTACATCTGGTGTAACTGTTGCTTCTTCCACATTTTTGAATTTGCCTTTGTAGTGGAGGACTTTTTCCTGAAGATGTATCTATGACCTTGGTTGGGTAGGGCACTTTGGTGTTGATTCAGGTGCATGCAGTAGTGTAGTTCCTGTATGGTTTCTTTGGCTATAAACAGTGTTAGTGGTACCTGTGACTTCTGTGTAGCTTAGGTGCAATTATTAGTGGAGGTTGTGCTGAAGTTTTGCTCAGGACTGGGATGCCAGGTAGGCCAGTCTTTGGGCCCCAGGGGTGGCAGTGGTAGACTGAAGTGATTATCCTCGAGCCCTGGAGTGGTGTATGCTGATTCTAGCATTAGTGGGTCCAGATGGCTGGTTCCTGGGCCTCCAGGTGGTTTGCTTGGATGCTGGCACTGGCAGTGGTAGGCCAGGCATGTGGGGATGTTCTTGGGCTCCTGGGCAGCAGGTGTGATGTGGGTGATGGTAGTGGCAGTGGTGGGGCAAATCACTGGAACCCAAGTGGTTCAAGCTGCTGTTGGTGGTGGCTGCAATGGGTTGGGAAGACCAATCCTCTGATCCACAGGTGGCATATGTGTTTGGGTGCCAGCTGTGGTGGTATTGACCAGTTGCATCAGCCTGATCTCAGACCTCAGGAGGAGTGCTCAGATGTCAACAGTGATGGGCTGGGTTGGGCAATTTTTAGGCACCTGGACAGCATGCTCAAGTGTTAGGGGGACACACTGGTCCAGCAGACTTGTTATCAGGTCCCTGGTAGTGTGTTTAGGCACTAGCTATGATAATAGGGGTGGAGTTGTCTCTAGGCCACTGGAAAAATGCTCAGATAGGGACAGTGGCAACTGTGCTGCAGAAGCCTGCCACTGGGGAAAGTGGGGCCACTCTCAGTGGGAGCAGCAAACGCAGACAGTTCTGGAGTGTATGATTTTCTTGCACTTCAGTCCTGCAACAGCTTGCAGCAGCAGCAGTCATCGGATTTGTCTTTGGGGCACATGAAAGTGCTCAGCCTCCCCTCTCCCTCCTTGGCCTGGGAGTAGCAGCAGTAGCATCGGCTCCAGGGCAGGACACAGTCCTTTCGGGACTAGGGTCTCAGAATGGTGCCTTGTGGTAGCTACTCAAGGCTTAGGGGCCTGTGGGTCACAGTGTCAGCTCCCTCTCTGTAGCAATGCCTCTGCACAATCTTTAGGCAGCTCCCTATGTGAGTCTCAAGGCCCATGAGTGTCAAGGGGCTCTCCTCTAGCTAGGATTGTAAGAGTTTGTGGCAGGAGTGTGGACCCTTGGGGTCTCTGACTTACCTTTTCTCTGTGTCACAGAGCTTCTCCTGGCTTCCAGTGCATCTTGGCCAAGGAGGCTGCCTCATTTCTGTCCTTTCCTTGCTTTCGGTGCTTCCTAGAACTTCTCGGTTGAATTCCAGTGTTTTCTCCTAGAGGATCTATTCTAACTGTAAGTATCTATATGATATTTGGTTCCTTTCCATGGATGAGGTGCATACTAGTAGGATCTAGTCAGTCATCTTGAATCAACTCGCCTCATGATTTTTCTGAAGCTGCTTCTTTTCTTAGAACCTCTTCTTTGGGATAGAGATTATAGCCATCCCACACATTTCCTTAGTTATTATTTTTTGAAGATTCATAGCATATCGTTTAGCCTTTACTGTTTGTTTTTTTTTGCCATTTAAAGTACTCTTAAATTGCTTTTGTTAGGCTTTGACAAAGAGAAACTGTGATGTGGTTTTACTCTGCCTTCCAACCAGCTCTCGGAAGACCTATAATTTTTGTACTTAGAAAAATTAATAAAGATATTTCTACTTTAGAAGGTAGAATATAAAGTTTTCAAAAAATAAAATGAGACATATTTGAAAAATTGTTCACAATATAATAAGTGCAATGAAAATAGCTTGTCAAATTTACAAAGAAAAATGAAACCGATATATTGAGGATTCAGTTTAAAAAATGCCACATACAAACATGTTTCCTCAGAATTTATAAAACTTCGTGGAAAACAATGTGGTAATGTATTTTACAATTCTTAAAAATACTTATTTTCTTTCACACAACATTCCAGTTTGTCCTAAGGAAATAACCAGAAATATGTATATATAAACAACAAAAAGACATTAGTATTAATATAAACCTTAAACTGAAAAGTGATTAAAATGTTAATCAACAGATAAATGTTTAAGTGTAATTACAAAATGCTCATTACAAAAAACAGGATGGTAAACTATACATATTATGTGACCCTAGTTTTATAAGAAAAATATATTTATAATGACAATGAAAGGAAGCACACATTTTTTATTTTATTTTTTAATAACTTACGTAATTTTTTCAAATGTTCCATCATGAATATATATTCTTAAATTTAGAGGAAAAATAATAAGATTAAGAGATATCTGTTCTCTGATGGTTCTAGAGCTGGGAAGGGTTGCAGTGGAAGAAAGGTTGGTTAATGGGTATAAAATAGATGGAAGGAAAAAGTGCTAGGGTTGTATAGCACAGTAGCATGACTATAGTTAACAATAATCCCACTGGGCCTTGTGTTTAAGAGCAGGGTCTCTGAAGCCATCCTTGTTGAAGACAGTTTTGCCCAAGGGGATATCACAGAGTATTTGTGGGCATGAAATGATTGTATTTATAAATTTGCGCAACAGACTTGATCTTTGACCTTTTGGTGATCTTCTTGCCTATGGCACCTGTCACTTTGTAGGGACAGTGGTCAATTCCAGACACCAGAGATACGGTTGTAGGGGTGATCTGAAGTGCCGTCATCGATGTTCTACATGATGATGTGTTGGCTTTGAGTCCAGAGTAGCATCAGGCCAGGACCAGCACCACTCTCCCAGGTTTCACAAACTTGCCCATTTCGACAACAACCAAGTAGGCCTACATCAGAAAGGAAGAAGGGGCACTTCTGCTAACTGTATATTTCAAAAAAGTTAGAAGATTTGAGATGTTCCCAAAACAAATTATAAATGTTTGAGGTAATAGATATCCTAATTACCCTGATTTGATCATTGCACATTGTATGCATGTATAAAACTATCATATGTACTCCATACATTTGTATAATTATCAATAAACAAATTTAAGATATCTATTGCATATGAAAGAAATAAAAAGAAATGAATGCAAACTTAAGTATTCATAAGAGGATAAAAATATGAGTTTAAAGTGATAAGATAGCAAAAATGGTAAGACAATAATGTATGCTAAGATTAATCAATATAAGCCAATTAAAACCAGAAGGTAAAAGATTGAATAATAAAGTGATACAATGTTTAAATAATATAATAAAATAATCTAATATTAATGAATTTTAAAAACAAAATCACACTAAACTGAAAGAAGTAAATAAGGTAGATACCCAGATTAAATCTTCACGTTAACATTCTGTAAGAATGAGAATAAAAAGAGTTTTCTGAGCTGAGGAAGTTTCATAGCTTTAGTGACTGTCTGAAGATTGCTGAGAGGTAGAAGACAATATCTATTTAATGGTGCCATTTTCCCCTGGTTTCTCACACTTGAAAAAGCAGCAGCTCTTAGATATTTTAAAAGGAATATAAGGAGTTTTGGGGTTGTTTCTTTGTTGTCATGTTTTTGGAAGTTCTTAGTTACGGTCTCATCGTGACCATCTCAGAATGATAGCCTCAGACCCACAGTCTACATGACTTCTGGCTCTCCCACACGTAATTAAGTGTTCATGTTCTAATTCCAAATCCCCAAGAAAGAGTATCTAATTGCTTCAGTCATTTATGTTCTGGGGACAGGGTTGGGAGTGAAGGAACAGGGTCAAATAGTACAAAGGATCTGTTCCTTCCAGGGTTATAAGCAGGACAGATTCTCAAAGAAGAAATTATTGGCATCTCTGATACATGTTGTGAATAATTTTAATTTTTATATGTAATGTGAATAATCACAGATAAAGCAAAGGATTTTTTTTTAAGTCTCAGTGTCTTCCACTGTACTTGTGAATTATGTGAACACAGTAATGGTAGCTTCATAGAGTGGTCACAAAATGAGAACATATTGATGTCTAGATAGAATTATCTTAAGTAAATCTCTGGATTGAAGATTTCAGCATGTTCTCACTTATTTGTGGGATCTAAAAATCATGTCAATTGAACTCACGAACACAGAGAGTAGTAGGATGGTTACCAGATGCTGGGAAGCGTAGTAGGAGGTTAGGGAGGAAGTAGGGATGGTTAATAGGTACAAAAAAAAAAATAGAAAGAATGAATAAGACCTACTATTTGATAGCACAATTGGGTGACTATAGTCAATAATAACTTAAATTTATTTTTTAAATAACCTAAATAATGTAATTTGATTATTTGTAACTCAAAGAATAAATGCTTGAGGGGATACATACCCCATTTGTATGATGTGCTTATTTCACATTGCATGCCTGTATCAAAACATCTCATGTACCCTGTAAATATATACATCTACTCTGTACCCTCAAAAATTTTAAAAAGTTTTAAAAAATTATAAAATGTTATCAAATGATGATTTTAATTCTACCCCATAAAATTAAATAAGCATTGTATTTCACCTTTTAAAATAAGTCCATTCATGGTATGTAGATATTAAAACTAAATATTTTAGGAAAATTGCTTTTGTTCTATGTACATGTTTAGCATTACTTCCTGTGTAATTTTAAAATCTGAAATTCTTCTAGCATACAGAGTAAGTAGATTATGATATATTGAAGGATTAAGCTTCACTGTCTTGTGTCAGATTAATCTCTCAAACATAGATTGTCACTTGACCTGATAGAAATATGACTGTAATTCACCAAAAAAATTCAATGGATAAGTAACCATTTCATTATTTTATGTAGAATGAAGAATGTATGCTTCTTGACTGATTGTATAATTCTCCAAATTAAATTTAAATAAACCTCATAATCACGCATTTTTCTCAGAGTTTCATAAGGATTCATGGAAAAGGTATCTCTGATAGCTTATGTGGTGAAATAGAACAATATACATATTCTGTGATTCTTCCCACTTTATTAGGCTTAAAGTGTGTTAAAGTTACTGAATGAGGATAATTTTGTATTTTTATATAAAAGTTTCTGCATTATTTTAAACTTAAATTTTCTCATGAAACAAGTACAGATAAACTTTTGCATTTAAACAAAATAGTTAATACTATGAGAACATTACTCCATTTGCTTATATGTTTTTGAATGAAATAGGTAAAATTATATGCATATAAATGAATGTTAAAAGGGAGTGTGAAAAATAAAGATAGCAGTGAGGATTATAGTTTGAAATTAATGTGTATTTAATAGTTAAAGGAAATTTAAATAAAGTAAAGCAATGTGTTTTTGTCCTAACGGGAGGTTGCATGAAAGAATTTAAATGTATCATATTTAGGTAAATAGTTCAGCTATAGAGCAGAAATATTAACATAAAAAATTAATTAAAAAGTTGAAAATAAATAGGTGGGCACAGTGGCTCACGCCTGTAATCCCAGCACTTTGGGAGGCTGAGGCAGGAGGATAGTTTGAGTTCAGAAGTTTAAGACCAGCCTGGGTAACATAGTGAGACCCTGTCTCTATAAAAAAATTAAAAATTAGTCAGGTGTGGTGGCATGCACCTATAGTCCCAGCTTCTCAGGAGGCTAAGCCGGGAGAACTGTGTGAGCCTGGGAGGTGAGGCTGCAGTGAGCTGTGGTCGTGCCACTGCACTCCAGCCTGAGTGACAAAGCAAGACTCTGTCTCAAAAAAAAAGTTAAAAGTATTAATAAACTTTTACATAACACATGAACAATATTATGTAATTTATGTTAGAATCCATTGTAAGAGGATAAAGGAATACTGCTTTTTTCGAAAAGTTGAGAATAAAAGTAGAATACTGAACTAGATTGTTAAAATCTGATTTTTAAAATGAATTGTATTTTAAACGTCATGACTTGTTTTTTACAAGACCTAATTTTTTTTTTTTTAGACGGAGTCTCACTCTGTCACCCAGGCTGGAGTGCAGTGGCATGATCTCGGCTCACTGCAACCTCCACCTCCTGGGTTCAAGCGATTCTCCTGTCTCAGCCTCCTGAGTAGTAAACTTCATGACTTATTTTTTATAAGACCTAATTTTTTTTTTAGACAAGAGTCTTGCTCTGTCACCCAGGGTGGAGTGCAGTGGCATGATCTCGGCTCACTGCAACCTCCGCCTCCTAGGTTCAAGTGATCCTCCTGCCTCAGCCTCCCGAGTAGCTGGGACTACAGGCACATGCCGTCACACCCAGCTAATTTTTGTATTTTTAGTAGAGATGGGGTTTCACCATATTGGCCAGGCTGGTCTCGAACTCCTGACCTTGTGATCCACCAGCCTCGGCCTCCCAAAGTGCTGGGATTACAGGCATGAGCCACCGCGCCTGGCAAGACCTAATTTTTTTAGAGCAGTTTTAAGTTCACAACAAAGTTGAGAGGAAGGTACAGAGATTTCCCATATATGTACTGTCCCCACAGATGCAATAGCTTCCCCCCATCAACATCCCCCACCAGAATGGTGTATTTGTTACAGATGATGACTCTCCATTGATATATCATCACCCAAAGTCCATAGCTTATATTAGGGTTTACTCTTGATGTTGTACATTCTCTGGGTCTTGACAAATGTATGATGAGCTGTATCTACTCTATCGTATCATATAAAATAGTTTTACTGCCCTAAGAATCCTCTGTGCTCCACCTGTTCATCCCTCCTTTTCCTGTAACCCCTGGAACCCACTGATCTTTTTATTGTCTTCATAGTTTTCCAGAGTCCCCTTTTCCAGAATGTCATATTGATGGAATCATACATTATGTAGCCATTTCAGATTGACTTCTTTCACTTGGTATTATGCATTTAAGGTTTCTTCATGTCTTTTCATGGCTTGATAGCTAATTTATTTTAGTGTTGAATAATACTCCATTATTTGGATGTACTACAGTTTATCCATTCACCTACTGAAGGGCGTCTTGATTGCTTCCAAGTTTTGTTACTTATGAATAAAACTTTGATAAACATCCATGTGCAGCTTTTGTGTGGACATAATTTTTCCACTCTTTTGGATAAATACCAAGGAGCTCAATTGCTGAATGATATATATGGTAAGAGTATGTCTAGTTTTGTTGAGAAACCACAAAACTTTCTTCCAAACTGCCTGTACCATTTTGTGTTCCCATGTACAATAAATGATATTTCTTGTTCCACCTCCCTGCTAGCATTTGGTGCTATCAATGTTCTGGATTTTGGCCATTCTAATAAGTGTGCAGTGGTTATCTTCTTTTTTTAATTTGCATTTCCCTCATGACATATGATGTGGAGCATCTTTTCATATGCTTTTTTTTGCATCTCTATGTCTTCTTTGGTGAGAAGTCTGTTAAGGTCTTTGGTCCTTTTCTTTTTTTTTTTTTCTTTTTTTTGAGATGGAGTCTCGCTCTGTCGCCCAGGCTGGAGTATAGTGGTGCGGTCTCAGCTCACTGCCAGCTCCGCCTCCCGGGTTCACGCCATTCTCCTGCCTCAGCCTCCTGAGTAGCTGGGACTACAGGTGCCCGCCACCACGCCCAGCTAATTTTTTGTATTTTTAGTAGAGACGGCGTTTCACCGTGTTAGCCAGGATGGTGGTCCATTTTTTAATTGGGTTGTTTTCTTATTTTTGAGTTTTGGGAATTCTTTGTATATTTTGGATAATAGTCCTTTATGAGATAGGTCTTTTGCAAATATTTTCTCCTAGTCTGTGACCATGTTTTCATTCTCTTGGCAGTGTCTTTTGTAGAGCAGAAATGTTTAATTTTAATGAAATCCAGCTAATTGACTCTTTTCTTTTATAAATCATGTCTTCAGTGTCACATCTAAAAAGTCATCACCAAATCTAAGGTCATCTAGATTTTCTCCTGTTATCTTCTAGGAGTTTTATAGTTTTGTATTCTACATTAAGGCTTGTGATACATTTTGAGTTAATTTTTGTGAAGGTCTTCCTCTAAATTTATCTTTTTTTTTTTTTTAATAAGAGAAATCTCGTTCTTGTCCCCCAAGTTTGAGTGCAATGGCTTGATCTCAGCTCACTGCAACCTCCGCCTCCTGGGTTCAAATGATTCTCCTGCCTCTGCCTCCCAAGTAGCTGGGATTAAGGCGCCTGCCACCACGCCCAGCTAATTTTTGTATCTTTTTTAGTAGAGATGGGGTTTCACCATGTTGGCCAGGCTGGTCTCGAACTCCTGACCTCAGGTGATCCGCCCACCTCGGTCTCCCAAAGTGCTGGGATTACAGGCGTGAGCCACTGCACCCGGCCCAGATTCATCTTTTGCATGTGGGTGTCCATTGTTCCAACATCATTTATTGGAAAGGCTATATATATATATATATATATATTTTTTTTTTTTTTTTTTTTTTTTTTTACAATGTATTGCCTTTGCTCCTTTGTCAAAGATTAGGTGACTGTATTTAGTGGCTCCGTTTCTGTGCTCTCTATTCTATTCCATTGACCTATTTGTCCTTCACCAGTACCACACTGTCTTGATTATTGTAGTGTTACAGTAAGTCTTTAAGTTGAGTAGTGTCAGTCCTCTAACTTTATGCCCCTTCAATATTGTATTGGCTATTCTGAGTCTTTTGCCTCTGCATATAAACATTAGAATTGGTTTGTTCATGTTTACAAAATAACTTGTTGGGATTTTGATTGGGATGGCATTGAATTTATAGATCAAGTTGGAAAAACTGATGTCTTGATAATATTAAGTCTTCCTATCTATGAATATGGAATATCTTCCAATTTATTTATAGTTTTCCTCATATAGATCTTCTAAATATTTTGTTAGATTTATACCTAAGTATTTCAGTTTTTTGGTGCTTATGTAAATGGTATCGTGTTTTTTATTTCAAATTGCACTTGTTCATTGCTGGTATATAGGAAAGCAATTGACCTTTGTATATTAGCTTTGTATCCTGCAATCTTGCTATAATTGCTTATTCCAGATTTCTTGTGAATTCTTTTGGATTTTCTTCCATGATTTTTTTTAAAAAAGCAAATTGGTAGTTATGTAACTAGGGTTATAGTTGTAGATTATTAAAATATAGAAATATTCTTAGCAAAATCTTGCTACTTCTGAAAGTCAGCTTTTTTGGAGTTATTTTAGGAGATAGCAGATCTCAGTGAATTTCAGTCTTCAAAGTCATATTAAGGAAAAACTATGTTACATATATATTTCTCAAAATTGTGATAAATACACATAACATATAATTTACCATCTTACCCATTTTAAGTGTACAGCTTAGTGGGCTATGTATATTCACACTGCTGTGCAGCCAACCTCCAGAACTTTTTTTATCTTGCAAAACTGGAACTCTCTATCAATTAAATAACAACTCACAATTTTCCTCTCCCCTCATCCCCTGGCAACTACCATTCTATTTTTGTTTTTATGAATTTGACTATTTTGGATACCTCATATAGGTGGAATCATAAAATATTTGTCTTTTTGTGACTAACTTATTTCACTTAGCATAATATATTCAAGGTTCATGTATGTTGTAGCATGTGTCACAATTTACGTCCTTTTTTAGGCTCAATGTTCTATTGTGTGTGTGTGTGTGTGTGTGTGTGTGTGTACAGACATACATAAGCACCACATTTTGTTTATGTATCTGTCGGTGGACATTTGGGTTCTTTTTGCCTTTTGGCCATTGTGAATAACAATACTGTTATTAACATGGGTGTACAAATATCTATTTGAGTCACTGCTTAAAATTCTTTTGGGTATATACTGGAAGTGGAATTGTTGGATCATATGATCTTTGTATTTTCAATTTTTTGAGGAATGAACGTACTGTTTTCTGTAATGGCTGTGCAATTTTAACTTTCTACCAACAGTGTATAAATGTTCTACATCCCTGGTAACACTTGTTATTTTCTTTCTTTCTTTTATAATGTAATAGCCATCCTAAGGTATGTAAAGTAGTATGTGATTGTGGTTTTGATTTTCATTTCCACTGGCGACTACATTAGCAATGTTGAGCATTATTTCATGTGCTCATTGGCCATTTGTATATCTTCCTTGGAGAAATGTCTGTTCAAGTTCTTTGCCCATTTAAAAATATTTTGCTATTTTTTGTGTGAGTTGTAGGAGTTCTTTATATAGTCTAGATATTAAGCCCTTATCAGATATGACTTGCAAATGTTTTCTTCCATTTCATAGACTGCTTTTTCAATCTGCTGGTAGTGTCCTTTGATGCACAGAAGTTTTTGATTTGGAGTCCAGTTTATCTGTTTTTACTTTTGTTGCTGGGCTTTATATCCAAGAAATCATCACCAAATCAAATGTAAAGAAGCTTTCCTTGTGTTTTCTTCTAATAGTTTTATATTTTCAGGTCTTATGTTTGGGTCTTTGATCACTTTTGAGTTATTTTTGTATATGGCATAAGGTAAGGGTCCAACTTCATTCTTTTGCATGTGGATATCCAGTTTTCCCAGCAGCAGCATATGTTGAAAAGACTGCCCTTTCCCTCCCCATTTAATGGTCTTGGCACCCTCATCAAAAATAATTTGACCATATACTCTAAGGTTTATTTCTTGGCTCTGTATTTCTTCAATTGGTCTATATGTCTGTTTGTATATATATATATATATATATTTAAATAATATAATTAATTAATTAGTATTTTCTTTCTTTCTGTTTCTTTTTTTCTTTTTTTCATAGAGAGTCTCATGCTGTCACCCAGCCTAGAGTGCAGTGGTGCGATCTTGGCTCACTGCAACCTCCACCTCCTGGGTTCAAGCAATTCTCCTGCCTCAGCCTCCATGAGTAGTTGGGACTACAGGTGCGCACCACATGCCCAACTAATTTTTGTATTTTTAGTAGAAATGGGGTTTCGCCATGTTGGCCAGGCTGTTCTTGAACACCTGACCTCAGGTGATCTGCTCACCTCGGCCTCCCAATGTGCTGGAATTACAGGCGTGAGCCACCATGCCTGGCCAATTAGTATGTTTTAAAATAAAGTCTTAGTTGTAAATTTGATAGTCTTTACTAATGTAGAGATGGTGAAACTTCACCTACATTCTCTTAGGGTCCTGACTGGGCCCAATAACTAAACTGATATAAGTTAGATTAACGGGAGAAAAGCATGCACATTTATTCAATATAAGTTTTATGTGGCATGGGAGCCTTCATAAAGAAATGAAGAACTGAAGAAGCTGTTAGAGTCAATTACTTAAATACTGAATTGGACAAAGAACAGTAAGTTGGGAAAATGTGATAAGGCAAAGGGGATTAGGCTAGGATAGCTAATTGTGTAGGTAAGTAGCCAGGAAGATAAGCGTTGGTGTAACTAGGTTTGTTTGTACACAATTCCTTTGGCCTCAGCTTTTTGTCCTCCATGGTAAGAATGTTGCATCTTTTATATAGGAATTTCATTTCTTGCCTTAGGAACCAGCATGAATGTCATAGCGATCTTTTTTTCACCTGCTGCTTTTCAAGTGCTCTATTAACTTAAATAGTTAATATGCCAGAATGGTATAATTTTTTTCATTAGTGAGTCCTGAGATTTTCTTTTCTTTTCACAGTAACCATAGAAAAATCTTGCTCCTACCCCATCTGCATCAGTCCCATTTCCCCTGCATCCTATAGGTAACGACGTCATAAGGAAATACACATATATAAATCCTATTGTTTCTCCTTTTTTAAACTTAATCTATCTTACAGTTACTTTTTACTGTCCTAATTACAGCACATTTTTACTTTTTAGGTTCTATGATTTGAAGAGTGGTATGGCTATGTATTACAGCTTGTAAGTTGTTACCATATTTTGGAGCAAAATGTATTATTATTTCTACTATTTACATTTAACATGAATCATGATCCTAAAAGCATCAAAATGTCTTCATAACATCCTACAAGGAAGACAGAACAGCACTGCTGTTCTACACTGTGGCTCTTGCCCAGTCTATAGTTACAAGAAATAGTTCTTTAGTTGTTGTGATGCCCTGGGTAGGCTTCATTCTTAAGTAATGTACTTTGTCTATATTAACTCCCTGCAAATATGTATATGTGAACAGAATATCTTGAAGATACATGGTGAGGTTTGGTTGCCTTTGTTCTCTGAAGTCTTTTTTTTTTTTTTTTTTTTGGAGATGGAGTCTCACTTTGTCGCCCAGGCTGGAGGCCAGTGGCATGATCTCGGCTTACTGCAACCTCTGCCTTCTGGCTTCAAGCGATTCTCCTGCCCCAGCCTCCCAAGTAGCTGGGAGTACAGGCACGTGCCACCAGGCCCAGCTAATTTTTTTTTTTTGCATTTTTAGTAGAGACGGGGTTTCACCATGTTAGCCAGGATGGTCTCAATCTCCTGACCTCGTGATCCATCCACCTTGGCCTCCCAAAGTGCTAGGATTACAGGCATAAGCCACCACGCCCGGTCTGTTCTCTGAAGTCTTTACGGTTGTTGTTTCTATTATTGTTCCCAGCAAGAACTGGAACTGACCTGATGTCATGATCTATGAATATAATTTTTAATTAAGGAAGAAGTACCAGGAAATCTCATGTCACTATAGACCTGCTTCGCTGAATACCATTTAGCAGTCTATACTCCAGCCACCAGGCATATTGGTTGTGCAATGATGCCTCCACGATAACTAACAGTGAGGAGTAGAAGTTGGGCTTAGACACTCTGGCTCTTGCATAGGTCGAGGGGTATGTTGTGTTCTTGTAACAAATCCCACATATACATACATATGCATATTGTTCCACAAACATCCCCAAGCAGAAACCAGAGTTAGGGGCAGAATAACCTCAAGAAAATTTTGGTTGCTAGGCCATAGATGCGTCTTTCTGAGGCTGGTATTTTGACACTATGTGCTCCATTGTTTCTCATCTGCTGTATTGTGCTGCATCAATTGTTTCACCACATTATCACTAAAAACTTGGTCTCCCTAAAAACATTAACTTCTTAGGGCCTGTGTGCCAATGGGGCCTTTTGGACTTGACTTCAGCTTTTTGGAGGACAGAGTCCCTTTCCCCTTATAGTGCTGGGTTATTAGTGAATCAACCCTGAAGAGGTAAAGGGTTGGAGCCTCAGCCTCCCAAGAGGCTGTCACTGGAGAATGGTCTCACTGACCTCAGCCCTTGGGCATTTCCATAGCACATTTTCCCCCTAACCCCTCTACTCCTGCCAAATGCCTACCTAACTCTTATAATAGGAAAGCTGGGAACTCCACTCAAAACCATACAAAAAACCAGTTTGTACATTTGGACACCTCCCGAGCACTCACAGTCACTGTGTTTCTCTTTTCCAGCAGCAGACAGTCACTCTCATGCAGTTTAAGTGATTTATTGATGTCTCAGCTAAACTTGCTTTGGTTTCAGGACATTTCAGCCATCAAGGTTTTTAAGGAAGAGCATTCTGTACCAGAGGAGCCATGCTGCTTTCCTTGTGTTTGCTAATGTGTCCTTAGCCAGCCTCATTCTTCTTCAGCTTTTCTACTTTGGCAACATAGATCCTCATGGTGTCCATCTTAGACATCCCTTTGTTCACATTCCATGCCTCCTACTTGGCCTTGGCTTTCACATCTGAGGCTGAAGGGGCAGGGATGTTGCAGTCGCTCTGGGTGGGCTGTTTGCAGAAGCTGTACACCAGCAGTTTTCTCCTGATCGCACACAGTACCCTTCAGCTGCTTGAGGGCAGTGTGGGCCAGCTCAAACTCCACTTGGCACATTGTGGGAGGGGAGGCCAGGCCCCTCTGTCCTTTCTAGGTGACACCTGGTGCTAGAAGGCTCATCAGGTTTCTTCATCGATAGAGTAGGGATGATGATGATGATGTATCTTCCTCACTGAGTTTCATTGAGAATCCCTATGTAGGTACAGGGCTATGTGTGTTGTAGCACTGATCAAACTCTCAGTAGAGAGTGGTATAATTATAACTCCTTAACAAACATTTCAAGATACTAAGAAGAAAGTATAATACCAAGTTTTGGTTACACAGCCTTTTAATGAAGCAAAAACTTTTAGACATTAGCATTCCAAGCAAAGTTTATTCTAGCAATAAGACACAATGTGACAGCTAATATAAATTACTGTGGAAATTACCTCAGATCTGAGAAATCTGGAAAATAGTTGAAAAAGCTCATGGGTCTATTCCTAAAGGACAACCTGTGAACCTGTCAGTGCTAGGACAGATACTACCTAGCTGTTCCTGCCTATACCACTCTTCTTACTTTAGAGCTATGGTAGCCCCTTCATAATCCTTTCAGGTTCTAGCAGAGGAGGAATATCAATTTAATTAATATTCTCAGATTTACAACATCTGGGAAATAACAGCATTTATAAATCATGGACATTATCAAAGATCATTCATAATATATTCTTACTATCTAAACTTGGTTTTCTGTACATTTAACTTTTCTAGAGGTATGTGAAGTGGGGAAAATGGGTACTTTAAGAACTATGATTTGTTTAATTTTCACCTACATAACTGGCAAACATTTTCATTATTATTATCATTATGTAGAAAAACATAGATGTATCAATATCCATATTTTATCTTTAGTATCTCACAGGAAAGGTATTTTGGGTTAATGACTATTTACCCGGAAAATCTGGAGAAAATTCTGCAATCTTGACAAAACCCTATTTTTTTAAATACAATTTTTTCTCTAAAAATTAGTTAACTTTTGATTATCTGTGTGATAAAGAAGGTTGGGAATAGGAGAATGAAAATTTGCTGGTAACTCAGTTTGGCTTACATGTTATGCATTATTAAAATTTTTTCAGAGCAATAACAAAATGAAAAATCTAATTTGAGTTTCACCTTTTTTTGTCATACCCTCTGGTAGAGGTACAGATAAATGGGAAGTAGAAAGAAAAATTTGAAGTATAAAAGCCTTCAGTCTGATTAACTTTGAACTCTAAGATTTAATTATATAATGTAATTATTGTCTAATATTAAACAATGTTGATTATTATTATAGATGTCTATAATTTTTTTTTTTTTTTTTTTTGCAACGGAGTCTTACTTTGTCACCCAGGCTGGAGCGTAATGGTGCGACCTCAGCTCACTGCAGCCTCCGCCCTCCGGGTTCACGCCATTCTCCTGCTTCAGCCTCCCAAGTAGTTGGGACTACAGGTGCACGCCACCACGCCCGGCTAATTTTTTTTTTTTTTGTATTTTTAGTAGAGACGGGGTTTCACCATGTTGTCTAGGATGGTCTCCATCTCCTGACCTCGTGATTCGCCCGCCTTGGCCTCCCAAAGTGCTGGGATTACAGGCGTGAGCCACCGTGCCTGGCCTATAGATGTCTATAATTGTGAAATATCAGTTATCTGCTAAAGAATGGGTGTCAATAACTGTGAAGGGTATGAGATTTTACCCTACTTACTAGCTAACAAGTTACCACACTATAGTTTCATGGATGCTGTTAGAAGACATGAGACTCCTGAGTCAGAGACAAATGATAGTAACCAGGGTATCGGCATTTTTTTCTTTTCTTCATGGATTCTCTGAGCCCTATTCCTATAGAGCAATGTTAAGAGGGCTAGATGACACCTGCACACTCAATGGGCAGTGTAAAGGAGAGGCATTCTGAGTTTAAAGAACTCAAATCTCATATAAAAGTTGATAAGCATGCCTGCCCCTTTCTCCAGAGGGAAACAGTATCTGTGTTCTAAGGGGCAGTCAGGGCAAATTACTCATAGCAGTAATTCGAGAGAACCATGGAGAATTGTCTTCTAACAATGGATCTGGGCTGAAAAATTTGCATAATAAATACTGTATTTGTAATGTAAATTAATAATGTAAACAAGAGCAGAAGAGGACTTTCTTTCTTTCTTTTCTTTCTTTTTTTTTTTTTTTTTTTTTGGAGACAGGGTCACTCTCTGTTGCCCAGGTTAGAGTGCAGTGGCGCGATCACAGCTCACTGTAGCCTTGAACTCCTGGGCTCAAGCAATTCTTCTGCCTCAGCTTCACAAGCATGTACCACCATGCCTGGCTAATTTTTAAAATTTTTTCTAGAGACAGCGTTTCACTATGTTGCACAGGCTAGTCTTGAACTCCTGGGCTCAAGTGATCCTTCAGCCTTGGCCTCCTAAAGCACTGGGACTACAGGCATGAGCACTATGCCTGCCCCCTACTGCCCCTTTTTTAAAGTACCTGGGAGAACAAAGTTTAAATATTCTATTTTTGTAGCACCTAATTAACATACAATTTAAGACACTTTCAAAATTTTACATTATTGAAAATAAGTAGGTTGAAGACTTTTACTTACGATCACTTTGCTGTTATGCTGCATGTTTTTGAAATAATAAAACTTTATTTTGAAAACAAACACTCAACTCAAAACTCTTAACTAATTTATATGATTCATACTGTCTCTTGTTAAAAATCCACACGGGGGATTTTAAGTCTGTATCAGGCCATGAAAAGTTTAGATATGAAGAAGGCAGTTTTCTTTTTTTCTTAATGTTTACACCAGACCAAAGTGAATCATTTTGAGAGAACCACCATCTCTGATTTCCTGCAAATAAACAAATAAAAATAATGTTTAAGCAGAGTAAAAAGTAATTGACTTAACATTTGTATCTTTATTATTTTTAAGTACTGAAAAATAGTGAAACAAAATAAAATAGTTTAAAATGTACTGCACATAGATACATAAGATAACTGTATACTTACCTGACTTGGTCATCAAAATTTTGATACGATATTTATAAAAACTAGTCAAGAAATAATAAGCATTAAAAGGCAAAGAAAGGACAGGATGTTAATTGAAATTTAGAAGCATCTGAGGGTTCCTCCAATGAAAAATTGCAAACTGTGGGTCATCATTTGGATTCTACAGTGTGATTTTAAAATACTGTGTGTTCTAAAAGGTATTATATAGCATATATTTCCTAATTTTGGTGTTTTACTGAGTATTTGATAATGGCTATTGAGATAATAGTTTATAAAATAGAAAAGATTGTGGTTTTATAAGACTTTCATAACATTTTATGAAGCTGCAAAGAAATATTAACAACTTCATCTATTTCCCATTTGTTATTCTTTCTTTTGCACCTTCTGCCCATCCCTGTCAGTTACAGAAAAACAGAAGATCTTATGGGCTTCTGAAGTTGGATGATGTGTGAAGATAAGACTAAAGATGAGTGATATTATGTGAAAAATAATACAGTGGGGACAGTTTTTAAAATTTGAAGATAACCTACTTAGAGTTGAAATGGTAAAAGTAAAAGGTAAAGAGAGTAGGGATAACAGCACTTACACTATCATGTCATAATTGGAGACATTTTACTTAAAGTATAGGTGAAAGTAATTTTAAAAAATAAATTTAAAGTTATTCTGTAAGTTATATCTTAAAAGTTATTTTTACTAAGAAAAGCCTTTCAGAAAGTCTGCATTTATACTATTTTAAGTAGTCACATATCAAAGGAAACAGATATGCGGCTAAAAAATAAGGGCAACACATGTATGTAGGTATGTGCCTGTAGACCTTGATGTACACAAAATTGAAAAAAAAAAAAAAACCTGGAAAAACAGGTAGCAAGAAGAATGCGTAATTTAATAGTGCCTGAGGCTTGAGTGTGTGCTGGCAAGTTCCAGGCTTTTAGGTAGCTTTCAATTTAAAAAGAAAACTAAGCACTGTCATTTTTTAAAACATAAGCTTCAACTCTTGGCTTATAAACTACCATACCAAAGTCTAGTTTCTATACCACGAGAATGGTCATTGAGAAAATGAGTTAGGTTTTGGCCTTGTTCATCAACTGGCAGAGATCCTAGGTAAATTATTTTATTTTCTTAATATCTAGATATACTTGTTGCTAGAAGGCTGATGGCATACCTAAGAACTATCGTGTCGTTCAGCCATGTTGCTGTTGTTATGTAGTGTCTTCTATCCATGATTTAATCCTCTCTTACCTTAGGAATTACATTTTAAAAAGTAAGAATCATAGAATTAACTTCTCAAGATCTTCCAGGATTTAAAAAAACAAAACAAAAAATATTCCTTTGGGGGATTTTCTTTAAAATCCATTGCATTTTAAAAAGACTTCAGGGCATTTCCAAGGTTTCCATTGCTATATAACCTTGACTTATACTCTACGTACCTTAGACGGATATTTTGAAGATTTATAAAATAATTTATTTTACATTCAAGTTTTTAAACATTATTTGAAGTAAAACATAATCATTAAATAAAATTTGGAAAACAGGAAACTATGAAAATTTACCCATAGTCCTACTAGTTATACAAAACTAAAGTTAACATGAATTTGCTTCTAGTCTCTTTTTCTCCACGTTTTATTTATTTATTTTAAACACAGCTTGAATTATATTGTGTATATATATATATAATTCTGTATCTTTTCTTTTCTTTTTTTTTTTGGCCTTATAACACTTCAAAACTTTTTAATGTTCCTACATAGTCTGTTTTTAATGGCTGAATTTTATTATTCCATTAAATACTATAGCTTTATTTAACCACTCCTTTTTTGGTTAAATTTATATTGTTTCCAATTTCTTCTTTTTCATAAATAACCCTATGATAGATAGGCATGAAGTTTTTTTTTTTTTTTCTGTTTGTAGGATTATTTCCTTGGTATAGAACTGTAGAAATAGAATTATTGGACCAAAAGCTATGAAATTTTAAGCTTCTGGATAAACACTGTAGAATTGGTAGTTTTGCTTTGTTTGTTTCCTAGTTTGGGAGGAGGTGATTTTGTTCAATAATAGGAAGTTGTGGTTCCAAGGAAGACTGATCTTCATTTTTTTTTTTAATGTGTTGAAATTGTGCTCAGCCTTGACTGAATGAAACTACGTGTTAATTCTTGTAGTAATTTTACAGCAACGAAAGGGTTTTCCCCAGTCCCTCATTGCTTTCTACATGTGGTTAAGTGCATTTTCTGAGCCACACCCTTTTGCTGTTACCTAATATTGGGTGATATCAGGTCACTTTCCTTTAAATGTACACAGACTTTTGTAAGTAAATTCAGCAGACAAGTTAAGCTTTGCTTTGCTATAAACTGGATTTTGACCTGTGGCTCACTTAATGCAGATTTTTAAATTTTAATACAGTAAGTGATCATCTCAGTTTATTATGTTAGGTTTCCTCTGTGTTACTAACAGTCTGTCTTGAAGTTTCTGATTTGGTTTAATAATAATTAAATCCCAGAAGTATAATATTTTAGACATGGAAGAAATCTTAAAACTCCCTAATCTGAAATTGTTTTATTTTATAGATGAACAAGTTGAGGCTCATATGGGTTAAGTGTTTTGTCCAAAGTCAGTTAGTGGCAGAGTTGGGATTATAATTTTGTTCGTATTTCTCTGTAAAGGGTTTTTTTTTTTCCACTATAGTTTTTTAATGTACTAACAATACTTGTTCCACAGGCTGCTTTATGATTAACTTCTCTGATTCCCTATTCCTCTCATTTAAGGCTTTTGCTTATAAGCATGCTAGCTAGTGGTCCACCCTATGTGGCAGGAGACGCTTTTCTGAGTAAGTTGACCAGCTATTCAAGTTTCACTACTGAACATTGTGAAATTGAACTCTGCTTCTTGCATATTTGGTATCATATATAGGTTTCTTTTTCATCAACATGGCAGAGTTTGGTACTTGACATTTTTTGTAGAAAATGCAGTCTCAAACTGACTGTAGTCTAGCACTTGCCAAAGGTTGGCTTGAGGCTTCTGGTACATACGAGAGACAAGTTTTATAGATAAGCTAACTAACTTTCTAACTTCTGTGTTAAGTAAGCCATCAGAAAGGAGTGTACTTAGAACTTGTCATTTCACCTTTCCACAGGAATGCCTTTAGTGAATTATGATTTAAGTATTTTACCTTATAAAGAGGAGTTATAATAAGAAACATCTATGTGACTAGAATGTCTATCCTTTTCAAAACTCTAAGACATGTTTAGTTTGTTTTTCAGTTAAAAATTTAGAGATTGGGTCTTGCTAGGTTCTCCATGCTGGCCTAAAACTCCTGGGCTCAAGCACTTCCCCTACCTCAGCCTCCAAAGGAGCTGGGACTGTAGGGATACACTACCACACCCAGCTTGCTTTTCAGTTTTTTTTGTTTTGTTTTTTAATAAGACGGTGTCTTGCTCTGTTGCCCAGGCTGGAGTGCAGTGGCGTGATCTCGGCTCACTGCAACCTCCGCTTCCCGGGTTCAAGCAGTTCTCCCTGCCTCAGCCTTCTGAGTAGCTGAGACTACAGGCGCACGTCACCACATCTGGCTAATTTTTTTGTATTTTTAGTAGAGATGGGGTTTTCCCGTGTTGGCCGGGCTGGTCTTGAACTCTTGACCTCAGGCAATCTCCCCACCTTGGCCTCCCAAAGTGCTGGGATTACAGGCGTGAGCCACCTCGCCAGGCTGCTTTTCAGTTTTTTTTTACACAAGCTTTTTTTTTTTTTTTTGAGATAAGGTCTCACTCTGTCACCCAGGCTGGAGTGTAGTGGTACAATCAAGGCTCAATGCAGCCTTGACCTCCGAGGCTCAGGTGATTTTCCCACCCTAGCCTCCCAAGTAGCTGGGACTACAGGCATGCACCACCACACCAGGCTATTTTTGTATTTTTTGTAGAGACAGGGTTTCACCATTTTGGCCAGGCTGGTCTTGAACTCCTGGCCTCAAGTGATCCGCCTGCCTTGACCTCCCAAAGTGCTGGGATTACAGGTGTAAGCCAATGCACCTGGGCTGCACAAACATTCTTGAGTGTGAATATAGAATGCTGAAAAAGTGTTTCCATCTAGATAAATTTACTATTTGCATGTGTTAAAAAATTAATAAAAACAATAATCATGAACCATGTTTTAGAACAGAATGGTTTTCCATTACCTAATTTGACAGATTAATCATGTAATATTACTAAATTAAACATAACCATTCTCATTTTACAGATGAAGAAACAGGTATAGAGGTGTGTAGCAGTGAGGAGGTAGTGGAACAAAATTAGACTGAGACAGTTTGCTTATAATACTGCATTCTTTCTGTTATACCATGATGCTTCTCAAAGTAAACCTATTTCACTTTTTTGCCTTTGCCTTCCCAAATTCAGAGCTAAACACAGTTTTAACTTGTATAAAACAGCCCGATATTCAACATCACATAACTGTGCAACTTGTTTTGTGTTTTTTTTTTTTTTTTTTTTTTTGAGATAGGGTTGTGCTCTGTTGCCCAGGCTGGAGAACAGTGGCACAATTATAGCTCACAGCAAAAGTACAGCTCAAACTTTCGGGCTCAGGTGATCTTGCCTCAGCCTCCCAAGTAGCTGGGACTACAGGTGTGCACCACTGTGCCTGGATAATTTTTTTAAACTTTTATTTTTGTAGAGACAAGGTCTTGCTATGTTGCCTAAGCTAGTCTCAAACTACTGGGCTCTAGCGAACTTTTTGCCTTAGCCTCCCAAATCACTAGGATTACAGGCGTAAGTCACCATGCCTGGCCTGCAACTTTTAATTGACTTTTGCTGTGTATATAATTTATTTTAGATATGATATATAAAATACTTTAGTGAAATGCCCCAAATCTTTCAGAAAGTAAATAGATCATAAATGCTGAGATAAAGTATGTTGACATATTTAACTTTTTTTTTTTTTTTTTTTGAGATGGAGTCTCGCTCTGTCACTAGACTGGAGTGCAGTAGCACAATCTTGGCTCACTGCAGTCTCCGCCTCCAAGGTTCAAGCAATTCTCCTGCCTCAGCCTCCCGAGTAGCTGAGACTACAGGCATGAGCCGCCATACCCAGCTAATTTTTTTTGTATTTTTAGTAGAGACGGGGTTTCACCATGTTGGCCAGGATGGTCTTGATCTCCTGACCTCGTGATCTGCCCGCCTCGGCCTCCCAAAGTGCTGGGATTACAAGCGTGAGCCACCGCACCCGGCCTGAAAATATTTTTTAAAAATCAATTTTTAGAGGAAAGAATGAGAATAGTTTATCAATTACTCCATCTCAACCAATACTTGAAGATACTGTATTCCATCAAGTAAATTGATAAACTTATGATAGAAGTAGTAGCAAACACAAAAATTGCTACTTTATCATTTTTAGAGGTTATACACTTATACTTCAAGATGCTCTATTAATGTAATTGTCAACATGTAAATACCGTGTATGTGTATGTGCATATATATATATATATATATATATATATATATACGCACACACACACATATATATATGCACACACTCCCTATTCTATATGTATTACTCCCCTCTTTGGGTGATAGTAAAAACAGGAAGTGCAGCAGGTTGCTATATCTACCATAATTCCACATTAAAAGAATGGGTTTCTGCCATTTCTAAATACAAGATTTCTGTGGCCTGGCATGGTGGCTCACGACTGTAATCCCAGCACTTGGGAGGTCAAGGCGGCTGGATCACTTCAGGTCAGAAGTTCAAGACCAGCCTGGCCAACATGGTGAAACCCTGTCTCTTCTAAAAATAAACAAATTAGCCGGGTGTGGTAGCGTGCTTCTGTAATCCCAGCTACTCTGGAGGCTGAGGCAGGAGAATCACTTGAACCCGGGAGGCGGAGGTTGCAGTGAGCTGAGATCACACCTCTGCACTCCAGCCTGGGTGACAGAATGATACTCCACCTCAAAAAAAATTAATAAATAAATATAAGATTTCTTTCAGACAGTATGCCAATGAATAGTACAAACAAGACAATGTAGATAGGTAACTACATGATTTATTACCCTTGACTATGAGCAAAGTCAGTGGGAGGAAACAAGAGGTTTGCCCCATACCTAGAAACTCACTCAAACATGTAGCCCCAAGATAACCTCTAAATTTACCTATTAAAGTTTAAAAGATAATTAAAACTTTTTCCTTCCGTTTCTGTCTTTACCACAAATTTTTTCCAGAATGTTCCCAAGAGGTAACTAGATCACTAGTGGTTTCATTTCTTTCCTTTCCCTTTCCTTTATTTTTTATTGTGGTAAAATATATTTAACATAAAATTTACCACTTTATTTTTAAGTGTATACTTTAGTGGGATTAGGCACATTCACATCATCATGTAACCATCACCGCTCTCCATCTCCAGAACTTTTTAATCATTCAACTGAAATTCTGTACTCAATAAATAACAATTTCCCATTTCATACTTCCTTAAGCCTCTGATAACCACTGTTCTACTTATTTGAGATGGAATTTTGCTCTTGTTGCCCAGGCCGGAGTGCAGTGGCGCAATCTTGACTCACCACAACCTCCGCCTCCTGGGTTCAAGCGATTCTCCTGCCTCAACCTCTCGAGTAGCTGGGATTACAGGCATGTGCCACCATGCCCTGCTAATTTTGTATTTTTATTAGAGATGGGGTTTCTCCGTGTTGGTCAGGCTGGTCTTGAACTCCTGACCTCAGGTGATCCACCCACCTTGGCCTCTGAAAGTGCTGGGATTACAGGCGTGAGCCACTGTGCACGGTGTTCTACTTTGTGTCTCTAAGAATTTGACTATTCCAGGTACTTCATATAAGTGGAGTAATGCAATATTTGTCCTTTTGAGCCTCATTTCACTTAGCGTAATGTCTGCAAAGTTCATCCATGCTGTAGCAGGTATCAGAACTTCATTCCCTTTTTAGGGCTGAATAATATTTCATTATATGTATATACCACCTTTTGTTTATTCATTAATCTGTCAGTGGCCATTTTGGTTGTTTCCACCTTTTGGGTATTGTGACTAATGTTGCTATGAACACAGGTGTGAAAATATCTGTTCTTGTCCTTGCTTTCAATTCTTTGGGGTGTATACCAGAAGTAAAATTGCTGGATCATATAATGGTTTTATGTTTAATTTTTTGAGGAACTACCATACTGTTTTCCACAGGGGCAACACCATTTTATATTCCCACTGGCAATGTACAATTGTTCTAGTTTCTCCACATCCTTATCAACACTTTTTGCTTTCTGTTTTTTGATAATGGCCATCTTATTGCTTCTCAGCCTTTTGGCTAAAATCAAATAATAGCCATTCCAATGTATGTAGTTTCTCGTTGTGGTTTGATCTGCATTTTTCTAACAATTAGTGATGTTGAACATCATTTCATGTACTTTTTGTCCATTTGTATATCTTGGAAGTTCTTTGCACATTACATTTTTTTATTGGGTTGTAGTTCTTCTATATTCTGGTTATTTGTCACTTATTATATATGTGATTTGCAAATACAGTTGTCGCTCAGTATTTGTGGGGATTGATTCCAGGACCCCCTAGAGATACTAAAATCTGCAGATGCTTGTGTCCCTGATATTAAATGCGTAGTATCTGCATATAATCTATACATATCCTCACATATATTTTAAATAATCTCTGCATTACTTATAATACCTAATACAATGTAATTATTATGTAAATCATTGTTATACTGTATTATTTAGGGAATAATTTACAAGAAAAAAAGTCTGTACATGTTTAGGACAGATGGTTTTTTTCCCAATGTTTTCAATCTCTTGTTGGTGGAATCCACAGATGAGGAACTCATGGATACAGAGGGCCAACTGTATTTTCTCCTGTTGTGTGGGTTGCCTTTTTACTCTGTTGATAGTATCCTTTGATGGACAAACAATAATTTTAGTGAAGTCTAGTTTATCTGTTTTTTTGTTGTTGTTTTTATTGCCTGTACTTTTGGTGTCTTACCTGTGAAATCGTTGCCAAATTCAATGCTACATTTTCTCCTACGTTTTCTCCAAGAGAATTATAGTTTTAGGCCTGTGTATAGATCTTTGATACATTTTGAGTTGATTTTTGTATATGGTGTAAGGTAAGAGTCTAACTTCATACTTTTGCATATGGACATCCTGTTTTCCCAGCAATATTTGATGAAAAGACTGTCTTTTCCCCCATTAAATGGTCTTGGCACCCTTGTCAGAAATCATTTATCCACATACACAAAGGTTTTATTTAGGTTCTCGATTCTGTTCCATGGTTCTATATGTCTGTCTTTATGCTAGCACCATATTTTGATTACTGTAGCTTTGTAGTAAATTTTGAAGTCAGAAAGTGTGAGTTCTTCAACTTTATTGTTTGTTTTCAAGATTGTTTTGGCTTTTCAAGGTCCCTTGATTTTCCATATTAATTTAAGGATGAGTATTTTTTTTTTCTATTTCTGCAAAGATATATTGAGATTTTGATAGGAATTGAGTGGAGAGTTCTGTATGTGTCTGTTCCATCCAGTTGGTCTGTAGTGTTTTTCAAGTCTTCTGTTGTCCTTATTGATCTTCTGTCTGGTTGTCCTATCGATTATTGAAAGCAGGTTATTGAAGTCTCCTAATATTACTGCATTGCTGTCTATTTCTTTCTTCAATTATGTTAATGTTTGCTTCATATATTTAAGAGTTCTGATGTTTGGTACATACATATTTATAATAATTATATCTTGGTGAATTGACTCTTTAATCATGTATTATCCTTCCTAGTCTCTTGTGATGATTTTTCATTGAAAGTCTATTTTATCTGATACCATTATAGGTACCCCTGCTCTCCTGTGGTAACTAGTTACATGAAATATTTTTTCCATCCTTTCCATTTCAGCTTATGTGTTGAATCTAAAATGA
The DNA here is from genome assembly GCF_000001405.40 of Homo sapiens. NCBI lineage: Eukaryota > Metazoa > Chordata > Mammalia > Primates > Hominidae > Homo > Homo sapiens. The sequence continues at coordinate 63,131,092 of NC_000002.12, forward strand.
GTCTCTTGTGTGCAGCAGAGTGTTAGAGTTTTTAAAAAAATCCATTCAGTCAATATGTCTTTTGACTAGTAGTTGGATTATTCATATTTAAAGTAATTATTGATATGGAAGGATTTACTATTGCTGGTTTGTCACCTGTTTTCTGTATGTCTTGTGGCTTTTTGGTTCCTCATTTCTTTTCTTACTGCCCTCCCTTTGTAATCCATTGATTTTTTTTTATAGTGACATACTTTGATTCCCTTTTCATTTCCTTTTGTGTGCACTATATAGATATTTTTCTTGGTGGCTAGCATTGTGATTACGTAACACATTTCAAATTTATGCAATTTATGTTACACTGATAACAACTAATCTTCATTAGCATACAAAAATTCTCCTTTACAGTTCCTCCTTTTTTTATTGTTAAAACTTACATTTATATATTGTGTACTTATTAACTTAGATTTATAGATTTTTTGTGTGAGTAATTTTATAGATTCTATACAAGAATTAAAAGTGGATTTGTGCACCAGAATTACAATAACACAGGATTCTATAGTTGCCCATATGTTTACCTTTAATGGAGAACATTATACTTTCATGTGACTTTGTATAGCTGTCTAGTATCTTTTTGCTTCAATTTGAAGGACCCTCTTTAGCATTTCTTGTAGGGAACATCTAGTGGTGTTGACTATACATCTTTTATCTGGGAATGTCATCATTTCTTCACATTTGAAGGACAGTTTTGCTAGATACAGTATTCTTTTTTTTTTTTTTTTTTTTGAGATGGGGTCTCGCTCTGTCTCCCAGGTTGGAGTACAGTGGTGCGATCTCAGCTCACTGCAACCTCCACCTCCCAGGTTCCGCTATTCTCCTGTCTTAGCCTCCTGAGTAGCTGGGATTACAGGCGTGTGCCACCATGCCTGGCTAATATTTTGTATTTTTAGTAGAGATGGGGTTTCAACATGTTGGCCAGGCTGGTCTTGAACTCCTGATCTCAAGTGGTCTGCCTGCCTCGGCCTCCCAAAGTGCTAGGATTACAAGTGTGAGCCATCACACCCGGCCCAGTTGATGTTTTTGAATATACTTTCCCATTCCTTTTTAGCCTGCAAGATTCATACTGAGAACTTTGCTGATAATCTTATTAGGCTCCCTTGTATGTGATGAGTCATTTTTCTCTTGTAGCTCTCAAGATTATCTCTTTGTCTTTGACTTTCAGCAGTTTGATTGTAATGTGTCTTGTTGTATGTCTCTTTGGGTTTATTATACTTAGAATTTGTTGAACTTCTTGAGTTTATATGTCTATTTCTATCCTCAGATTGGGTAAGTTTTTGGCCATTATATTTCAAATAAGTTCCCTACCTTTTTCTTATTGTCTTCTCCTTCTGGGATCTTCATAATGGATATATTGTCCTGCTTGATAGTGTCTCTTAAGCTCTGTTCACTTTTTTATTCTTTTGTTCTTTTTGTACCTCATACTAGATAATTTCAAATAAGTTATCTTTAAGCTTGTTTATTCTTTCTTCTGTCCAAGTCTGCTATTGAATCCCTCTAGTGAATTTTTAAGTTTGACTATCCCCAGTGTGCCCATTATATTTTTCATTTCCAGAATTTCTGGTTGGTTCTTTTAATAATGTCTATCTCTGTTGAAATTCCCCTTTGTTCATATAATTTACCTGATTTCCTTTAGGTCTCTGTCCATGTTGTTCTTTACTGTTTGAACATATTTAAAACATTGTTTGAAAATCTTTTTCTAGTAAGTCTGATACCTGTATTTTTTCAGGGATAGTTTCTGCCAATTTATTATTATTATTGAATGGTCCATGTTTCCGTTTCTTTTTATGCATTGTGATTTTGGGATTTTAAATTCACAATAGTTATGTTGGGGATTTGAAAACAAAAAGAAAAACAGCTACTTCTCCCATTCTCTGTAGACTGGCTCTTTGCCATGGAAGTCCTTTCCTAATTATCTTGGCCTTGCTTCTGAATTTTGAGATCACATCAAAGAGAAAGCTAAAGGTCTTCTCAGGTCTTTACTGAGCATGCATCTTGCCTGGACCTGTTTGTGGTTTTTTGAATCTCTGTATAGATGGCTGCTTTTAATTGTCTTAAATTTCCCAAGAGATCTTTGTGGGGTCTTGATGGTCTGTCATATGTCTCCACCTATAATCTTTTGCCCCAGGAATCTGTAGGGTCTCTCTGCAGCTTTCTGAGCCATGACTACTGCTTCTCCTCATCTGAGATTAAGGCCATGCTTGTCTCCTAGCAGAGATCTGAGTTAGGTGAATCAGGGATCAATTCTTCAGGCAGCCTTTAGACAAGTTAGAATGTTGCAAATAAGGTCAGCCTTGTTCGTTTTGGTTCAAGGGATGGTGATATGATTTGGCTGTGTGTCCCCACCCAAATCTCACCTTGAATTGTAATAATTCCCACGTGTCAAGGGTGGGACCAGGTGGAGGTAACTGAATCATGGGGGCAGTTTTCCCCATGCCGTTCTTATGATAGTGAAGAGTTCTCACAAGATTTGATGGTTTTATAAGCGTCTGGCATTTCTCCTGCTGGCATTCACTCTGTCCTGTCTGCTTCTCCTTTGCCTTTTGCCATGATTATAAGGTTCCTGAGGTCTCCTCAGCTATGCAGAACTGTGAGTCAACTAAACTTCTTTCCTTTATAAATTACCCAGTCTTAGATATTTATCCATAGCAGCATGAGAATGGACTAATACAGGTGGAATTAGGAACTGCCATCTCCTCCAAACCAAGACAACGGCTGGGGAGGAGTGGAACAAGGGTGAGCAAAAATGCCATGACATGTCCTACTGTTCGGGATGTAGCTTGTTCTTGATTGTTTACTTGGTTTCTGTAGACCTTTGACTGTTTTCCAGAGTTCCTATAAAGTTATTTAGTCACTGTATAGTTGTTTCTTTAATGTTTATTAAGGAGAATGAGGGTCTGAAGCTTCTTAGTCACATTTTGCTGATGTCATTCTTCCTAGGGGTTTTCTAATCGTTGTTTCCTCTGGTTGTATGTGGTTTCCTTACTGCATGGGAAGGGGACTCCATTGTCAATACAACCCTGAATAATATATGCAGTGTGAGAACTTTAGTGAAATTCTAATCCCACCTGGTCAAATCCTTGTTATTTTGCCCACCCCACTTCTGTGGTTATAGAATGTAATTTCTCTGTAGTATCTCTCTTTCCCAGTTTTATTTTATTTTTCCTCCAAAATTCACATTTTATTTCTATGATTTAACTCATATCCTTTCCTGCTCCAATATAATAGATCACAATTATGATCAATAATACCCACTCGGCATGTAAATAAAGGAAATAAAAATTAAATTCTGGCTAAGTTTCACAGAATGCCAGAAAAGTATTTAGTAAATTTATATATATGCATACACAAACACCCACACAGACATACACATACATGTACACATATTGTTTTCATAGAATGCTGTGTTTTCAAAGGTTTTAGATACTTGGCTTATACTATGAGCACTTTGAACACTGGTGTTTTTAATATGAAATTCTGAGAACATTTTGTTCTTGGTATCAAATATGAAACTTGTAAAATTCACATATGCAAATTGCTTCATTTATTAGTGACCTCTGATGGCTTCTGATTAAGTCAATATTGTGTCCATCTTTGAAGTATGTATTTAAAAAATTATGAATTTCCTTATTTTTTCTTCATTGTGGCTGAGTATAGGGAAATTGCTGTGTATCTCAGTTAAGGTCCATTTAAATGTGTTTTTCAAAGCTCAAGATTGGGGGGCGCTGTGGCTCACACCTGTAACCCCAGCACTTTGGGAGGCCAATGCAGGTGGATTGCTTGAACTCAGGAGGTTGAGACTAGCCTGGGCAACAAGGTGAAACCCTGTCTCTACAAAAAATACAAAAATTAGCCAGGTGTGGTGGCACGGGCCTGTAGTGCTAGCTACCTGGGAGGCTCAGGTGGGAGGATCACTTAAAGCCATGAGGTAGAAGTTGCAGTGAGCTGAGATCGCACCACTGCACTCCAGCCTGGGCAACAGAGCCAGACCCTGTCTCAAATAAAAGAAAACAAAAAGCTCTGGATAAAGTGTGCAAAAATCTTAAAATGGACCACATCCATCAGAGAATAGTCTACTAAATTCAGGGCACGTGATGTTTTTAAGATCTCAGTGAACGTGTTCATAAACTTTAAGGAGGAATTAGCCAAGCACTGTCAGAACATATTTTTGTTTTCACAAAGGCTAATATAATTGTTCTTCAAATGTCGTTATTTCTTTTATTTTGAGATGCAGTCTTGCTCTATTGTCCAGGCTGGAGTGCAGTGGCGCGATCTTGGCTCACTGCCACCTCGGCCTCCCGGATTCAAGCGATTCTCCTGCCTCAGCCTTCCGAGGAGCTGGGATTACAGGCATGCGTCACCACGCCCAGCTAATTTTTGCATTTTTAGGAGAGACAGCGTTTCACCATGTTGGCCAGGCTGATCTTGAACTCCTAACCTCAGGTGATCCATCCACCTCAGCCTCCCAGCGTTAGGATTATAGGCATGTGCCACTGTGCCCAGCCAAATGTTATTATTTCAAGTTAATAAAATTCTCATAATTATGGCAACATAATCCTCTCTTTATGTTTTTCCACAAAAGAGAATATGAACAAGGAAATTAAGTTTTTTTGTTTGTTTGTTTTGAGACAGGGTCTCACTCTGTCATCCAGGCTGGAGTGCAGAGGTGTGATTATGGCCTACTGCAGCCTCTAACTCCTGGGCTCAGGCAATGCTCCTGCCTCAGCCTTCTGAGTAGCTGGGACTACAGGCACGTGTACCGTGTCTGGCTAATTAAAAAAAATTTTTTTTTAGAGATGGGGTCCTGCTATGTTGCCCAGGCTGGTTCAAACTCCAGGCCTTAAGTAATCCTTCCACCTTGGCCTCCCAAAGTGCTAGGATTACAGGTGTGAGCCACTGCACTGAACAAGGAAATCTGAGGGACATACTTTTTCTTGAGAAGTGAACAGGCAGTAATGTATTCTATTAAAGATGTAGCCATTGTAGTACCAAAGGTTTAGTAAACTAATTCAAAGTGTCAGAGAACTTTATACTTGAATTACTCTCTCTCTCTCTATATATATTCCCCAGAGGACTTTTACCCAAACAGTTTTCTTAGAATTAAAGTTTATAATCTCATGAAGCCTAGAGCTAGGTAATGGTTAAAATAAGTAGTGATTTTAAAAATAGTTCATTGCTTACTTTAATTGTAAACTAACTTCAGGTCTGAGCAGAATATGAAATTTAAGAAAATTATTTGGGAAAAAAGCCCTGCAGGGATTGATGGAGAGAGTGAGAGAGAGGAAGAGAAAGAGACAATCTATTATAATATGGGTATAATAAAATATATAATGTATTATCTATTATATACAGACACATAATAGAACACTTAAGATGGGTGCATTTTACGGGGGAGGGAAAGGAGTATAAACAAATATTCTTTTTTTTAACTTTTCGGTTCAGGAATACATGTGTAGGTTTGTAACATAGGTAAACTTGTGTAGTGGGGATTTGAGGTTTTTTGTGCATATTATTTCATCATCCAGGTATTAAGCCTAGTACCCATTAGTTATTTTTACTGATCCTCTCCCTTCTCCCACCCTCCACCCTCCAGTACCCTCCAATAGGCCTCATGGTCTGTTGTTTCCCTCTATGTGTCCATGTGTTCTCATCATTTAGCTCCCACTTGTAAGTGAGAACATGCAAAATTTGATTTTCTGTTCCTGTATTAGTTTGCTAAGGATATGGCTTCCAGCTCCATCCATGTCCCTGAATGGGACATGATCTTGTTCTTTTTCATGGCTGTATAGTATTCCATGGTATATATGTACCACATTTTCTTTATCCTGTCTATTATTGATGGGCATTTAGGTTGACTCCATGTCTTTGCTATTGTGACTAGTGCTGCAATGAACATATGCATGCATGTCTTTATAACAGAATGATCTATATTTCTTTGAGTGTATACTCAGTAATGGGATTGCTGGGTCAAATGGCATTTCTGGCTGTAGGACGTTGAGGAATCACTGCACTCTCTTCCACAGTGGTTGAACTAACTTACACACCCACCAACAATGTATAAGCATTCCCATTTCTCCACAAACTTGCCATCATCTGTTGTTGTTGTTGTTGTTGTTGTTTACTTTTTAATAGTCACTCTGACTAGTGTGAGGTGGTATCTCATTGTGGTTTTGATTTGCATTTCTCTGATGATCAAAGATGTTGAGCATTTTTTCATGATTGTTGTTTGTATGTATGATTCTCTTGAAAAGTATCTGCTTGTGTCTGCTGCCCACTTTTAATAGATTTTTTTTCTTCTTGTATATTAAGTTCCTTATAGATGTTGGACATTTGTCAGATGCATAGTTTGCAAACATTTTCTCCCATTCTGCAGGTTATCTGTTTACTCTGTTGATAGTTTCTTTTGCTGTGCAGAAGCTCTTTAGTTTAGTTTAATTGGATCCCATTAGTCAATTTTGCTTTTGTTGCAGTTACTTTTGGCATCTTCATCATGAAATCTGTGCCCATGCCTGTGTCCTGAATGGTATTATCTAGGTTTTCTTCTAGGGTTTTTATAGTTTTGGGTTTTACATTTAAGTCTTTAATCCATCTCGAGTTAATTTTTGTATATGATCTAATGAAGGGGTCCAGTTTCAATTTTCTACATATAGCTAGCTACTTATCCCAGCACCATTTATTGAATAGGGATGCATTTCTCCGTTGCTTGTTTTTGTCAGGTTTTTTGAAGATCAGATAGTTGTAGGTGTGCAGTCTTATTTCTGCATTCTCTATTCTGTTCCATTGGTCCATGTGTCTGTTTTTGTACAGGTACCATGCTGTTTTGGTTACTGTAGTTCTGTAGTATAGTTTGAAGTTGGGTAGCAATGATGCCTCCAGCTTTTTGTTTTTCTTTTTTTCTCCTTAGGATTTCCTTGGCCTTTTGGACTCTTTTTAGGTTCCATATGATTTTTTTTTTTTTTTTTTTGGTGCACATAGTTTATTTAACACTCCTCTGTTTGGTGATTTAGATTATTTCCCACTTTTATTTGTAATAAAAAATTGCACTGCAGTGAGCATCCTTATGATTAAATTTTTGTACTCATCCTTAATTATCTTTTTAGGATGAATTTCCAGAGAGTGAATTACAGTTCACATTTAACTCTTTCAATGCATAGTGTCAAGCTGCCCTGAGGAGAGGTTGTGCTAATGTGTGCATGCTCAGCAGTGTATACCAGTGCCCATTTCCTTGCAACCTTGGCAACGCCAGATATTGCTATTTTATTTTAATTAATTAATTAATTTTTCCATACGTTATTGGGTACAGGTGGTATTTGGTTACATGAGTAAGTTCTTTTTTTTTTTTTTTTTGAGACGGAGTCTCGCTGTTGCCCAGGCTGGAGTGCAGTGGTGCAATCTCGGCTCACTGCAGGCTCCGCTCCCCGGGGTTCATGCCATTCTCCTGCCTCAGCCTCCCCCATAGCTGGGACTACAGGCGCCCGTCACCTCGCCCGGCTAATTTTTTGTATTTTTAGTAGAGATGGGGTTTCACCATGTTAGCCAGGATGGTCTCGATCTCCTGACCTCGTGATCCACCCGCCTCAGCCTCCGAAAGTTCTGGGATTACAGGCATGAGCCACCGTGCCCGGCACATGAGTAAGTTCTTTAGTGATGATTTGGGAGATTTTGGTGCACCCATCAAATATGGGTATACACTGCACCATATTAGTACTCTTTTATCCCTCACCCCCTTCCCACTCTTCCCCCCAAGTCCCCAAAGTCCTCTGTATCATTCTTATACCTTTGTGTCCTCATAGCTTAGCTCCTACATATCAGTGAGAACATACGATGTTTGGTTTCCATTCCTGAGTTACTTCACGTAGAATAATAGTCTCTAATCTCATCCAGATCACTACAAATGCTATTAATTCACTCCTTTTTATGGCTGCATAGTACTCCACTGTGTATGTATGTATGTGTGTGTATATATATACGTGTATATACACATAAACACATATATACACATATATACATGTATGTGTGTGTATATGTGTATGTATATATGTGTATACACACACACACACACACACACACACACACCAGTTTCTTTATCCACTTGTTGATGATGGGCATTTGGGTTGGTTCCATGATTTTGCAGTTGTGAATTGCTCCACTATAAAAATGCATGTACAAGTATCTTTTTTGAGTAATGACTTCTTTTCTTCTGTGTAGACACCCAATAGTGGGGTTGCTGGATCAAATGGTAGTTCTACTTTTAGTTCTTTAAGGAATCTCCACACTGTTTTCCATAGTGGCTGTATGAGTTTACATTCCCACCAGCAGTGTAGAAGTGTTCCCTGTTCACCACATCCACGCCCACATCTACTGTTTGATTTTTTTTATTATGGCCATTCTTGCAGGAGTAAGGTGGTATCGCATTGTGGTTTTGATTTGTATTTCCCTGATCATTAGTGATGTTGAGCATTTTTTCATGTTTGTTGGCCATTTGTATATGTTCTTTTGAGAATTGTCCATTCATGTCCTTAGCCCACTTTTTTATGGGATTGTTTTTTTCTTACTGATTTGAGTTTGTTGTAGATTCTGGATATTAGTCCTTTGTTAGATGTATAGATTGTGAAGATTTTCTCCCACTCTGTGGGTTGTCTGTTTATTCTGCTGACTGTTTCTTTTGCTGTGAAAAAGCTCTTTAGTTTAATTAGGTCCCAGCTATTTCTCTTTGTTTTTATTGCATTTGCTTTTGGGTTCTTGGTAATGAAATCTTTGCCTACGCCAATGTCTAGAAGGGTTTTTCCAATGTTATCTTCTAAAATTTTTATAGTTTCACGACTTAGGTTTAAGTACTTAATCCATCTTGAGTTGATTTTTGTATAAGGTGAGAGATGAGGATCCAGTTTCATTCTCCTACATGTGGCTAGCCAATTATCCCAGCACCATTTGTTGAAAAGGGTGTCCTTTCCCCACTTTATGTTTTTGTTTGCTTTGTTGAAAATCAGTTGGCTGTAAGTATTTGCATTTATTTCTGGGTTCTCTATTCAGTTCCATTGATCTGTATGCCTATTTTTATACCAGTACCATGCTGTTTTGGTGACTATGGCCTTATATTATAGTTTGAAATCAGGTAGTGTGCTTCCTCTAGATTTGTTCTTTTTGCTTAGTCTGCTTTGGCTGTGTGGGCTCTTTCTTGGTTCCATATGAATTTTAGAATTGTTTTTTCTAATTTTGTGAAGAATGATGGTGGTATTTTGATGGGGACTACATTGAATTTGTAGATTGCTTTTGGCAGTATGGTCATTTTCACAATATTGATTCTACCCATTCATGAGCATGGGATGTGTTTCCGTTTGTTTGCGTCATCTATGATTTCTTTCAGCAGTGTTTTGTAGTTTTCCTTGTAGAGGTCTTTCAACTCCTTGGTTAGGTATATTCCTAAGTATTTTTTTTTTTTTTGCAGCTATTATAAAAGGGGTTGAGTTCTTGATCTGATTCTCCACTTGGTTGCTGTTGTTGTATAGAAGAGCTACTGATTTTGTATATTAATCTTGTATCCAGAAACTTTGCTGAATTCTTTTATCAGTTCTAGGAGCTTTCTGGAGGAGTCCTTAGGGTTTTCAAGGTAAACGATTGTATCATCAGCAAACAGTGACAGTTTGACTTCCTGTTTACTGATTTGGATGCCCTTTATTTCTTTCTCTTGTCTGATTGCTCTGGCTAGGACTTCCAGTACTATGTTGAACAGGAGTGGTGACAGCGGGCATTCTTGTCTTGTTCCAGTTCCCAGAGGGAATGCTTTCAACTTTTCCCCATTCAGTATCACGTTTGCTGTTGGTTTGTCATAGATGGAGTTTATTACATTAAGGTATGTCCTTTGAATGCTGATTTTGCTGAGAGTTTTAATCATAAAGGGATGCTGGATTTTGTCGAATGCTTTTTCTGCATCTATTGAGATGATCATGTGATTTTTACTTTTTTTTTTTTTGAGACAGAGTCTCACTCTGTTGCCCAGGCTGTAGTGCAATGGTGCAATCTTGGCTCCTGCAACCTCCGCCTCCTGGGTTCAAGCGATTCTCCTGTCTCAGCCTCCCGAGTAGTTGGGATTACAGGCGTGCGCCACCAGGCCCGGCTAATTTTTGTATTTTTAGTAGAGACAGGTTTTCACCATGTTGGTCAGGCTGGCCTCAAACTCCTGACCTCGTGATCCACCCGCCTCAGCCCCCCAAAGTGCTGGGATTACAGGCATGAGCCACCATGTCCAGCTGATTTTTACTTTTAATTCTGTTTCTGTGGTGTATCACATTTATTGGCTTGCATATGTTAAACCATCCCTACATCCCTGGTATGAAACCCACTTGATCATGGTGGATTATCTTTTTGATATGTTGTTGGATTTGGTTAGCTAGAGCTAGTAGTTGTTAAGAAGTTTAACATCAATGTTCATCAAGGATATCGGTCTATAGTTTTCTTTTTTGGTTATGTCCTTTCCTGGATTTGGTATTAGGGTGATGCTGGCTTCATAAAATGAATTACAGAGGGTTCCTTCTTTCTCTATCTTGTGGAATGGTATCAAAAGGATTGGTACCAATTCTTCTTTGAATGTCTGGTAGAATCTGAATGTCTCCTGTGAATCCATCTGGCCTGGACTCTTTTTTTTGTTGTTGTTGGTAATTTTAAAAATACCATTTCGATCTCGCTGCTTGTTATTGGTCTGTTCAGGGTATCTAATTTTTCCTGATTTAAGCTAGAAGGGCTGTATTTTTTCCAGGAATTTATCCATCTCTTCTAGGTTTTCTAGTTCATGTGCCTAAAGGTGTTCATAGTAGACTTGAATGATCTTTTGTATTTCAGTGGTGTCCGTTGTAATATCTCCTGTTTCGTTTCTTATTGAGGTTATTTGGCTTCTCTCTCTTCTTCTCTTGGTTAATCTTGCTAATGATCTATCAGTTTTATTTATCTTTTCAAAGAACCAGCTTTTTGTCTCATTTATCTTTTGTATTTTTTGTTTGTTTCAATTTCATTTAGTTCTGCTCTCATCTTGGCAGTTTTCTTATTTCTGCTGGGTTTGAGTTTGGTTTGTTCTTGTTTCTGTAGTTCCTTGAGGTATGACCTTAGAATGTGAGTTTGTGCCCTTTCAGTCTTTTTGATGTAGGTGCTTAGGGCTATGAACTTTCATCTTAGCACCGCCTTTGCTGTATCCCAGAGGTTTTGATAGGTTGTGTCATTATTGTCATTCAGTTCAAATAATTTTTTAATTTCCATCTTGATTTCATTTTTGACTCAATGCTCATTCAGGAGGACGTTATTTAATTTCTATGTATTTGTATGGTTCTGAAGGTTCCTTTTGGAGTTGATTTCCAGTTTTATTCCACTGTGATCTGAGAGCGTGCTTGATATAATTTCAATTTTTTAAAATTTATTGAGGGTCGTTTTATGGGCTATCATGTGCTGTATCTTGGAGAAAGTTCCATGCACTGTGTGTTCTGTGGTTGTTGGATGAAATGTTCTGTTTATATATGTTAAGTCCATTTGTTTTAAGGTATAGTTTAAATCCATTGTTTCTTTGTTGAGTTTCTGTCTTGATGTCCTGTCTAGTGCTGTCAGTGGAGTAGTGTAGGTCTTAGGTCTATTCTTAGGTCTATTAGTAATTGTTTCTTAGGTCTATTAGTAATTGTTATATAAATTTGGGAGCTGCAGTGTTAGGGGTGTGTGTGTGTGTGTGTGTGTGTGTGTGTGTACACACATATATATACACACATACATATATACACATACATATATACACACATACATATATATACACATACATATACACACACACACACACACACACACACACCCATCTATATACATATTTTGAGACAGAGTTTTGCTGTCATCCAGGCTGGAGTGCAGTGGTGCGATCTTGGCTCACTACACTTTCTGCCTCCCAAGTTCAAGCGATTCTCCTGCCCCAGCCTCGTGGAGTAGCGGGGACTACAGGCACATGTCACCGCAGGTGCCTCTGTTTTTAGGATTGTGATATTTCCTGTTGGACAAGGTTTTTACCATTATATAATGTCCCTCTTGGTCTCTTTTAACTGCTGTTACTTTAAAATTTGTTTTGTCTGGTATAAGAATAGCTGCCCCTGCTCGCTTTTGGTGTCCATTTGCATGAAATGCCTTTTTCTGCCCCTTTACTTTAAGTTTATGTGAGTCCTTATGTGTTAGGTGAGTCTTCTGAAGGCAGCAGAGAGTTGGTTGGTGAGTTCTTATCCATTCTGTGGTTCTGTATCTTTTAAGAGGAGCATTTAGGCCATTTACATTCAATGTTAGTATTGAAATATGAGGTACCGTTGCATTCATTGTGATTTTTGTTGCCTGCGTACTTTGTTTTTTTTGTTGTTTTTGCTTTTTAACATGTATTTTTGTTTTATAGGTCCTGTGTGATTTATGCTTTAAAGAGGTTCTGTTTTGATGTGTTTCCAGAATTTGTTTCAAGATTTACAGCTCCTTCTAGCAGTTCTTATAGTGGTGGCTTGGTAATGGCAAATTCTGTCAGCATTTGTTTGTCTGAAAACGACTATATCTTTGCTTCATACATGATGCTTACTTTTGCTGGATACTAAATTCTTGGCTGATAATTGTTTTGTTTGAGGAGGCTGAAGATAGGGCACCAATCTCTTCTAGCTTGTAGGGGTTCTGCTGAGAAATCTGCTGTTAATCTGATAGGTTTTCCTTTATAGGTTACTTGGTTCTTCTGTCTTACAGGTTTTAAGATTCTTTCTTTTGTCTTAACTTTGGATAACCTGATGACTATGTGCCTAGGCGAAGATCTTTTTGCAATGAATTTTCCAGGTGTTCTTTGTGCTTCTTGTATTTGGATGTCTAGGTCTCTAGCAAGGCTGGGGAAGTTTTCCTTGATTATTCCCCCAGATATGTTTTCCAAGCTTTTAGAATTCTCTTCTTCCTCAGGAACACTGATTATTCTTAAGTTTGGTTGTTTAACGTAATCCCAGACTTCTTCATGACTTTCTTCATATTTTCTTCTTCTTTTTTCTTTGACCTTGTTGGATTGGGTTAGTTCAAAGACCTTGTTTTCGAGCTCTGAATTTCTTTCTTCTCCTTGTTCAATTCTATTGGTGAGACTTTCCAGAGCATTTACCCTTTTTATTTTATTTTATTTTATTTTATTTTATTTTATTTTGAGACGGAGTCTCGCCCTGTCACCCAGGCTGGAGTGCAGTGGCACGGCTCAATGGCTCAATGCAACCTCCACCTCCTGGGTTCCAGTGATTCCCTGGCTAATTTTTGTATTTTTGTCCAGCTAATTTTTGTATTTTTAGTAGAGATGGGGTTTCGCCATGTTGGCCAGACTGGTCTCAAAATCCTGGCCTTGTGATCTGCCCGCCTCACCCTCCCAAAGTACTGGGATTAGAGGGGTGAGCCACCATGCCTGGGCAGCATTTCACATTTCTAAAAGTGTGTCCAAAGTTTCCTGATTTTTTGGTTGTTTTTTCTTTAAGCTATCTATTTCCTTGAATATTTCTCCCTTCACTTGTTGCATCACTTTTTGGATTTCCTCGCATTAAAATTGGGCTTCACCTTTCTCTAGTCCATCCCTCTTTAGCTTAATAACTAACCTCCCTAAATTCTTTTTCAGGTAAATCAGGGATTTCTTCTTGATTTGGATCCACTGCTGCTGAACTAGTGTGATTTTTTGGGGGTGTTGAAGAGCCTTGTTTTGTCATATTACCAGGGTTTGTTTTCTGGTTCCTTCTCATTTGGGTAGGCTCTATCAGAGGGAAGGTTTAGGGCTGAAGGCTGCTGTTCAGGTTCTTTTGTCCCACAGGGTGTTCCCTTGATGTAGTACTCTCCCCCTTTTCCTATGGATGTGGCTTCCTGTGAGCTGTACTACAGTGATTGTTGTTTCTCTTCTGGGTCTAGCTACCCAGCTGGTTTATCTGGCTCCAGGCTGGTACTGGGGGTTGTCTGCACAGAGTCCTGTGATATGAAGCATCTATGGGTCTCTCATTCATGGATACCAGTGCCTGTTCCAGTGGAGATGGCAGGGCTGTGTGATGGACTCCGTGAGGGTTCTTGGCTTTGGTGGTTTAATGCTCTATTTTTGGGCTGGTTGGACTCTTGCCAGGAGGTGCGCTTTCCAGAAAGCATCAGCTGTAGTAATATAGAGAGGGACCAGTGGTGGGTGGGGCCCTGGCACTCCGAAGATTATATGCCATTTGTCTTCTACTACCAGGGTGGATAGGGAAGTACCATCAGGTGGGGGTGGGGCTAGGCATGTCTGAGCTCAGACTCTCCTTGGGCAGGTCTTGCTGTGCCTGCTGTGGCGGATGGGGGTGAGATCCCCAGGTCACTGGAGTTGGGTACCTAAGAGGATTATGGCTGCCTCTGCTGAGAAATGCAGTTTCTCAGGGAAGTAGGGGAAAGCCGGCAGTCACTGGCCTCACCCAGCTCCCATGCAAACTGAAGGGCCTGTCTCACTCCCACCATGCCCCCCAACAACAGTCCTGAGTCTTTTTCCAGGCAGAGGGCATGATGGGCTTGAAAACTTGTCCTGGGCTACCTGCCTCCCAGCTGCAAAAGAAAAGGGCCTGAATTTTAAAGTAGTTTTTATCTAGTTCTGTGAAGAATCTCAGTGGTAGTTTAATAGAAATAGCATTGAATCTATACATTGCTCTGGGTAGTATGGCCATTTTAACAATATTGATTCTTCCTGTTCATGAGCATGGAATGTTTTTCCATTTGTTTGTGTCATCTCTGATTTCCTTGAGCAGTGTTTTGTAGTTCTCATTGTAGAGATCTTTCACCTCTTGGATTAGCTGCATTCCTAGGTGTTTTATTCTTTTTGTAACAATTGTGAATGGGATTGTGTTCCTGATTTGGCTCTTGGCTTGGCTATTGTTGGTGTATAGGAATGCTAGTCATTTTTGTACATTGGTTTTGTGTCCTGAAACTGCTGAAGTTGTTTATCAGCTGAAGGAGCTTCTGGGCTGAGATTATGGGGTTCTCTAGATATAGGACGATGTTGTCTGCAAACAGGGATAGTTTGACTTCCTCTCTTCCTATTTGGATGCCCTTTATTTCTTTCTCTTGCCTGGTTGCTCTGGCTATAACTTCCAATACTCTGTTGAATAGGAGTGGTGAGAGAGGGCATCCTTGTCTTGTGTCAGTTTTCTAGGGGAATGTTTCCAGCTTTTGCCCATTCAGTATGATTTTGGCTATGGGTTTGTCATATATGGCTCTTATTATTTTGAGGTATGTTCCTTCAGTACCTAGTTTATTGAGAGCGTGTTTTTTTTTTTTTTTTTTGACAGAGTCTTGCTGTATTGCCCAGGCTGGAGTGCAGTCGTGCAGTCTTAGCTCATTGTAATCTCTGCCTCCGCCTCCTGAGTAGCTGGGACTACAGGCACACGCCACCATGCCCAGCTAATTTTTGTATTTTTAGTAGAGATGGGGTTTCCATGTTGGCCAGGATGGCCTTGATCTCCTGACCTCGTGATCTACCCGCCTCGGCCTCCCAAAGTGCTGGGATTACAGGCGTAAGCCACTGTTCCCGGCCGAGAGTTTTTAACATGTTAATGATATGTATGCTAAAGTGGCTAAAGAGGCGAAGTGTATGGATATCTGCAACTTACTTTGAAATGTATCAAAAATAAGATGTTTCAATGCAATAAAAGTTGAAAAAAATAAGATGGATTGATAAAGGGACAGGTTAATGGACAGATAAGTGATAACGCAATTATTGTAAGACATTAATGGTCGAATCCAAATAGTGGGCATACGGATGTTTACTGTACCTTCTTAGAACTTTACTGTATATTTAAAACTTTTCATAATAAAATTTTGGTAAAACTAGTGTTACTGAGAAGGTACCTAAGCCTGCATAGGTCTAGTTTGGTTCAGTCAACATTTAGTGACACCTATAGTGCTCAAAGTGATATAATAAGTATTAGGGATGTAAGAATGAAGTAACTCAGACTCTTTGAGGTAAAGAGTGGCAGGAAATAAAACTGGAAAGCACAGGTTAGTTAATGGAGAGTCTTATACACCATGATAAGGAGCTTGGACTTTATCCTATGGGGTTTTAGGGAGGGGAATGATACTTAGGTAGGTTACTTTAGCAGCATTGTGGAGGCTAGATTTCAGGAGGTGGTGGTGGTGGTAGTGGGTATAGACTAAAGACAAAGATAATAATTAGGAAGCAGTACTCCAAGTGAAGATGATTGATTAACCTAAATTCCAATGGTTATAGGGCTAGTTTCTAGAAATATTTAGGAGCATTAATCAATTGAATTTGATTGGTTGGATTAATTGTAAGTGGGTTATAGAGAATCAAGAACGACAGAGACCACATATGGAGGAGCAAGTTTGGAGTTTGAGGGGAAAATGATGAGTTTAGTTTAAGACATCTTATGTTTTGGATATTATCTAGTCAAAGACTTCTTTATCCATGCATTTTTGCCTACGTTATTTTAAAAACATTCACGATAGAATTCCATGTCTGTTGCTAACAGTAAGATGTTGAGCAAAATGGATACAGATACTGCCTTTTAGAAAGTTACAGCCTAATAGGCTGGGTGCGGTGGCTTATGCCTGTAATCCCAGCACTTTGGGGGGCCAAGGTGGGCAGATCACTTGAGCTCAGTAGTTCGAGACCAACCTGGGTAACATGGTGAAACCTCATCTGTACTAAAAATGCAAACATTAGCTGGGAGTGGTGGCACGTGCCTGTTATCTCAGCTACTTGGGAGGCTGAGGCAGGGGAAGTGCTTGAACCCGGAGGCAGAGGTTGCAGTGAGCCAAGATCGTGCCACTGCACTGCAGTCTGGGTGACAGAGTAAGACTCTGTCTCAAAAAAAAAAAAAAAAAAAAACTTACAGCCTAGTGAAGGAGATAATTAAACCAGAGTTATAATAAAAAGTGATATTTATGGTGATAGGAAAAGTACAAGATGGTATGGAACTTCCTAGAAGGAACAGTTATTTTAACATTGGCTTGTAGGTATTATCAGTTTGAAGCCTGGGATGAAGCCTGGACTGGAGATACCAATTAATGTCTTTCTGTTGCTGATTCCTGAGAGTTGATAAAAATGTCCCAGCAACTCAGGAGGCTGAGGTGGGAGGATGGCTTGAGCTTGGGAGGTTAAGGCTGCAGTGAGCTGTGATCACACCACTGCACTCCAGTCTGGGTGACAGAATGAGACACTGTATCAAGAAAAAAAAAGTTTTTCATTTTTCCTTTTGAGACAGAGTCTCATTCTGTCGCCCAGGCTGGAGTGCGGTGGCATGACCTTTCCTCACTGCAACCTCTGCCTCCTGGGTTGAAACGATTCTTGTGTCTCAGTCTCCCGAGTAGCTGGGATTACAGGCGTGTACCACCACGCCAGCTAATATTTGTTTTTGTTTTTGTTTTTGTTTTAGTAGAGACAGGGTTTCACCATGTTCACCAGGCTGGTCTTGAATTTCTGGCCTCACGTGATCCACCCACTACCCAAAGTGCTGGGATTACAGGTGTGAACCACTACTCCTGGCTGAGAAAAAAAAAAAAAGTATTTTCTTTTCTGTCCACTAAAAAAGTCTAAAAGCCAAGATTAACCCAGAGAAAACAGAAGAAATGGAGAAATAGTAGATTCTAGGTGTAAGACAGGGAATTTACAAGGAATTTACAAGATGAGTCTGGGACATCTCATGCCATAAAAGTTAAGCTGCTGCCAAAGACTAATAGGGTTAAAAGGACACAGGAGCCAACACACACACACACACACACACACACACATCCCAAACCCCAATGGATTAAAGACAAATGTGAAAGGTAAAAACTTTAATAAAAGGAGATTATCTGTATGAGATTGGAAATAAGGAAGGACATCTTAAACAAGATATAAAAGCATACCATAAAGGTATAATGGTGCATTCTTGTCTTTAATATAGTCAAAAATTTTTTTCGTCAACCACAAAGACAGGAAAAAGATAAGCAACAACTTGGGAGGAGTTATTTGTAACACTGACAAAGGATTAGTTTCTAAAATATATAAAGACTACTACAAATCAGTGAGAAAAAGGCAAAGAACTCAGTGGAAAAATGAGTAAAACATAGGAATAGGCATTTCAAGGAAGAAGAAACAAGATGACAAGAAACATATGAAAAGATGTTCAACCTCATTATTAATCAGGCAAATACAAATTAAAACCTCAATGAGAAACCACTACACAGCTACTAGGGATGGCAAACATTTAAAAACCTGAGTGTTTAAGTATTAGCAAGATGTGGAGAAATGGAAACTCTTATACTTGTTTAGTGGAAATATAAATTGGCAAAACTACTCTAGGAAATATTTGGAATTATTTATTAAAATTAAAGATGTGTATTGCCTGTGACCAGAAATTTCACTCCTAAGTATATACCCTAGGAATATATAGTTGCCCTGTTTGTAATAGAAAAAGCTAGAATCAACATAAATGTCCACTAACAGAAGAATGAATAAACTGAGTAGTGGATGAATAAATTGTATTCAGTCGGTGAAATACTATAGGCAGTGAAAATGAACATACCTACATCTACATATGTCAGCATGGCTATATTCAAAAATAATATTTAGTGAAAAAAGTAAGTAACAAGAAGAATGCACTATGTTTCCACTTATATAAAGTTCAGAAAGAAGTAAAACTAAACAAGTTGTTAAATGAGTTTGAGACCAACAATATAGCAAGACCCTGTCTCTACAAAAAGCCCAAAATTAGCTAGGCATGGTGGCATGCACCTATAATTCTAGCTACTCAGAGGGCTGAGGTGGGATGACTGCTTATGCCCAGGAGTTTGAGGTTACAGTGAGCTGTATTCATGCAACTGCACTCCAGCCTGGGTGACAGAGTGAGACTCTTTCTCTTAAAAAAAAAAGATTTTATTTATGGAACTTGCCTCATATGGGAAAACCATAAAGACAAGCAAAGGAATGGTTAAGACAAAATTTAAGACTGAGAGTAGATGGAAGAAGAAATGTAATTGAGGAGGGACACCCAGGGGACTTCAAAGGTACCGGTAATGTTAATGATTTTTCTCTCAATGGTGGGATGAAGGTGATTTTTATTTTGTTTTCTGGCTTTCCATATTTTTGTATGTGTGGCTTTCAGAGAGGTGATGTCATATAGGGGTTTCTCTAGGGTTGTGGTTCTTAACCAAGGATGACTTTTTACTATCTTCCTCCCCCCAGGAGACATTTGGCAATGTCTGGAGAGTTATTTGGTTGCCGTGACTGGGGTTGGGAAACTACTGGCATTCAGTAGACAGAGGCCAGGGATTGCTGCTAAACATCCTACAATGCACAGGACAGCCCAAGAGCAAATAATTATTTGGCCCAAAATGTCAATAGCGCTAAGGTTCAGAAACCCTGTTCTAAGAGCCAGACTCTTTGGGTTTGAATTCCAGCTTTGCACTTTACAACCTGGGAGACTATGGGAAATTACTAATCTCTATGTCTCAGTATCATTGTTTATATGAGGCTAATAGTAGTATCCATCTCATAGGTTTGTTGTGAGAATTAACTGAATTAAAACATAAGGTACTGAGTCCAGAACCAGACAAATAAGAAGTACTTGATAAATTCTAACAATAATGTTTTATTATTATTTTTGTTGAATATATTCAATTGGTTGAGAAAAAAGTTGATTAAGAGAAATATGTTGAAAAATAGTTATTATAGCAATAGAAAATTATGCAAAGACACACATATGCAGAAACCCTACTTTAAAATGTAGCATGTGGAAATTTCACAAGAAGACTTTGCAAACAATGACAGCCTGTTATAATCTGTATCTTATCTGTACTTAATAGCAATTTCTAAACAAGAAACCAGAGCACTGAACATAAAGTGTATATGAGTTAGTGCTAATCTGAATTTAAGCTATATTAGTAACTGAACTCAGTGTTGTGACAGATTACATTACAAAAACCATCCTATACTTTAGTACACAAACTGATATTTCCCTTATTCTCTATAAAGACCCTTCCAGAAAGATCCTTGGGAAGTCAGTTTCTTGATTGAATTTCATGTACACTTGTTTATCCAAGTGGATGTGTCTGTAAAGTTGTGACAGGATGCTGTTTTTTTGTTTGTTTGCTTATTTCAAGACAGGGTCTTACTCTGCTGTTGCTCAGGGTGGAGTGCAGTGGTGTGATCTCAGCTCACTACAATCTCCAGCTCCTGGGCTCAAGTGATCTTCCCACCTTAGCCTCCTGAGTAGCTGTGACTACAGGTACACGCCACTGTGCCTGGCTACTTTTTGTGTTTTTAGTAGAGATGGGGTTTTGCCATGTTGTCCAGGCTGGTCTCGAACTCCTGGGCTTATGCAATCCACCTTCCTTAGCTTCGCAAAGTGCTTGGGTGTGAGCCACTGCACCTGGCCAGGATGTTGTTGTTGTTGTTCTTTTTTTAAAACAAGTATTCTAAAAAAATAAGCTATTTAAAATATATACAATTTATGGTAAAGTTTCTTGAAGCTTTCGCAAATTAAACAAATTCTTAGGCATGTATATTCAACTGTAATATGGCGTATTTCCCTCCAAGCAAATAAAGATTATTATTTTTATTTTCAATGCAGGTATGTCCAGAAAGAAGTAGATTGAAGCAATGATATTGACCATTACTATCATTAGTATAGTTCCATATAATTAGCAAAGTCCTATCACATTTGTGTTCACAAAAGAGCTTCATAAAAATCCCGTGGAGTGTGTGGCATTATCTCTATTTTAGGAATGAAGAAGTTGAGGCTTAGAGAGATGAAATGACTCGCCCAAAGTTATAATGCTAGAAATTGTGGGACTATCATTCAGACTCAAGTCTCACAATAAATCCTAGCCTTTCTGTAATTGGTATAACAGGGAATTGCTATTTCCTCTCAAAATGAACTGAGATGCGATGTCAGAGACAGAGAGGGAGAAGGGTTCAGAACTACCTGTCAGATGTGATATTTTATATGCATTATTTATAAAAATTATATGTAATAAAATATATTGAATAATTTAATCATTATTATACACCTTTTATTTTTAAATTTTTTACTTTGGATAATTTCAAACATATACCAAAGAGAGAATGACATTTGCAAACTGCTGTATTACCCGCTACCCAGCTTCATCAGTTATCAACTCCTGGCTACTCTTTTTTTTTTTTTTTTCTGTGACACAGAGTCTTGCTCTGTCACCCAGGCTGGAGTGCAGTGGCATGATCTTGGCTCACTGCAATTTCTTCCTCCTGGGTTCAAGTAATTCTCATGCCTCAGCCTCCCAAGCAGCTGGGATTACAGGTGCAGCCGCCACACCTGGCTAATTTTTGTATTTTTAGTAGGGAGGGTTTTGCCATGTTGGCCAGGCTGGTCTCAAACTCCTGGCTTCAAGTGATCCACCTGCCTCGGCCTGCCAAAATGCTGGGATTACAGGCATGAGCCACCGCGCCCTGCCAACATCTGGTTACTCTTAATTCACCTATATCCCTTCTACTTTCTCCCTACTGAATCATTTTGAGTCAACTTGAAGATGTGTAATTTCATTTGTACCTACTCTGTTATGCACAATTTTATTTTAAAATAGCTTTTAAATAATAATTACAACTTGGGAATACTGAAAAGCTGAATAGTTTTTTAGAAGCTGTTAGTGTAGTTAATATAGACCAGTTAATCTAGTTAATGTAGTCCAGTTAATGTAGACCAATAGATAGCATTTCTTGAGTTCAAAATAATCACATACATTATGCTTTTCTCTTAGAATTTAAATGTCTAGTAATAAACAGAGAAAGTGTTTTACCTGTTCTCTGCCGTCTTCTCTCAGTTCTCCGTCTAAAGTAAAAGATTAAAACATTAATTATCTTAAAAGTCTAATAATGGACCTTAAGAAAATTTTTTTACAACACTAAAAACAGAAATGCTTAAAATAATAACAAGTTACAATGCTGAGAACTCTAGAGAAATAAAAAACCAAACCTTAACATAGTATGAAAGTGCCAATCATTTTCATATATATGTGTATGGCTACCTTGCATTACAGTATTTACTATGTACAGTATATACTATAGTATATACTAGCAGCATATCACTTGAGAGCTTATTAGAAATGCAGAGCCATAGGCTCCAGCCCAGATCTACTGAATCAGAATCAACTTTTTAACAAGATCTCCAAATTTATCTATATTTATTTGTATGATCATTGAAATTTCACCTTTGTAATAATCAGGCAACTTGGTATTTTATATCAATGACAAGCAGTCTTATACCAACTAGAAATGCTCAGAGTTTTCTTATTTTTATTAATTTACTGAAAGTTCTTGCAAGCTATAACATAGTTTTTCTGTTATACTTTGAATACTTGGGTGTCTTGAATACCATTACCTTCTGCATTACAGGTATTAGTCATCAAAAATCCAGAACAGATGTCTTTTTCAAGTTCATTCCTTCTGTCAATTATTTGTCTGCAGTATATGGGTGTTTTTAATTGGAAAAAGGATTAAAAAAGAAAATTTTAAGGTTAGGTATAAGTTATAGATTTTAAAGTATTAAAATATTTTAAAGTTTCTGGGTTAAAAAATGTAATTAAAAAATTTCTTTGGAAACTTTCAACAATATAGTAATCATTTAAATACCATTATATTTAAAAACAGAGAAAGCCACTTTTAATTTTTCCACCATTAAATATTTTACCGGACATTTCAAAGAGCAGTTAAATTAAACTTTAACATACAGATAATGTATTTTACATATGAAGTTTTAAGAGAAACAATCATGGAAACCAAATGTGATGCTCTGAACTCATGGTTATTACAAAATTAAAATGAATGATGAAGTTTTATAAACTTGTAAAAGTAATTCACTTTTGATGTAGAAAACCCCCCACCAAAACATAGAAAAAGAATAATATAAATATCCAGAGTTGTTCTCTGGATATTTAGCTCCACTACTTATTATTATGTATCTTTTAAAAAAATAAAACTGAGATAATGTGGTCTTGTGAAATTTCATGTCATCATCTTTCACTTATTTTTTTTTGTTTTAAAATTTGTACTGTTTATATGTTAAAACTGACTTTCTTAAGGTATAGAGTTTTGTGAATTTTAACAGATGTTTAGATTCCTGTTATTACCATTACAAACAGAATATAGAACAGTTTCATCATGCCAAAAAACCCTCCCTTATATACTTTATAGTCACACCCCCTCAACCTATACACCCTGGCAACCACAGATATCTTCTTCATAACTATAGTTTTGACTTCACGAATGTTGTATGATTGGAATTATACCATATAAACTTTTGTGACTGACTTCTGTCATTCAGTATAATGCCCTGATATTCATCCAAGTTGTTAAACGTGTATCAATGGTTCACTGCTTTTTATTGCTGAGCAGTATTCCATTACAGATGTGTGTACCAGTTTATTTATTCACCTGTTGAAGGGTATTTTTCTCAGTTTTTGAAAATTATGAATAAAACTGCTACAAGCATTCATGTACAGTTTCTTGTGTGAACCTGTTTTTACTTTTCTAGTGTAAATACTTAATGGGATTGTTGAATCATATGGTGAATACATGTTTAACTTTATAAGAAACTGCAAAACCATTTCCCAGAAGAGTTGTACCATTTTATATTACATTTCATGCGACAATGAATGAGAGTTCAGTTACTTTGCATCATCCTCACCAGCACCTGGAATTGTCAGTATTTTTAAAAATTATTGACATTCTAATAGGTGTACAGAGGTATCTATCTCATCATGGTTTTAATTTCAATTTCCCAAATAGCTCATGATATTAAATTTATTTGTTTGCTATCCATATATCTCCTTATTGAAATGTCCGTCCAAGTCTTTTGACCACTGTAGTTGGGCTATTTGTTTTCTTACTGTTGAGCTTTGAGAGTTCTGTATATATTCTGGATACAACTCCTTTGCTGGATATGTGACTTGCAAATATTTGCTCCCATCATGTAGCTTGTCTTTTCAGGCTCCTAATAGTGCCTTTTGAGGAACAACAGTTGATGAAGTTACCAATTTTTTTAAAATGGATCATGCTTTTGGTGTCTAGTTGGAGAATTCTTTGTTAATCCCAGGTCACAAATATTTCCTCCTATGCTTTCTTCTAAAAGTTTGATAGTTTTACATTTTATATTTAGATCTATGATTTATTTTTAGTTAATTTTTGAGAGTAATGTGTGAGGTTTAGTTTGAGATTCTTTGTGTGTCTGTGTGTGCATAGATGTGTATTGTGCCAATACCATTTGTTGAAAAACTATCCTTTCTCCATTGAATTACCTTTGTACTTTTGTCAAAAATCAGCTGGGCATATTTATATGGGTCTATTTCTGGGTTATATGTTCTGTTTCATTAATCTGTGTGTCTGTCCTTTTACTAATACTGTAATTTCTTGATTAGTTATAGCTTTGGGGATGGCAAACCACAGTCCCTAGGCCAAATCCAGTTCATACATATTTTAGTAAATAAAGTTTTATTGGAACACCTTCATTTTATATTATCTATGGCTGCTTCCTTGCTATGATGACAGTTAAGTAGTTGTGACAGACTATGTGACCTGCAAAACCAAAAATCTTTACTAAATGGCCCTTCACAGAAAATGTTTGTCAACCCCTGCTTTAGCAAAAGTCCTAAGATCATGTATGATCCTTCCAACATTATTTTCCTTTTTCAAAATGTTTTTTGTTATTCTAGCTTCTTTGTCTCTTTGTATAAATTTTAGAATCAGCTTGTTGATATCTTTAAAAAATCCTTCTGGGATTTTGATCAGAATTTTATCAAATCTTTAGATTAATCAGAAATCTTTAGATTAGTCAGGAGACAGCTGACATCTTTACTATATTGAGTCCAAACCGTAAACACGTCTATTTATTTGTTTATTTATTTATTTGACAGAGTCTCGCTCTGTTGCTCAGACTGGAGAGCAGTGGCGGGATCTTGGCTCACTGCAACCTCCGCCCCCCGGATTCCAGCGATTCTCCTGCCTCAGCCTCCCGAGTAGCTGGGACTACAGGCGTGTGCCACCACACCCGGCTAATTTTTTTTTTATTTTTAACAGAGACGGTGTTTCACCATGTTGCCCAGGCTGGTCTCGAACTCCTGACCTCATGTGATCCGCCCTCCTAGGCCTCCCAAAGTGTTGGGATTACAAGCATGAGCCACCATGCCAGGCCCATTTATTTTAATCTTCTTAAGTTTTTAGCATACAGATGGAATGTTTTGTTAGACTTATAACACAGTATTTCTTTTATTTTGGAGCTACTGTAATTTAAAAAGCTTTTTTGGTTTTCAATTGTACATTACTAGTATATAGAAATACAATTGGGCCGGGAGCGGTGGCTCATGCCTGTAATCCCAGCACCTTGGGAGGCTGAGGCAGGCAGATCGCCTGAGTTCAGGAGTTCGAGACCCGTCTGGCCAACATGGTAAAACCCCATCTCTACTAAAAATACAAAAAAATTAGCCAGGCGTGGTGGCATGCACCTGTAATCCCAGCTACTAGGGAGGCTGAGGCAGGGGAATTGCTTGAACCAGGGAGGTGGAGGTTGCAGTGAGCCGAGGTCGTGCCATTGCACTCTAGCCTGGGTGACAGAGCGAGACTCTGTCTCAAAAAAAAGAAACAAAAGAAATACAATTGATTTTTATGTGTTGACCATATATCTTGTGACCTTGCTAAATGCACTTATTAGTTGTAGGAACCATTTTGTCTGCAAAAAGGGATGGTTTCATTTCTTCTTTAGTACAGTGTTCCATAAGAGTGGTAAAAGTGGACATTTTTACCATGTTTCCAATCTTAGGAGGAGAACATTCAGTCTTTCTCTATCAAGTAGGATAATAGCTGTAGTATTCTCTTTTTCCTTCTTGGTAGAAACTCTTTATAGTTTGAGGAAGCCCCCTTCTACTCCTAGTTTTCTGGGCTTTTTTTTTTTTTTTAATTATGAATGGGTATGGAATTTTGTCAGACATGCGTTTTGTACCAGTTGATTTGATCAGTTGATTTTTCTTATTTATATTGCTAAAATTGTGGATTACATTAATTTTTGAATATTGAATAAGCTGTGCATTCCCAAGGTAAATCCCACTTAATTCTAGTATACTATTATTTTTATATATTACTAAATTCTTAATCCTTGTTGAGGATTTTTACTTCTATATGTATGAGAGACAGTAGTCTATAGTTTTTTGTACTTTTTTTTCTTTCGTTTTGTAAAAAATTCCATGGGACTGCTTGATATCTTTTTTTGTACTGTCTTTGGGTAATAGCCTCAGAAAATGAGCTGGGATGTGTTGAATTATCATCTCATATTTTCTGAAAGAAATGTGCACAATTGCTAGTATATTTTTCTCTCAACGAATTCACCAGTGAAACCATCGGGACCTGGAGATCTCTTTTACAGAGTTTTTTGTTTTGTTTTAAACTACAAATTTAATTCCTTTAATAGCCATAGGATTCAGATGATCTCTTTCATTTTCTGCCAGTTTGGTAGTTTGTGGCTTTCAAGGAATTATTCCATTCAAACTATGTTGTTAAACTTATTTGCATACAGTAGTTCATGACATTATTTTTTATCTACTTAATGTCGGTAAAGTTTAAGATAATGTACCCTCTTTCGTTCCTGATATCAATAATCTATGTCTTCTTTTTCTCTTTGTCTGACTAGAGTTTTTTCAATTTTGTTGATCTTTTCAAACAGGCTTTTGACTTCATTAATTTTTTTGTTTTCAACTTCAATGATATATGCTCTTTATTATTTCCTTTCTTCTGCTTCCTTTGAGTTTACTTTGCTTTTCTTCCTTTAGTCTGTTTAGATGGAAGCTTAGATTGTTGACTGAGGCATTTCTTCTTTTCTCATATAAGCATTTAATTGAGTAAAATTCTTATTTTAAGCTGTGATTTTTTTTTTCAGTTTATAATCTTTTCTGATTTCCTTAAGACCATCTCTTTGACCTAGGGATTATTTAGAAGTTTGTTAATTTCTAAGCGTTTGGAGAATTTTCTCTATTTCTTTCTGTTATTTATTTCTAATCTATTCCCATTATGGTCAGAGGACATACTTTGTATATTCTTCTAGGTTTGTTTTATGACCCAGGATATGGTCTGTTTTGGTAAATGTTCACGTGCAAAAGGATGTGTGTTCTGGGTGGAATGATTTTCTGTCACTAGTTCTATCAGTTGTTGAGAAAGGACTGATGCAGTCTTCAAATGCAAATGTAGATTTGTCTGTTCCCATTGTGATCTCTATCATTTTTTCTTATATATTATGACATTCTCTTGTCAGATGCAAACACATTTAGAATTGTTATGCTTTCTTGATAAATTGGCTCTTTTATCATCTTTTCCTTCTTTGCTGGTGTCCCAAGTTTCCCTCTGGTATCATTTACCTTATGTCTCAAGAACTTTTAGTAATTCTTTAGTAACAAATCTACTGGAAACATATTTACTAAGTTTTCCTTCACCAAATTTGAAGTTTTCAGGTATTCTTTGTATATATATATTTTTCAGCATTGCATTCTTTATCCTCTCCTTCTACAGCTCTAATGTCATGAATGTTAGACCTTTTGGCATTGCCTCACAGGTCCCTCGGTTCATTTTTTTAAAAAAATATGTTTTCTTTGTTGTTCATTGGATACTTTCAATTGATCTGTCTTCAAGTTCATTGACTTCCCTTTGTTATCTCTATTCTGCTATTATCAAACCTATCAATGAGTTAAAAAATTTTGTGGGGGCCAGGCATGGTGGCTCACACCTGTAATGCCAGCACTCTGGCAGGCTGAGGTGGTTGGATCATTTGAGTTCAGGAGTTCGAGACCAGCCTGGGTAACATGGTAAAACCTCATCTCTACAAAAAAAAAAAAAAAAAAAAAAAAAAGCAAAAATTAGCAGGGTGTGGCGGCATGCCCCTGTAGTCCCAGCTCTTTGGGTGGCTGAGGCAGGAGGATCGCTTGAGCCCAGGAGGTTAAGGCTGCAGTGAGCTGTGATTGCACCATTGCAATCTAGCCTGTGAGACAGAATGAGACCCTATCTCAAAAAAAAACTTTTTTTTTTTTTTTGGTTAATTTACTTTTGAATTCTTTATTTGTTTCTTCTTTATACCTTCTATTTCTTTTTGATACTTGGGTTTTTTTTTGTTTGTTGGTTTTTTAAAGAGATGAGGTGTCACTAGTTGCCTAGGCTACCCTCCAACTCCTGGGCTCAAGTGATCTTCCTGCCTCAGTCTCCCAAGTAGCTGGGACTACTGGTGCATGCCACCATGCCTGGCTTGTTTCAGTAATTTTAATGATTGTTGGAGCTCCTTAAAGTTTGTCAGATAATTCCAACATTTGTCATCTCAGCATTATTGTCTTTTACTAATCTTTTCTCATGTGAGTTGAGATTTTCCTGCCGCTTTATATATCAAGTAATTTTTGGTATCCTGGACATTTTGAGTATTTTAAGACTTGATCTTGTTAAAATTCTGTGATGAATGTTATTTTTGTTTTAGCAAGCAATTATCTTATGTTTAGGCTTCAAGTTACAGTGTTCCTCTGTGAGCTATGGTATGTCAGTTTACTTTTCAAAGCCTCTTTGCAGGGCTGTTTGTCGTGCTATTTGGTGATATCTGCAGTGCTGTCAGTGTGTGTACCATCCAGTAGCAAATATATAACCTGGGTGATAGTTTATCTATCAGTTTAGATCTCAAAGTCTTTTATATACTGGTTAGAATCAGATCCACACATGCATACCTTGGGGTAAGCCCTGGAGTTTATAAACAATTTAATGGGGTTGTTTTCACAAGCTTTCATGTCTGCAATCTCCTTTGGTGCTTTCTGGATCCAGGAAGCTGCATCTTTAGTTATCTTATGCTTCCATGTACCTCCATGGTTGCACTTGACTAGGCCCAAGTGGTGGTGAACTAAAGGAAAACACACTAGTAAACTTGCCATAGGTTCAGAGGCACCTTAAGTTCTTGTCTTCGTCCTTATTTCTTCTGTATTATTTACTTTTCAGACTCCCCAAACAGCTGCTCCAATATATTCTACCTAGGATTTTTAGCTGCATTCAATGGGTGAGACAGGAGGAATGTGCTTACTCCATCTTACCAGGAACCAGAACCTGATAATCGTGATTTTTAAGTGAGTATATAGTATCTGTTATTTAGATATACTGTAATTTAGTCATTAATTCCCCACATATATTTTTAGGTCATTCACTTATACAATAACAATGTGATTAACATTTTTATGTTTATATTACAAAAATGAAATTTAAAGTTATGGCATTTTTGGGCTTTTGTTATATGTTGCTAAAATTAGTTTCTGAAAGATTGATACTGATTTACAAATTTGACTATCACAAAGAATATTGACCACAATTCATTAAAATACATCAAATGATATTTAAAAATCCATATGAACCTCCCCTCCCCTACTACCCAAACAGTGGCCACTACTGGGGGTTGCTGGGTTAATTTATTATCCTAAAAACTGATAAATCTAGGGAAGTTATCAAGCATTTACTCTGCCTTTCGAGGTAACTGAATAGTTGATAAGGAAACTTTTATTATGTATAGAAGTACTCAAACTTATAAATGCAGAAGGAGTTACAAAATTAGAAAATCATCATTTCACAACCCCTAATAAAATAATCTAGGCAATGTTCATCAGTGATTTAAAAAACATCAGGTGAAAGGTTGATGGGGAAGTTTATAATGGAGAATTCCATTAATCAGTCTTTGCTTCACTAAAATACATTATATATCTCATGTTGTGATGTAATAGGAAGCCCACAGCACCATCTACTATGCATTACTTGGGACACAAAGCAACAATTTCCCCAAATTTGCTTATAGAACCATAAGTAAGAAAGCAAAATAATAAAAATGTATAAATATAGGGGATTTGCAGATGACATGTGCTCTTCTCCCTTGTTCCAGATATGCAGTGTATCTGTGGGAAGAAGCATACAAAGCTTGATGTACGTTGAACCATAGTTAATAGATATGGTCTGTAAGGAAAATACTACATGATGCTGTGGAAGTGAGTCAGGGCATACTTAAGGAATTTTCTGGGCCTCTGCCATATCTGCAGAAGGCAGTTCAGTACCCTTGTCTAGCTCCATTTTCAGTTGTGCAGGAAACACCAAAGACAAAAGCATCTATTATTTAGTTATAATTTTTGCATATATATATATAAATGGCGCCATATTCCTTATGTGCTTTTCACTTTCCATAATTCCCTCTCTGAAAGTCTGAATTTCTTAACCTTTTTGTCACTCCTTCTTGACACAGAAAGGTATGTGAACCTAGATTCAAAGAATATGGCACAGAGATAATAAATAGACCCAAAGAAATAGTGAAAAGGACATTTCTGGCTGTTCTGCAATGGCAATATTTCATGATTTTGAAACACACACTTCAATATTTCATTATTCACTAACAAAGCTGCAGGAGGTCCATATCTGAGAATAACTGCTTTCAGAAAATAAAACAAAAAAAGCCCCTTAAAGTGAATCAATTTAAACTGGGGTTGAAAATCATAATAAATGGTGACAATATAATTTGACTAAAAATAAGAGGTAAAAATATATAGATAAGCTTATTTTACTTGTATTAATAAAATATATGTTGTAATTTCAACTGTTCATAAATTCATTTTTTTCTTTTTTTTTTTTTTGACACGGAGTCTTGCTCTGTTGCTCAGGCTGGAGTGCGGTGGCACGATCTCAATTCACTGCAACCTCCTCCTCCTGTGTTCAAGCGATTCTCCTGCCTCGGCCTCCTGAGTAGCTGGGACTGCAGGCATGTGCCACCACACCCAGTTAATTTTTGTATTTTTATTTTTAGTAGAGGTGGGGTTTCATCATGTTGGCCAGGCTGGTCTTGAACTCCTGACCTCAAGTGATCTGTGTGCCTCAGCATCCCAAAATGCTGGGATTACTGGCGTGAGCTACTGTGCCCAGCCATCTGTGCGTAAATTCTTAGATGGAACAAAGTCAGTCAGTTTGATCTGGAGAGTGGGGAATGGGTCTACTTTTTCTGACCAAATTGTCTTACAGTATGATATGGCATATTTAACTTCATATTCGACTTGCACAGCATGCAAGTTCAGAAAGAGGACCATTTTTTTTTTCAAAAAATATTCAAGGACTTAATCACTTTTCTGAGGGATTCTATTAATACTTTGATAAATTCATTTGCAGTTTTATTATTCTTGTTGAATTTCTCTTTTTAATTGGTCTAAGTTCCTTTTCCTGATTTATCAATAGTTTTACATGAGATCTGGACATTTCTGTAACATCTCTTTCATTGACTTCATGAAACATTGTTTTTGCAAGATTTTTAGTTGTTTTGAAATATGTTTGTATTGCTGTGTTGGGTATTTAAAGAGCTGACAATCAGTGAAAATACTGATAAACTAATATTTCATAGGTGGGGATAAATGCTAGTCTTCACTGAGGAGGGATATTTGAATGGGGAGAGGACTGAGTTTACAAGTAGTTAACTTATTATTAAATATTTCATGTTATAAGGACTATTGTTCTATGTAAACTCATAACTACAGGGTCTCAGATAATGAATATTTGGGTAATTAGGAACCCCTGTAGTTAAAAAATTATATCTTTGAATGCAACTTATGAAGTTTGAATGCTCTGAGCTTTGTGGGATAAAAGTACTATGCAAATAGTAAATGTCACATAAAGTCCACTAATAAAGGTTAAGGATTTCAAAATATGTAATATAGATAAGGCTTTATACATGAAATTATACCTCATTTGACTTAGTTACTAAAAAGAAAATGAAACATTCCAAGTGAAAACACTTCTTAAAATACATAAATTTTGGTGCCTTAGATTTTCTAAGTTTTTCATTTGTCTAGTTCTGGTACTGGAGAACTAACTGCAGTTCCATAAAAGAGCTGTGAATCTATAAAGCAGCTCATTTCCTTCCAGCTTTTCTTGAGACATATTAAAGCCACAATAAAATATAACTTCTCTTACTCAATAAGCTTTAGTGGATCAGAAAAAGAAACTAAGAAAATAGGCCAGATTAAGCTGGAGAGAAAATGGAAATCTTTTTGTTCTTCAACTCCCATTGTCTTTCTCACATTATCAGTTTTCTTAAAAATAGCTATAGAGTCAGTGAAAACGTGTAAACATCTTTAGATTGCCAAATTGATTATACCCTTTCATTTTTATGTTTTAAAAGAGCTTAAGATTGTTTATCTTCTTTGGAAAGATGTTTAAAATTAGACACATTTAATCATATACCAAGGCTTAGAAAAGGATGTCTCTAGTGAGTTTCTGGTTTTATAGGCAGCAAACATAAAGCACCTGGTGGGCACAATATGAACTTACAGTTTTATGTAATATACATTAAAGCTACCTTAAGAGCTCAACACACTGGAAATGCTTAGTATATTCTACATTTATTTCAGTTTAAGATACAGAAATGGACTCCTAGACATATGCCATATGTTCTCCTCTCATGCCAAGTTAACAAGAATTAAAAGACTGAGATGAATAAACAAGGTCAACTTAGGCTGAGCCAAATTAGACAACAGAATAATTGTCAGATTTTCTGTTGGCAGGGACAGTTTGTTTTGAGCCAATCTTCATGAATTATAGGCTGTAATTTTTTTTTTCTGGTAAGTCTACTGCCAGGCATTCTGTTGACAATTTCTTTGTTTTGTAAACACTGAAAATTTTCATCCATTATATTGTTTATAGGCACACACCAGGATTCTGAATAGATCAGTATTTTTGGTTTGTTCCAACTTAAAGGAAAACTGCTTAGACATGAATCAAATAAAATCACGCCAAAATTTAACAACTTTTAACAAGATAGTATTTCATTTGGAGTTTCTTATGTATGAATTCAATACTGGTTCATTATAATAGCAGGAAACCAACCAGTATTGTAGTTAATTTCTAGCTGTAAATATCAAAGTAGATATATTTACTGCAAATACAAGGTTTATTTGTTCTACAATAAATAATTTTAGACCTTGGAAAGGATAATCTAATACAAATGAGAAAATTGAGGCAACCAGAGAAGTTGACTTATTTGAAATACAAGAACTAGTTTAGGGCTGTACCTAATCTAATTATTTTTAATTTAGTCCTAGGATCATTCATTTTGTTTATACAGTGTCTGACATGGTTTAGATCTGTGTCCTCACCAAATCAAATTTGACATTAGATATGTCAAACTGTAATCCCCAGAGTTGGAGGTCGGACCTGGTGGGAGGTGATTGGATCGTGGGAGTGGTTTCTCATGAATGGCTTAGCACTGTCCCCTTGGTGCTGTTCTTGTGATAGCAAGTAAGTTCTCATGAGATCTGGTGGTTTAAAAGTGTGTGGCACCTCCCCCCAAACCCCTCTATTCCTCCTGCTCTGACCATGTGAAGTGCTGGCTCCCCCTTTGCCTTCTGCCATGACTATAAGTTTCCTGAGGCCTCCCCAGAAACTGAGCAGATGCTAGCATCATGCTTCCTGTACAGCCTGAGTAAGAGTGAGCCAATTAAACATCTTTTCTTTATAAATTACCCAGTCTCAGGTATTTCTTTATAAGAATGTGAGGACAAACCAATATAATGTTTAAGGCTTTATTACACACAAATGTGTATGTATAAAGACGTAATTTATAACAACACAAAGGAGCAAGAGAGAGGAATGGAGCAATACAGGAGCAAAGTTTTTATATACTATTGTTGTTAAATTGATATTAAAACAAACTAAGTTGTTATAAATTAAGATTTATAATCATCAGGTGAACCACAAAAGAAAAATCCTCCAAAGAAATTACAAGGGTATTAAAATACCTACTTAACACAAGAGAAGGCAATAAGTGAGGAATAGAGGAATAGCTACAAGGAATGTAGAATATGACAGCAAAATGACTGATGTAAATCCTGACTTATTTAGTAATTACATTAATAATAAATGGATTAAACCCTCCAATTAAAAGGAAGAGATTGGTGGAATGAATTTAAAAAGAATCACTTTCAAATCTTTTAAGATATGTGACACTATGTAAGAGACAAAGTGGAAACTTTAAAAGAGAATTTAAAAAATATATTGTTTTTCTTACGTAAAGTGAGTGTCCCTCAATTCCTGTTGTGTTTTCATCAGGACTGGGAGCTGAATTGAGCTGAATTTTGTCAAAGGCATTTTCAACATCTATATAAATAATTGTATGATTTTTATCAACCTTAGATCTATTAATATGGTATATGATATTAATGGATTTGGTAACACTAAAACAACCTTGTATTTTCAGGGTGGATCCAAGTGTTGGATTTTTTTCACTAATATTTTACTTAATATTTTTTACATGAATGATATTGGCTTGTCATTTTTCTGTGGAAAAGTTTTTCTTTATTTTCAATGCTTTGGAATAATTTATAGAGCATTCAGAATATCTGATCTTTGAAGGTTTTGGTAGAATTCTACCTGGTCATCTGGGCCTTTTGCTCTTTTACAGGGTAATTTCTTAATAATCTTGTCTATTTCTTTTATGAAAATTGGTGTGCTTCAGATTTCTAAATTCAGTGGTGGACACTTTTGGCAATCTGTATTTATCTAGTATGTTATCTATTGTTTTCTAAGTTTTCAAATTCATTTGCATAGAAATTTGCGAAGTAGTCTCTTATGATTAAAAAGAAAAAACCCTCCCTTGTTTAAATGGTTAATTTCTCCCTTCCTCCCTCTGCCATTTCTTAATTTTGTATGTTTTGTTTTCTCTCCTTTTTTTGATCAAGTTGGTCCATTTTGTTGTTTCAAAAACATTTGGATTTGATATCTTACTACAGTTTTTTGTTTGTTTGTTTTGTTTTGTTCTTTGTCTTCTACCTGAGGTGTCAGTAATCTATGGCTTATGGACTGGTTGCCTGTTTTTGTAAATAAAGTTTTTTGTTTGTTTTGTTTTTTGCTTTGTAAATTTCTTTTTTTTAATTTTAATTTTAATTTTTTTATTTTGAAACGGAGTCTAGCCCAGTCGTCCAGGCTGGAGTGCAATGACGCAGTCTAGCCTCAGTGCAACCTCCGCCTCTCGGGTCCAAGCAATTCTCCTGCCTCAGCCTCCCAAGTAGCTGGGACTACAGGTGCATGCCACCACACCTGGCTAATTTTTGTATTTTTAGTAGAGACGGGGTTTCACCATGTTGGCCAGGCTGGTCTCAAACCCCTGACCTCGTGATTCGCCTGCCTTGGCCTCCCAAAGTGCTGGGATTACAGGCATGAGCCACCGTGCCTGGCTAATTTTTAATTTGTTGGATACGTAGTAGGTGTATA
This sequence comes from Homo sapiens, assembly GCF_000001405.40. Classification (NCBI taxonomy): domain Eukaryota; kingdom Metazoa; phylum Chordata; class Mammalia; order Primates; family Hominidae; genus Homo; species Homo sapiens. The sequence continues at coordinate 63,166,400 of NC_000002.12, forward strand.
TATTTATGGGGTACATGAAATTTTTGAGACAGGGTCTTGCTCTGTCACCCAGGCTGGAGTGCAGGGGCGCGATCAGCTCACTAAAACTTCTGCCTCCCGGGTTTCAGCGATTCTCATGCCTCACTCTTCCTGAGGCGTGTTCCACCACGCCTGGCTAATTTTTTTGTATTTTTAGTAGAGACAGGGTTTCGCCATATTTGCCGAGCTGGTCTCGAACTCCTGGCCTCAAGTGATCTGCCTGCCTCAGCCTCCCTAAATGTTGGGATTACAGGCATTAGCCACCGTGCCTGGCTGTACATGAGATATTTTGATATAGGTAAACAATGTGTAATAAGCACATCAGGGTAAATGAGGTGTCCATCACCTAAAGCATTTATCATTTCCTTGTGTTACAAACATTCCAATTATACTCATTTATTTATTTTTATTAAAATATACAATAAATTACTGTTGACTGTAATTACCCTGTTGTGCTATCAAATACTAGATCTCACTCATTCTATCTGATTGTATTTTTGTACCCATTAACCATCCCCACCGCCATCAATTACCTTTCACAGCCTCTGGTAACCATTATTATATTCACTATCTCTATGAGTTCAATTGTTTTAATTTTTAGCTTCCCACAAATGAGTGAGAACATGTGAAGTTTGTCATTCTGTGCCTGGCTTATTTCACTTAACATAATGTTCTCCAGTTCCATGTAAATAAAGTTTTATTGGACCACAGCCACATCGGTTCATTTATGTATTGTCTATGACTGTTTTCGTGCTACAACAGAGTTAAATAGTTGCAGCAGAGAACATATGGTCCATAAGCCTAAAATATTTACACTGAAGCCATTTAGGAAAAAAGTTTGCCAATCCCTGCTCTGCCTCATTAATTTCTGGTTTTATCTTTATTATTTCTTTCCTTGTGCTTTATTTTGGTGTAGTGTCTTGTTATTTTTTAAAGCTTTTGAGTTACAATTGTTCCCTTTTCTCATTTTTTTTTCTGGTAAAAGTGCTTAGTGGTATCAGTTTTCCTCTGATTATTACTTAAATACATCCCATATATTCTGATATGTAGTGTTTTATTATAATTACTTCTTAGAAATTTCATGTTGTATTTCTTCTTTCATCCAAAAATTGTTTAATAAAAGGTTTTAAAATTTCCACAAGAAAGGGCATGTTGGTTCTTGTTAAACATTGCTGGTTGTATTACATTGTGATTGGAGAGTGTTTGTAATATTTAGTGAAATTTAATGATATATTTTAGCAAGTAACATACCTTTTTTGTAAATAGTCCATGAATTCTTAGGAAGAAAACTTATTTTCTTTTATCAAGGAATAGAATTTGATGAATATTCATAATATCTACATTATTATGTTTAGGTATTATTTCTTGTTACTTTTTGCCTACTTGATCTATTCTGTAGTAAGCATAGTGAGTTAGGCTGGGTGTGGTGGCTCACGCCTATAATCCCAGCACTTTGGGAGGCCAAGGCAGGTGGATCACTTGAGCCCAGAAGTTCAAGACTAGCCTGGGCAACATGGCAAAACGCCATCTCTACAAAAAATACAAAAAATTAGCTGCATGTGGTGACACATGCCTGTTGTCCCAGCCACCCAGGAGGCTGAGGTGGATCACCTGAGCCCAGGAGGTCAAGACTGTGGTGAGCCATGATCACGCCACTGCACTCCAGGCCAGGCAAGAGTGAGACCCTGCCAAAAAAAAAAAAAAAAAAAAAGGAATAGTAAGTTAAAATCTCCTATTATTCATATCTCTCTATATCTCCTTGCATCTTTTATAGATTTTCCTTTATAAAGGTGACTTCTATATTATTTGTTGTACAAATATTCTTAAGTGTTTTATCTATGTGAAATTTGCATTAATTTTTTTTTTATTTGTTGGATTTTATGCTTTTGGGCTTGAATTCTGTAATTAGTATGGTTACTATTGGTTTCTTATTATTTTCATTTGCCTGAATATCTTTCCCCATTCCTTTATTTTTACCCTTTCTGAATCATTTTATTTAGATGTATGTCTTTCTTACAGTACATAGCTGGATCTTGCTTTATGAGCAAATTGAATCTTTTTCTTTTAATAGGTGAGGTGAGTCCATTTACATCAATTGATATGACTGATATGCTAGGTTTCAACTCTTTTACTAATATTTTATAATTTTGTGAATTTTGATATATTTGCTGTGTTTCTCTCTGAGGTATGTGTTTCCTTTCTTCTCACTTATTTATCACTTGAGCCCAGGAGTTGTGGGCTGCAAAATGCCCATTGGGTACCACACTGAGTTTGGCATCAATATGGTGACCTCCTGGGAGCTGAGGACCACCAGGTTGCATAAGGTGGGGTGAACCGGGCCAGACTGGAAAGGGGGTCAATCAGTAGTGGGATTGTGCCTGGTGAATAACCATTGCACTCCAGCCTGGGCAACACAGTGAGACTCCGTCTCTTAAAAAATAAAAAGTAAATGGTAGTTAGTAAGGCTTGTGGTTTTGTTCTAGTGGTTACCTTTGTACTTGTGTCTTTTCTAATGCCTTTAGTCTCTTCTTTTCCTAGTTAACCTTTTATTATGTGGCATATGAGATTTTATTGTCTCTTTTAACTCCCAACTATTGGCTATACAACCATCAGTGAGCTTATTCTATCTTACTCTTTCACTCTCTGTTCCACTCCCATTTTCTAAAGTTGTATTACTTCTACTTAACATACAGTATTTGTATATGGGTCTTCCACCCCTTTTATCTTCTGCCTACATTTATATTTATTAAAATATAGTCAGTCCTTGTACTGACACTTTGTTACTCATCTCATGGTTAGATGAAACTCTTCCTCTAGTATTCCTCAAGAAGGGTTCATGGGTACAGAATTTCCTATATTGAAAACTGTTTCTTTTAGCGTTCATACTTGAAGGAGATCATGGATGACTATACTATCCTTGGTTCACACTTTCAGTCACTGAGTTTTTGAAAACTGTAGTTCTGCTTTTGCCTTGCCTTATATTTTATTTTTTTGAAAAGTTTGATACTTGTTTGAAAAGTTCGATACTTTTTTCCTGAAAGTGCACTTTGGGTGTCTGAGAAAAATTAGAACAATCAGCTCCAAGAAATATCCTAGCTATACTCTTATATTTCAATGATTAATTTAAAAAATGTTTAGGGCCTTCTGGTAAAAAGATCAAATAACTTACATAAGCAAAAGTACATGAATATATTTTGCAACATTTTCTTGGATTTTTAGTTTCAAGTATCTGTTACATTGTTTTATTTTTTCTTTTTCAAGGAATCCAATTATACAAACGCTGTTGCTTCTCTGTCTTATCTCCCATTCCATTACTTTTTCTTTGACTTTTTTACTTCTCATTTTCTTTTGTTTTCCGCCATTTTCAATGTTTTTAATTAAGTTTTATTATGAGTTTATTCTCATTTGGGTACCCTGTAACTTATTTTTCATTTTTGGATAATATTATGCTTTTTATTTTCATTTATTTGTTTCAGTGGACTTTTTTTTTTTTTGAGACCCTATCACTCTGCCACCCAGGCTGGAGTGCAGTGGCATAATCAGGACTCATTGAAGCCTTAATGTTTAGGGCCCCAAGCGATCCTCCTACCTCAGTCTCCCAAGTAGCTGGGACTGCAGGCGTGGACCACCATGCCAGGCTAATTTTTTTTTTTTTCAGTAGAGATGAGGTCTCGCTATGTTGCCCAGGCTGGTCTTGAGTCCCTGGGCTCAAGGGATCCTCCCACCTTGGCCTCCCAAAGTGTTTGGATTACAGGTGCAAGCCACCACACCTGGACAATTTTCTTGGTGTCTTCTTCCATCCCTCCCTCCTCCTCTCCTGTCCATTTCTATTTTCCATTTTTTTCTTTTTCTTTCTTTCTTTTTTTTTTTTCTGAGATGGAGTCTCACTCTGTCACCCTGGCTGGAGTGCAATGGTGCAATCTCAGCTCACTGCAACCTCCGCCTCCTGGGTTCAAGCAATTCCCCTGCCTCAGCCTCCCAAGGAGCTGGGATTACAGACATGTGCCATCACACCAGGCTAATTTTTATATTTTTAGTAGAGATGGGGTTTCACCATGTTGGCCAGGCTGGTCTTGAACTCCTGACCTCAGGTGATCCGCCTCAGCCTCCCAAAGTGCTGGTATTACAGGCGTGAGCCACCGTGCCTGGCCTCATTTTGTCTTTATAATTCAGAGTGGGTTTCAATATACCCAGTTGCTTATTCCAATGTATCTAATTCTGCCTGGTGTGGTGTTATACAGTTTTCTTTGACATCATGATTGTTTTGGGGGAGGATAATTTTCCTTAACTGATGTGTGTAGTTTTCATTTTCTGTTACTTTGTATGAAACTGTTCATCTTTTTCCTGCTTATTTTTGTGGTATTGGCTATGTTTTGTGAGATCCTAGTTCAGTGGGGTCCTCAGTAGAGCAAAGTCTAGGCACTTGTTAGCATATATTCATCGAATAGACATATAGATCAATAGAGCAGAATGACAAATCCAGAAATAAACACTTAACACCTATAGTCAGTTGATTTTTGATGAAGGTGTAAAGGCAATTCAGTGGGGAAAATGAGTTTTTTTTCTTCCTCAAAAAAATACTGGGGAAACGTGTATTTCTATGTACTACATAATGACCTTAGACCCTTATTCACATCCTACATAAAAATTAACTCAAAATGGACTTTAAGAGCTGGAACTATAAAACTTCTAGAAGAAAACATGAGAAAATATCCACATTTTCAGATTAGAAAGAAATTTAAGTACAACACATAAAAGACAATCAAAAAAAGAAAAAATTGCTATCCTTGGCTTCACCAAAATTTGGAAACTTTTGCACTTCAAAAGACACTACTGGAAAATGAAAAGGCAGATCACAGACGGAGAAAATACTTGCACATCAGGTATTTAATAAGGAACTTGTATTCAGAATACATAGAAGTATCTTACAATTCAATAACAAGACAACTAAAGAATGGACAACAAATTTGAATAGCTATAACAACAAAGAATGCTAATGAGCAAATAAGAAATGTTCAACATCATTAGTTGTTAGGGAAATGCAAATTAAAGCTACAATTAGATACCATTCTTCACCCAACAGAATAGTTATAATAAAAAAACATTGACAATATTAAATATTGGTGAGGATACTGAGAAATTGGAACCCTTATATATTGCTGGTGGGTATGTAAAATGTTACAGGCACTTTGGAAAACAATTTGGCAGTTTCTTAAAACTAGCGAATTAAATATAAACTTAGAATAAGACCCAGCAATTCAATTCCTAGATATCTGCCCAAGAGAAATGAAAATATATGTCCACTTAGAAACTTAAATGTGAATGTTTACAGCAACATTATTCATAATAGCCCCAAAATGGAAATAACCCAGATACCATCAGCTGGTGAGTGGATAAGCAAAATGTGGCACATCCATGTAATAGAATACTATTCAGCAATTAAGAAGGAATAAACTACACATTACATGAGCCTCAGTAACATAATGCTAAGTGAAAGAAGCCAGATACAAAAGACAATATATTGTATGACTTCATTTATATGAAATGTCCAGATTATATGATTTCATTTTTATAAAATTTCTCTAGAGACAGAAAGCAGAGCAATGTTTGCCTCAGGCTGGGTTAGGAGAGTGGAAATTGGGCATAAGGGAACTATTTGGGGGTGATGGAAATGCTCTAAACCTAAACTGTGGTGATGGTCATACAGCTTTATAAATTTACCAAATATCACTGACTTGTATACTTACAATGGGTGAATTTATGGTATATGTAAGTTATATCTCAGTAAAATTGTTTCTAAAGAAGTATCCAGATATGGTGGCTCACGCCTGTAATCCCAGCACTTTGAAAGGCCGAGGCAAAAGGATCACTTGAGCCCAGGAGTCTGAGACCTGCCTGGGCAACATGGTGAAACCCTGTTTCTACAGAAAAAATACAAAAATTAGCCCGGTATGGTGGCACGTGCCTGTAGTTGCAGTTGCTCGGGAGGCTGAGGTGGGATAATCACCTGAGCCTGGGAGGTCAAGGCTGCAGTAAGCCATGATCGCACCACTGCATTCCAGCTTGGGTGACAGACTGAGATGCCGCCCCCCACCCCTCCAAAAAATAATAATAAAGAGGTAGGACTTCTAGGTAGCTGAAGATAACAGCAGTAGCCTATGTTCTAGCTCCCAATACTTATTTTATAAACAATACAGAACATTATACAAGGAAAAATGAAACTACATGACAATCATGTTCTTAGCATGACTTGAAGACAGAGAATGTCCAAACTTCAAAATAATTGTAAATAAAATGGAAAAAACACCAAATGCCAATGCATGATCTCTCTAGCTCCTGATATTCTGGTACATCGGAGCATGGACTACAGGGAAGACGCTATAAAGTACCATGCAATCTGAAGAGGCAGTTTTCAAAAAGGATAGCTTCTCAGGGAAAAGGCAGAAAGAGAGGGGCACTTTTGGCATTTGGGTGTGAAGGAAGAAAGAAGCATAAGGAGGAAAATACTGGACAAGAGAAAACCAAAAAATGAGAGGTCATACAATCCCATCAAGAATTTGTGGGCTGGGTGTGGTTGCTCATGCCTGTAATCCTAGCACTTTGGGAGGCTGAGGCGGCTGGATCACCTGAGGTCAGGAGTTTGAGACCAGCCTGGCCAACATGGTGAAACCCTGTCTCTACTAAAAATAAAAAATAAAAAATTAGCAGGGCACAGTGGTGGGCACCTGTAATCCCAGCTACTATGGAGGGTGAAGCAGGAGAGTCGCGTGAACCCAGGAGGTGGGGGTTGCAGTGAGCTGAGGTCATGCCATTGCACTCCAGCCTGGGCAACTAGAGCGAAACTCTGTCGCAAAAAAAAAAAAAAAAAGAAAAAATTGTGGAGAGCTTAATTAGCCCCTCTTTGTTTTTCTCATTTCCAGCCTCTCCCTGTTGAATTTTTGGCTAGTTTGCCATTCTGTCACTTGCCCTAATGAGGCGAGCAGAACTGGCATTTCCTATCAAGTTTGTCAATTTTACTGACAATAGTTTGCTACTTTTATTAGACAATGCTGCTAGGCAGAGTTCTCCCACCCTCAGCTCAAGTCAGCTGTTGGTTTTCAAAGCCAGTCCTACCATGGTAGAATTAGTTTGGGGATGGGCAGGAGGATGGAAGCAGCTACAGGCAAGAAAATAAGAGACTTCTACTTTATTACTAGAAGTTCAGCAATTTTTCATGAATAAATGCTTCTCAATTTGTTGTTTGCCTTTGTGTGATTTCCAAAGCCCAGAAATGATGGCTTTTGTCTAGTTTTATATTTGTTTCTTGGGGAGAGGATTTGCTGATATCCAAATAAACTCTTTGATACTTGGAAATCCTCCCCCTCTTTATTTGCTGTTAATGTGTACAGTTTGAGGCATTTTTCTTGAGGGTATTATAGGTGGGTATGTATAATTGATATATACGTATTTTTTAATGTGGCCTCTTTACAATTACTGAAAATAGGATCCTCAAAAGCAGGGATGTTATGCATAAACCAGGGAACAGATCTGACCCACTGCCTATTTTTATGAAGTTTTATTGTAACACTGCCATTCTCATTCATTTATATATTGTCTGTGGCCACTTTTTTACTGTAACAGCAGGATTGAGTAGTTGCAAAAGTTTGTCTGGGCTGCAAAGCCTAAAATATTTGCTCTTTAGCCCTTTACACAAAAAGCTTGCTGACCCTTGCTTGAGAGAATCATTATCATAATTAATATTATAATTATCACTTTAAATAACATTATTACTTTTGTTTGTTTTTTAAATTTCATATTTATTCTTTATCTTCTCAATAACCCCATGTAGCAAACTGGACAGATATCAGATATTTAAACTATCATTTATCAGATTTCAAAAACTAATGGTAAACTTGCATTAAATAAATATTATATAAATTATAATTCAAACTACATATTCTAAAAATTAATATTTATTAAAGGTAGCCTAACAATCCTAGAATTTAACAGCAGAATACAAACAATTCAATATGTTATAGTAATTTCATTTTGGCCCAGAGTAACATTTATTGTAGCAATATTATTTTTACATTCACTTCTGCCATTCATTATGCCTGCTCCAAATAACCAAACTACTGCAAAGTCTGAGCCATGAGAAATGCAAATTTTTCTCCTTGACATTTTGAAATATTCTTGCTTTGCTATTAGTTCGCATTTGAACAGGTAATACTAAATACTTTATGGAGCAATTTCCTCAGTTCAACATTTCTTACCTGTTAGAAGAGCCATTCAGTATTCTTTGTTGTAAAATATGTCTGTGGGTTGGGCAAGAGGGAGGGAGGTTATCTGGAAATGAGTCTTCTCCTTGAGGTGCTAAAGACAGGCCAATAAATGCTTCATTTAGCATATCCCCTCTGTCCAAGGGTCCCAGGAGTTCTGTTGAAAATGATTAATATGTGAGTGAAATACTAAGTACAATTTCTGCTAACTCCCTTATAAGTAAGATTACAGAACAACATTCACATATCCCAGTGGAACTTTTTTCTTTGTCAATTTCAAAATCTTGTTGTCCTAGTTCCCTATGACTTCTGTCATTCTTATACTTACTTCAGCAGTTTGATAACAGAATAGTGAATGTTTTCAAGTATAGATTTTAAAAAATTCATTTATATCTTGCTTATGTGTAGTGTTTTTAACGAGCATATTATTTATAAAATTTTTTTGTTTTTGTTAGCCAATTACTGGAATATTTTATCTTGGAATATTGCAGGAAGTGATTTTACTCTTTCACATATAGCACATAACTTGAAAAGAAAAGGAAAATATCTTTCCCAATATTTGCTTTCAATTAGCATTTTAAACTTTATAGGGAGATATATACTCCCATATCTTAGAGATGTACAGAGGTGTATAGAGAGATATTGGCAACTTTGACAGGGCATTGTTTAAAAATGTTGTTTGAAACATAATGAAGCTGTGAAAAATATATTTTTTGTAAGAAACATAAACCTTATTAAAAACCAAAAAAAAAAACCTCTTAGGACCACCGTGTATGGCAAAACATATTTTTTACCATCTTAAACATTTTAAAGCATACAGTTCAATAGTGTTAAGTGTATTCACATTGTTGTGAAGCAAATCTCCAGAACTTTTTTGTCTTGCAAAACTGAAACTGCACCCATTGTACAATTCCCCATTTGCCCCTCTCCCAGTTTGATAACCAACGTGTTATTTTCTGTTTCTATGAATTTGATAACTTTAGATCTTGTATAAGTGGTATCATACAGTATTCACGTTTTTGTCACTGGCTTATTTCACTTAGCATAATGTCCTCAAGGTTTATCCGTGTTGTAGTATGTGACAAGATTTCTTCCTTTTTAAGACTGAATAGTAAGCTGTTGTATGTATATACCATGCTTTGTTTTTCCATTCTCTATCTATTGACATTTGGGTTGCTTCCACCTCTTGGCTATTGTGAATAATGCTGCTATGAACATGGATGTGCAGATATCTCCGAGACCCTGCTATCAGTGCTTTTGGACATATACTCAGAAGGGGGATTGCCTATCATACAGTGGATCTATCTTTAAATTTTTGAGGAAATGCCATACTGTTTTCATTGTGGTTCACCATTTTACAATCCTACCAACAGTGCACAAAGATTCTAATTTCTCCAAATCCTTGACAAACTTGTTATTTTCTGTTTTTTTAAAACTAGTCATCCTAATGAATGTGACATGCTACCTTATGGTTTTGATTTGCATTTCTCTAATAAGTGATACTGAGCATCTTTTTATATGCTTGTTGGTCATTTGTATACCTTCACTGAAGAAATGTGGATTCAAGTCACTTGTCCTTTTTTTCTTTGAGACAGAGTCTCACTCTGTTGCCCAGGCTGGAGTGCAGTATCACAATCATGGCTCACTAAAGTCTTGACCTCTCAGGCTCAAGTGATCCTCCCACCTCAGCCCTCTTGAGTAGCTGGGACTACAGGTGTGTACCACAATGCATGACTCATTTAAAAAAAACATTATTGTAGAGAGGGGCTTTCACTAGGTTGCCCAGGCTGGTCTTGAACTCCTGGGGTCAAGCAATCTTCCCACTTCCTGTGGTGGCTCATGCCTGTAATCCTGCCTCCCAAAGTGCTGGCATTACAGGCATGAGCCATGGCACCCAGCCCCCTTGCCCATTTTTAATTAGGTTGTTTTTGTTTTTAAGTTGTAGGAGCTCTGTATGTAGTCTAGATATTAATGCTTTGTCAGATTTGCAAATATTTTCTCCCATTCCTTAGGCTGTCTGTTCACTTTATTGGTACTTTATTGTGTCCTTTAATGCATAAAAGTTTTTAAGTTGGATTAAGCCCCATTTGTAGTCCCATTTGTCTATTTTGCTTTTGTTGCCTATGCTTTTGGTGTCACATACAAGAAATCATTGTCATATCCAATATCATGAAGCTTTTCTCTAATGTTTTCTTCTAGCAGTTTTATACTTTTGTTTCTTATGTTTAGGTCTTTAATTCATTTTGAGTTAATTTTTGTTTGTGGTGTAACAAAAGGGTCCAACTTGCTCTTTTGCATGGGGATATCCAGTTTCCCAGCAACGTTTGTTGAAGAGATAGTTCCTTTTGCATTGAATGGTGTTGACATCTGTCAAAAATTGTTTGACCATATGGTTAATGGTTTATATCTGGGCTCTCAATTCTGTTCATTTTTGTTGGTCTATATGTCTGTGTTTATGCCAGTACTAATGTTTAGATTACTGTAGCCTTGTAATATGTTTTGAATCAGAAAGACCTCTTTTTCCCTTTTGAAGATTGTTCTGGCTATTCAGCATCTCTTGTGATTCCATATGAATTTTTAAATGGATTTTTCTATATTTCCAAAGATGCCATTGGGATTTTGATAGGGATTGCACTGAATTGGTAGATTACCTTGGGCAATACTGACATTTTAACAACATGAAGTATTCCAATCCATGAATATTGGATGTCTTTCAATTTATTTGTGTCTTTAATACCTATCAGCAGTGTTTTCTAGTTTTAAGTCTTTTACCTCCTTGGTTAGGTTTATTCCAAAGTATTTTATTCTTTTTGATGCTATTGTAAATGAAATTGTTTTCTTGCTGTCCTTTGCAGATTGCTCATTTTTAGTGTCAGAAATGCAATGAATTTTTGTATGTTGACTTGTATCTTGCAACTTTGCTGAATTCAATTATTCTAAAGTTTAAATGGGATCTTTAGGGCTTGCTGCATAGGAAATTAAGATATCTATAACCAGAGACAATTTTACTTCCTTTCTGATTTTGGTGCCTTTTATTTCACTTGCATAATTGCTTTGACTAGGACATTCCAGTATTATGTTAAATAGAAGGGGTGAAAGCAGGCATCTTTGTCTTGTTCCTGATCCTAGAGAAAGGGCTTTCAGTTTTTCACCATTGAGACTGATGTTACCTGTGGTCTTTTCATGTATAGCCTTTATTATGTTGGAGTATTAATAGTTTCCTTACATCCTAGTTTGTTGAACATTTTTAGCATGAAAGAACATCAAATTTTGTCAAATGCTTTTTTGTGTGTGTATCAATTGAGATGATTATGTAGTTCTCATCTTTCATTCTGTTAATGTGATTAGAATGATTTTCTTATGTTGAACCATCCTTACTTTACATCAGTAAATTTTACTTGATCATGGTGTATTATCTTTTTACTATGCCTAAGAATTTCGTTGGCTGGTATTTTGTTAATGACTTTTGCTCCAATATCTATCAAGAACGTTGGTCTGTAGTTTTCTTTGTCTTCATCTGGCTTTGTTACTAGGGTAATGCTGGCCTTATATAATGAATTTGGGATTTTCCCTTCTTTTAATTTTTTTGGAAGAGTTTGAGGAGAATGGGTGCTAATTCTTTAAATATTTGCTGGAATATTCTAATGAAGGCATGAGGTCTTGGGCTTTTCTTTGTGTGGAGTATTGGTTACTGATGCAATCTCTTTAATAGTTGTAAGTCTGTCCAGATTATGTAATTCTTCATTATCCAATCTTGGTTAGTTGTGTGTTTAAAAGATTTTGTCCATTTATGTAAGTTTTCCAGTTTGTTGGCATATGACTGTTTGTAATATTCTCTTACAACCCTCTTTATTTTATGTCGTATTGGCTGTAATATCCCCTCTTTCACTTTTGATTTTAGTTATTTGAGTCTTCTCTCTTTTTTTTAATTAGTATACCTAATAATTGGTCAGTTTTGTAGATATTTTAGAAAAACCACCTCTTAAGTTTTGTTGATTTTTTTCTATTGCTTTTGTATTCTGTATTTCATTGATCTTTGCTCTAAACTTTATTATTTTCTTCTGTTAGCTTTGGGTTTAGTTTGTTTTTCTTTCTTTTCAGTTTCTTAAGGTACAAAGTTAGGTTATTAATTTTCAATCTTTCTTCTTTTTTAATGTAAACATAGCCATAAACTTCTCTGTTAGTACTGTTTTCACTGCGTCTCACAAGTTTGGGCACTGATATGGCTTGGATGTTCCCTCCAAATCTCATGTTGAGATGTAATCCCCAGTGTTGGAGGTGGGACCTTGTATTAGGCTGTTCTTGCATCACTATAAAGAAATACCATACAACCTGAGCAACATGTCAAAACCCCATTTCTACAAAAAGTACAAAAATTACCTAGGCGTGGTAGCTCATGCCTGTAGTTGCAGTTACTCAGGAATTTGAGGCTGGAGAATCGCTTGACCAGGGAAATGGAGGTTGCAGTGAGCTGAGACTGCACCACTGCACTCCAGCCTGGGTGACAGAGTGAGACCCTGTCTCGGGGGGAAAAAAAAAAAAGAAATATCAGAGACTGGGTAATTTATAAAGAAAAGGGGTTTAATTGACTCATTGTTCTGCAGGCTATACATGCATGATGCTGGCATCTGCTCAGCTTCTGGGGAGGACTCAGGGAACTTTTCCTCATGGAGGAAGGTGAAATGGAAGGTGACTGGATTATGGGGGCAGATTTCTCATAAATGGTTTAGCACCATCCCCTTGGTGCTGTCTTTGCAATAGTGAGTTCTCATGAGATCTGGCTGTTTAAAAGTGTGTGGCACCTCCCCCTTCTCTTTCTCCTTCTCCAGCCTTCCCTTGCTCTTCCCATTTCACCTTCTGCCATGAGGAAAAGCTCCCTAAGGCCTCCTCAGAAGCTGAGTAGATGCCAGCACTGTGCTTGTAGAGCCTGCAGAACTATCAATAAAACTTCTTTTCTTTATGAATTACCCAGTCTGGAGTATTCCTTTATAGCAATCCAAGAATGGCCTAACACAGGAACATTTTTTTCATTTTCATTTGTCTCAAGAGGCTTTCTAATTTTCCTTGTGATTTCTTCTTTGACCTGTTGTTTAAGAGTGCATTGCTTAATTTTCATGTATTTGTGGATTTTCCAGTTTTCCTTCTGTTGTTGATGTGTAGTGTCATTTCACTGTAATCAGAGAAGATATTTTCTGTGATTGCTGTCTTTTAAAATTTGTTAAGATTTGTTTTGTGGCCTTCATGTGGTCTGTTTTGGAGAATGTTCCATGTGCACTTGAAAATAATGTGTTTTTTTTGCAGTTGATGGGTGAGTGTTCTGTATATGTTCTGTTCTTTATATAGACCTGGAGGTCATTATCTTAAGTGAAATAACTCAGAAAACAGAAAGTCAAATACCATATGTTCTCATTTATAAATAGGAGCTAAATACTGTGAACACATGGAAATAGAGTGTACAATAATAGACACTGGAGCCTCAGAACAGTGGGAGGGTGGTAACTGTGTTGTTGAAGACCTCTATTACTTTTTTTTGGTATGCATTTAAGGGGTACAAGTGCAGTTTTGTTACATGGATATACTGTGTAGTGGTAAAGTCTGGCCATTTAGTGTAACCACCACCTGAATAATATACATAGTACCCATTAATTTATTTCTCATCCTTTACCCACCTCCTACACTACTGAATCTCCAGTGTCCATTATTCCATACTTTATGTCCATATGTACACATTATTTAGCTCTCACTTGTGAGAACATGTGGTGTTTGACTTTCTGTTTCTGAGTTATTTCACTTAAGATTATAGCCTCCAGTTCCATCAATGTTGCTGCAAAAGATGATTTTATTCTTTTATATGGCTGAGTAGTATTCCATTGCACATATATACTACATTTTCTGTATCTAGTCCTTCACTGATGTAAACGTAGGTGATTCCATCTCTTTGGTATTGTGAATAGTGCAGTGATAAACATATGAGTGTGGGTATCTTTTAGATCTAATTATTTTTCCTTTGGGTAGATAGCCAGTAGTGGGATTGCTGCCTAGAATGGCAGTTCTATTTGCAGTTCTATGAGAAATCTCCATACGGTTTTCCATACAGGTTATACTAATTTACATTCCCACTAACAGTGTGTAAGTGTTCCATTTTCTCTGCATCCTTACCAACATGTTATTTTTTGAATTTTTAGTATTAGCCATTATGACTTGCGTGAAATATGTCATTGTGGTTTTAATTTGCATTTCTCTGATTGTGAGTGATGTTAAAAATTTTTTCATATGCAGGTTAGACATTTGTATGTTTTCTTTTGAAAAAATATTCATGTTCTTTGCCCATTCAGTAGTGTAGGAGGTGGGTAAAGGATGAGAAAATATTTATGTTCTTTTATTTGTTTTTGTTGTTGTTGAGTTGTTTGAGTTCCTTGTATATTAGTCCCTTGTTGTATGCATAGTTTGTAAATGTTTTCTCCCATTCTACACATTGTCTGTTCTCTTATTTCTTTTCGCTTTGCAGAAGCTCTTTAGTTGAATTAAGTCCCATTTGTCTATTTGTGTTTTTGTTGCATTTGCTTTCGAGGCCTTAGTCATAAATTGCTCATCTAGGCCAATGTCCAGAGGAGTTTTCCGTAGGTTTTCTTCTAGTATTTTTATAGTTTCAGGTCTTACATTTAAGCTTTTAATTGATCTTGAGTTGGCTTGTAGATGGTGAGAGACAGAAGTCCAGTTTCATTCTTCTGCACAGGTAATCCAATTTTCCTAGCACCACTTATTGTAAAGGATGTCCTTTCCTCAGGGTATGTTTGTGTTGACATTGTCAAAGATCAGTTGTCTGTAGGTATATGGCTTTATTTCTGAGTTCTCTATTCTGTTACATTGATCTGTATGTCTATTTTTATACAAGTACCATGCTGTTTTGGTTACTGTAACCTCATAGTATAATTTGAAGTCAGGTAATGTGATGCCTCCAGCTTTGTTCTTTTTGCTTACAATTGCTTTGGATATTCAGGCTCTTTTTTCATTCTATATGAATTTTAGGATTGTTTTTTCTAATTCTATGAAAAATTACATTTTAAAAATAGGAATTACATTCAATCTATACATCTGTATGGTTTTTTTTTAATGATATTGATTTTTGTGATCCATGAACATGGGAGGTTTTTCCATTTGTGTCATGTATGATTTCTATCATCAGTGTTTTGTAGTTTTCCTTGTAAAGATCTTTCACCCCCTTGTTTAAAATATATTCCTAAATATTTTACTTTTTTTGTAGCTATTGTAGTTCTTGATTTGGTTCTCAGTTTGTTGTTGATGTATAGAAATGACACTGATTTTTGTACACCAATTTCATATTCTGAAACTTTACTGAACTTATGAAATCTGGGAGTCTTTGGGATTTTCTAGGTATAAGATCATATCATGAGCAAACAGAGATAAGTTGACTTCATCTTTTCCAAATTTGGATGCCTTTTATTTCTTCTCTTGCCTGATTGCTCTGGCTTGGGCTTCTAGTATGTTGAATAGGAGTGGTGAAAGTGGTCATCATTGTCTTGTTCCAGTTCTTCGGGAGACTGCTTTCAAATTTTCCCTGTTTAGTATAATGTTTTCTGTGGTCTTATCATATATTGCTTTTATTATTTTGCAGTATGTTCCCTCTATGCCTAGTTTGTTGAGGATTTTATCACAAAAGGATCCTTAATTTTATCAAATGCTTTTTCTGTATCTATTGAGATATTTATATAGTTTGTTTTTAATTCTCCTTATGTAATGAATCAAATTTGTTTACTTGAGTATGTTGAACTATACTTGCATCTTTGGAATAAAACCATTTGATTGTGATGTATTATGTTTTTGATGTGCTGTTGTATTGGGTTTGCTAGTACTTTGCTGCAGATTTTTGCATCTATGTTCATCAGAGATTTTGGTCTATAGTTTTCATTTTTTGTTGTGTGCTAGTCCGGCTTTAGTATCAGAATAATACTGGCTCTGTAGAATGAGTCAGGGAGGCTTCCCTTCTCATTGAAGTTTTGGAAGCATTTCAGAGGGCATTGGTACCAGTTCTTTGTAGATTTGGTAGAATTTGGCTGTGAATCCATTTGGCCCTGGACTTTTTTTTTTTTTTTTTTTCCTTAGGAGACTTTTTTGTTACTGATTAAGTGTCACTACTTGTTATTGGTCTGCTTAGGATTTCTATGTGTTCAATCTCGGGTGGTTTTATGTTTCCAGGAATTTATATGTCTTCTAGATTTTCTAGTTTGTGAGTGTAGAGGTGTTCATGGTAGTCTTTGATGATCACTTGTATTGTGGTATCAGTTCTAATGTCTCCTTTTAAATTTCTGATTGTTTATTGGATCTTCTGTCTTCTTTTCTTGATTAGTCTAGCTAGCAGTTTGTCAACTTTATTTTATCAACGAACCAACTTTCTGTTTCTTTGACCCTTTATAATGTTCTTTTGTTCACAATTTCATTTACTTCTTCCCTGATTTGTTATTTGTTTTCTGTTAGCTTTGAGTTTTCTTTGTTCTTTTTTTTCTAGTTCCTTGAGGTGTGATGTTAGGTTGTTAATTTGATTTTTCTGTTCTTTGGCTGTAAGCATTTAATGCTATAAACTTCCCTCTTAGCACTGCTTTTGCTGTATCCCAGAGGTTTTGGTATGTTGTTTTCATTTTCATTCATTTCTAAAAATTTTTAAGTTTCCATCTTAATTTTGTCTTTGACCTAAAGACCATTCAGGGATATGTTATCCAATTTCCATGTATTTGTATAGTTTCAACAGTTCCTCCTGGTATTGATTTATAGTTTTATTTTTCTGTGGTCTGAGAAAATACTTGGTATGATTTCAATTTTTAAAAATTTATTGAGATTTGTTTTGTGACCTAATATATGGTCTGTGTTTGAGAATGCTGCATGCACTGATGAGAAGAATCTATATTCCGCTGTTGTTGGGTAGAGTGTTCTGTAAATGTCTGTCAGGTACATTTGGTCTCAAGATCAATTTAAGCCCAGTGTTTCCTTGTTTTTCTGTCTCAATGATCTGTGAACTGCTACAGGTACAGTGTTGAAGTCTCCCACCATTATTATATTGCTGTCTATCTCTTTATGTCCAGTAATATTTGTTTTGTGACTCTGACTGCTCCAGTGTTTGGTGTGTATATATTCAGGATTTTTATGTCCTTTTGTAGAATTGATCCCTTTACATTATATAATGACTGACTTTGTCTTTTTTTTACTTTTGTTGATTAAAAGTCTGTTTTATCTGATATAAGCGTAGATACTCCTGCTCACTTTTAGTTTCTGTTTGTGCAGGAGATCTGTTTCTAGTCCTTTACCTTCAGGCTATAAGAATCTTTACCAATATGGGGAGTTTCTTATAGTTCTTATGAAAATATGGTTCATATTTTAAAAAACCCATCTGCCAATCTATACCTTTTAAATTAAGCATTTTATCTACTTATGTACAATGTTCATAGTTATATGTGAGGTTTGTTTCTATCATAATGTTAATTGTTATCAAATTGCTTTGTACATTATTTGCATCTTTTTTTCCCTCTTTCTGTTTGTCTTTGTTGTTTGGTGGAGTTCTGTCCTGTTGTAATTTGATTTCTTTCTCTTCCTCCTTTGTGTAACTAACTGTTTTTATAAGACCTGTGAGTTTTATAGTTTTGTGTATTTTTTATGATGGCAAACATTGACCATTTTGTTCCATGTTTAGAACTCCTTTGAATATTTTTATAGGGTTCGTCTAGTGGTGATAAATTCCATCAGTGTTTGGGAAGTACCTTATTTCTCCTTTATTTATGAAACTTATTTTAGCAGAATACAAAATCTGTGGTTGACAATTTTTTTTTCCTTTAAGCACATTGAAAATAGAATCCCAATCTTTTACTGGCTTATAAAGTTCCCACTGAGAAGTCCACCGTTAGTCTGATGGAGCTTCCTTTACAAGTGACTAGATGATTTTCTCTTGCTGATTTTAGGATTTCTTCCTTTATATTAATTTTAGACAATTTAATGACTATACGTTGTGGTGAAATCCACCTGGCAGTGTGTTCTCCTAGTATTCATTTGGCCTCTTGTATTTGCATGTCTAAATCTCTTATAAAATTAGGGAAATTTTCATCTATTATTTCCTTAAATGATTTTCAAAACTTTGTTTTTTCTTCCCCCTCAGGAACACCAATGATTCGTAAGTTTAGATTCTTTATATAATCCCATGCTTCTCAAAATATTCATTCTATTTTATTCTTTTTTCTTTGTCTAACTAGATTAATTCAAAGGATTTTCTTCAAATTTTGAGATTTTGTCTTCTGCTTTATCTAGTCAGTTATTGACCCTTTCAGCCATATTTTGTAATTCCTTCAGTGAATTTTTCATTTCCAAAAGTTATGTTTGTTCATTTTTAGATAAGAAAAAACTGGTGAAGTTCTCCGTGATAAATTTCTCATTCATATCCAGAATTAATTTTCTGATTTCTTTCTATTGGTTTTTGGATTTCTTTTGGATCTGATTGAGCTTCTATAAAATCAATATTTTGAATTCTTTATCTGGCATTTCAGAAATTTCCTTTTGGTCAGCATCCATTGCTAGAGAGTTAGTGTAATCCTTTGAGGGGTGTCATAACTCCCTGACTTGACTTTTCATGCTTCCAGTATTATGCAGATTTTTTCTCATTTGGAGAAATAGTCACTTCTTATTATTGAATTTACTTGGGTTTGGACAGGACTTCCCCCCCTCTCCCCCACCCCCAAATCCTTGAGGATGTGACTGTAATATATGTTGTGCAGGGCTGTTTGGCTTTGCTTCCGGGTGCATTCAGTGGCAAAGACTATGTATGAATTCCTTGGTTGTAAATTACCATCATGTGGTGGCTTTTTCAAATGCTGTTTGTAGTAGCGGTATACCAGGCAGGTGAGCAGGCGCATGACCTCCTGTGAAGCCAGGGTTATAGGTCACAAGGAGCTCATCTCATTCATAAGTGCTATGGGCTTGTGTTACCAGATTTTGTCCTGTATTGTGCAGGTTGACCTCCAGGCCAGTCAGTGGCACTTGTAAGTAAGAGCTGGCTGTGGTGGTAGTAGTAAAATTCATGCTTGATCTTTGTTTACCAAGAGAAACTCTCCAGTGTCCCAGGCAATGGGCTGGATTATGGAATGCTCAGTGGTTTGGGTTTTATCCTCAGCCTGAGAGAGTGTGTGAAGCTGGGCAGAGCTGGACCAGGCAACCCTGCACTTTCGCTGCTCCCACCTCCCGGCCCCCCCACCTCCCAAACAGTGAATGCAACCACTATCTCTGAGGAGAGTTTAGGGAGCAGTCACCAAATGCCTGGAGATATGCCCAGTAAAGGGTAGAAACACTGCTGCTGCACCAGGTTCCTCACATGTGAAGACCAGGGCAGCCAAAGCTCCTAGACCAGGTGAGCTGGTGTGGGAATCTGCCTCCCTCTCACTCCTTAGAACCAATGGAGTTGAATCCCACCCTGGCATGAGCTGGGGCACTCAGGAAAGTCAGTGCAGACTGGCTTTAGATCACAGTGCCATCCCTGTCCACAAATCTTGCCACTTGGGGAAAACCATGGCTCTCTAGCAAATCTCCTCCCTCTCTGGTTCCACAAAGGGGGAAAGCCCAATTTCAGAACCCATGGCTTGAATGCACTCCACAACCACCACTCAGTTCTGGATGTGGGGGCCCTTCCCCACCTCCAGTCCCAGCACTCCATTCTCCAGCCCAAGAATCTCTAATGCCCATGGCTACTGTTGCCAGGTTACTGAATCCTGCCCAGTTTGTTGTGAGCCAAGATTGAGAAGAGCATCCTCCTGTTAGATCCCAGGTCTGAGAAAAATACTGGAGCATTTCCCAGCATTTTTCTTTCTCAGTCTCCTGGCCTCTCGCCATGTTAGCCCCAGGGCTTAGAAGGGCCGAGGTAGTTTCCCATGGCCTGGGTGGCATGGTTTCTCAGAGGAAAGGTAGATCACAGAGGTACACAATTTGCTCCTCTACCATATCGGGGACTTCACTCACAGTTCTCAGCCAGATGCTGCTACTCAGGGTGCCTTCTCACCTTTTATTTTCCAGGATTTGAATTTCTGTGCTCCTTCTTGAATAAAAGAGCACTATATGACTGTGCACTGTTTTGTGTGTGTGTGTGTTTTTTTTTTTTTTTGCTTCCAAATAGGTGAAGCATGCTAAAAGAGTCTCTGATCTGCCGCCTTGGGGGAAAAAAAAGAGAAGTCCTTTATTTCTTTATTGATCTTATCTTATATCTGGTGGTCCTATCCATTATTGAAAGTGGGCTATTGAAATCTCCTACTATTACTGTGTTGATATGTATTTATCCCTTCAATTCTGTCAATGTTTGCTTCACATATTTAAGAGCTCTGATATTTAGTGCATAAATATTTATAATTACTATATCATCCTGGTGAATTGACCCTTTAATCATTATATAGTATCCTTCTTAGTCTCTTGTGACAGTTTTTGACTTAAAGTCTATTCTGCCTCATATTAGTATAGATATCCCTGCTGTCTTTTGGTTATTGTCTGCATAGCATATCTTTTTTCATCCTTCAAGTTCAGCCTTTATGTGGTGTTAGATCTAAAGTGCTTCTATGCAGCATATCACTGGATCCTATTTTTATTTTTTTTATCCATTTAGCCAATATGTCTTTTGGCTGAGGGGTTTAATTGCCTCACTTTAAAGTAATTACCGATATGGAAGGATTTTCTGTTGCCATTTTGTTACCTGTTTCCTGTATATCTTGTGGCTTTTTGGACCCTCATTCTTCTGTTACTGTCTGTCTTTGACTCCCTTCTTTGTCCTTTTGTGTGCATTGTATGGATATTTTGTGGTTACCACTGCAATTGCAGAAAGTATCTTAAAGTTATAACAAATCTATTTTAGGCTAATAACTTAATTTCAATTGCATACACAAATTCTCCTTTACAGCTGCCATTTCCCCCCTTATGTTATTGTCATAAATTACCTGTTATATATATTGTGTACCAATTAACATAGATTTATAATTGTGTGTGTCTGTGATTTACTCATTTAGACTTGTATATACAAGAATTAAAAGTGGATTTATGCACTAGAATTACAATATAGGATTCTATATTTATTTAAATGTTTATCATTAGTGGAGAACTTTATAATTTCATATTACTATGTTGGTGCCTACCATCCTTTGTTTAATTTGAGGAACTCTCCTTAGTATTTATTGTCTAGTAACATTGACTAAACAGCTTTTGTTTATCTGGAAAGGTCTTCATTTCTTCTTCATTTCTGAAGGACAGTTTTGCTGGATACAGTATTCTTAGTTGATTTTTTTTTCTTTTAGCACTTTAATCATCCCATTTCTTTTTAGCCTTCAAGGTTTCTATTGAGAAATCTGCTGATAACCTTAGTTGGCTCACTTGTACGTGATGAGTTGTTTTTCTCTGGCTGGTTTCAAGATTCTTCCTTTGACTCATAACAGTTTGATTATAATGTGTCTTGGTATGGGTCTCTTCAGGTTTATCATAGTTGGAGTTCATTGAGTTTTGAGTTTGTAGGTCCATTTCTTTTATCAGCCTTGGGAAGTCTGTAGCCACTGTTTGTTCAAATAAGCTCTTTGTCCCTTTCTCTTTCTTTCCTCCTTTTGAGACTCCTATACTACATATATTATTCTGCTCAGGTTCTGTTAATTTATCTTCATTTTTTTTCTTTTTTCTCCTCAGTCTCAATAATTCCAAATGTGCTAACTTCAAGAACACTGATTCTTCTGCTTGCTTAAGTCTGCCATTGAACCCCTCTAGTGAATTATTTAGTTCACTTATATTTTTCAGGTCCACAGTTTATTTTTGTTTTTTTTTCAAGAGACAGGGTCTTGCTATGTTGCCCAGGCTAGTCTTGAACTCCTGAGCTCAAGCAATCCTCCCTTCTCAGCCTCCCAAAGTGCTAGGATCAGAGGCTTGAGCCATCATGCCTGGCTTTATAATTTTTTGAAAATAGTTTCTCTTTGTTGATATTCTTATTTTGTTCATGCATTGTCTTCCTGATTTCTGTGCAGTTCTGTGTTCTCTTGTAGGTCTTGATCATCTTTATGAGAGTTATTATAAATTCTTTTTTAGGAAGCTTACAGATCTGCATTTCTTTAAGGCAAATTTCTGGAGCTTAATTTTGTTCCTTTGGTCAGGCCATGGTCCCGTTTCTTTGTATGCCTTGTCGTCTTTTGTTGGGATTTGAGCATTTGAAGAAACAGCCACCTTTCTCAATCTTTATGAACTACTTTTACTTAGGGGAAAACTGTGACCAGTCAGGCTGGCTAGAGGTTCTAAGACCTCTCAGATTTTTCCTGGGGATGCGTTTTCTTTGGGGTTGTATGTTTACTTTTAGTGTATCTGGGTGCTTCTGACTGTCTTCTTTCCTGTGTCTTCGCGGGAGCCGTTTCTGTTGTAGTCCTCTGCCCTTAATCTCTTGCTCCCCCTAGAGCCTGCCTGCAGAACCGCAGAGTCTCTCCTGTCTAACATGCTAAGGCATTAACCTCTGTTTTCAGTGGCCTCTAATCTTGTACCCAAACTATGCAAACTGTCATTCTCATCAGTTCCCTGAGCAAAGCACTGCAACCCACAAACAAGTTAGCATGCTGGACTTAAGTTTCACTCTATTTCTTCTGTTCCAAGGGAGGTGTCAGGCAAGCAAAATGCAATGAACTCTCTTACCCTCTCAGGCACCATCCATTCTCTTGTTTTTGCACTTGCCTGAGTCCTGTAGTCCATTAACTAATTTCTAGATTTATCACAAAGCTATTTTTATGTATATGTTACAGGTGATTTGTCTCCATAGAAAAATGAGGGCCTGGAGCTTCCTAATCTGCCATCTTGCTAATGTCACTTATGTATATTATTTCCACAGTGTGTATATAGATCTACATAGATATATATATTTGAAAACTGCAGCAGGTGAGGACTAAATGCTTTTTCCTTGACAGACAAAACATTGTACTTATTCTCACCTTGAGTCCTTTTCCCAATCCTTACTGTTATTGAATTTCTTTTTATATTCCATTAGAAGATACATATAGCATATGGACTGTCTCCTCCCAAAACTTTCTGTAATACATTCTGCTTGGATATGCTAGTACTATTTTAAGGATGAAAAGTGTAGTAGGTCCTTCTATTAACATACTTATTTTCCAGAATATCACTACATGGATCAATTGTACTCTTTGCTATTCAGTAAGATAAAATGAAAATGTATCTCTACCAGTAAATGGAGTTCTTAGATGGTTTCATTTTCAAATGTGAAAATTAGGTTTCATTGTTCATTCTTAAAAGCAAACATTTATTGAAGGTCTATTTTGTGCAGATATCTTTACTGATTGGGGGATATAAAGATGAAGCAGACATAATCCCATCCTTAATGAGCTTACAGTGTGATAACAGGGTGGGGAGAGGGGGCAGAAAAAAATAAACAAATAGTGACAACATAGAAGTAGAGAAGAGGCCGGGTGCTGTGGCTCACGCCCATAATCCCAGCAGTTTGGGAGGCTGAGGCGGGCGGATTGCTTGAGCCAAGCAGTTCAAGACCAGCTTGGGCAACATGGCAAAACCCCATCTCTTAAAAAAAAGAAATACAAAAACTAGCCAAGCATGGTGGCAGACACATGTACTCCCAGCTACTTGGGAGGCTGAATGGGAGGAGCACCTGACCTGGGGAGGTTGAGGGCTGCAGTGAGCCGTGATCATGCCACTGCACTCCAGCCTGGGTGACAGGGTGAGACCTTGTCTCAAAAAAAAAAAAAAAAAAAGTAGAGGAGAAAAGTTTTTAGAAGATGCTAAAGGACATATTTTGGGTCCTTTATATTTGTAAATATGTTTAAATTGTGTTTTCCTCAATATAAAATGAAAGTAAGATCCATAGTGGCAGCAACTTAATATGGTTATAACTTTTAGAAAGGACACCAAGAGTTAGAAAAAAAATTTATATTAACTATTTTAAATCTGATAGTCTTAGATTACAGCTATAATATGTGATTATATTTTTGAAATATAATACTGAGTGTACTCAATTCCAGGAAAGGTTCTAGATGTGACTAGTACTTTGGTACCACCTACTAAACAAAGCTTAATGTCTTAAACTAATGAACTACAAAGAAGCAGAATTTTGGTGGGGGTGGGGTACAGGATGGGATAGGGAGTGATTATAGCCTGAATGACCTATTACTTTATAATCACCTTTGTGTTCAGTTTATGGAAAGGTTAAGTGTTTGGTCTGAAAGATCCTGAATTGGGTAAATTTGAATTATTGCTCGGAAGCATGAATTACCTAGAATTTTGCTTTGTCTTCCTAGAACACAGATTTTAGACTGGGAGTCCATGTGCCAAATTCAGTTTATAGATGTTTGATCTACAGTATTTAACAACTATTTTGAATTATTTACCAACACTTAAAAATTGGGACATTTAGGGCTGGGCATGGTGGCTCACGCCTGTAATCCCAGCACTTTGGGAGGCTGAGGCAGGCGGATCACAAGGTCAGGAGATCGAGACCGTCCTGGATAACACGGTGAAACCCTGTGTCTACTAAAAATTACAAATATTAGCCAGGCGTGGTGGCGGGCCCCTGTAGTCCCAGCTACTTGGGAGGCTGAGGCAGGAGAATGGCGTGAACCCGGGAGGCGGAGCTTGCAGTGAGCTGAGATTGCACCACTGCACTCCAGCCTGGGTGACAGAGCCAGACTCCATCTCAAAAGAAAAAAAAGAAAAAATTGGGACATTTAGGTGACCTTTCATTCTGTTTTGTGCAATGGAAGCTACCCTAATTCATAAAAAAATGGAGGGATTTAGCATAAAAATCCAGTGTTCAGGCTTTTTGAAAACTCAGATTTTGCAGTATTTGGCCTCCAATTCCTAAGAGCCACAGTCTCCTTAATCAGAATGGCTACTGCCCACTTTAGTGGGGCAGGCACACTCCACTTCATCCCAGTCCCCATTAAACTCTATTATTTCTATGACATCAAGGCTGAATATCTGTTCTACTTATCAGGCTTATACTTCTAAAGGCATCAAACTATAGATCACATGGGCCAAATGCAGCCCTACATCTGTTTTTTTTATGGCCCACAATCTAAGAATGGTTTTTATATTTTCAAATGGTTGAAAAAATACAAGAAAGATATATTTTTAGATGTGAAAATTATATGAAATTCAAATTTCAGTGTCCAAATAAAGTTTTATTGGAGCATAGCCATGCTTGTTTGTTTACATATTGTCTAAGGCTGCTTTTGTACTATAGTGTCGGAGTTGAGTAGTTGAGATAGAGGCCATATGACTTGAGAAGCCTAAACTAGTTACTATCTGGCCCTTTAAAAAATTTGCTCAGCCTTGATGCAGAACAAAAGGAAAAGCTCTCCTTACCCCCCTTTAAATTTTTTCCTTTTCTTGTCTCTTTCACTGTTTTTTTGCTATCCTATCTTAACATGTTCCTTTAGATCCAGGCTAGAATTACCTTATCAAATTCCATTTCACAGCAAGAATGAAAACAGTGAAAAACTCAGGAGACCAGGGTTCTGATCTCTGTGTTTAACTATCTGTGATCTTAGACAAGTCATTTAATCTCTCTGAGCTTCTATTTCCTCATTTGTTCAACAAAAGTGCTAAATTAGATCATCTCTAAAATATTTCTTACTTTCAATTCCATGAAGTAGACAAAAAAGAAAGAAGAGATAAGCTGGGTGAAAAAAAATGTAAAGGACAAAGACTAAAGAATGATTGGGAGACTCCTGGTTGCTAGGTAGGTAGGATAGAATAATAATTGCCACCTTTATTCAGTTAGCCCATTTGCATATATTATCTCTAATTCTCATAATGACCCTTTAAGGTAGGTATCATTACCCCATTTGCAGATACAGAAACTGAGGGTCAAAGAGGTTAATTGGCTTGCTCTAAACCAATATCTATTAAGTGGCAGAAGAATCAAGGTTCATACCTGAAATGTCTGGCACAAAGCCAGTGCTCTTCCATTTCAACAAACTGCTGAAGTCAAAAGAAGAGAAGTGAGCTAAGAGAACTTATTGCTGTTATACATTTGTCTTCTGAAATAAATGGCACTGTTTCTCTGGTGATCTTATACATTATTTTTTAAACCTATCTATTCTTTTGTTGGCTTTGTGCCTTCAAAGGAGATATCCTTTCCAGTCTAAAATCTCCAAAGGATTTTCAAGGTAAAACACTTTTCAAGATGTTCAATCACATGGAAGAATGAAAATCTTTTATAATATTGTTTGTTA
Organism: Homo sapiens; assembly: GCF_000001405.40. Taxonomy (NCBI): domain Eukaryota; kingdom Metazoa; phylum Chordata; class Mammalia; order Primates; family Hominidae; genus Homo; species Homo sapiens. Next base: position 63,192,933 of record NC_000002.12, read on the forward strand.
AACTGACAGCTCTACTTAACAGAAACCATTAAAATATTTACAAAGTAGCAGCTGCTCTTGTAAAAAAATACAGCTTTTTGGAGGCATAAAAATAAACTAGTTGATAAGTACAAGATAAGCCATTTGGTGACTTCTTTATGTACATTGCACAATATATGGAAAATTCTGATATTTACACAGCAATTATACTACAAAGCCTTTTAAGTTAAAAGGACACAGGCTGAGTAAGAACTGAACTGTTTACAAGAATTTTCCATACTGATCTTGGAAACAATTTACGGAACCCCCAAACATAATCCTTTAATAAGCTTTACATTTTAGGTGTTTTTTATTTTTTTCCAAAAAAAGCTTTGTCTTTAGAAGATAGTTACATATGAATGAATCTCTATTGAACTCAGTTGCATTTTATATTCTACTAGAATTACAGCCAAGTTTCTTATATAAATAATTAGAAGTTGTGGAAAATAGATCAAGAGAGCAAACCAACATATGTTAACAAAAATGTTTAAAAGTAACTGAACATTTGCATTTTATGCCTTTATCTGTTCATATGACATTATTTATTTATTTAGAAACAAGGCCTTGCTGTGTTTTCCAGGCTGGAGTGCAGTGGCATGATCACAGCTCACTGCAACCTCTAACTGCTAGGTTTAAGCAATCCTCCCTAGCTCAGCCTCCTGGGTAGTTGGAAGTACAAGCACGAACCACCATGCCTGGCTAATTTTTAAATTACTTTTGTAGATATGGGGTCTAACTATGTTGCCTAGGCTAGTAATTTGATATTTTATATATAAGCTAAGTGATTTTTTTTAAAAAAGTAAACATTAAAAATTTGCATTGTTGGGTAAAATTAATTTTATCAAAATAGAGCAGTCATATGTAACTTTTACAACCCAGGTTTATTCATAAGGAAAAAAGTTTATATGTACGTGAAGGTGGCTTTTTGCGAAATTTTGAGTTAATGGAAGAATGATACTGGTCATGATCCTTGATAACATGAGCTTGCTGATTTATTTAATGACTTCTACTTACTGGTAAGACCATTAGATTGAAAAGAAAGAAAACCTTCTGGTAGTGATTTCTAAATCTGTGATATACTAATAGCTTGAGAAAACCACATACTTTCATTTTTAAATATCCCTATAAATTATGGAATTATTACAAACCTTTAAAAATGTTTTGATATTATTTTTTCTACCTTCAAGTTCACTTAGTTCACACTTTGTTGTCCTTCCAAATACAGTATTTTCCATGCTGCTCTTAAAGAAAATAATATTTTTCCATTTTTTTAGAACTAGAAGAAGGCAAGAGACTAAGATGATGATGGAGGAAGTGTTAGGATGTTCAATAAGTGTCAGCAGCTTATCAAAAGAAAGAAAGAAAAAAAAATAGTGTTACCTTGACCCAAAAGGGTGATAACAGGCAACTTATCTTTTAGGGTAAATGTTATGAAGTCCCATACTGTTGGTCTTAGTTACTTCAAAGTGTTGATGTGATCTCTATGGAAGTTATGCCTTCCTGTGTAAGAAATACCCACATATATATTGTTGACAGTTCTTTTCATTAGAAAAATAAGTAAGCAAAACAGGAAAAATATGCAATTATAATGTGTTATATTTATGTACAAAAGTTTGTCTTTAACATTGAGTTTTCCCTTCTCATCTTAGAAATCTTTGATATGAGTTGATGTGCCTATATGGAAATAAGTAGTCATTCTTTGGGGAGATGTAAAGGTATTGAGATTAAAGTATTTTCTAAAAATTTCATTTTCAGTTATCATTACTATGTATTGATTGATACATTGAGTTTCAGTGTCTATATATTATCAAAGCATATCACAGGAAAAAGTAGATATTTGAACCAGTTTATTCCAGCATAACTTGATAGGAAAAGAAACTTTCTTAAACAAGATCAGATTTCAGTTTTCATTGCTTGTTGCAAGTAGAAAATAAAATCAATATCAGGAATCACAAAATCTGTTTATTGTATTTCAGTAGTAATCAGATGGTTTTTTACATCTAAAATGTACTGGTAGGATACTAGTTATTACTGTTTTTTTAAAATATATTTTCTCAAAAATGTATGGTAATTTTATAGTTAAATATAGGGCTAGGAAATATATAAACAAGTGACTAGTCTTGATTAAATGACTTAATCTTTACATTTCAGAAATTTTTTCTTTTAGAGTTAATATTTAACTTATTTTGCACTTATTCTTTAAATTTTTATTGACTCAAAACCAAGATGACATTTTTATAATTGGTAGAGGAGTCAAAGGCTGATGAGCCTTTTTATTCAGTGTTTCATATACGCAAATTTACAAACTGTTCAAATAAACTGTACTGAGTCAGGCAACAATAATTACTGATAATTATGAGATTTATTCTAGACTCTGCCATGTGATCTTAAGCAGGTCACGTAATCTCTCAGATTGTTGGAAGTGGCATTTAGAAGTGGGCATCTTACATATTATTGGTAAATCAATACAGTTTACCCTTGACAACATGGGTTTGAACTGCATGGGTCCACTTATACATGGATTTTTTTTTGAGACAGGGTCTCATTCTGGCATCCAGGCTGGAGTGCAGTGATCACAGATCACTGCAGCCTCAAACTCCTGGGCTTAAGTGATCCTCCTGCCTCAGCCTCCCAAAGGGTTATAGGCGTGAGCCACCATGCCAGGACAGACATAGATTTTTTCAACAAATATATTAAAAAAAAGTTTTTGGAGGTTTGTGACAATTTGAAAAAACTCACAGATGAACCACGTAGGCTAAAAATATCCAAAAAAATTAAGAAAAGGATATTTCATGAATTCAAAAAAACATGTAGATACTAGTCTAAGATAAATACAATCTGTTATAAAAAGTTAAAATTTATCAAAATGTATACACACACTTATAGACCATACATGGAACCATTCAATCAAAAGAAATGTTAACAAATATAAAGATTGAACATTAAGTCATAATAGCATCAAATTAACTGTAGTACACATAATGTACTACTGTAATAATTGTATAGCCACCTCCTGTTGCTACTGTGGTGGATTTGAGGTTTTTGAGTATCTGCTTAAAATGCTGCATGATGCTAATCATCTATGCATGAGCAGTTTGTCTCTTAAGTAAATTGTGTATCATAGTAAAAAGTGATCTTTTGTGATTCTTGTGTATTTTTCATTATATTTAGTGCAATACCAGAAACCTTGAATAACACTATCAGTTCCCTGTGAAGTGCCACTAGTGATGCTGGAATTTCTGCCAAGAAGCAGAGAAAAGTCCTGACGTTACAAGAAAATGTTGAATAATGTTGAATTGCTTGATATGTACAATGGACTGGGGATCTGCAGCTGTGGTTGCTCACCATTTCAAGATAAATGAATCCAGCATGAGGACCATTCTAAAAAAGGAAAAGGAAATTCATGAAGCTGTCACTGAAGCTATGCCAGCAGGTGCTAAAATCTTGCACTTTTTGCAAAATACCCTTTTATCTTGTTTTGAAAATACAGCTTTCATGTGGGTACAGGATTCCTATGAGAAAGACATATCCATAGACTATAATGATTTGAGAAAATGTGAAGTCATTATATGACAACTTAAAGCAAAAGGAAGGTGAAGGATCTAAAGCTGGAGAATTTAATGCCAGCAAAGGATGGTCTGATAATTTTAGACAGGTGTTTGGCTTTAAAAATATCAAGATAACAAGAGAAGCAGCTTCTGCTGACCAAGAAGCAGCAGACAAGTTCTCAGCCACCATTAAGAAAATCATTGAGAAGAAAGGATATCTACCTGAGGTGTTTAATGTAGACAAAAGTGCTTGACTCTTGGGGAAAAAAATGCCACAAAGGACATTTATTAGTAAGGAAGACATGAGTGCCTCCGACTATGAGTAGTCAGACCATGAGGAAGAAGACATAGAAGAACCAGTGCCAGAAAACAAATTGACAGACAATCTGGCAGAAGGGTTCTGACTGTTCAAGACTGCTTTTGACTACTTCTGACACAGACCCTTCTATGAAACAAGCACTGAAACTAAAGCAAACAATGGAAGAAGGATTGGTACAATACAGAAACATTGTTAGAGAAATGAAAAAGAAATAAACAAATTATGATGTATTTCCATAAAGTTACACCAAGTATGCCTACCTCTCTCTTGCCTCTCCTTCAACCTCCTTCATGTATTCTGCCTCTGCCACCCCAAGACAGCAATACCCACCCCTCCTCTTCCTCCTTCTCAGCCTACTCAACACAAAGACAACACGGATGAAGACCTTTATGATAATTCACTTTCATTTAATGGTAAATGTATTTTCCCTTCCTTATGATTTTTATAATAAAATTTTCTTTTTTTCTAGCTTACTCTATTGTAAGAAGATAGTATATAATATAACATAAAACATATGTTAATTGATTGCTTATGCTATTGGTAATGCTTCCAATCAACAGTTGGCTACTAGTAGTTAAGCTTTGGTAAAGTCAGAAGTTATACATGTATTTTCTACTTCATGGGGGTGCCCCTAAACCCCCACCTTGTTCAAGGGTTAGTTGTACTTTTAAAAGGGCAATTTGGCAGTATTAATAAGAATAAAAATAAAAATATTCATACTCTTTGGCCTAGAAAGCCTACCTATTGAAGTACATCCTGTAAAAAACATCAATAGAATGAGCATGAAGATATGTATAAGGGTACTTATGGAAGCTTGTGATTAAACATACATTATTTATTATGGAAATTTCAACATATCTGAAACTAGCCATTATTTAGCTCCCACTTATAAGTGAGAACATGCAATATTTGTCTTTCTGTGTTTGACTTGTTTCACTTAATATAATGGCCTCCAGTTCTATCCATGTTGCTGCAAGACCTCCTTTTCTACCACATCTTACCTAGCCAAAGAAAGTTCTCTGGATCATTTAATTAGATTGGGCCCACCTGGATAATACAGAATAATTTCTCTGTAATCTTAGTTAAATCTGCAAAGTCCCTTTTGCCATGTAACGTAGCATATTGACAGGTTCTAGGGATTAGAATGTGAACATCTCTCAGGGGAGATATTTTGTCTACTGCTCATTTTTAGGAAGGGTTCTCCCATTTACAGGTTATACCAGAGTTGACCTTTGTTTTCTTCTAGTACTTATATGGTTTCGTTTGTTTACATTTAAATCCCTCATCCTTCTGGAATTTATTATGGTGTGAGGAGTGAATCCAATTTTATCATTAAAAAATCTAATACACTTATGGAAATTCCATTTATTAAAAAGCTGAAGTTCATCTTTTCTCCACTGATTTGAACTGCTTTTATCATACACTAAATTTCCATACAGATTTTCTGCTCATTTCCATTGGGATACCAATATACTCTGGAATTTTAATTAAAGAGTTTTTACAGTATGTTTAAATGTCTATGGGGCTAGGTTCTTTTTACTATTCTTTTGCAGGATATTCCCAGATTTTTTTTTAATTGGCTTTCCAAATAAATTTTACAATTAACTTGTGGATGCCAGGGAAAAACAGTCTGATGGTATTTTTATATGCATAATGTTAAATTTGTAAGTTAACTTTGGGAGGGGTGATCCCCTGTGTTGGAGGAAGAGCCTGGTGGGAGGTGATTGGATCATGGAGGCAGATTTTGCCCTTGCTGTTCTAGTAATAGTGAGTGAGTTATCAGGAGATCAGATTGTTTGAAAATGTGTGGCACCTTCACCTTCACTCTCTTCCTCCTGCTCGCCCTTCAACTTCTGCCATGACTATAAGTTTTCTGAGGCCTCTTAACTTTGTAAATTACCCAGTTTCAGATAGTTCTTTATAGCAGTGTGAGAAAGGACTAATACAGAAAAGTGGTACTGGGAGAGGGGCATTGCTATAAAGATACCTGAAAATGTAGAAGCAACTTTGGAACTGGGTAGTGGGCAGAAGTTGGAACAGTTTGGAGGGCTCAGAAGAAGACAGGAAGATGAGGGAAAGTTTGGAGCTTCTTAGAGACTGGTTAAATTGTTGAAGTCCAGGCTAAGGTGGTCTCAGATGGAGATGGAAACTTACTGGGAACTGGAGTAAAGTCACTCTTGCTATGCTTTAGCAGAGACTGACAGCATTGTGCCCCTGCTCTGGGGATCTGTGGAACTTTCAACTTGAGAGTCATGATTTAGGGTATATGGTGGAAGGATTTCTAAGCAGCAAAGCATTCAAGGTTTGGCCCAGCTGCTTCTAACAATGTGCGGTCATATGAGTGAGTAGAGATGATCTGAAACTGGAATTTATATTTAAAGGGGAAGCAGAGTGTAAAAGTTTGCAAAATTTGCAGCCTGACCATGTGGTAGAAAAGAAAAATCTACTTTCTGGGAGGCTGCAGAAATTTGCATAAGAGGAGCTGAATGTTAGTAAAGACAATAAGGAAAATGCCTCCAAGGCATTTCAGAGACCCTTGCAGCAGCCCCTCCTATCACAAGCCTGGAGGCCTAGGAGGGAAGAATAGTTTTGTGGGCAAGGCCCGGGGCCCTGCTGCTCTGTGCCGCCTCCAGACATGGCACCCTTCATTGTGGCTGTTCCAACTCCAGCCATGGCTAAAATGAGCCAAGGTATAGCTTGGGCCATTGCTTCAGAAGAGTACAAGCCCTAAGCCTTGGTGGCTTCCATGTGGTGTTAAGCCTGCAGGTGCACAGTGTAAGAGTTGAGGCTTGGGAACGTCAGCCTACATTTCAGAGGATGTATGGAAACGCCTGGATGTCCAGGCAGAAGTCTGCTGCAGGGGCAGGACCCTCATGGAGAACTTCTACTACAGCAGTGCAGATGGGAACTGTGGGGTTGGAGGCCCCCCAACCGACCCACAGAGTCCCCACTGGGGCACTGCCTAGTGGAGCTGTGAGAAGTGGGCCATCATCCCCCAGACCCCAGAATGGTAGATACACGAATAACTTGTACTGTGCACCTGGAAAAACCACAGGCACTCAACAGCAGCTCATGAAAGCAGCCATGGGAGCTGAGCCCTGCAGAGCCAAAGGGGCAGAGCTGTCCAAGGCCTTGGGAGCCCACTGCTTGCATCAGCATGTGCTTGATGTGAGACATGGAGTCAAGGGAGATTATTTTGGAGCTTTAAGAGCTAATGACTGCTCTGGTGGGTTTCAAACTTGCATGGGGCCTGTAGTCCCTTTGTTTTGGCTGATTTATCCCTTTTGGAATGGGTGTATTTATCCAATGCCTGTACCCCCATTGTATCTTGGAAGTAACTAGTTTTTGATTTTACAGGTTCATAGGTGGAAGGGACTTGTCTTTTTTAAGATGAGAAAAGGGAAAACTCATGCATTGTTGGTGGGAATGTAATTTAGTACATCCACTATGGAGAACAGGTTGGAGGTTCCTCAAAAAACTAAAAATAGAGCTACCATATGATTCAACAATCCCACTGCTGGGTATCTACTCAAAAGAAGGTATATTAGCCTATCAAAGAGATATCTGCACTCCCATGTTTGTTGCAATGTTGTTCACAGGAGCCAAGACTTGGAAGCAACCTAAGTGTCCATTAGCAGATGAATGGATAAAGAAAATGTGGTATATATACACAATGGTATACTATTCAGCCATAAAAAAGAATGAGATCCTTTTATCTGCAACAACACGGATGGAAGTGGATGAAATAAGCCAGGCACAGAAAGACAAACTTATCATGTTCACTTATTTATGAGAGCTAAAAATTAGAATGATGGAACTCAGAGAGAATAGAACCCAGAGGAACCCAGAGGCTGGAAAGGGTAGTGGGGGAGAGTGAGGATGTTTATTGGGTACAACAAAATGGAAAGAATGAATAAGACCTAGTATTTGCTAGCACAACAGGGTATCTACGGTAAAAAATAATTGTACATTTAAAAATAACTAAAGGAGTATAATTGGATTGTATGTAAGATAGACAGTAGAAGGATGGTTACTAGAGCTGGGAAGGGTAGTGGGGAGGTGAGGATGAGTTAAGACTTTGGGGGACTGTTAGGAAGGCATGATTGTGTTTTGAAATGTGAGAAGGACATGAGATATGGGAGGGGCCAGGGGCTAAATGATATGGTTTGGGTCTGTGTCATCACCCAAATCTACCAAATCTAATGTCAAATTGTATTTCCCAATGTTGGAGGAGGAGCCTGGTGGGAGGTAATTAGATCATGGGGGAGGATTTCCCCCTTGCTGTTCTCATAATAGAGAGTGAGTTCTCATGAGATCTCGATGTTTAAAAGTGTGTGGCACCTTCACCTTCACCTTCACTCTCTTCCTCCTGCTCCAGACATGTAGGACATGCCTGCTTCCTCTTTGCCTTCCACCATGATTATAAGTTTCCTGAGGCCTCCCCAGCCATGCTTCCTGTACAGCCTGCAGAACTGTGAGTCAATTAAACCTATTTTCTTTATAAATTACCCAGTCTCAGGAGGTAGTGCCTTTTAGCAATGTGAGAATGGACAAATACAAAAATCATACTTGCAAACTGGAATAAACCCCACTTGGTCATGATATAGTATTTTAAAAACGTGCTTTGGATTCCACATGCTAATACTTAAAAGTTTTTACACTGATACTCATTGAGTGAGAATGATCTGCAGTACAATAGGTTTTAAGGTTTTAGATCAATGTTGTACTTTATAATATCAATTTTGACAATTTCCTCTTTTTTAATGTTCTAGTAAAGTTTAAGAACCACAGGTAATCTGATTTTTACAGGTTAGGTAGAATTTCATCACTAAACTTTTTGAGCCAGGACTATTATTGTGGGGGGAGCACTTTAAGTTTCTTATTCTCTTCTAAGGTAATTTGTCATTTAGGACTTAATGTTAGTCTGGTAAACCGTAATTTTCTTAGAAATTATCCATCCAATGTGACTCTTCAAATATATTTGCATAGAGTTGTATGAAGTATTCTCTTATAATACTTAAAATTTTCTGTTTGGTAATTATTCATCATTTCTATTTTGTATATTTGTGCCTTTTCCCTTCCTCCAACAGCTGATTATTTTTGTGATTCATTTTTCAAGTGGCTAAATTTGGGATTTGTTAGTTCTGTTGTTTTTCTATTTTCTAGATTTAACTTCTATAAATTCTAGCATTAATTTCTGCTTTTTTAATTCAGTCCTTCCTTCTGCCTTTTTTTTTGAGGACTGCTCTATTTCACAGCTTTTAAGATTTTCTGATTTTCTTAAATTTCATTTTTATTGATATAAACATTAAGTACTATATATTTTACCCTAATAACTCAATCATTTTATATATATATAGGATTTTCTTTAGTTTTATTTTCAAGAAATTCTGCAGTTTAAGAATTATTCAATAGTTATTAAGATGCCACATAGCAGGCCTTTTGATTGTATTTTGTTAATCATTTCTCATTTTATTGCTTTCACATCAGGGTGTATTTTTCTCTATTGTTTCTGTTCTTTGAAATTGACTTATGATTGAAGTTTCATTTGTTGCCTAAGATATGGCCAACTTTTCCTGAATGTTCCCATCAGCACTTAAAAAAAGGCATATCCTCCATTATCAGAATTCAGAGTTTACTACAGATCTAAAAGATCTACCTCATTGATTATGTTGTTTAGATTTTCTATTTCCTCCATAATTTTTTTCCACGTGATTTTTCTTAAATTGAGAGAGGTATGTTAAAGTTTCCTTTTATAGTGCAGTTCTTTCTATCTCTACTTGCAGCCCTGTAACTTCTGCTTAATGAAAGCTGTTGCTGTGTTATTAGGAGATTCCATAAAGCGTTACATCTTCCTTGTGAATTGTAGTATTTAGCATTATGAAAGCCCTCCTTCTGTCTCTTTTTGATCTGAATTATATACCTTTCTCAGATACCAAGACTGCGCATCACATTACATTTGTCTGCATCTTTGTTTATCCTTTATTTTCAACCATTCTAAATCAATCTCTCATTCTTCCTCCTCCTCCTTCCTTCCCTTGTCTGTGTATCTATCTGTGTATCTTACATTCAGCCTAGTTTTAGATTTTGCTCTGTTACTAATCTGAACTTTTTATAAGTGAGTTCAGCCCATTTACATTCATTGATAAGATCTTTATATCGGGCCTCAAATTTGTCATATTGTTTCATTGTACACACGTACAGAGTCTGTGTTGTCTGCCTTATTTGGGGTGCATATGTGTGTGTGTATAAACTTTTAATACTTAGTAAAGTTTGTATTTATTCCAATAGTTGCATTTATATCAGTTGCTTTATATAATACCCTTGGCACCTGTCTTTTTTATTAATTTTAAAAAAAATTTTTGTGGGTACATAGTAGGTATAGATCTTTACAGAGTATATGAGATGTTCTGAAACAGGCATGCAATGTATAATAATCACATTGTGGAAATGGGGTATCCATCACCTCAGGCATTTATCCTTTCTATTACAAACAATCCAATTATACTCTTTTAGTCATTTTAAAGTGTACAATTAAATTATTATTGACTAAAGTCACCCTGCTGTGCTGTCAAATACTATGTCTTATTCATTATTTCTAACTATCTTTTTTTGGTATGTATTAACCATCTCCAACTCCCCACTAACCCTTCCCAGCTCTGGTAACCATCCTTCTACTCTCTATTTTACAATCCAATTATGCTCTTTTAGTTATTTTAAAATGTACAACTATTTTTTACCATAGACACTGTGTTGTGCTAGCAAATACTAGGTCTTATTCATTCTATTTTGTTGTACCCAATAACCATCCTCACTTCCCCGCTACCTCCATTACCCTTCCCAGCCTCTGGTAACCATCCTTCTACGCTATCTGAGTTCAATTATTTTAATTTTTAGCTCTTATAAATAAGTGAGAACATGAGAAGTTTGTCTTTCATCCTTCTACTCTCTCTGAGTTCCATCATTTTAATTTTTAGCTCTTATAAATGAGAACATGAGAAGTTTGTCTCTCTGTGCCTGGCTTATTTCATCCAGTTCCATCCGTGTTGTTGCAGATAACAGGATCTCATTCTTTTTTATGGCTGAATAGTATGCCATTGTGCATATATACATTTTCTTTATCCATTCATCTGCTGATGGACACTTAGGTTGCTTCCAAGTCTTGGCTCCTGTGAACAACATTGCAACAAACATGGGAGTGCAGATATCTCTTTGATAGACTAATGTACCTTCTTTTGAGTAGATACCCAGCAGTGGGATTGTTGACTCATGTGGTAGCTCTATTTTTAGTTTTTTGAGGAACCTCCAACCTGTTCTCCACAGTGGTTGTACTAAATTACATTCCCACCAACAGTGTATGAGTTTTCCCTTTTCTCCACATCCTCACCAGCTTTTCTTATTACCTGTCTTTTGGATAATAGCCATTTTAATTGGGGTGAGATGATATCCCACTGTAGTTTTGATTTGCATTTCTCTGATGATCAGTGATGTTGAGCACATTTTTATATGCCCGTTTGCCTTTTTTTTTTTTTTTTTTTTTTGAGACAGAGTCTCACTCTGGTCACCCAGGCTGGAGTGCAATGGTGCAGTCTTGGCTCACTGCAACCTCCACCTCCAAGGTTCAAGCGATTCTCTTGCCTCAGCCTCCCGAGTAGCTGGGATTACAGGCACCTGCCACCACGCCCGGATAATTTTTGTATTTTTAGTTGAGTCGGGGTTTCACCATGTTGGCCAGGCTGGTCTGAAACTCCTGAACTCAGGTGATCTGCCCGCCTCAGCCTCCCGAAGTGTTGGGATGACAGGCATGAGCCACTGCGCCTGGCCTGTACTTTTGAGAAATGTCTATTTAAATCTTTAGCTCATTTTTAAATAGGATTATTACATGTTTTTTTTCATACAGAGTTGTTTAAATTCCTTATATATTCTGGTTATTAATCCCTTGTGAGATGGGTAGTTTGCGGTATTTTCCCCCATTCTGTGGCTTGTCTCTTCACTTTGTGGATTGTTTCCTTTGCTGGGTAGAAGCTTTTAAACTTGATATGATCCCATTTGTCCATTTTTGCTTTAGTTACCTGTGCTTGTGGGGTATTACTTAAGAAGTTTCTACCCAGACCAATGCCCTGGAGCATTTCCCCAATATTTTCTTGTATTAGTTTGAGGTTGTAGATTTAAGTCTTCAGTCATTTTATTTTGATTTTTGTATATGGCAAGAGATACAGGTTTAGTTTCATTCTTCTACATATGGATATCCAGTTTTCCCAGTACCATTTATTGAAGAGATTGTCTTTCCCCCAGTGTATGCTTTTGTCACCTTTGTTGAAAATGAGTTCACTGGAGGTGCGTGGATTTGTTTCTGGTTAGCTATTTTGTTCCATTGGTCTGCATGTCTATTTTTATGCCAGTACCATGTTGTTTTGGTTACTATAGCTCTGTAGTATAATTTTAAGTAAGGTAATATGATTCTTTTTGCTTAGGATTGCTTTGGCTACTCTGCGTCTCTTGTGGTTCCATGTAAATTTTAGGATTTTTTTTCTATTTCTGTGAAGGATGTCAGTGGTATTTTGATATGGATTGCATTGAATATGTAGATTGTTTTGGTAGTATGGACATTTTATCAATATTGATTCTTCCAATCCATGAACATGGAATATCTTTCTACTTTTTGGTGTTCTCTTCAATTTCTTTCATCAGTGTTTTCTAGTTTTCATTATACAGATCTTTCACTTCTTTGGTTAAATTAATTCCTAGGTATTTTATTTTATTTGTGGCTATTATAAATGGGATTACTTTTTAAATTTCTTCTTCACATTGTTCATTGTTGGGATATAGAAATGCTACTGATTTTTGTAGGTTGATTTTGTAACCCGCAGCTTCACTGAATTTATCAGTTCTCACAGTTCTTTTGTGTGGATTCTTTAAATTTTTTCAAGTGTAAGATCATAGCATCTGCAAACAAGGACAGTTTGACTTCTTCCTTTCCAATATGGATGCCCTTTATTTCTTTCTCTTGTCCGATTGCTCTTGCTAAGACCTCCAGTACTATGTTGAGTAACAGTGGTGAAAGCGGGCATCCTTGTTGTGTCCCCATACTTAGAGGAAAGGCTTTCGTTTTTTTCTCATTCGGTATGTTACCAGCTGTGGGTCTGTCATATATGGCTTTTATTAAGCTGAGGTATATTCTTTCTACACCATTTTTGATGGTTTTTATCCTGAAGTGATGTTGAATTTTATCAAATGCTTTTTTGGCATCAAATGAAAATGATCATACGGCTTTTGTCTTTCATTCTGTTGATATGATGTATCACATTCATTGATCTGTGTATTTTGAACCATCCTTTCCTCCCAGGAATAAATTTCACTGGGTCATGATGAACGCTCTTTTTAATGTATTGTTCAATTTGGTTTGCTAGTATTTTGTTGAGGATTTTTGCATCAATATTCATCAGAGATATTCACCAGTTGCTTTCTTTTTTTCCTGTCATTTTTAGAGGAGTACTGTCTGTTGGTTCTCTACTATGAGCATTACTCGAATTAGTAACCAATTTCCCCCTTTATCCTTTTTCTCTCCCAGTGTCAGATATGAAGTAATACACTTCTTGTTTCTAGCCAGCATCTGTAAGGCAGTCCTTTATTAATTTTATTTTTTTCATTTTCTTTGAGACACAGTCTCACTCTGTCATCCAGGCTGGAGTGCAGTGGCTCATGGCTCACTGCAGCCTTGACCTCCTGGACTCATGCAATTTTCCCACATCAGCCTCCTGAGAAGCTGGGAGTACAGGAGTGTGCCACCATGCCTGGCTAATTTTTGTACTTTTTATAGAGATGGAGTTTTGCCATGTTGCGCAGGCTGGGCTCAAGTGATCCTCCTGTCTCAGCATCCCACTTATTGTATTTTTATTCTACTCTTCTTATTCTCCCTATATTTTTATTTGTTTTGGGTTGTATCATTATCTCACTTTAACCATCATTTAGTTTTATTTTTAATTTACTTACAAGCTAATAGTTTTTCATTTACTGTGGTAAAAAACCCATAAAAATGGTTAAGATAGTAACTTTTCTTAAGTGAATACTTCAGTAGTGTTGACTATACTCACATTGATGGGCAACAAATTGCTTGAACTTCTTTTTAATCTTGCAAAACTGAAACCCATTAAAAACTAATTCTCCTCCTCCCTTTTCTCCAGCTCTTGACAACCACCACTTTGTTTCTATGAGTTATGACCACTGTAGTTACTTCATATGACTGGAATCATATAGTATTTACCCTTTTGTGACTGGCTTCATCAGTTAGTTTTAAATGTAGATGTATTTATTATGCTTATCACTAGTCCTTACATAGATGTCTCAAGTCATGTTGGCTGTTTGAATCTCATTATCCAATAGATTTCCTAGTAGTGGCTCATGGAAATAATAGTGATATGGTTTGACTGTGTGTCCTCACCCAAATCTCATGTCAAACTCATGACAGTGAGTTCTCACAAGATTTGGTTGTTTCTGTAGCACCTCCCCCTTCACTCTCTTTCTCCCTCTCCACCATGTGAAGAAGGAGCTTGCTTCCCCTTCACCCTACCACCCTGATTGTAAGTTTCCTGAGGCCTCCCCAGCCATGCCTCCTGTACAGCCTGCGGAACTATGAGTCAATTAAACCTCTTTCCTTAATAAATTACCCAGTCTCTGGTAGTTCTTTATAGCAATGTGAGAATGGACCTAATGCAAATAGGTCGTTTTGGCTCACCTTTTTCTTGAGTATCTTAAATATATTTCTGTATTGCGTTCTGGCATAAAGTGTTGCTGACAAAAAGTGATCATAATCCATTTTCATTCATTTATAAGAACTTGGTCTTTTCATCTGAATGCTCAGAGGATTTCATTAGAATATGTCTTGATGTCGACCAACTTGGGCTGGTGTTTCCAGGTCATGATGTGCTCTTTCATTACTACTATAAAGTTTTTTTCTATTTCAGGAAATTTTTCTTAAGAGTTTTTCAGGATTCTGCTGTATTGCGTTGGTTTTTCTTCTCTAGGAATTCTCATTTTATGTATGTTGGATCTTCTTTGCCTATCATCTTTCTCTAGCACTTTTTCTTGAGTCCATTTTCATTTATCTTTCATTTTTAAGTGTTTCCTCTTTTAAATTCTCTAGTTATCATAAGCAATTGTGTTTACTTAGTCTTGTGATCCTTCTAAGTTAATGTTCATTTCTAACATGATTTTTTTGTTTCTTATTCTTTCATTCTCTAAAAAATCTTCTTTAATCACCTCTGAGTTTGTTATCCTTATTTACATTATTCTTTCATAACTTATATCACTGTATTTAAGATTATTTTAAAATATTGGGGTCAATTCTCATCTATTTGTGGGCATGTCTTTCTAGAGTGCTTTCATTGTTGATAGGGAAATTATTATTCTTATTCTGTTTTTCAAATGCTGCTTTGTATGAGATGTGATTGCAACCCTTTGTTCTTGTTCATTTTTATGGAAAACTGCCTTTTCTGTACCTTTAAGGGGGTGAGTGTGCCAAGAAAGCTTTCTTATCTGCATAGGTCTGGAGCTTCTGAGTTTGTTGTGTTCATCATATAGAGAAAAATATGGTCTTCTATTTTACCCCTTTAATTTCTACATTCTTTTTCCTTTTCCCCCATTGTGCCTGGTGTGCTCAATTTGGGCTCTACTCTGAACTGTTTCTCCTAAGTTTGGGGATTCATCTAGAAAGATTATTTTGATTTGTTAGTCTTAAGCATTTATAGGATCCAGAATCTAGACCATCCCAGCACCTCCATACTTTCTACAGTTTTCTTGTATCCACAAATTGGAATCTACAGAATCATCTCTATTTTCTGCTGCTGTTCTGAGAATGACTTCACAAAATCTTCCAATTAGTAGTTGAAGTTTTCATCTGTCTGGACCATTAGAAGTCCCCCTACCTTCCGTGTGTTTCTCCCATGAAGCTGTTGTTGTTGTTATTTTTGTTTGTGTGAGACTCTGCTTTCATGGTCTGTATTTATACTGAAAATCAAGATCAAGTCAGCTTTTGCCCTTCTGCTCCATAGGAGGTTTATACCCTCCCTGAGCTTGCCTTGGAACACCTGCATTATTATTTCATAGGTATACCTGCACCCTCCCACACTGCTTCCCCCCAGTTTAACTCCCCATTTGGCCCTGGCTCTGGCAAGGGTTGTATCTGGCTGGTGTGACTGGGTGCTTACAGCCAGAAGTAACAGCCCATTAGGGCTTGCTTTCTACTCTCCCCATACTGGGCCAGTAAAAAACAAAAACAAAAACAGTAAGAGTAGTGATATATTTCACAGGCAGCCCAAAAGGCTGCCTCCATCCCACTCCTTCACAGGGGTGCCTCTAATTATTTTACTTTTTGTAACTGTAGAATTGCATAACACTTTATTCCATAAAATAGAATAAATGTTCTCCCTCACACTTATTGTTCACCTTTCATAGCTGTTTCTGCCATACTCATTCCCTTGGCTGAGGTTTCACTGGACAGTAGGTAGGAACAGTAGGAATCTTGGTCATCCATTCATGCGTGTCACTAATTAAATGACCAAGCTTTAGGGTTCCTTGAGAGACCTATAGTTGCTACTGCCACTTACCTGAGCCTCATTGAATTTTTTCATGTTGGCATTCAGAGGACTGCACAGAAATCACATTGCTTCAACACCCACTGTGGACCCTCTAGACCTCATGAAGTTTTTAGTGGGTCCTGTAGCTGTTGGTGATTTATCCCTGTCCACTTATGTTTTGGGGTTTATAAGAATATGTTGTCACTAAAGCTTGTTGTAGATGCTGTCCATGGATATTGGTGTTCATTATTGTAGTTGCTCTTTCTGTTAAGAGAGGTTCCAGGGGATTAAAATACTTCAATGACAGCATCTTTTTAGAATTATCTAGCAGCACAGATTTTAGTAAAAACAAGGAATAATCCAAACACCCACTAATTGGATACTGATTAAATTGTAATATATTCATACAATTGAATAATATAGCTATAAAAAAGAGAAGGGGTCAGTCAACGTATACTGACATATAGCGTTCCAAAATATTTTGTTAAATTTTTAAAAAGTCATTTTGCAAAACAGGAAGCATGATTATATTTTGTTAAAAATATGTGAAAGGGGAAAAGCTAGAAAATATGTACTGTGTTAAGATTCCTTTTCTGGTTGGTGGCATTATACAGATCTCTTATTTTCTAAATGTTTGAGTTTTATGTAATGTGAATGTATTAACTTGTCATTAGAAAGAAGAGTACATTTTGAAAACAATGGCTATGCTATAAAATTAAGATAAAATTAATATACATATAAAATTATAAATGTTATATATTTACAGAATATACATATGTAATTGCAAACCTAATATAGGCTGTTAGGTTTCTAACAGTTAACATTATTTGCCTCTGAAGAGAAGACTGGATGACTACAGAACAAGTTTGGCAGTAGACCCTTTAACTAGAAACCTTTGGAATTCTGAGCCATGTGTGTATTTATTATTCAAAAAATTAAATGTAATTTAAAATTAAAAGTTTCACAGATTAAAACTTCTTTGGTGTAATTAATTTACACAAATTAAAATTTTTTAAATTAAAATTTGTGTAAATTAACTTTACACACATTTAAAACTCATTTAAAATAGTTAATGTAGGGGGAAGTTCCAAGATGGCGGGATAGGAACAGCTCCAGTCTACATTTCCCACCGTGAGTGATGCAGAAGACAGGTGATTTCTGCATTTCCAACTGAGGTACTGGGTTCATCTCACTGGGGCTTGTCAGACAGTGGGTGCAGGACAGTGGGTGCAGCCCATGGACTGTGAGCCGAGGAAGGGCAAGGCATTGCCTCACCCAGGAAGTGCAAGGGGTCAGGGAATTCCCTTTCCCAGCCAAGGGAAGCCATGACAGACGGCACCTGGAAAATCAGATCACTCCCACCCTAATACTGCGCTTTTCCAATGGTCTTAGCAAATGGCACACCAGGAGATTATATTCCATGCCTGGATTGGCAGGTCCCATGCCCACGGAGCCTTGCTCACTGCTAGCACAGCAGTCTGAGATCAAACTGCAAGGGGGCAGCAAGGCTGGGGGAGGGACACCCGCCATTGCTGAGGCTTGACTAGGTAAACAAAGCAGCCAGGAAGCTCGAAATGGGTGGAGCCCACTGCAGCTCAAGGAGGCCTGCCTGCCTCTGTAGACTCTGCTTCTGGGGGGCAGGGCATAGCTGAACAAAAGGCAGCAGAAACTTCTGCAGACTTAAACGTCCCTGTCAGACAGCCTTGAAGAGAGTAGTGGTTCTCCCAGCATGGAGTTTGAGATCTGAGAATGGACAGACTGCCTCCTCAAGTGGGTCCCTGACCCCCGAGTAGCCTAACTGGGAGGCATCGCTGAGTAGGGGCTGACTGACACCTCATACAGCCGGCCAGGTGCCCCTCTGAGACGAAGCTTCCAGAGGAAGGATCAGGCAGCAACATTTGCCATTCTGCAATATTTATGGCTCTGCAGCCTCCGCTGGTGATACCCAGGCAAACAGGGTCTGGAGTGGACCTCCAGCAAACTCCGACAGACCTGCAGATGAGGGTCCTGACTTTTAGAAGGAAAACTAACAAACAGAAAGGACATCCACACCAAAACCCCATTTGTACGTCAACATCATCAAATACCAAAGGTAGATAAAACCACAAAGATAGGGAGAAACCAGAGCAGAAAAGCTGAAAATTCTAAAAATCAGAGTGCCTCTTCTCCTCCAAAGGAACACAGCTCCTTGCCAGCAACAGAACAAAGCTGGATGGAGAATGACTTTGACGAGTTGAGAGAAGAAGGCTTCAGAAAATCGGTAATAACAAACTTCTCTGAGCTAAAGGAGGAAGTTTGAACCCATCGCAAAGAAGCTAAAAACCTTGAAAAAATACTGGACGAATGGCTAACTAGAATCAACAGTGTAGAGAAGACCTTAGATGACCTGATGGAGCTGAAAACCATGGCACGAGAACTATGTGATGCGTGCACAAGCTTCAGTAGCCAATTCGATCAAGTGGAATAAAGGGTATCAGTGATTGAAGATCAAATGAATGAAATGGAGCGAGAAGAGAAGTTCAGAGAAAAAAGAGTAAAAAGAAATGAACAAAGCCTCCAAGAAATATGGGGACTATGTGAAAAGACCAAATCTACGTCTGATTGGTGTATCTGAAAGTGACAGGGAGAATGGAACCAACTTGGAAAACACTCTTGAGGATATTATCAAAGAGAACTTCTCCAGCTAGCAAGGCAGGCCAACATTCAAATTAAGGAAATACAGAGAACGCCACAGATACTCCTCGAGAAGAGCAACTCCAGGACACAAAATTGTCAGATTCACCGAAGTTGAAATGAAGGAAAAAATGTTAAGGGCAACCAGAGAGAAATGTTGGGTTACCCACAAAGGGAAGCCCATCAGACTAACAGCAGATCTCTTCACAGAAACTCTACAAGCCAGAAGAGAGTGGGGGCCAATATTCAACATTCTTAAAGAAAAGAATTTTCAACCCAGAATTTCATATCCAGCCAAAATAAGCTTCATAAGTGCAGGAGAAATAAAATCCTTTACAGACAAGCAAATGCTGAGAGATTTTGTCACCACCAGGCCTGCCTTACAAGAGCTCCTGAAGGAAGCACTAAACATGGAAAGGAAGAAATGGTACCAGCCACTGCAAAAACATGCCAAATTGTAAAGACCATCGATGCTAGGAAGAAACTGCATCAACTAACGAGCAAAATAACCAGCTAACATCATAATGACAGGAACAAATTCACACATAACAATATTAACCTTACATGTAAATGGACTAAATGCCCCAATTAAAAGACACAGACTGGCAAATTGGATAAAGAGTCAAGACCCATCAATGTGCTGTATTCAGGAGACCCATTTCACGTTCAGAGACACACATAGCCTGAAAATAAAGGGATGGAGGAAGATCTACCACAAAAATGGAAAACAAAAAAAAAAAAAGCAGGGGTTGCAATCCTAGTCTCTGATAAAACAGACTTTAAACCAGCAAAGATCAAAAGAGACAAAGAAGGCAATTATATAATGGTAAAGAGATCAATTCAACAAGAAGAGCTAACTATCCTAAATATATATGCACCCAGTACAGGAGCACCCAGATTCATAAAGCAAGTCCTTAGAGACCTACAAAGAGACTTAGACTCCCACACAATAATAATGGGAGACTCAGACACCCCACTGTCAACATTAGACAGATCCATGAGACAGAAAGTTAACAAAATTATCCAGGAATTGAACTCAATTCTGCACCAAGTGGACCTAATAGACAGCTACAGAACTCTTCACCCCAAAGCAACAGAATATACATTCTTCTCAGCACCACATCGCACTTTTTCCAAAATTGACCACATAGTTGGAAGTAAAGCACTCCTCAGCAAATGTAAAAGAACAGAAATTATAACAAACTGTCTCTCAGACCACAGGGCAATCAAACTAGAACTCAGGATTAAGAAACTCACTCAAAACCGCTCAACTACATGGAAACTGAACAACCTTCTCCTGAATGACTACTGGGTATATAATGAAATGAAGGCAGAAATAAAGATGTTCTTTGAAACCAATGAGAACAAACACACAACATACCAGAATCTCTGGGACACATTTAAAGCAGTGTGGAGAGGGAAACTTATAGCACTAAATGCCCACAAGAGAAAGCAGGAAAGATCTAAAATTGACACCCTAACATCACAATTAAACGAACTAGAGAAGCAAGAGCAAACACATTCAAAAGCGAGCACAAGGCAAGAAATAACTAAGAACAGAACAGAACTGAAGGAGACAGAGAACCAAAAAACCCTTCAAAAAATCAATGAATCCAGGAGCTGGGTTTTTGAAAGGATCAACAAAATTGATAGACTGCTAGCAAGACTAATAAAGAAGAAAAGACGAAGAATTAAATAGACACAACAAAAATGATAAAGGGGATATCAACACCGATCCCACAGAGATACAAACTACCCTCAGAGAATACTATGAACACCTCTACACAAATAAACTGGAAAATCTAGAAGAAATGGATAAATTCCTGTACACATACACCCTCCCAAGAATACACCAGGAGGAAGTTGAATCCCTGAATAGACCAATAACAGGCTCTGAAATTGAGGCAATAATTAATAGCCTACCAACCAAAAGAACTCCAGGACCAGATGGATTCACAGCCGAATTCTACCTGAGGTACAAAGAGGAGCTGGTACCATGCCTTCTGAAACTGTTCCAGTCAATAGAAAAAGAGGAAATCCTCCCTAACTGATTTTGTGAGGCCAGCATCATCCTGATACCAAAGCCTGGCAGAGACACAACAAAAAAAGAGAATTTTAGACCAATATCCATGATGAACATTGATGCAAAAATCCTCAATAAAATACAGGCAAACCGAATCCAGCCGCACATCAAAAAGCTTATCCACCATGATCAAGTGGGCTTCATCCCTGGGATGCAAGGCTGGTTCATTATATGCAAATCAATAAACATAATCCATTAGATAAACAGAACCAAAGACAAAAACCACATGATTATCTCAATAGATGTAGAAAAGGCCTTCGACAAAATTCAACAGTGCTTCACGCTAAAAACTCTCAATAAACTAGGTATTCATGGGATGTATCTCAAAATAATAAGAGCTATTTATGACAAACCCGCAGCCAGTATCATACTGAATGGGCAAAAACTGGAAGCATTCCCTTTGAAAACTGGCACAAGACAGAGATGCCCTCTCTCACCACTCCTATTCAACATAGTGTTGGAAGTACTGGCCAGGGCAGTCAGGCAAAAGAAGGAAATAAAGGGTATTCAATTAGTAAAAGAGGAAGTCAAGTTGTCCCTGTTTGCAGATGACATGATTGTATATTTAGAAAACCCCATCATCTCAGCCGAATATCTCCTTAAGCTGATATGCAACATCAGCAAAGTCTCAGGATACAAAATCAATGTGCAAAAATCACAAGCATTCCTGTACACCAATAACAGACAAACAGAGAGCCAAATCATGAGGGAACTCCCATTCACAATTGCTTCAAAGAGAATAAAATACCTAGGAATCCAACTTACAAGGGATGGGAAGGACCACTTCAAGGAGAATTACAAACCACTGCTCAACAAAATAAAAGAGGACACAAACAAATGGAAGAACATTCCATGCTCACGGATAGGAAGAATCAATATCATGAAAATGGCCATACTGCCCAAGGTAATCTATAGATTCAAGGCCATCCCCATCAAGCTACCAATGACTTTCCTCACAGAATTGGAAAAAACTACTTTAAAGTTCACATGGAACCAAAAAAGAGCCCGCATTGCCAAGACAATCCTAAGCAAAAAGAACAAAGCTGGAGGCATCATGCTACCTGACTTCAAACTACACTACAAGGCTACAGTAACCAAAACAGAGATATAGACCAATGGATCAGAACAGAGCCCTCAGAAATAACCCTGACTTCAAACTATACTACAAGGCTACAGTAACCAAAATAGCATGGTGCTGGTACCAAAACAGAGATATAGAACAATGGAACAGAACAGAGCCCTCAGAAATAATACCGCATATCTGCAACCATCTGATCTTTGACAAACCTGACAAAAACAAGAAATGGGGAAAGGATTCCCTATTTAATAAATGGTGCTGGGAAAACTGGCTAGCCATATGTAGAAAGCTGAAACTGGATCCCTTCCTTACACCTTATACAAAAATTAATTCAAGATGGATTTAAAGACTTAAATGTTAGACCTAAAACCATAAAAACCCTAGAAGAAAACCTAGGCAGTACCATTCAGGACATAGGCATGGGCAAGGACTTCATGTCTAAAACACCAAAAGCAATGGCAACTAAAGCCAAAATTGACAAATGGGATCTAATTAAACTAAAGAGCTTCTGCACAGCAAAAGAAACTACCATCAGGGTGAACAGGCAACCTACAGAATGGGAGAAAATTTTTGCAATCTACTCATCTGACAAAGGGCTAATATCCAGAATCTACAAAGAACTCAAATAAATTTACAAGAAAAAAACAACCCCATCCAAAAGTGGGCAAAGGATATGAACAGACATTTCTCAAAAGAAGACATTTATGCAGCCAAAAGACACATGAAAAAATGCTCGTCATCACTGGCCATCAGAGAAATGCAAATCAAAACCACAATGAGATACCATCTCACACCAGTTAGAATGGCGATCATTAAAAAGTCAGGAAACAACATGTGCTGGAGAGGATGTGGAGAAATAGGAACACTTTTACACTGTTGGTGGGACTGTAAACTAGTTCAACCATCGTGGAAGTCAGTGTGGCAATTCCTCAAGGATCTAGAACTGGAAATACGATTTGACCCAGCCATCCTATCACTGGGCATATACCCAAAGGATTATAAATCATGCTGCTATAAAGACACATGCACACGTATGTTTATTGCAACACTATTCACAATAGCAAAGACTTGGAACCAACCCAAATGTCCAACAATGATAGACTGGATTAAGAAAATGTGGCACATATACACCATAGAATACTATGCAGCCATAAAAAAGGATGAGTTCATGTCCATTCTAGGGACATGGATGAAGCTGGAAACCATCATTCTAAGCAAACTATCACAAGGATAGAAAACCAAACACCGCATGTGTTCTCACTTATAGGTGGGAATTGAAGAATGAGAACACTTGGACACAGGATGGGGAACACCACACACCAGGGCCTGTCGTGGTATTGGGGGAGGGGAGAGGGATAGCATTAGGAGACATACCTAATGTAAATGATGAGTTAATGGGTGCAGCACACCAACATGGCACATGATACATATGTAACAAATCTGCACATTGGGTACATGTACCCTAGAACTTACTTAAAGTTTAATAAAAAAAAAACTAAAAAAAAATAAATAAAATAGTTAATGTAGAACATGGCCAAACTTAATTTTTTTCCTAAAAATTTATTAGCTTAGGAAATTTTTTAATGAAGTAAATGGAACAAAAGGTTTTATACTGAAAACTGATGTTTTCTACTAAGGACTACTATAATGAAAATGTGGTCTAAAGACACTGAATTGGGTTCACCTGAAAGAAATATTTTAAATGGCATTACTTCCAATAATTATTCTGGCAATTGGTAGGATTCTTGAACCTATCAAATACTTTAAACAAAATTTAAAAAAATACCTCAGTGATACGTTTTTCCTTTGAAGCATAGGTACAGTCTATAAATCAAGAACCAAAACAATCTGTTAGAACAGGGTTCACCAAACTAAGTTCAGACAAAATCCAGGCTGATGCCTGTTAGTCTTTAACTTTTGAGGTAAGAATGGTTTTTACTTTTTAATGGTTGGAAAAACATCAAAAGAATTTTCTGAGATCTGTCAATGTTATATAGAATTTATATTTATGTCCATAAATTCAGTTTTATTGAACTCAGCCTTGATTATTCATTTATCTATCATCTATGGCTGCTTTTGGACTACAAGGGCAGAGTCAAGTAGTTGTGACAGAAACTGTGTGGCCCACAAAACCTAAAATACTATCTGGCCCTTTACAGAAAAATAAATTGCCTACCTCTGCTTTAAAATATTTCATTAATCTGGAAAAGCTGGGTGTATTAGTATCATGAGTTTTAAATCCTTGACCTTAGTATTATTTAGGTTCTAACAGAGTGATCAAAGAAATAATTGGTTTGATCCTCAATTAGGAAAATTTTTCATTTTCATTCATGATTTAGGTACATTCTTGAGACCAACAAATAAAGTATTTGAAATAGCTTTCTTTCTCCTGAACTAAAACTTTACCTCTCAGCTGTCATCTTAGAGTAAAAGGGAAGACTAACATATCATTTTGTGCTGAGCCACATAATTAATGGACCAGTGCACACATTGATGGGTTTAGATGAAAAGCGACTGAAATTTGAACTATTAGCTTTCTCTTTCTTGTTACTTCAAAACTAGTTTGGGCTTTAAACATCGACTTACAGGTGTTTATCTTTTCTTAGTTGTCAGATAAATGGGGTTCCTGAGACATCATTTTGCAGTTTGGTCCACCTCAAAAAGAAAAACCCAAGAATCCCACAATTGAACTCCTTGATAAAGATTAGGCTATTTAAGGTTGTCCCCTTAAGGTTGCCTCTGTGGAGATATCCTTCAGAAATGAAAAATTTGAAGTATCATTATTGAGTACTAATTTACTGAGCAGTTATACAGAATGCTCTTTACCTTAAAATTTGAGTACTAATGAGAATTCAATTTGATAATTTATGGTAAATGGATTAAAACCTTTAATACTTATCTAAAAGCTATACATTTGAATTACTACCCTTATTGAAATTTAGACCACAAAAATTATTTTGTTTTAAGTAAAGTTTCTGGTCAGTGAAGGAGGGGATTATGGGGCATTTTTATTGAATATATTATGCTTTCCTGTACTGTATGAATTTTACAAATGAATATATATTACTTTTATTAGAAATATGATAGCGTTATCTTATATTCAGGAAGGGATATTAGCACTATTAATAAAAGTCAAACTAATATTTGTTTTCATGCCTTATTTCAGTTCAGAACTGTACAGTTGTAAGAAAAGTATGATGGGAACATATATGTGTTTCTGTTTAATATCTTAAAGTTAAATTGGATGTTTCTCATAAAATACAGCATGCTTTAAAATACAGATTGTTCTTTTATTTATTTATTTTATTATTATTATTATTTGAGACGGAGCCTCGCTCTGTTACCCAGGCTGGAGTGCAGTGGCCCTATCTCGGCTCATTGCAACCTCCGCCTCCCGGGTTCAAGCGATTCTCCTCCATCAGCCTCCTGAGTAGCTGGGACTAAAGGCGTGCGACACTACGCCCAGCTAATTTTTGTATTTTTTTAGTAGAGACAGGGTTTCACCATGTTGGTTGGCCAGGATGGTCTTGATCTCTTGACCTCATGATCTGCCCACCTCGGCCTCCCAAAGTGCTGGGATTACAGGTGTGAGCCACTGCAGCTAGCGAAAATACAGATTGTTCTATAGTTCTTTTTAGATACTAAAAATCTCCAATGAAGTTTTTGTTATTAATTGCAATTTTAATTCAGTATATAGGGTTAATAGTATGTTTTAAAATATGGCTTAAAACCTGACACAAAACAATAGAATGCTTTTCTTTGTCCTCAACCTGAAATACGTGCTGAACTACAATGAAGGCTGAGTTAGCTAATTATGATGTTTAAATATACAATTTACATGTATGCATAGTGTCATAAATCTTTGCAATGCTCTTTACTATTAGGGTTTGTTATTTAGTATTTTCCAGATGGATGCTTTTACGAGCCAAAACATAGGAACATTTTCTGAATTCACCTCTGGGCATTAAGACAAAAGAAGTAGAGGTATTATAACCTGACTTGTTTGAAACATCACTATGCTACTCTGAATGACAGTTTACAATTTACAAGTAGGGTGTGGCTAAAAAAGTCACTGAAGCAGACATAAGCATAGGTTTTCCCTCATACATACTTCCGGCCTGTCAGTCATGCCTCTCAAATGCTTTGTTGCACAGGCATGCCAATAAGTAAAACCACATTTTATCAGTTTTGTGCCCAAAGGCTTTTAAAAGGCCATGCAACCATATCAGTGTTTGAAAACCCCAGATTAAAGTTGAAGTCCTCAAGCAGATACTTTTCTTCCATTTAAAAGAGTAGTCTTGTATTTTCTTAAAGTGATTGATGTAAGAATGATAAAAACTTAATATTTTAACAAAATTGTTAAAACTTTGGTTATTTATCTTGCTTCCAACATTTTCTATAATTTTTACACATCTAAAAAATTCTAATGTGAATGAATTAAAATATGTATCATTTTCACTGAATGTATGCATATTAAGATATAGTAAAAACAGGCCGGACACGGTGGCTCACGCCTGTAATCCCAGCATTTTGGGAGGCTGAGGCGGGCAGATCACGAGGTCAGGAGTTCGAGACCAGCCTGGCCAACCAATATGGTGAAACCCAATCTCTACTGAAAATACAAAAATTAGCCGGGGGTGGTGGCAGCACCTATAGTCCCAGCTACTCGGGAGACTGAGGCAGAAGAATCGCTTGAACCCAGGAGGCAGAGGTTGCAGTAAGCCAAGATCGCGCCACTGCAATCCAGCCTGGGCGACAGAGTGAGGCTCTGTCTCCCAAAAAAAAATAAAAAATAAAAAGGTATAGTAAAAACACAACAAACAACAAAAGCCTTTGGCGACATTGACTGCACCTCCTTCTTCTGCTACCTGAAATATGTCATCCTTAAGTTTTAACTTAAAGGCATAGATTTGGGTAGCTGAAGCCAGATTTTAAGCCAATAAAAGTTGCACATGTATTTTAGCACTTTCTGGTTTTAGAAAACTGATTGATTCCCATTATCATCAATTTCAGAGCTGGCCATGGAGTTTTTGAGAATTTGTTAGCTTCTGGGATTGGAGAATGGGGTGAGAACTTAATGAGAGAAGTAGGGATCAGCAGAAAAAGAGAAGGGGGCTAAATCTGACTGAACATAAACAACTCTAGGCTGAATATTAGGTGGTTGGTTACATCTGTGACCCTGAATGGCTCTAGGAAATGTTTAGCTAAAATTGATAGTATGGATATGTTTTGGAGGAAAATGGTGTCTCCAACTTGGATTATGTCTTCTGATAACTACTGTTTATTGCTTGGCATATTAGAAGGTTTACTCTGAGTCGTTGTAGTTTTTTTTTGTCTGAAGTTCTTTCTAGCTGTCGATTGGCAAGGGTTTGTGAAATTACCCAGTAGTGCAGACAAAATGCAGGTATGGAAGTTAAAGTTACTATGCAGTGATGTATAAATGAATGTAGTACATTATTATATGCATATTTTTCTTTTTTTAAATTTAATTTAAAGTTCCAGGATACACGTGCAGGATGTGCAGGTTTGTTACATAGGTAAACATGTGCCATGGTGGTTTGCCTATCAACCCATCACCTAGGTACTAAGCCCTGCATGCATTAGCTATATTTATCCTGATGCTCTCCCTCCCCCTGCCCACCAAAAGGCCCCAGTGTGTGTTGTTCCCCTCCCTGTGTCCATGTGTTCTCATTGTGCACCTCCCATTTACAAGTGACAACATGTAGTATTTGGTTTTCTGTTCCTGCATTAGTTTGCTAAGGATAATGGCTTTCAGCTCCATCCCTGTCCCTCAAAGGACATGATCCTATTCTTTTTATGGCTGTATAGTATTCCATGTTGTGTATGTACCACATTTTCTTTATCCAGTCTATCATTGATGGGCATTTGGGTTGATTCCATGTCTTTGCTATTGTGAATAGTATATGCCTATTTTTCAACAATGAGATAAGAGAACCAGGAGTGTTGTCTATATCATATGTCGCTGTAGAACTATTTTTCCAGGATTCATGTAGTATTAGTTTTCTCTTCCCTTCATCTGAATGGTGAATAGAAGAATATGAATTCTTCCAGCTAAAGCAGCTGTTTTGTAATGCTTTCCACAATTGCATACATAAACTGTGGGATAAGGGAATAGGCTGTGGGGAAGTTAATAGTGGTAGAAAACTTTGATGAATGATATACTAATAGAACAGAGGAGCCAATAGGCCCAGTGAAGGTAATAGAGCCATTTCGATAAGCACATCTACCACTATCAGGATTAAAGGTCATCCTTGAGAGGACATGTTTGTTATAACATCCATAGCAACAGTTTCCTAAAGGTATTTAGAAGACAGTTCAGATGTAGCAACTTCTTGGACGTTGTGGGTCTTTGCTGGAGGTACATGTATCACAAAAGTAAAGCTTTGCTGGAGCTTTTTAAAAGATACATAGAACCAGGTGTATTGGTAGATAACTTCCCCTCCATTTCCTGGCCTGCATTCCTTATCTTCAGGGGCTTGACTCTAAAAGGTTCTCCATTAGGTCAGGCATTGCTATATGTAGGTGTCCACTTGTTGTTTCCTCCTAATTATCTCAGTTAATTAAAATTGTGTAGAGAATTTATGACCAGAACTCAAGCAAAACCTTGTATTTTTTTGAGAAAGTTCATCAGGTAGGGCAATGACATTAGAAAAATGGGTGATGAAATAACCTGCAAATCCTAGGAACATTTAAATATCTTTGAGGAGGGGTGCGGGCTGTCCCATTCTGGGTTGGATCCTTTCCCATAGTTGGAGAGAACATTACTTATAAGAGTCACCACCAGGCTCTCAAAGATACAATTTTAGGGATTGGTCCAGTGGTAGTACTCTTGCAGGCAATTCACCTGTGCCTGGACAGAGACTCATATGCAGTTGAGGCTAAAGAGAGAAAGCAGTTTCATCTCTCTATATATATGTTTACTCCTAATATTACAGACCAACCTTTGTAATGTGCCTATAGCATTTTATGGACTTAAGAACATCACCAGTTAGTTTTAGTAACAGACACTTTTAACAGTGTCTGGAAGGCTTCCTCACTTACAATTCTACTGTTTAAGTTTAGCTTCTTTAAAACTTCTACCATCAGACTTGTGGGGATTTAGCACAACAGGATTCCCTCAACTCCCAACCTTTAAAAAACAAGACACTGGCGTGGCCATAGATCAGGAATGTGGGAGCAAGGGCCTCTGGCTTAGATATTAAATACACTGTTTGTTTATCATGTCAAGCACCTAGTGTTTCACCTGCAGTTCTGGTGACAACGTAACTCCTCTGTCTCCTCATCTGAGAAGACCTATAGGAAGCAGTACATTTGGTTAGAATTTTAGGAGTGGATAGAGCAGATGGCACATCTAGGTAGGTAGTTTGCAGACTATGCTTAAGGCAGTGCCTGGAGGTGAAGCTTATCATAGTTTAAGTCAGCACTACACATAGCTGTATCAGCTGCATTTGTAGCTGTAACATTTACTGTGATTTTGTGTACAGGTATAAGCAACTAAATAATTTATGTCTTTTAGTATAGAATTGTTACATGAATCTATTTTTTTAACTTATAAATTATTTTCCATTTATCTCTTCTCTATAAAGTTATGACATT
Source organism: Homo sapiens (assembly GCF_000001405.40). NCBI lineage: Eukaryota > Metazoa > Chordata > Mammalia > Primates > Hominidae > Homo > Homo sapiens. The sequence goes on from NC_000002.12 coordinate 63,222,844, forward strand.
TCATTGTCATTAATAATATGTGTACATATACATGTGTTCATTATGAGTTCGATTTGAGTAAAGTAAAATTGATCTTCTTTGAAATATGTTTTAAAAGGGGGAAAAGGTCTAAGAGGGTTAAGAATACCTGATTGATATAAAACATAAGAAAATATGGGAAAATGATCCTAACAAACCAATTATCTATAACCAGATAAGATAAAATGGGTATAATCTTTTAGTCCTTAATTAAACAAAATATGACTGTATCAGTACTAAATATAAATATGTCTATATGTAGGATGTCTTACATTTTAAATGAGAAAGCTAGCAATTCCTATTTGACGAAACAACTCACCTGCTATCAAATATGATTATGAATTCTATTCATACTTGAATGTTGGGTGAGTTTTGACTAAATTGGGCAATGCATTTGCAACTATTTGGATAATTTCTTATACACAGATGGCAATCAGCAAAGACCTAGATTCTTCATTAACCTAATGATATTATCAGAGAACGTTTTACCACCCTCACGTGTGAGAATCCCGAGATAGCATATTGTTTGGTTGTGAAAATCTGATTGGCACTCACAAACTAGCCATTATAAAGGCAATATTCGTACAGTTACATAAAGGCTCCCCTGGCAAAGAGAAACTAAATAGTAATAATCCAGTCTGTGCTTTTCTGTGGAGCTTACAAGAGGCCTTATTCCAGGGCAGTAAGTGGGCAAGGATTGAGTGAATTCTGCGAAACATAAGACTCACTACAATTGTGGCATATGGTGGCAGGGCTATAGCATGGCCAGGTAAATACCTAGCAGCAATATGTTTCAGGAGATTGGCCCTCTGCTTCTAAACTATTTAATCCATAAGGAATCGCTTTGTGTGTATGCTATTAGGCGGGGGTTTAAAAACTTACATTTTAATCACATAGATATCCAAATAACCTAGCACCATTTATTTAAAAGATTATCCTTTCTCTTCTGCACTACAGTGTCACCTTTGTCATAAATCATATGGCCATACTATATATGGGGTGTGTTTCTGGCTTATTTGCTTCCGTTGGTCTGTTTGTCTATTCTTGCATCAATATCACTATTCAATTACTATAGACTTGTAAAAGTTCTTGATTTCCAGCACTGTAAGTCTTCCAGCTTTGTTGTTCTTCAGAATTGCCTTAACTATTCTTGGTCCTTTGCATTTCCATTTTCATCTTATAATCAGTTGTCAGTTTACACCAAAAATACTGTTATAGGCCTAAAGAGACACCTTACCAAAGAAGATATACATATGGCAAATAAGCATAGGAAAAGATACGCCACATCATATGTCATTAAGGAAATGCAATTTTCAATAATGAAAATAACAAGGAGATATGACTACACACCTATTGGGATGGCCAAAATCTAGCACACTCATGACATAAAATGCGGTGGAACAACAAGGATTCTTATTCATCAATGGTGGGAATGCAAAATGGTACAGTCACTTTGGAGGAAAGTTTGGTGCTTCCTTACAAAACTAAACATACTCATACTGTATGACCCAATGCTTGCACTCCTTGATATTTACCCAAGGGAACTGAAAACTTATGTCCACACAAAATCCTGCACACAGATATTTATCATAGCTTTATTCATAACTGCCAGAACTCAGAAGTAACCAAGTTGTTCTTCAGTCGATGACTAGATAAACTGTGGTACATTTAGATAATGGAGTATTATTCAACACTAAAAGTAAACGAGATATCAAGCAATGAAAAAAACATGAAGAAACCTTATTAAATGCATATCACCAAGTGAAAGAAGCCAATCTGAAAAGGCTGTATGATTCCAACTATGTGACATTCTAGAAAAGACAAAACTATAGAAACAATAAAAGCATCAGTGGTTACCAGGGACTAGGGAGGAGAGAGAGATGAACAGGCAGAGCACAGAGGATTCTAAGGACAGTGAAACTAGTCTATATGATATTACATGGTGGATATATGTCATTGTACATATATTTGTCTAAACCTATAGAATATGCAACACAAAGAGCAAACACTAATGTAAATTAAATTATTATTCTGGAGGATAATGATGTATAAATATAGGCTCACCAATTGTAACAGATGTACCATTCTAGAAGGGGATGTTGTTATAGGGGAAGACTGTTATATGTGTGGGAACTGGGGTTATAGGGGAAATCTCTGTACCTTCAGCTTAATTTTGCTGTGAACCTACAATGACTAAAAAAAAAAAAAGAAACCTATTAAAATAATTTTTATAAAGATACTCAGGAATGAAAAAATACTTTTCAGACTTTGGGGTTGTTCTGCAGTACATACATTTAACAAAAGATTTGTATAAGGAATATATGAAGAACTCTTGGAAAGTGTAAGAATAGGGATGATAACTCTATAGAACAATAGGCAGAAGGCAAAAGTCTTGAAAGGGCACCTCACAAAAGATATATCCAAATTCCCAATAAACATATAAAAAGAAACTTTGTGAATCATCAGAAAAATACAAATTAAGTAAAATGGTAGTGGTGGTTGGGGGTTGAGGATACCAAGTGTTGGCAAGGATGGGGATGTAAGAGAATTCTCACGTATTGGCAGTGAGAACATAAATTGCTATAGTTACTCTGGAAAAATCCTAAGAGGTATCTACTAAAGCCGAAAAAACACATGCCCTAAGACCCAACAATTCAAGTCCCAGATATTATACCCAAAAGAAATGGGTATATACATTCACAAAGGACATGCAGGATAATATTTATAATAGCCTCAAACTGGAGACAACCCAAATGTTTCTTAATGATGAAATGAATAAACAAATTGTGGTATACAGTGGGATAATATACATAACAATATGGGTGCATTTCACAAACATAATAGTAATAAAATTATGTTTTCCTCATCTACCTCTGCCAACACACAGAAAGGTGCAAATAGTCATCTGTGTGTATTACTACAGTATATATATTTATGAATGAACTTATTTCTGGATAAGGATGTGTAATTCTCTTCCAAAACCAGGTGAAACTGATTTATAGTATTAGAAGGCAGGAACTTTAATCCTTTGCAGTATAAGAAGATGGGACAAAAGAGCCTTTTGGAGTGCTGGTAAAATTTAGTTTCATGGTCTGGATGCCAATTATATGTGTGTGTTCACTTAGTCAAAATTCTTTGAGTTGAACACTTACAATATGTATATTCACTATAATAGAAACAAAATTTGGCTCTTCCAAAGCAAATCTTGTTATCAACTCATCTACCCATACTCTATGTTGAAATCCCATGCTTTGGAACAGGAGTTTGTGATGACAGCTAAATATACTGCAGAGGCTTTAGAAAAATAAAGGTAGATGAGGAAAACATAATTTTATTACTAGAATGGTTTGGTCAACAATGGAATGTGTAAACTCTAACTAAATAGCTGTGTCTGCTGGAAGGGACTCTAACCCAGAGAAACCTAGGGATTCCTCCCTTCAATTGCCATATATTTTCCTTTTTTTGAGTAAAAGATTTTCCTAAGCATTTGAACTAAATTCTTTGATAGGAAAAAAAAGACTATATATTCTATACAACCTTAAAATACTATTTATTTAAATCATTTTAAGGTATTGTTTTCAAGATTTCTTGAAATTCCTGACCTGAGTCATCTTTGTGATGTGTCACACCCTGTCACATTAAGTTACCTTACATCGAATAAACAGAAGAAAGGTTATAAAAACCTAGCATGCATACCACCTGACATGAAAATATTTCCCAGCTATTCCTTCTGCTTAAATGAATGCATCTCAAATACCTAGATTATTAGCTTGGAAAAATTACACACTTTACAAAATAATGGAAGAGTAATCTCTCTGTATTACTGTAGAACATACATTTATGAGTATACTTAATTCTAGATAAGGGTAGAGTTTTACTAGAAATATTATGTTTCTCTTTCACATTTTGTCTTTTCATATGAATGTACATGTACAAACTTGTTTTACTTCTTTCTTGGAAGCAGTCTTATGCACAACATGGTAACTATCTACTGTAAGTGGAATTTAGCCAGAAAATAAAGAAGAAAGAACTAATTGAAAGTTAACAGAAAATTTGGCCAGAAAGTGTTTATGGAACTTAACACATGATTTGTTATGAAAAAGCATTATTATGAACATCTAAGTAACCTAGAATAGCTCCAAACACTTCTTTTTTGATTAATAAGGCAAAATAAAGTGAGGCTCTCAGAAGGATATTCAGGTAATGTAGAAAAAAATTTTCCTAAGGAAAAGGAATCACTCTATGCACATAATTAACAGTCCCCATTAATGTAAATTATTTAGCTATGATAAGCAATGTTTTATCCTCTATCTCATATTTTATTATAAATATAGCTTTAAAATGCCCACTGAATGAACAACTTCCTTTAGTTCTAGAGGAATTGTAGAAGTTTCCATTTCATAACTGAAGGAATTGCTTAGATCAAGGTCTAAGGTAAAAACCTCCAGTTCCACATTAGTATTAAAACCTGTCAGTATGATACCATGCAAAGGTGTTACAGTGATTGTATGATACAGGGCTCAAAGCTACTTTGCTGCACTGTGCTATGTAAGTGGTGTAAGCACTTGCTTGTAGCATTGTTAATATAATATGGTAAACAAGACAAAGAAAACCTTTCTTGCTATCTTTTCTATGCCAAAATTAAAAAAGAACCACACAACTAATCTGTAACATGCAACATTATGGTGGTAAAAAATATGGGAAATGGCAGTGGACTTAAAAAGCAGACTAGTAAAGTGATTTAGAGTATGAGATTTGTAGTCAAACAGGCATGGTTTCAAAATCTGCCACTGACAGTCTGAGTCTGTGTCCTCATTTGTAAATGGGAAAACTAATATTTAACTCTGTAGTTGTAAATATGAAATATGATAGTAATTACAGAGCTTAGCATTATGGCTTGCAAATAGCATGTGCTAATAGTAGTTATTTTTAATGAAGATTGGTTCCTATATTCCCTAACCTTGATAATATTCCATTTTTATTTATTTCAAGTTCAAAAGGTACATTTATTTTACACTGTATTTACAAAGGAACAGAGTATAAATCTAACAGGGAACAAAGGAAACAAAAATGACAGGCATACATATTTACATACCAAGTATAGCAAAATTTGTTGAGAAGAGTCTTTCTTTAAATGTTACTACTTGTATCATTTAATAGTCAAAATCAGTTGCTAAGAATAATTTATCATCTCAGGAAGAAGTTTTAGAAGGCTCAACATATATGACTCAAACTATGACTTTCTTAATGAAAAAAGTTTACTTTTATCTTCTGAAAATCTCCAAGTTGCTGGAGGTCATGTACATCAGATCACTGCCAATTTTTAAAAGATTCAAAGGCTCTTAAATTAGCAAGTCACAATTGCTTAGGAAAACTATTTGAAGTATATATTCAACTTTCAGTAATATTAACACATGAAAAAAAATCCTTACACCTAACTATAATCAGTAATATGTTGCTGGATCTTCCAAAACAAGAGATGAGGTATTCTTTTATTTTTGTTTTATTTTGTTCTTTTTCTTTTTCTTTTTTTTTTTTTTTTTTGAATTTTTTGATTGATTCTATATTCTTTTTTCAAATTTTATTTTACTTTAAGTTTTAGGGTACATGTGCACAACGTGCAGGTTTGTTACATATGTATACATGTGCCATGGTGGTGTGCTGCACCCATTAACTCGTCATTTAGCATTAGGTATATCTCCTAATGCTATCCCTCCCCCCTACCCCCACCACACAACAGTCCCCGGTGTGTGATGTTCCCCTTCTTGTGTCCATGTGTTCTCATTGTTCCATTCCCACCTATGAGTGAGAACATATGGTGTTTGGTTTTTTGTCCTTGCGGTAGTTTGCTGAGAATGATGGTTTCCAGCTTCATCCATGTCCCTACAAAGGACATGAACTCATCCTTTTTTATGGCTGCATAGTATTCCATGGTGTATATGTGCCACATTTTCTTAACCCAGTCTATCATTGTTGGACACTTAGGTTGGTTCCAAGTCTTAGCTATTGTGAATAGTGCTGCAATAAACATACGTGTGCATGTGTCTTTATAGCAGCATGATTTATAATCCTTTGGGTATATACCCAGTAATGGGATGGCTGGGTCAAATGGTATTTCTAGTTCCAGATCCCTGAGGAATCGCCACACTGACTTCCACAATGGTTGAACTAGTTTACAGTCCCACCAACAGTGTAAAAGTGTTCCTATTTCTCCACATCCTCTCCAGCACATGTTGTTTGCTGACTTTTTAATGATCACCATTCTAACTGGTGTGAGACGGTATCTCATTGTGGTTTTGATTTGCATTTCTCTGATGGCCAGTGATGATGAGCATTTTTTCATGTGTTTTTTGGCTGCATAAATGTCTTCTTTTGAGAAGTGTCTGTTCATATCCTTTGCCCACTTTTGGATGGGGTTGTTTGTTTTTTTCTTGTAAATTTATTTGAGTTCTTTGTAGATTCTGGATATTAGCCCTTTGTCAGATGAGTAGGTTGCAAAAATTTTCTCCCATTCTGTAGGTTGCCTGTCCACTCTGATGGTAGTTTCTTTTGCTGTGCAGAAGCTCTTTAGTTTAATTAGATCCCATTTGTCAATTTTGGCTTTTGTTGCCATTGCTTTTGGTGTTTTAGACATGAAGTCCTTGCCCATGCCTGTGTCCTGAATGGTATTGCCTAGGTTTTCTTCTAGGGCTTTTATGGTTTTAGGTCTAACATTTAAGTCTTTAATCCATCTTGAATTAATTTTTGTATAAGGTGTAAGGAAGGGATCCAGTTTCAGCTTTCTACATATGGCTAGCCAGTTTTCCCAGCACCATTTATTAAATAGGGAATCCTTTCCCCATTTCTTGTTTTTGTCAGGTTTGTCAAAGATCAGATAGTTGTAGATATGCGGCATTATTTCTGAGGGCTCTGTTCTGTTCCATTGGTCTATATCTCTGTTTTGGGACCAGTACCATGCTGTTTTGGTTACTGTAGCCTTGTAGTGTAGTTTGAAGTCAGGTAGCATGATGCCTTGTTCTCCAGAAAAAGGAAAAAAAAAAAAAAAGACAAAAAAAATAAGCGTAACTAGTTTTTATTTTTATTTTTTATTATACTTTAAGTTCTAGGGTACGTGTGCACAATGTGCAGGTTTGTTACACATGTATACATGTGCCATGTTGGTGTGCTGCACCCCTTAACTCATCATTTGCATTAGGTATATCTCCTAATGCTATCCATCCTCCCTCCCCCCACCCCACAACAGGCCCTGGTGTGTGATGTTCCCCACCCTGTGTCCAAGTATTCTCATTCTTCAATTCCCACTTATGAGTGAGAACATGCAGTGTTTGGTTTTCTGTCCTTGTGATAGTTTGCTCAGAATGATGGTTTCCAGCTTCATCCATGTCCCTACAATGGACATGAACTCATCCTTTTTTATGGCTGCATAGTATTCCATGGTGTATATGTGCCACATTTTCTTAATCCAGTCTATCATTGATGGACATTTGGGTTGGTTCCAAGTCTTTGCTATTGTGAATAGTGCCACAATAAACATACATGTGTATGTGTCTTTATAGCAGCAATGATTTATAATCCTTTGGGTATATGCCCAGTAATGGGATGGCTGGGTCAAATGGTATTTCTAGTTCTAGATCCTTGAGGAATCGCCACACTGTCTTCCACAATGGTTGAACTAGTTTACAGTCCCACCAACAGTGTAAAAGTGTTCCTATTTCTCCACATCCTCTCCAGCACCTATTGTTTCCTGACTTTTTAGTGACCGCCATTCTAACTGGTGTGAGATGGTATCTCATTGTGGTTTTGATTTGCATTTCTCTGATGGCCAGTGATGATGAGCATTTTTTCATGTGTCTGCTGGCTGCATAAATGTCTTCTTTTGAGAAGTGTATGTTCATATCCTTTGCCTACTTTTTGATGGGGTTGATTTTTTCTTGTGAATTTGTTTAAGTTCTTTGTAGATTCTAGATATTAGCTCTTTGTCAGATGGGTAGATTGCAAAAATTTTCTCCCATTCTGTAGGTTGCCTGTTCACTCTGATGGTAGTTTCTTTCACTGTGCAGAAGCTCCTTAATTTAATCAGATCCCATTTCTCAACTTTGGCTTTTGTTGCCATTGCTTTTGGCGTTTTAATCCTCAATAAAATACTGGCAAACTGAATCCAGCAGCACATCAAAAAGCTTATCCACCACGATCAAGTGGGCTTCATCCCTGGGATGCAAGGCTGGTTCAATATATGCAAATCAATAAACGTAATCCATCATATAAACAGAACCAAAGACAAAAACCACATGTAAACTAGGTATTCATGGGACATATCTCAAAATAATAAGAGCTATTTATGACAAACCCACAGCCAGTGTCATACCGAATGGGCAAACACTGGAGGCATTCCCTTTGAAAAGTCGCACAAGACAGGGATGCCCTCTCTCACCACTCCTATTCAACATAGTTTTGGAAGTTCTGGCCAGGGCAATCAGGCAAGAGAAGGAAATAAAGAGTATTCAGTTAGGAAAAGAGGAAGTCAAATTGTCCCTGTTTGCAGATGACATGATTATATATTTAGAAAACCCCATCATCTCAGCCCAAAATCTCCTTAAGCTGATAAGCAACTTCAGCAAAGTTTCAGGATACAAAATCAATGTGCAAAAATCACAAGAATTCCTATACACCAATAACAGACAAGCCGAGAGCCAAATCATGAGTGAACTGTCATTCACAATTGCTTCAAAGAGAATAAAATACCTAGGAATCCAACTTACAAGGGATGTGAAGGACCTCTTCAAGGAGAACTACAAACCACTGCTTGATGAAATAAAAGAGGACACAAACAAATGGAAGAACATTCCATGCTCATGGATAGGAAGAATCAATATCATGAAAATGGCCATACTGCCCAAGGTAATTTATAGATTCAATGCCATCCCCATCAAGCTACCATTGACTTTCTTCACAGAATTGGAAAAAACTACTTTAAAGTTCATATGGAGACAAAAAAGAGCCCACATTGCCAAGATAATCCTAAGCCAAAGGAACAAAGCTGGAGGCATCACGTTACCTGACTTCAAACTATACTACAAGGCTACAGTACCCAAAACAGCATGGTACTGGTACCAAAACAGAGATATAGACCAATGCAACAGAATAGAGCCCCCGGAAATAATACCACACATCTACAACCATCTGGTCTTTGACAAACCTGACAAAAACAAGCAATGGGGAAAGGATTCCCTATTTAATAAATGGTACTGGGAAAACTGGCTAGCCATAGGTAGAAAGCTGAAACTGGATCCCTTCCTTACGCCTTATACAAAAATTAATTCAAGATGGATTAAAGACTTAAATGTTAGACCTAAAACCATAAAAACCCTAGAAGCAAACGTAGGAAATACCATTCAGACCATAGGCATGGCCAAGGACTTTGAGACAAGGTATTCTTAAGAGTCCAGACTTTTCGGACCTCCACACTAGCATATTCCAGCATACAGAGTTTCTTTAACTTCATTTAACAGAAGAGAAGATCCTTTGAAATGTAGTGAAAGACAGGCTGGTGTATTTTTGCAATCTTTCCTTCTAAGTTTAGACACAGATTTTGTTGCTGATACCTTGGCCAACAGCTGCTGTGTTTATCAGTTTTGCTTTAGTTCACTGTCCTTACTGCGAAATGTGATGTCCAAACCTTGAAGTTATTGAACTAGAAAATGGGGAAGACTCTCAAGATGTATTTACTTTCTCAAAAGAATCTTGAAATGCAAATTTCTGCATAAGTGCATGAGATATTAAAGACATCGGGTCCTAATATGAATTTTGTCTTTTCCTCTTATGAATGGGTTTGCTGCTAGGTGACCATTCAATCACATTAAGCTTAACCTTTTTCATATCCTTTAGAACATCCAATATGTTTGGAATATATTTCTCTGGCTTTTTTTAATGATAATTATAATTGGTCTTACTAGCACCTGCATGCTCTTTGTTTATTTCAGTAGCTGGATTATCTGAGTTACAAATATTAGATCCTGGTTGTACGGGAGGAATATGGAGGCTGGAGAGAAGAAAACTGAGGAGGAAGTGGTGGTGGTGGAGAAGGAAGCAAGGAGGAAAAGAAAGCATTGAACTTGGAAACTGATCTGACTTTAAGTTGGAAACTCATCTGAGCAGCCCCCCATGTTGGCATTTGTCTCAAACTAATGGGCCTGTCGTTCAAGCCAAAGGAGCTAGAATTTGTACTCTTTTTAAGTTCCTGCATTTCCACAATTGCAGCAATGTGACAGCCAAAACAAAAATTAACTTCAAGGACAACTACTTTTTTAAATTGCAGCTTCATTTGCAGGCAGATCTTTTTTCACCGGTTTGTTATGTCTTAGGGTAGGGACAATGGATCCCAAATTAGTTGCAAAATATGGAAAAATTCAATTTTGTTCTTTTCTTTTTTCTGTATACTATTAAAAAATCAGAGCTAGCTGGCTTCTTCATCATTTGCCACACAGAAAATATCAGCAAAAGATGGAACCATAAATCCACAGAGTCTACACAGTTCAAGAGTGGGACCAACTCAAAATTAAGTCCTCTACAAAGTTCTAATGGAAGTATTTTCCCAATAATACAAATGATATTCCTACTTGATCCACATTCTTTATTTTCTCCAATCGGTAAAACTTCTTCTAGAGGAACGCCAAAATATTCCAGCATCTCTCTTAGGATATTCAATATGAGAGACACAGACGAAGTAAATAGAAAAGCCAATTCAAGGAAACGATCAGTTTTTTGGTATCTTCCTCTGAATCTGAAGCCAAGCCTCCTGGCAACCACCAGCACATCAAGCAGAGGGCATTATGAATCCCTGTCTTAGTATCCTCAATTCAAGAATTCTGGAATGCACTGGTTCTGGTCCAGGAGTGCTCAGATGTTGACCCAGTGACTGCCTGCATGCCTCGACTTGCAGGCCACAGACATTAATGATGCCCTCACTTAGGGGTATGAGGTTGATCTGGTGCCCAGCCCTGGAGCCTCTTGCTCAGCCAAGGTTAACTCTGCAGGAGGTGCAGCCATCTCCTGTGCCCAGCCAACCTACCCAGTATTCCATTTGTAGATTCAGCATAGTATTATAAAAATTAAGAACATATGCTTAGGGTAAAAAGACCTATATGTAACAGTCTCTCAGCATCATAATTTTTACTCATGGGTAAAATAGATATGTTGTGAGGTGGCCGTAACCATAAAATGAGATAATGTATGAACAGTGTTCAACACATTCTCCATCATACAGTAAATACTAAATAAGGGTGGCTAAAATCACAATACCTAGATTCTGGCTCTAGTTCTTGCACCAATCAGTATGTTAACTTTGAGCAAGTCACCTAGCCTGAGTTTCATCGAAAAGAATAAATGGGTATAACAACACCTGTTACCATCTATCTTTTAGTGTTGTTGAGATAACAATATTAAATGAAGTGGGCACTGTGGCTTGCACCTGTAATCCCAGATCCTTGGGAAAATGAGGCAGGATGATTGCTTAAGCCCAGGAGTTTGGGGCTGCAGTGAGCTATGAACATGCCACTGCATTCCAGCCTGGGTGACAGAGCAAGATTTCATCTCTTAAAAAAATGATGCAAGTAATCCCTTTGAAAGCTGGAATGTCTACAAAATGGATGATATAATAATTTGGATGGCAGTTGAGAGGATAAATAACATAAAAATGCCATTTTAAAGTACATATAATCAAGAAAGCTGTGGCTGGCTTTTGTTAATTTTGTAGACAATACACAGGTGATAAACATTAAAGAAGAATCATTTTTCTCTGTGATTAGTTTATTATGGTACTTAGAATCAGAAAACTTAGTTAATATGAATATTTTGTCTTATTCAGGAATAAGATATTAACACAAGTTTATGTACATTGTAGTATAGAATGTATGACAAGCGTACTCATGGTTTTTGTTGAGAAGAAATGCCCTCTTTGGCTCTATAATTCACTTCTAACAGAAATGATATATTTTTATGTTATCAGATTAATAACTATTTGTAAAGCCCTTCAAAGATGAAAAGTACTCCATAAATGCTTAGCATTTATTACCACTAATATAAACATCATTAAGCTCTTCTTCAAAATGCTGTGAAGACAGAAGAAGCTAAATAACTAAAATTAGAGCAGAACTAAAGAAACTGACACCAAAAATAATATAAAGGATAAACGAAAAGTTGGTTCTTTGAAAGGCTAAGCAGGATTAATAGGCCACTAGCTACATTAACAAAGAAAAAAGAGAGAAGATCCAAATAAGCACAATCAGAAGTGACAAAGGAGACATTACAACAGATCCCACAGATATACAAAAGATCCTCAGAAACTGATACAAACACCTCAATGTACACAAAGTAGAAAATGTAGAGGGAACAGATAAACTCCTGGAAACACACAACCACCCAAGATTGAGCCAGAAAGAAGGTGAAACCCTGAACAGAACAGTAAACAACAAGTTGTGAAAATGAATCAGTAATAAAAAGGCTACCAATCAAAAAAAGCCCTGGCACAGATGGATTCACAGGTGAATTAAACCAGATGTACAAAGAAGAACTTGTACCAATCCTACTGAAACTATTCCAGAAATTAAGTAGAAGGCAACTCCTTCTTAACTCATTCTATGATGCCAGAACCACCTTGATACCAACACCTGGCAAAGACACAATGAAAACAGAAAACCACAGGCCAACATCCCTGATGAACATATATGCAAAAATCCTCGACAAAATTCTAACACATCAAATCCAGCAGCAAATTAAAAAGTCAATTCACCATGATCAAGCAGGCTTTATTTCTGGGATGCAAGGTTGGTTCAACATACGCAAATCAATAAATGTGATTCACCACATAAACAGAATTAAAAAAAAACCATATGATCATTTCAAGAGACACAGAAAAAGCCTTTGATAACATCCAACATCCTTCTTGATAAAAACCCTCAACAAACTAGGCATAGAAAGAACAAACCTCACAATAATAAGAGCCATCTATGACAAACCCACAGCCAACATCGTACTGCGTGGGCAAAAACTGGAAGCATTCCCCTTAGGAACAGGAACAACACAAAGATGCCCACACTCCCATTCAAAAAAGTACTGGAAGCCCTAGTCAGAGAAATCAGGAGAAGAGAAAGAAATCAAAGGCATCCAAAAAGGAAGTCAAATTATCTCTCTTTGCTGATAATATGATTCTGTATGTAGAAAACCCTAAGTACTTCACCAGGAGACTCCTAGACCTGATAAATGACTTCTGTAAAGTTTTGGATACAAAATCAATGTACAAAAATCAGTGCCATTTCTATATCCCAATAACGTTCAAGCTGAGAGCCAAGTCAAGAACTTAATCCCACTTACAGTAGCCACACACAAAATAAAATACTTAAGAATACACCTAACCAAGAAAGTGAAAGGTCTCCACAAGAACCACAAAACACTGCTGAAAGAAATAATAGATGACACAAACAAATGGAAAAACTTCCATGTGCATGGATTGGAAGAATTAATGTCACTAAAATGTCCATACCACCCAAAGCAATCCACAGATTAAATGCTATTCCTATCCAGTTACCAAGGTCATTTTTCACAGAATTAGAAAAAACTATTCCAAAATTCACATGGAATTTAAAAAGAGGCTGAATAGCCATAGCAATCCTAAGCAAAAAGAATAAAGCTGGAGGCATCAGACTATCTGACTTCAAACGACATTACAAGACTGCAGTAACCGAAACAGCATGGTACTGGTACAAAAACAGATATACAGAATAGAGTGGAACAGAATAGAGAATGCTGAAATAAAGCTGTACGCCTACAACCAACTGATCTTCAAAAAGCCAACAAAAATAAGCAATGGGGAAAGGACTCCCTATATAATAAATGATGCTGGGAAAATAGGCTAGCCATATGCAGAAGAATGAAGCTGGACCCCTACCTCTCAACATATACAAAAATTAAGTCAAGATGAATAAGACTTGAATGTAAAACCTCAAAATATAAAAATCCTAGAACAAAACCTAAGAAATACTCTTGTGGAAATTGACACAGCCAAAGAATTTATGACTTGATAGACATCCTCAAAAGCAATTACAACAGTAACAAAAATGAAATATCGGGACCTGCTTAAACTAAAGAACTTCTGCACAGCAAAAGAAACTATCAACAGAATAAATAGATAACCTACAGAATGGGAGAAAATATTTACAAACTACACCTCCAACAAAGGACTAATATCCGGAATCTATAAGGAACTTAAACAAATCATTAAGAAAAAAAAAATAACCCCATTAAAAAGTGGGCAAAGGACATGAAAAGACACTACTCAAAAGAAGACATACAAGTGGCCAAACATTAAAAACATGCTTAATATCATTAATCATCAGAGGAATGCAAATCAAAACCACAATGAGATACCATCTCACACCAACCAGAATGGCTTTTGTTAAAAAATTAAAAAACAGCAGATGTTGGCAAGGCTACAGAGAAAAGGGAATGCTTATACACTGTTGGTGGGAATGCAAAAATCAGTTCAGCCCCAGTAGAAAGCAGTTTGGAGATTTCTAAAAAAACTGAGTTGAACTACAATTACATCCAGTAATCCCACTACCGTGTTTATACCCAAAGGAAAATTGTGCTACCAAAGATACCCGGCCTTGTAAGCTTATTGTAGCACTACTCACAAGTGCAAAGATATGGAAACAACCTTAGTGCCCATAATGGTGAACTGGATAATGAAAATGTGGTACATATACACCATGGAATACTATGTAGTCAGTCATAAAAAAGAATGAAATCATGTCCTTTGCAGCAACATGGATGCAACTGGAGGCATTATCATAAGTGAAATAATGCAGAAACAGAAAATGAAATATTCTATGTTCTCTTATAAAGTAGGAGCAGCTAAACCCTGGGTATACACAGATGTAAATATGGGAACAGCACACACTGGTGGCTCCAAAAGGAAAGAGGGAAAGAGAGGGGCAAGGGCTGAAAAACTTGTTAGGTACTATATTCACTCTCTGGGTGACAGGGTCAATAGAAGCCGAAACCTCAGCATTAGGCAATATACCCTTGTAACAAACCTGTACATGCATTCCCCTAGTCTCAAATGAAAATTAAAAATAAATATTTTCTAAAAAAAAAAACAACAAAATGCAGCTACAGCTTCATGAGTTAATTGTTAAATAAGATGACATGCCCAAAATGGCAGGTGGTATATCATGTGAACCTTTTCATGATTATAGCAATAATACAAATTTTTTTGTTAGACAGCTATTAATAACTATTAGCAACTCATTCTTCAAAGGTTATTTTTGTCTCAGATAATTACACCACTGAAAAGTGAAATAATTCATTTTTGATTCTACAATATAAGCTAGCACAGAAAAAGGCCTAAGCTTCTGGGAAACTCCTGAATTATTGATGTTGTAAAGCTGCAGTTTCCAATATGGTAGACACTACTGCATGTGACTACTGAATCTTGAAACACGGCTCATGTGACTGGGGAACTACATTTTAAAATTTTATTTAATTTCAATTAAATTAAAAAATTGATATTCTATCTAGTAATTGTGAAATTTTAAAGAATGTGTACAACGACTTGGGTAACAAACTACTTCAACTGTAAATTTTATGAAATATGAATATAGATCATGTATTTCCAATGAAAATTTAACATCTGATTTGAGATGTACCCTAAGATGTATCAGATAATTTAAAATTCTGTCTGTGGCTTGCATTATATTTCTATTGGACATCATTGCTACACAGGTTTAAAGACACACAACAAACCATATATGACATGGACCTTACTCCCTTTTTTAATCCTTCTAGTCCAAACCTAGGAAGTTGGAATAGTATATGTGAAAGTAAAAAATTTCAGTTCTTGTATTTGTAGAATAGGGGAGTAATAGGTCTTTTCTTTGATAGGTGAAGACATGGCCTTCATGAACTATGACCTGGCATTACTTCAGTTATGCACTATTAAATGATTAACAACTAGCTCTCCACAAACCAAACCAGAACCCAAACCAAAAAACAACCAATTTGTAGAGTTTGCCAATTTCCACGACATAAATATTCCTACCAGGGCCAATTTTGAGCTACCAACATGGTCACTGAACATACAGTTGGGAAGAGATGCACATAATTGGCACTCATGAGGCCGTAGAATACAGCCTCAGTGCAGCACTGGAATACTTTGAGTTGCTGACATCTATATTCTTGAAAGATATGTGTGTGTATATATGGGTGTATGTGGGAGCTGAAATAGATCAGCTTTAAATTAAATTCTGCCCTATAGCAAAAAAGTATTATAGGATTATTATTTCTATGAAAGTAGGGCATTTTCTTTTCTTTTTTTTGAGACGGAGTCTCGCTCTTTCACCCAGGCTGGAGTGCAGTGGCGTGATCTCTGCTCACTGCAAGCTCCGCCTCCTGGGTTCAGGGCATTTCATTTTCTTTAAGCCTTTGGAAACTAAGTGACTATAAAAACTCTGATTCTTTCCAAATTCCCCTTGAGAATATAGATTTATGGTTATATGAAGCCATTTTGTAAATTGTAAAATGGTAAAAACAGGTGAAGACATTTAATTTTGATAAAACAAGATACATGATTGTAACTTAGAAACTTAGTAGGCCAACTACATAACAAACATTTGTGAATAGAGATTTCCTAGGGACATAATAAGGGCATAGGAAGATTACCTTCAGAATTGATATAAATTCTGACATACTGAGAATTTTATACATGTAAAATATCTGTAAGAGGTCCAAATTTAGCTCTAAAGTTCGATAATTTTATGAGTTTTGTTAGCTAATATATGTTAAATCATTCTGTTTATTTAGAAATTCTTGTTTCTATAATAGCTCCTCTGCTTGGGCACTTTAATGTTATGCTTTTTGCTACACTTTTAAATTTAGTATAACGTCTTTTAAAGGCAGTATCTAAGAGGATTTAATTTAAAAGTATCTTTTGAATAAAGCAATTTCCCCTCTAAGGAAATCCTCTAAGAGAATATTCAAGCTTATTATTTTAGTATGGGTTTGTTTGTACTATTAAATGGATATGAATAAATGATTTTTTCACAGAGTTATATGTTGGCTAGAATTTTATAGTGCCTGAGTTTGGATTCTATTTTGTCATATCTAATCACATGCATAAAATTTTACTGCTGGAAAAGACAGACTCTTCTGTATCTTTATTTTATAATAGAGCAAACTGAGACCCCAAAAAGGGACTGTTGAAGTGTTATTTGGCTAGTCTTTACTAGTTTAGCCAAGACTAGACCTCAGCTTTCCCATCACTCTTAGTATTTTTTGTTTTTTATAGACAGGGTCTCGCTCTGTTGCCCAGGCTGGAGTGCAGTGGCATGATCACAACTCACTGTAACCTCAAACTCTTGGCCCAAGTGATCCTCCTACCTCAGCCTCCCAAGTAGCTAGGGCTGCAGGTGCGTGCCACCACCCCGAGCTAGCTTTAAAATTTTTGGTAGAGTTGTGGTCTTGATATATTGCCCAAGCTGGTCTCAAACTCCTGGCCTCAAGCTATCCTCCCACCTTGGCCTCTTGAGTCTTTGGTATTACAGGCATGAACCACCATGACTGGCCCATCCTTAGTATATTCTTAGTTTGTACCATATAACTGCATAAATCTACTTGTCCATCCACATTTTGGAATTATTGATAGAAGATATTTTTGTTATACTCCACACTAGCTACATTGGACACGTATTCTGTTTATTCTTTAACTACATAGTTTCATTAGTTACCCTTAATGTTATATACCAATCCTTGAGCAAAATTCTTTCATTATTTTCTTATAGAAAATGTGAATACGGGTTATTCTGCCCCAGATTGGCATAATTTGCTAGTCTAATAAGTAAAGCAGAGAAAGAGGTTTGAGACTTTCAACTCCTGTCTCAGAAAGAAAAACAGAAGGGCTAAAAGCATAACATTTAACATTTGTACCTTTCTCCACAGGAAAAGACCACTACCTTTTGCTTAGTAACTGTCATTTTATGACTAGGTAAGTTCTGAAGAGTTGACAACTTGTTTTGGAATATAGTAATCTAGTATTTCAGAATTCAAAAATATGTTAAATAACATTTAAATTATGGAAAGTTTCCATCTGAAAATAACTAATTTAGAGAAAATCCATACTTATTCAATAACACCAATTCTTAATTACCATATGTCACATTCTGTGATTGACATTATGTCACCACAAAGAAAGGAACAAAGGTTTGATAATCATAGCATACTTAATAAGATTACTGAAAACTGTACATCTCTTAAGATATACAAGTAATACAGTCTTGTATAGACCTCTGCAGTCAAGCAAGCAGTTAGTCTTTGATGTGCTCATAATTATGAAATATTTAGGATGTCTTTAGGGAAAGATGCCTATAGGTAGTAAGGTTTAGATCAAAACTGACATCATTACATAATAAAGGAGGAAAGGTGAAGTGAAGCCAAAAGTAGATTGGCAGGAATATACCTAAGTCAAACAAATAATATAACGCACCCTGTAATGCACAGTGTAGGAAGTTAAAGAGTTGGCCGCAGTTTCAATTGTTTATAGAATTAAAAACTGCTTTTGTAGCTTCAGTTTAGAAGAATTTTGTATTTACAATAAGATATTTAAAGTATAAGAGCAAATCTTTACCTTCATCCATGTATCACCTCTTGGATAGAATTTTTATATATGTTTACAATGGTACCATGATTTTTAATTTTTAAAGTATTTTTAGAGACAGTCTTGCTCTGTAGTCAAGGCTAGAGTATAGTGGCCTGATCATAACTCCCTGTGACCTCAAACTCCTGGGCTCAAATGATGTTCTATCTCAGCTTCTCAAGTAGCTAGATTACAGGTGTTTGCCACCATGCCCAGCTAAATTTTTAATTTTTGTAGACATGAGGTCTCACTGTGCTGTCCAGGCTGGTCTCAAACTTCTGGGCTCAAGCAATCCTCCTGCCTCAGCCTCTGCAAGTGCTGGGATGACATGTGTGAGCCACTGCACCTAGGCTCATGACTTTAATGCCATTTTAGGAAGAAGATAACATAAAAAATCAAGCTTTTGAATGATTTTTAAAATGACATGGTAATGTAGTGATGACATGTCTCTGGTAACAAATAGGAAGATAAATAATGATTCCAATTTTGTTAAATATATGCATAGAAAAAAGGGAATTAAATACACTAAAATAACTCTTTTTATCAGTTATCTCCAGGTAATAATATGAGTGATCTTTATCTTTTACATTCTTTATATTACATTCTCTAATGTTACCCATTTAAGCATGAATAAGCTTTTATATCAGAATTTTAAAATACATTTTAAAAGGAGATGGCAACTTATAATGCTACAGCTTTTTTATAGCATAGTATCTGCAAGATCATATATGATAAATGTATTTGGAAATATAATGCATTTGGAAGGATTTCATAATATGCAAATTTGTAGACCGCCACATTAAGTACAGCTGGGATGTCTTTGAAAAGGATTTCTTTTATATTTTCATTTCTCTGCATATGAGGATTATATAAAAGAAGTTGTTTCTCCATGTTTTTCTTTTTCTAAATAATATTCTTCAAATAAGAAGTTAACCAGGAATGGTGTTGCACTCCTATAGTCCCAGCTACACAGGAAGCTGAGGCAGGAGGATTGCTTGTGCCTGGAAGTTTGAGGCTGCAGTGAGCTATGATGGCGCCACTGCACTCTAGCCGTGGCAACAGAGCGAGACATTGTCTCTAAAAAATAAATAAATGCTATTCTTCAAATCTCAGTGTAACAGATGAACTGCTAGCTGTCCCCAAATGGCTTTTGCTTTTACAGTAACTGGTGTTTTGCTGGGTGCATAATCACCCCAGACTTTCTTATGGTTAGTGTAGCCTTAGGAACAGGTTCTGTCCAATGGGATATGTACAGAAGTGATATGTAACAACTCCTGGGTTGTAGCCTGAACAAGATAGGACTATGCCTGCCTCCTTTTTCCTCCTTTTGTAGGCTGGGATGCAAATCTTCAATGATGTAGATGAAGGCTTTACCCTAGAGATGACAAAGTAACACAATAGATAAGGCCTAGTAATCTAATACCAGCATGCCTTACCAGTCCTGGAACACGTCCCAGGATTGTTATACAAGAAGGAAAGAAAATTCTCTTGCTGAAGTTACTGGGTTTCATGGTCTCTTGTTTTACAGTAGCTTAGACTATTTCACTTCATAACTGTATTGTACTGTAGACATATGTCAATCTGACTTCTCAGGCTTATGCTAGAAATGACACAATATAAAAATACAGTCTTATTTAAGGGAAAACTTATTGAATGGCCATCTCTATTACTTTCCTCACACAAATGGCTGGTGTGATTGATAGAGTGTCTCATTGTGGTTTTGATTTGCATCTCTCTGATGGTTAGTGATGATTAGCATTTTTTCATGTTTCTTGGGGGCTTGTATGTCTTCTTTTGCATAGTTCATGTCCTTTGCCCACTTTTAATTGGGTTATTTTTTTCTTGTGATTTATTTAATTTTCTCACAGATTCTGGATATTAGGCCTTTGTTGTATGCATAGTTTGTGAACATCTCCCATTTTGTAGATTGCCTGTTTACTTCATTGATAGTTTCTATTGCTGTGCTGAAGCTCTTTCATGAAAGCAGAAAACAAAAAAGAGCAGGAGTTGCTATTCTTAGATCATAGAAAACAGACTTTAAACCAGCAAGCATCAAAAAGGACAAAGAAGGGTATCATATAATGATAAAGTGTTCAATTTATCAAGAAGACTTAACTATCCTAAATGTATATACACCCAACACTGGAGCTCCCAAATTCATAAAACAAGTACTTCTAGACCTATGAAAAGACTAAGACAGCTGTACAATAATAATGGGGGACTTCGGGGGCTTCAACAGCACACTGACAGCATTAGACAGGTCATCAAGGCAGAAAAGTAACAAAGAACTTCTAGACTTCAACTCGACACTTGGCCAATTAGACCTAATAAACATCTACAGAATGCTCCATGCAACAACCACAGAATATACATTCTTCTCATCTGCACACACAACATATTCTAGGATTGACCACATAGGATTGACCACATGCTTGGCCATAAAGCAAGTCTCAATAAATGAAAAAAAAAATTAAAATCATACCAAACGACACTCTTAGACCACAGTGCAATAAAAATAGAAATCAATATCAAAGGTCTCTCAAAACCACACAATTACATGGAAATTAAACAACTTACTCTTGAATTATTTTGGGCATTAAGGCAGAAATCAAATAATTTCTTGAAATTAATGAAAACAGAGACACAACTTACCGAAATCTCTGGGTGCAGTAAACACAGTATTAAGAGGAAAGTTTATAGTTAAACACCTACATCAAGAAGTTAGAAAAAGTTCAAATTAACAATCTAACATCACACATAGAGGAACAACAACCACAGCAAAAAACTAACCCCAAAGATAGCAGAAGAAAAGAAATAATATCAGAGCAAAACTGAACAAAATTGAGAGGCAAAAATCCATACAAAAGATCAATGAAACCAAAAGTTGGTTCTTTGAAAGGATAAATGATTGGTAGACTGCTAGCTTGGCTAGATTAACAACGAAAAAAAGAGAGATCCAAATAAGCACAATCCGAAATGACAAACATGACATTACAACTGATCCCATAAAAATATAAAAGATCCTTACAGATTACGATGAACACCTCTATGCACACAAACTGGAAAATCTAGAGGAAATGGATAAATTCCTGTAAACACACAACCTCCCACTACTGAGCCAGGAAGAAATTAAAACCCTAAACAGACCAATAACAAATTCCGAAATCAAATAAGTAATTTTTAATAAGTCCAGCTATTTCTGAGGTACAGCCACATTTCCCCTCTTTGCTGCTAGTATGTATCCCATGATTGCAGTGACGTATTCCCATTTTCACTTATTTTGAGATGGGTGTCGGTCAGTTATCCTTATTCACATAACTCACAAGCCAAGTCCTATCTGCAACTTCTATCAGTGTGAAGTTGACTAGAGAGTTTAATCCATTACATTTAAAGCATAGGTTGAGCATCCTCAATCCAAAAATCCAAAATCTGAAGTGATCCAAAACCTCATATTTTTTTGAGTGCCAATATTGATGGCATAAGTGGAAATTCTACATCTGACCGCCTGTGACAGGTGGCAATAAAAATGCATGCACGCACAGTTTATTAAATGTTCCCAAGGAAGAAAGACTTTCCCCCGCCCCCTCAGCTGTCATATCTTTTCCAGACACAGCTAGATGCCCTCACACAAGCACACCCACAAAGGTTAATAAAATGGCACAAGTGCAAGCCAGGTGTGCCAATGTCAGGTTCCCCATGATACCCTGCATAAGGCCAAGACCTATGTGTATTACTCACTGTGTCGTTTTGTGTATTCTCTGCTCTTTGTAAAGATATTCATGAAATGTCCAAATAGTCTATATTAAATAATTGTACGGGTAACAGTGATAAGAAAAAGAAGAAGCATTTATATTTATTGCACAGAAAGTCGAGCTTTTTGAGAAAAGGACAGTGGTGTAACTGTAAAACATCTTGGAGAGCAGAAGGGTGTTGGAACAACCACTATAAATGACTTGTATACACAGGAGGATAAACTGTTGTTTTATGCTAAAAGTGATTAAGTTAATGAAAAATAGAAAAACAATGCATGCCATAAAGCTAAAAATGAAGATTTTGATCATGTATTGAGTAGATCCATCAGTATTGCAGTGAACACATGCCACTTAATGGTATACTGATCATGAAACCAGCAAAGATCATGATGAACTAAAAATTGAAGGGAACTGTGGATATTCAATAAGCTGGTTGCAGAAATTTAAGGAAGATATGGCATTAAATTTTTATTATTACTTTTAATTATGGGCACATAATAGTTCTATATATTTATGGGTACATGTGATGTTCGATATAGGGATAAAATATGTAATAAATCAGGATAACTGGGGTATCCATCACCTTAGCACTTACTATTTTTCGTGTTAGGAACATTACAATTCTGCTTTCTTAGTTGTTTTAAAAATTTGTGGTGATAAAGCATCTGCTGATTATAAAGCAGTGGACAGATTCACTGACGAGTTCACTAAGGTCATCAGAAATAAAAATCTGACACCAGAACAAGTCTATAATATTGATGAAACATCACTGTTTTTGTTACTGCCCCAGGTGAGACAGCCCCTATATGAATTAAGGATACCAATGACAGAAGAACTCTGCTGAGATATATTAATACAGCAGGCCCACATAATTATAAACTTGCTATGATAGGCAAAAGTTTGCATCCTTGCTATTTTCCAGGAGTGAATTTCTCACCAGTCCATTATTATGCTAACAAAAAGGCATGGATCACCAGGGCCATCTTTCCTGGTCGGTTTCATAAACATTTTACACCAGTGGTTTGTGCTCACTGCAGGGAAGCTGGCCTGGGTGATGACTGCAAGATTTTGTTATTCCTTGATAACTTCTGCTCATCTTCCATCTGAAATTCTCATTAAAAAATGTTCATGCCATGTATTTTCCCCCAAGTGTGACTTCATTAATTCAGCCATGTGACCAGGGTGGGTATCCTTAGATCAATGAAGAGTAAATATAAAAACACTTTCTTAAAGAGCATCCTATCAGCAGTGAGCAGAAGCATGGGTGCAGAAGGTTTTCAAAAGGATGTTTAGCATGAAGGATGCCACATGTGCTGTTGCCAACACTTTGAACACATGACTAAAGACACAGTTGTGCGTGACTGGCACAATCTCTGGCCTGTGATTACGTTAACTGATGATGATAAACAAGGTGGTGACTTTGAAGGATTCTGTATGTCAAGTGAGAGAAAAATGTCTGACCTCCTTACATATGCAACAAATATACCTTCAGAGTCCATCAGTAAGCTGGAAGAGATGGATATTGAAGTGGTTTTTAACATCACTAATGAGCATCCAGTTGTTCATTCATTGACCAATGGTGAAATAGCCAAAATGGTTCTGAATCAAGGTGATTATGATAATAGTGATGATGAAACTGTTAACACTGCAGAAAAAGTGCCTGGAAGTGACACTGTGAAAATGTGTGATGGGCTTATTGAAAGACTAGAGCAGCATGAACAAGAAATCATGTCAGTTTATAAAACCAAAAAGAAATTTGTAAGACAAAAACCTTTGTTAATGAGGCAGATAACTCTAAAGGAAACACTTCAAAATGCCATCGAACAGGATTCCTTCTTATCCCTAGATGACCCACTTCCGGATTCTTTAACTGCTGCTGCTGTTTTTCTCACCCAGAAAAATAAAATGCCCTATGCAGTAATCTTTTACTCAGAACACAACATTGTAGGTAGAGGCAGAAAGCTTGCCATTGTTTGTTGTTGCTGTTGTGTAACAGCTGATAACAGGTATTCTGATGATGCTACTGTACTACTTAGTTATCCTGAACACATTTTTTTACTGTAGTAATGGTATGTCACACGTTTACTCTTAAGTACTTATGAATGAATGTGTAAGAAAATGACTGCTTATTGGTAGCATATAAATTCAGTCAGGAATGATGGTGATGCCAAACAATTACAGATTGTCCACATGGGTGGCTCAGACAGTGACACCTTTACATTCCATTGGTTCAATGTAGACAGCTTTGTTGCATGCACAAAATTATCAAAAATATTATATAAAATTGCCTTCAGGCTATGTGTGTAAGGTGTTTTGTGTTTAGACCTGGGTACCATCCTCAAGATATCTCAGTATGTACCTGTAAATATTCCAAAATTGAAAAAAAAAAAAAAACACCACCAAACAAACCCCAAATCCAAAATACTTCTGGTAACAAGCATTTCAGACAGTGAACAGTTAACCCGTAATTACTGAGAGAAGGACTTATGTCTTAGAGCTGTTTTTTTGTTTGTTTTGTTTTGTTTTTTACATATAGGCTTTTTGTTACTCATTTCCTCCATTGCTGCCTTCTTTTGTTTTTAGTTGTGACATGTTTTGATTCCCTTCTCATTTCCTTTTGTACACACTCGATAGTTATTTTCTCTGTGGTTATCATGGGAATTATATATAACATTCTAAAGTTACAACAATCTAATTTAAATTGATATCAAGTTAACCTCAAGTGTATACAAAAACTCTTATAAAGCATTGTCACTTCCCCTACTTTGTTATTCATGTCACAAATTACATCTTTATATATTGTGTACCTACTAAAGAGCTTTATAATTATTTTTATGCCTTTGTGTTTTAATTCAGGTTGATAATAATAAGTAGAGTTACAAACTAAAATTATAATAATACTGATTTTTATATTTGACTGCCCAGTCTTCCTGGACATATAATTCTTGGTTAATCTTTATTTTTCTTCTAGCACTTTAATTATACCTTCTGGCCTCCAAAGCTTCTGCTGAGAAGTCAGAATCCCTCATTATTGAGAATCCCTTGTATATGATGAGTTTATTCTCTCTTGCTGCTTGCAGATTCTCTTTCAACAATTTGATTATAAGGTATCCTTTGGGTTGATTCTACTTGAAGTTCATTGAGCATCTTACATTTGTGGATCCATGTATTTCCTCAAATTTGGGAGGGTTTTGGTCATTATTTCTTCAGATCATCTTTCTGATCCTTTCTCTGTTCAATGAGCATCTTGGATTTGTGGATCCATGTATTTCCTAAAATTTGGGAGGGTTTTGGTCATTATTTCTTCACATAATCTTTCTGATCCTTTCTCTCTTCCCCTTCTGGGACTCCCATAATGTATATATTGGTATATTTGATGATGTCCCATAAATCTCATAGGTTTAGTTCACTTTTCATAATTCTTCTTGGTCCTTAGAATTGATAATTTCAAATATCGTATCATAAAGTTGGCTGATTTTTTTTCTTCTGCCTACTCAAACCTTGAACTTCTCTAGTAAATTTTTAAATTCAGTTATGGGACTTTTCAGTTGCTTCAGGATTTGTTTGGTTCCTTTTTATAATTTTTCTTTTTTGATATTTTCATTTTGTTCTTATGTGTTTTTTTTTTAATATTCTTTAGTTCTTTATATGGTTTCCTTTCACTCTTTGAACATATTTAAGGCAGCTGTTTTAAAGACTTTGCCTAGTTAGTAAGATGTCTGTGCTTTCTCAGGTTTGATTTCTACCAATTAATTTTGCTCCTTTGAATAGGCCATGTTTTCCTGTTTCTTTGTATGCCTTGTGGGGTGTGTGTGTGTGAAACTGGGCATTTGAAAAAGCCATCTTTCCCGGTCTTTGCAGACTAGCTGTGTGCCGGGACAGTCCCACTAATTAGCTAGGTTTGCTCTGAGCATAGGAATTGGCCTGAGGTAAAAGCTTATGGTCTTGTCAGGTCTTTTCTGAAATGTGTGTTGACTGGGCCTGTGTGTGGCTTTCTCAATTCCCCTGTATACATGGCTGCTTTTGAATGCCTTAATTTCTGTAAGAAAATGGCCTGTTGCATGGCAACAGTGATGTCATCTTGAAGCAAAACTGACATGATGACGGATGTTTGACTCCTACATACCAAGGTGTTCTGCAGCAAGTTCTTTAGACAATGCCTGTAGCATAGATAATCCCTAATAAAGATGTTTATCTAGCCTCTACAGTGATCATGGGTTTTGGCAATATAACCCCTCATGAGAATGCTTATTTAATCTCTCCAGTTTTGTCAAGAAAGTCTGAGACATTACCAGCTGCACATGTCTTTACCTCTGATTTTTTATGTTAACTGTGGGGTAACAAGGACAAAGAGCTTCCTATTCTGAAATTTGGCTGTATGTCACTCAGAGTGTGGAACTGAAAGAAGGAAGAGGCTGAGGGGAGAGGAATTTTCCAGGTATGGTAGTCTTCCTTTATCCATGGGGTATATGTTCAAAGACCCCCAGTGAATGCTTGAAATAGCAGATATTACCGAATCTGATGGCTGTCAATTCGAACACCTTTCTGTTTGTGTCTTTCACCTGCAAATGTAATGACTTCCATCGTAGCTAAGCACTTATCACACACTGTGGCTGTAACTTTTGCAGTTTGAGGTGCAACAGCACAACTCATGAATTTCTGTTTCCTTCTTCACAATGTCATGGATAGAGGATTCATATGTAATGTACCATAGATCTTAGCAAGCTCCGCATATGATATATATCCTTATTAAGTTGAGAACTTTCACCTTTTTACTCACTGAGAGCACCATAAGATGCATCTCTTTGTTATATCTGAATTGCCAGCATCACTACTTTTGTGCTTTGGAGTCATTATTAAGTAAAATACAGGTTGCGTGAATACAAGCAGTGCTACACCATTACAGTCCATCTTTTAACCAAGATGGCTGCTAAGTGACTTATGGGCAGGTGGCATATACAGTGTGGGTACACTGGACAAAGGGATTCACATCCTGGACAAAACAAAATAGGACAGTGTGAGATTTCATCACACTACTCAACAGTGCACGATTTAAAAATTATGAATTATTTATTTCTGGAATTTTCCATATAATATTTTTGGGCTGTGGTTGACTGCAGGTAATTGATACCACAGAAAGGAAATTAGCAGATAAGGGGAGACTACTATAATAGCAGTATAAATATCTGAGTTCTTTACCTCAATTGAATGATTATTACTATTTTAATGGCTAGTACCATCATGCTAAGCCTATTAGTAAGGATAAAGATTTACAGCTGTGCAATTAAGCTATAAGTTTCCCCATGTGAATTATAAAAATCTCAAGTTCTGTGAATTTATAGCTCTTGCCTAGAACAATGAGAAAGATGAGGGTTGTATGGTCAAAATTTTTGGAAATGTTAAGATAAACAAACAGTTAAGTTTGTGATTTCTGAGAACATTTCATGTACACCAGAAATTTTTAAAGAAATTAGTTTGTCTTAATATATCCTTCAAGTATTTAGCCATATATATTTTATTTTACTGAGTGTTTTATGGCACTATTATATTAAGGAGTTCAATCTGGGAACTATATCCATAGAAAACTGATTAGAATTGCTATAGAGCACTGGCTCTCAATTTTTTGCAATTTATGGAGCATTTCCACTGTAACCTCATTTCATTGCCTATACAAAAAAGATCTCTCCAAAGTTTATAGAACTAAACGCCTGCACCAAAAAGTTAGAAAGATCTCAGATTAACAATCTAACATCACACCTAGAGGAACTAGAAAAACAAGAATAAACTAACCCCAAAGATAGCAGAAGAAATGAAGTAACTAATATCAGAGCAGAACTAAATGAACTTGAGATCCAAAAATCCATACAAAGAATGAACGACACCAAAAGTTTATACTTTGAAAGGATAAACAGGTATGATAGACCACTCATTTGATAACAAAGGAAAAAAGGATGATCTAAATAAGCACAATCAGAAATGACAAAGGTAATATTATCAGTGATCCCACAGATATACAAAAGATCCTTAGAAACTAATACAAACATCTGAATGCACATGAACTAGAAAATGTAGAGGAAATAGATAAATTCCTGGAAACACACAACCTCCCAAGATTGAGCCAGAAAGAAAGTGAAACCCTGAACAGAACAATAAACAAGTTATGAAATTCAATCAATAATAAAAAGCCTACCTTTTTTTTTTTTTTTTTTTTTTTGAGACAGAGTCTCGCTCTGTCGTCGAGGCTGGAGTGCAGTGGCATGATCTCGGCTCACTGCAATCTCTGCCTCCTGGGTTCATGCCATTCTCCTGCCTCAGCCTCCCAGGTAGCTGGGACTACAGTCACTCACCATCATGCCTGGCTAATTTTTTGTATTTTTAGTAGAGACGGGGTTTCACCGTGTTAGCCAGGATGGTCTCGATCTCCTGACCTCATGATCTGCCCACCTCGGCCTCCCAAAGTGCTGGGATTACAGGCGTGAGCCACCGTGCCTAGCCAGAAAGCCTACCAATTTTTAAAAAGCCCCGGACCAGATGGATTTGCAGCTGAATTATACTAGATGTATAAAGAAGAACTTGTACCAATCCTACTGAAACTATTCCAAAAATCAGGTAGGAGGGAACTCCTTCATAACTCATTCTATGAAGCCAGAACCACCCTGATACCAAAACCTGGCAAAGACACAATGAAAAAAGAAAACCACAGGCCAATATGCCTGATGAACATAAATGCAAAAATCCTCAACAAAATTCTAACACATTGAATCCAGCAGCAAATCAGAAAGTTAATTCACCATGATCAAGCAGGCTTTACTCTTGGGATGCAAGGTTGGTTCAACATATGCAGATCAATAAGCGTGATTCACCACATGAACAGAATTAAAAACAAAAACCATATGATTATCTCAATAGACATGGAAAAAGCCTTTGATAAAATCCAACATCCTCCTTGATAAAAAACCCTCAACAAGCTAGGCATAGAAGGAACAGACCTCAAAGTAAGAGCCATCTATGACAAACCCATAGCCAACATCATACTAAATGGCAAAAGCTGGAAGCATTCCCCTTAAGAACAGGAATAAGACAAAGATGCCCACACTCATCATTCCTGTTCAAAAAAGTACTGGAAGTCCTAGCCAGAGAAATCAGGAGAAGAGAAAGAAATTAAAGGCATCCAAATAGGAAAAGATTATCTCTCTTTGCTGATGATATGATTCTGTACATAGAAAACCCTAAGGACTTCACCAGAAGACTCCTAGACCTGAAAAATGACTTCTGTAAAGTTTTGGATACAAAAATCAACAGAAAAATCAGTGCCATTTCTGTATACTAATAACATTCAAGCTGAGAGCCAAGTCAAGAACATAATCCCACTTACAATATCAATACACAAACAAAATAAAATACATAGGAATACACCTAACCAAGGAAGTGAATGAACTACAAAATACCGCTGAAAGAAATCACAGACGACACCAACAAATGGAAAAACTTCCACGTGCCTGGATTGGAAAAATCAATATCATTAAAATGTCCATACTGCCCAAAGCAATCTATGGATTCAACTCTGTATCTATCAAACTACCAAGGTCATTTTTCATAGAAATAGAACAAAAACCATTCTAAAATTCATATGGAACCAAAAAAGAGCCCAGATAACCAAAGCAATCCTAAGCATGAAGAACAGAGCTGGAGGGATCACCATTACCCAACTTTAAACTATACTACAAGTCTGCAGTAACCAAAACAACATAGTAGTAGTACAAAAACAGACACAGAGACCAATGTAACAAAATAGAGAACACTGAAATAAAGCCACACATCTACAGGCATCTGATCTTCGACAGTCAAGAAAAGAAGTTGGGAAAGGACTCCCTATCCAATAAATGGTTCTGGAATAGCTTGCTAGCCATATCTTTTCACCATATACAAAAATTAACTTAAGATTAATTAAATAATTAAATGTATGACCTCATACCATATAAGAATCCTAGAAGAAAACCTAGGAAATGTCCTTCTGGACATTGGCCTTGGTAAAAAATTTATGATTAAGTAAGTCCTCAAAAATAAATGCAACAATAACAAAAATTGACAAGTGGGGCCCAATTAAACCAAAGAGCTTCTGCACATCAAAAAAACTATCAACAAAGTAAACAGACAGCCTACAGAATGAGAGAAAATATTTGCAAACTATGCTATGCATTTAACAAAGGACTAATAAGCAGAATCTATGAAAAACTTGAAATCAACAAGATAAAAACAAATAAGTCCATTAAAAAGCATGAAAATGACATGAACAATCATTACTCAAAAGCAGACATACAAGCAGTCAACAAACATGAAAAAATGCTCAATGTCACTAATCAAAGAGATGCAGATCAAAACCACAATGAGATACCATCTCACACCAGTCAGAATGGCTTTTGTTAAAAAGTCAGAAAATAACATATGCTGTGAGGTTGTGGAGAAAAGGGAATGCTTATACACTGCTGGTGGGAATGTAAATTAATTCAGCCACTGTGGAAAACAGTCTGGAGATTTCTCAAAAACTGAGAACTATCATTCAACCCGTTGATCCCATTCCTGAGTATATACCCAAAGGAAAATAAATTGTTTTGCCAAAAAGACACATGCACTTGTATGTTCATCACAGCACTACTCACAATAGCAAAGACATGGAATCAACCTAGGAACCCATCAATGATGGATTGAATGAAGAAAATGTAGTATATATACACCATGGAAAACTATACAGCCATAAAAAAGACTGAAATAACATCCTTTGCAGCAACATAGTTGTAGCTGGAAGCCATTACTGTAAGTGAATTAACTCAGTAATAGAAAACCAAATACCACATATTCTCATATGTAAGTGGGAGTAAAGCATTAGGTACACATGGACATAAAGATGGGAATAATAAACACTGGGGACTAATAGAAGGGCAAGGAGCAAGGGCTGAAAAACTACTTCTTGGGTACTATTGCTTACTACCTGGGTGATGGGGATCATTCATACCCCAAATCTTAGCATCATGCAATATACCCATGTAACAAACCTGCACATATGCCCCCTGAAGCTAAAATAAAAGTTGAAATTATTAAAGAAAAAAACTTCTAAAAAATTCACCAATACAGTAGTTTCTCCTTTAGAGATAATTTGGGAGGACCAAATAAGGTAATGTTTGTCACAGTACTTAACATAGGACACTATATTAATATAAACTTTAAAAATTAAACTTTTAAAGATAATTATATATTAATATGCAGTTCTAAGAAATAATGGAGAAGTCCCATGTCTCTTTTATCCAGTTTCTTCCAATGATAATATTTTACAAAAATTTAATACAATGTTACAACCAAAATATTCACATTAATACAGTCAAGATTAATGTAAAATTTTTAAGTTGTAGGAAGTGTTACATATGCCATATATAAAGAGCTGGATCATAAAGTACTATTACATGTTCAAATGTATCCTTTCTAGATGTTTGACATTTAGGCATTAGGTCAAAATAATCTAGATATCAAAACTAGGCAGAGATATTGAAGCAAAACCATGAGTCTGTAAGTCTGATCCCTCATGAATGTAAATGCCAACATTTAAAAATAGTAAATGAAATGCAGGAATATGTAAAAATACATCATCACAATTAAGAAGTATTTATTCTGGAACGTAAGGTTAGTTTGCCATTTGAAAATCAATGCAATTCACGATATTAATAGAACAAAGGAGAAAGATCATGATAATCTTGATAGGCACAGGAGAAGTATTCGATAAAATTCAATACCTATTCATGATAGAAACTCTTAGCAAACTAGTTACTGAAGGGAACTTTATTAATATGAATAAAAGGTTTATTAAAAACCTGGGGAAAACTTTATGCTAACTGGTGAATTATTGAAAGCTTTCCCTAAGAATCAAGAAATAGAAAATAATGCCGGTCACAACTTCTACTTATCTTTATACTAGAGCTTCTAGTCAGTGCAATAATAAGGAAAGAGAAGTAAAAAGCATAAGAACTAGAAAGGAAGGAATTAAAATGTCCTTATTTGCT
The DNA here is from genome assembly GCF_000001405.40 of Homo sapiens. Taxonomy (NCBI): domain Eukaryota; kingdom Metazoa; phylum Chordata; class Mammalia; order Primates; family Hominidae; genus Homo; species Homo sapiens. Next base: position 63,255,348 of record NC_000002.12, read on the forward strand.
GATATGGTTTGGATGTTTGTCCCCTCCAACTCTCATATTGAAATGTAATCCCCCATGTTGGAGGTAGGGCCTCATGGGAGGTGTTTGGGTCATGAAGGCAGATCCCTCTTACATGGCTTGGTGCCCTCCCCATGGTAAGAACTGAGTTCTTGCTCTGTTAGTTCACATGAGAGCTAGTTGTTTACAGGAGCCTGGGTCCTCCTCCTCTCTCTGTTTCTTCCCCTCTTACCATGTGATATGGCATCTCCCCCTTTACCTTCTACCATGATTTGAAGCTTCCTGAGGCCTCACCAGGTACAGATGCCAGCACCATACTTCTCATATAGCCTGAAGAACCTTGAACCAAAATAAACCTTTTTTCTTTATAAATTACTCAGTCTCAGGTATTCCTTTATAGCAATGCAAAGAGACTAACACATTTCCAGACGACATGATGTGGATGCAGAAAATTCAAAAGAATTTACTAACTGTTGGCATTAATAAGCGAATTTATCACTTATTGCTAGATATAAGGTCAATATATACAACAGTCAATTGTATATATACCAGAAATAAAACAGAAAATGAAATTTAAAAATAAGATTACCACATACAAAGGAGAAAAAGAAATACTTAAATCTAAAGGAAGATGTGGAAGACCACTACTATGAAAACTACAAAACATTTTTCATAAGAAATAGAGAAGACCTAAATAAATGGAGGGATAGATCATATTCATGGATTGGAAAACAATATTATAAAGAAATAAATTCAGCCCAAATGTATCTATGAATTAAATGAGATTCTAACCAGAATTTCAGCCCCCACTGTTTTTGTTTCTTTTTTTTCCTTGAGTGAGTCAGGGTATAAGCTGATTTTGAGATTTATATGGAAGGATAGCCAAGTCTATCTTAAAGAACAAAGCTGGGCAATTTTCACTACTAAATAATAACATTGACAGCCAGAGTTGCTTAAAGCAGTGAGATATTTGTGCAAGTATAGACAAACAGAGTAATAAAATAGAACATGATCCAGAAACAGCCTATATATTATACTGTCACATATACAAAATTACAATACCTTTTCCACCGGAATGGCTAAAATAAAAAAGAGAGACAATATCAAGCATCATTGAGGATGGCCAAAACTGGAACTCTTACATACTGCTGGTGAGAAGGGAAATTGTTAACAACTACTTTGGAAAACTGGAAGTAGCTACTAAGGCTGCATATCCTACGTCACAGGAGTTCAACTTCTAAGCACAGTCAAACAGATCTGCCTACCTATGTCCATTAAAAGACATACACAAGAATGTTCATAGCAACACTATTCGCATTAGCCCCAAACTTGAAACAACCCAAATATCCATCTAAAGTAGAATAAATTGAAGTACATTCATGCATTGGAATATTGTTATACAGCAAGAAGAGTGGAAGAATTATAACTATATGCAACATACGAAAGATTCTCAGATTCATAATGTTGAATAAAAGGAGCCAAATACAAAAGAATATAGGTATGAATCCATTTAAGTTTGAAAAAAGGCAAATTAGTCTATAATGTTACAAATCTGGACAGCTGGGCTGAGATTATAGCATCTTGAAGTGGGTATAGGAAGGCTTCTGGGGTCCTGGTAACATATGTTACTTGGTCAGGATACTGTTTACAAGGATGTGTTCACTTTGTGAAATTCATTGAGTCACATGCTTATGTTTTGTGCACTTTTCTGTATGCATGTTAGACTTCAATAAAAAGTTTAAAAAATTACCAAATTGTTCAGATTATCATCATCCAGCTTTTCCTTTGGCGCCTCTTGCTTTTAACTATGGTGGCAGTATTTATGTCTGATGCTTTTTTACAGACTTTCCCATGTAAATGGAACTACTCTTTTGCTATCTCACATAATTTGGCTCCTTGCTTGCATCAAAGAACCACTTTGAAAGCCAAAAATTTAATAACTTTCAGCTTTGGGATAAGTTTAAGAGAATAATTGAATTAAATTGAGGGAATTTGAAAGAAAATTAGCTTTCCCCAGCATGATGTGGGCTGCAAAAAAGAACTAGGTAGAGACCATGATGAGGAAACAAGAAATTCTTTGTTAATTCCATTCGGAATTATGAGTGAGAATCACCCAGTTTTCTGCAGCAAAACTGGAGTAGAACATTCATGTAATAGGGCAACCTCTTGAAAGTTACTGATGTTATTTAATAGTATCTTTGTCAAAACATAGTAATCTAGGTCAAAGGCTGAGGCCTGAGACAAGGCTGAGAAAAGGGAAGTCACAGGGTATCAGTGAAAATATATTTGCTAGAAATGACGCAGGGCTCAAAGTGGGTACACTAAGCTTTCTGGCTAGGAATTATCCGCTGGCCACAGTAACCTCATCAGAGAATACACAGGAAGTGAGATGCATTTTGGTGAATTGGGGAGTTTCTTCATTTTGCTGAAATTTTGTGATAATCTCTTCACATTCTCTTTCACTCTTACTAATTTTAAATAGCTTTAAAATGCAAAGATGGCCCTCATTATATCTGATACCCTGGAATAAAAGGCAGGGTACAGGACAACTAAGGAAAATTCCCAGAAAATTGGTTAGGACTTAACTTCCTGCTTTGTTTTCCTAAATGGCTAGAGGGATAGGGATGGAGGATATTTCCCCATCATATAACGTCATCATTCCTATAAACATGGTATGCTTTCATCATTTAGTTAGAAGTGACTTCTCATAGCAAATATAAATTGTACTTACTTCACAGAGTTGTGGTGAAAATTAGTTATCTGTAACTTAACATTCAATAAATATTAAGTGCTATTATTAGTAGTAGTACACACATTAATATCCCTCCCTAGAAAGTAACAAGATATAGTGATAGGTCAATTACAGTTATTCTTATCCAATACTGCATTAATAGTGAGTATTCCCTATCCATTAGAAACAGAGATATGAAAGTGGTCTAATCAATCTGGAACTCTTTCAGGATGGGGGAAGGAGAATGGGATTATCTTGCTAGTACCTGTCAGCCCTGGTATTCAGGTTTAGAGCTACCCTGCTGGAATGGCTTTGAGTCCTTCAGTACCACCTTGAAGATTAGATCTATGTGGTGGCATCAGAGAGAAGCTGACAATTGGTCCCTTTGGCTGCAAACAGCATTACAAAAACAAAGCACAAGATCTGTCAATGGAAAGGCTTGTATAAGATTTTTCAAGCACTTAAAAGTGGAAATCTTTTTAAAACTTATTTGTTTCAGAGGAGTTCCACAGAAAAATGAATTCTAGTACAATCCTGAGGGTTCTTTGCCTACTTTAGGAATAATAAATACTCAGGAAGAAAAGGAATTGGATTTGTAAGTATCAATATTGCTCAATTTAGCAGCATTAGATAAACTGAGTTTTAAAAAAAGATGTTAGCATTGATATTACAGTAATTTTTATAAACTTTCATTTTTTATGTTATAAAATTTAAATGGACTTTCAAATTCATTCTAAGGCTTCTGATCTGTCTTCTTCAGAATACTATGGTTTAAAATGATTCTAGCAGCTTCTAAACAAAAACAATCACCCATCAAACCCAAAATCTCATATGAAATACTTTGCCTGATATAGGAGAGAATTCTTTTGAGAAATGACATGTCTGTGTATAAATAAAGGATTATATAAATTTCTGTGTTGGTTAATTTTAGTAACAGCACTATGATAATACTAAGCTCTTTCTCCCAAAATCTTATGAAAAGAATATCCTTTTGACTTTTTGCTAAATGATGACTATAGTAATCACTGATTAGAAATTTTCACATAAACACAATTCCAACTTGTGTATCAACATTGTGCTGTTTGTCAAAGCTTAATTCTTCTTTTTATAAGGCACTGTCTTTACAAACAAAGTAATTCAAATTAACCATCCATGTCCTCCAAACATAAATAGAAATGATACTAACTATTGATTAAAATAAAAAGCACTTAAAAATAGCGTTAATTCTTACCAACCCCAGAGGTTATTGATTCTGCATCAATGTCACTAGCTCTTTTTCTTGCCACTTCAGCTAGTGCCAATTCACCTTTATCTAGTGCAAGGTAATGAATATCCTGAGGAAATAAAGCAAAATAAAAGATTGATTCAAAATGAACCTTGCCCAAGTTACAAGGAGGATTTTGAAGGAAACTTATTGTCCAGATTACAAAATAGAAACAGTTTGTAAATATTCTTTTCTGTGTTTTAAGTTTCTTAGTTTTCTAGTATAAGCAAATTTTTCTGAATTGGAGATCACAGCTATAACTAAAGGCAAGTATTTAAATAAATTATTTTAAGCTGTGAGGGAAAATACAAGTTTTTAATAAAGTGTTTGACAAAGTTTTGTCAGGGAATAAAAATGTTAATTGCTATTTTTCTTTGGTAAGACATTAATATCCAAGAGTGTGTCTTCAAATTTTAATTGTATATTATGCTAAGCACGATACAAGGGATACTAAACAGATTTGTTGCTGCATATGGCATATATTTGTTATTATTAATATTACTAGTATTTTGAACTCAAATAATTAGTACTGACTAATTGCTGGGCACTGTTTTGGAGTATGGCGATCAATTATAATACCATATCTCAGAAAGCTGTATGCCCAGTGGGGAGAGAGACCACTGTAAACCAATAGTTAATTACAAAAAAGTATGATAGATTTTATAGCACATATGTGCAGAGTGCTGTGGAGCCAAAGAGGAGGAACTGATCTCTGATGGTAGTCTTGAAGGGTGAATAAGAGTCACTATAAGAGGGGGAAAATGGAGAAAAGGTGACTGACAGGGAATGAATGACATCTGGTGCAGATATGCAGAGAAGCTTGAGAAAACACAACTCTCTCTGACAATGGCAGATCTTTCGATATGGAAGGAGTGTTGGATGTGTGGGAGAAAGCAGTGAAAAATAATACTGAACAAGTGGAGTCACTAAAAAGGATTTAGATCTCTTTTTGCTACGCGGAATGATTGTTGGAATGAAAATTTTATTGAAATAAAAATGGGAAAAGAATATGAACAACCAGTTTACAGTGAAGAAATAAATATAAATGGCTTATCATTAAAAGATATGTGACCTTATGCAAATAAATGCAAGCTGAAAAATGTAATTTCAAATTGGATAAATCTTTAAAAGTAAATAATAATTACAGGTTGCAAAGTTTTGGGAAAACAGGCATGTAACATTTACTGGGAATATAATTGGTTAAGACTTTATTTATTAATTTATTTTTTGAGACAGAGTCTCACTCTGTTGCCAGGCTGGAGTGCAGTGGCATGATCTCAGCTCACTGAAACCTCTGCCTCTTCAGTTCAAGTGATTCTCTTGCCTCTGCCTCTTGAGTAGCTGGGATTACAGGCACGCACCACCACGCCTGGCTAGCTTTTGTATTTTTAGTAGAGACGGGGTTTCACCATGATGATCAGGCTAGTCTCAAACTCCTGACCTTGTGATCTGCCCGCCTCGGCCTCCAAAAGTGCTGGGATTACAGGCGTGAGCCACCAGCACCCGGCCGGTAAAGACTTTATAGAGCCAAGGATCAGTAAGCTATGGCCCATGGGCCAAATCTAGCCTGCTTTTGATACAGTCCTCAAGTTAAGAATGGTTTTTACATTTTTAATGGTTGGAAGAACTGTGCTCAATCACTGCTATTGAATGCTGAGTGGCTTTGAAATTAGCTTTTGCTGCAGATTTGAAAAGGTTTCAAGCTAAAGTTACAATGTAAAACAGTGCTTATACGTGAAACATACTGTGATAAAATCATTTCATTTCAACGAGAACATTGTTTGAATTGCAAGTAATGTCAGGCTGCATCACATACTTCCTGCACTGTCGAAAGGTTTTTTTTTTTTCTGTTTTTTTTTTTTTAATCTCCATTCCTACACAAATTTTCAGCAATATATTTTCTGATTTCAAACTACAGCAGTGTTTTTCAGACCTTGATGCAAGTGCAAAGGAAATTTACATATTCCAAAATCCATTTAACTGTGCAATTGAGGAACTTTAATTGGAAGTGATTTGCAATGTAATGACATGCTAAAAGGCATTCTAGCCTTTTAGCTAATAGAATTCTAAAAATGCCTGCCAGTCTGTTGAATATACTCAATTAAAAGCATATACTCATGGATTGATATCAGTATTTGGCAGTACTTATATATGTGGAAAGACATTTTCAAAGGTGAAGTATGTAAAATCTCATTGTAGATAAGCATTAACAGATGAACGTCAGCTAAAGATTTTGATGATAGGAAACACCAGCTTTCAAATCCAATTAAGTGAAGTGTTACCTCCTCTGAAAAGGATTCCATTCTTCACATATATAGAGCTATATCACAAAAATTGTCCTCTTTTAATTTCATCAATAAAGATTTATGGAAATTTTCTGTCTTGTTATATAAGTACCTACATGATAACTTCAGTTTTGCCTCTTGGCTCACAAATCTCTAATATTTGCTATCTGGCCCTTTGTAGAGAAGGTTTGCTGGCCCTGTATTTTAACAATATATCATAATTTAAAATATACTTTTGGTAAATCTCCCTAAGGAAATGATGGGACAGTGTCCAAGATTGGTAATTAAAGCATTGTTTATAACAGTGAAAAACTGGGGGCAACTAAAATGTACAATCAAAATAATCATGTGGTTTTTAATTTTTAATCCAAGAATAGCATGATACTTTCATAATAGATCCTTATATTCAGAGAAGAATTTGGTAAGTTGAAAATATATACTTTTTTCAACTTTGCTAATATTTAAGATTTTTACATCTATGCTCTTAAGAATAGTCTGTGACTTTGTTTACTTGGACTGCCCTTGACTGGTATCAAGATTACACTGGCCTTATAAAATGAGTTAGGTGGCTTTCCCTGTTTTCTGTTCTTTGATAAACTTTGTATTTATTATGGAAAGCAAAAAATATGCAATACATTTGAGAAGACATTACCAACCATTACTAAAGAACATAAATGAACATCTGATTAAAATACAGACATACACATGTTTATACCTAGGAAGACAATACATTTATGAAGATTTCAATTCTGACCCAATATATTCTGTAAAACTCAGTGGAGCTCTAATCAAAATCCCCTCAACTTGATAAACTGATCTTAAAATTAATAGGTCAAAACAAATGGTCAAGAATATCTAAAACTTATTCTAGTTAATTTTAAAACTATAGAACACTGATATACAACCATATAAGCCAAAAAAAAAAAAAAAAAGAAAGAAAAGAAACAAGAAACATACCCATATATAGATGGTTCTATTTGTGGTACTATTATGAGTACTTTATGTTTAGACGTAAGTGTGGGCTATAAGATCTGTGGTCAACAAATGATTTCTGGAACATTTTCTGTCTCTTATTTTTGCATTCTTCCTTAATTCTCTGATTTCTCCCCTGTATTTTAAAAAAAGTTCTAGGGAATTGGGGTCGTCGATTTGAAGAGGGCAAATTAAAACATAAAAATAAAAAAGATCATGTTTTACTCTGCCCAGGCTAGATTCAAACTCCTGGGCTCAAGTGAACCTTCTGCTTCAGTCTCCTGAGTAGGTGGGACTACAGGTACTGGCTAAGAGGGCAAACATTAATAGTTCTTAAATTGATATTATATCTCTCCCATGAAAGTCTTAATTTCATAATCTGTTTGGAAACATACTATGCAGTCCATTTATTTGCTGATTCACTTGTGGACCTCCTCATTATTCATATATTTGAATGTGGACTTAAGCAAAATGCATTCAAGAGTATATCTCTATAATTCCATGCCCCTGAGGTCTGACAGAGTTAATTAAGCTTTAGGATCTGGTGAAAGACATATCTAGTATCTATATCACCTCTCAAGTGGCTATCTTCTGACTTCGTTTAATAATTTTTGATAGATTTAGCCTAGGAATTTAGTTTAAATGTTTGATTTACACAATTAAATGCTATGATATGAATGTCCCACCAAAACACATGTTGAAACTTAATTGCCAATGCAATGGTATTGGAAGGTGGGGCCCTTAAGAGAGGATTAGGTCATAAAGTCTCTGCCATCATGAACAAATTAATGCTGTTATCACAGGAGTGGGTTAGTTATCAAAAAAATGGGTTTGTTGTAAAAGTGAATTTGGCCCAATTTCCTTTCTCTGTCTCATGTGTTTACTCTGCCGTCTACCCTTCACCATGGGATCACTCTTACCAGATCCCAGCACCATGCTCTCAGACTTCCCAGCCTCTAGAGCTGTTAACTGAATAAATCTGTTTTCTTTATAAATTACCCAGTCTGTGGTATGCTGTTGTAGCAGCAGAAAACGGATTAAGACAACAAATGTCTGGGAAATGGTCATAGTCTAAATGAATCAAGAAAATAAAACCCACTTGGCTGTATATTTCATTTTTATGTCCTTTACCTGAGTAGGCTAGCACATACAGGAATAATGGACATGGAGTAAAGCTCATTGAGACTAATGCTAAGGTACTGTTAAGTCTAAATATACTGAAGAAATTGCAAACAAGTGGCCACCAGCAGGGTAGTCATACTCATTGTAACATTAGTTTTAATCAACAGATATTAGCTAATCAAAAATCATTCTGCAAATAACTATGCAATGTTTACTATGTGCCAGATACAGAGATGAATTTTCCATGAAGCTAATGAAGCTTAAGCTTCATTTCCACTTACTTGTAGAAGTCCTTTCTGGTATCTAATTTTGTATTTGAAAATGTAAATCCTTTTTCTTAAAAAAAAAATTCCTCAAATTATATCAGCTTCAGGCCCTGTAAAACATGGATGTACCCCCGGCCAGATGCCTAGCTATCATGGTTATAACAGACTAGTGGACTATGTTACTATATGCTACTTGTTTAGAATCACTTGTCTGGAAGACGCAACTACATGCTGTGTACAAGAGGCTCACTTCACCTCTGAGGACACACAGACTGAAAGTAAATGGATGGGAAAAAGATATTCCATTCAAATAGAAACGGAAAGATTGGAGATAGCTATACTTCCATCAGACAAGATATACTTTTAGTAAAAAGGCTGGGTGCGGTGGCTCACGCCTGTAATCCCAGCACTTTGGGAGGCCGAGGCGGGTGGATCACAAGGTCAGGAGATCGAGACCATCCTGGCTAACACAGTGAAACCCCACTATGAAAAGAGAAAAAGAAGGTCATCTTATAGTGATAAAGGGTTCAGTTCATCAAGAAGTTATAACAATGGTAAATATATTTGCATTAAACATTGGAGCCCATGAATATATAAAGCAAATATTAATAAGTTTGAAGGGGAGAGAGATTGCAATACAATAATGGTAGTAGACTTCATTACCCCCACTTTCAACACTGGATCATCTAAAGAGAAAATCAATGAGGAGACATCAATTTAAACTACAATTAAAAAAATGGACCTAACAGATATTTTACAGCATCAGCATCCAACAGAAACAGAATATAAATTCTTTTCAAGAGTACATTGAACATTCTTCAGAACATATGATATGCTGGGCCACAAAACAAGTCTTAACAAATTTAGGAAGACTGAAATCATATATTTTCTGACCACGATGGCATGAAACTATAAATCAGTAACAGGAACAATCTTGGAAAACTCACAAACATGTATAAATGAAGCATCTTTCTGAACAACCAATTGGCCAAAGATGAAATTTACAAATACCTTGTGACAAACAAAAATGAAAACACAATATACCAAAACATATAAGATGCAGCAAAAGTAGTCCTAAGAGAGTATATGGTAAAAAGTGCCTACTTCAGAAAAGAATATCTCAAATAAACAATCTAACATTACACCTCAAGGAACTAGAAAAAGAAGAATAAGCCCAAACTTGGAAGGAAATAATAGAGAAAAAGGAAACAAAATAGATATTAGAAAAATAACAGAAGAGATCAAGAAAACTAAAAGTTGGTTTTTGAAAAGATAAACAAAACTGACTAAACTTTTGGTAAACTAACAAAGAAAAAAGAGAAGATTCAAATAAAATCAGAAATGAAAGAGGAGACATTATAACTGTATACCACAGAAATACAAAGAATCACAACATACTACTACTACTATGAACAGCTGTATACCAACAACTTGGATAACCCAGAAGAAATGAATGAGCTCCAAGAAACATGCAGTCTACTAAGTCAGGAAAGAAAGAAATAGAAAACCTGAACAGACCAATAATGAGAAAGGAGACTGAATAAATAATCAAAAAGAAAAGCCCAGGATCTGATGGTTTCACTGCTGAATTATACCAAACACTGAAAGAAAAAGTAAAACCAATCCTTCTCAAGCCCTTCCAACAAACTGAAGAGGACGTACTTCCAAACTCACTGTGAGGCCAGCATTACCCTGATACCAAAGCCAGACAAAGACATTACAATAAAAGAAAATTACAGCCCAATGTCCCTGATGAACACAGATGCAAAAATCCTCAACAAAATACTATCAAACCAAATTCAGTGGCACATTAAAAAAGATCATTCACCATGATGAAGTGGTATTTATCCCAGAAACGCAAGTATGGTTCAACATATATAAATCAATAAGTGTGATACAGTGTATTAACAAGATGAAGGACAAAAACTGCATGACCATCTCAATAGATGCAGAAAAAGCACCTGACAAAATTCAACATCTGGTCATGATAAAAACTCAAAAAAATATGGAAGGAATATACCTCAACACAATAAAGGCCATATATGATAAGCCCACAGCTAATGTCATACTCATTTGTGAAAAGTTGAAAGTTTTTCCTCTAAGATCAGAAATAAGACAAGGATACCTACTCTTATCACTTCTATTCAACACAGCACTGGAAATCCTAGCCAGTGCAATTATACATGGAAAAGAAATAAAAAGTATCCTTATAGGAAAGGAAGGTGTGAAATTCTGTTTGTTGATGACACAATCTTACATACAGAAAAAACAAAAAATTGTTCAAACTGATAAATTTGCAGGTTGCAAAACCAAATTTGGTTGATTTTGCAGCTTATAAAATCAGTAAAGTTGCAGGTTATAAAATCAACATACAAAAACTTATCCAAAAAAAAATTAAGAAAACAATTCCATTTATACTAGCACCAAAAAAGAAAATACATAGGAGCAAATTTAACCAAACAGATGAAAAACCTATACACTGAAAACTGTAAAACATTGATGAAAGAAATTAAAGAAGACACAAATAAATGGAAAGATATCGGCTGGGCACGGTGGCTCACGCCTGTAATCCCAGCACTTTGGGACGCTGAGGCGGGTGGATCACGAGGTCAGGAGTTCAAGGCCAACCTGGCCAAGATGGTGAAACCCCATCTCTACTAAAAATACAAAAATTAGCTGGGTGCGGTGGCAGGCGCCTGTAATCCCAGCTACTCAGGAGGCTGAGGCAGGAGAATCATTTGAACTCGGGGGGTGGAGGCTGCCGTCAGTCAAGATCACTCCACTGCACTCTAGCCTGGGCAACAGAGTGAGACTCTGTCTCAATCAATCAATCAATCAATAAAATTAAAAAATAAATAAATGGAAAGATATCCCATATTCATGGATTAGTAGAAACAGTAGTGTTAAAATGTTCATACTACCCAAAGTAATGTACTAATTCATTGCAATTCCTATCAAAATTCCAATGTCATTTTTTTTTAGCAAAATAGAAAAAACAGTCCTAAAATCAATATGGAACCAGATAATACCCTAGAGAGCCAACAATCTTGCACAAAAGGAACAAAGCTGGAGGCAACACAATAACTTCAAAACATATTATAAAGCTATTGAAACAAAAGCAGCATAGTACTGGCATAAAAACAGACACATTGAAGAATGGTACAAGATAGAAAGCCCAGATACAAATCCAAGTATTTATGGTCAGTTGATTTTCAACAAAGCAGCCAAGAACATGCAATGGGAAAGAACAATTTATTGTCCTTTCCAATTTATTTAATAAATGGTGTTGGGAAAACTGGATATTCATGTGCAGAATAATAAAATTGGACCCTTACATCAAACCACATATAAAAATCAACTCAAAATGGATAAAAGATAGTATGTTAAGCACAAGACTTGAAACTTGAGGAGGAGGGAAAAACTCCTCAACATTTGCCTGGGCAATGATTTCTTGGCTAGGATTCCAAAAGCACAAGCAGCAAAAGCAAAAATAGATAAATGAGACTGCAATGAATGAAAAAGATTATGGACAGCAAAAGAAGGAAGTAACAGTGAAGAGATAAACCATGTATTGGGAGAAAATATTTACAAACCATACATCTGATAAGGGGCCAATATCCAAAATATATAAGGAATTCAAACAACTCAATAGTAAGAAAACTCAGTTAAAAGCTGGTAAAAGTATCTGAGCAGACATTTCTCAAAAGAGAGGTAGATGCCAACAGATACATGAAAAACACTCAACATCTCTAATCACCAAGGAAACACAAATTAAAACCACAACGAGATATCACCTCATGCCTGTTAGAATAGCTACTAATGTCAAAAAAGAAAAAAAGAACAAGTGTTGGTGAGGATATGAGGAGAAGGGAACCTGTGTATACTGCTGCTGGGAATGCAAATTAGTACAGCCATTTTGAAAACAGTATGGAGGTTTCTTAAAAAAAACTAAAAACACCATATGATCTAGCAATTGCGCTTCTGGGTATATATCCAAAGGGATTGAAATTGATATGTCAAGCAGATGTTGGTACTCCCATATATTTCAAGATTTTTCACAATAGCCAAGTTATGGAGCAACCTAAGTGTCCATCAATGGTTGAATGGATAAAGGCAATATGGTATATGAACACAATGAGATATTATATATATAGCCTTTAAAAATAAGAAAATTTTTTCATTTGTGACAATATGGATGGAACTAGAGGACATTATGCTAAGTGAAAGAAGCTAGGTACAGAAAGAAAGATACTGTATGATCTCACTTGTTATATATGGATTTTTTTTAAATTGATTTCATAGAAACAGGAAGGTGATGACAGAGGCTGGAGGTGATAGTGGTGGGGAAAGGGAAGATGCTGATCAAAACATACAAAGTTTCAGTTAGACCGTAGGAATAAGTTTAGTGATCATTTACACTATATGATGACCAGCATTAATAGCAATGTATTGTATATTTCAAAATAGATTTTTATTTTTTATCTTTTTATTTTATTTTGTAAAACAGGATCTCACTCTGTCACCCAGGCTGCAGTACAATGGCACAACCATGGCTCATTGCAACCTTGACCTCCAGGGCTCAGGTGATCCTCCCATCTCAGCCTCCCAAGTAGTGGGACTACAGGCACATGCCACCCCACTTGGCTAGTTTTGTTTTGTTTTTGTTTTTATTTTTTTTTGTAGAGACAAGTTTGCCATGTTGCCCAGGCTGGTTTCAAACTCCTGGGCTCAAGTGATCCTCTCACTGTAGCCTCCCAGAAAGTGATGGGATTACAGGCATAAGTCACTGCTCCTGGCCTTCAAAAAAGATTTTTAATGTTATGATCATAAAAAATAAATTGGTAAGGTAACAATATGTGAATTAGCTCAAGGGAATCTTTCTGCAATGTATACATAGATAAAAACATCACATTGTACCCCACAAATATACACACATCACATTGTACCCCATAAACACACACAATTGTTATCTGTCAATTAAAAATATAAAAGAATCATGCATCTTGGAGAGAGCCATCATGAAACATTGTAAGATGTTTAGTCTTTTTTTTTTATTTGTTGGCCCCTTTTTGGAGTCACTTTATAAAATTAAAATGTCATATCACAAGTCTAAATGGACAATATACATAACAGATTTGAAAAGTGTCATATTGACAATTTTTAACTTTTACTTCAACCCAACCAGTGTTACTTAGTTGATAGATGGTTAACTTATAAAAGTGTTACTAACTTGGAATCAAGTTTTCAGAAAGATATTCAGAAGAATGAATACCACTTAGTTTCTGTCATTCTCAATGACAATTTTATAATTTATCATTTGCCAATTTGACTTATATTAGCATCATCATTTAGCACTATTAAATGAAATTGGCTTCCACTCAACAAAAGATGACAAACTGACAGTCTCTGGACTTGATCCAGATTTCAAAATGTACACATATTCTGTCTATACATGTAAGATCTAAATAAAAAACTTGCTGTTCCTGGGACTTCATTACCTTTCACAGAAGACTTCTGAATGTGCTACCAGAATGAATATGCAAATTTACAGCAAAAAAAGCATTTAAAGCTAAAAAAATCTTGAATGGAGTTTCATCTTAAATCATACTTTGGATCAGTTATTGACAGATAATTATAAGTACTATAACATATTGATGTTGTTATAACCTTTTCTAATTTGTGAAATGTTCCTAGGATTGATAGGTTTCTATGAGATATGGAAGCACTAACAAAGACATGCAACAGCTTATACATATTTATGATTACTGTGTTCTTGTCCTGTATGATGCTTTGATTAGTTCAAATCCATTGATAATTGAAAAATTTTATTCGTATTCTACAGCTTTACAGGTTTAAACCCTGGTCAAAGTTGCCTTCAACACATTCAAATTCATGCTATTTCACCTACACATAAATGTGTAAAATATTGATACAATCCTCTTTATGTTTATTTTAAAATAACATTTCCTTTGGACAAATCTGATCAATAAGCAGCTTTAAGAATTGGGGAAAAATATCGTTTCTAATGCTGTATTTTAGAAGCACCATATTTTGTAGCTTTGAGGAGAATGAATGTAACTTTCAAGATAAGGAAGTATGTTAAATAACTTACCTCAGAGTTACGTTAATAGAAATAAAAATTTTAGTAATCAATTGTTAACATTTATATAAATGTTCCACAGTCTTTCTTGTATTAGGTCACAACAATGAATCATCATTTTAAAAGTGAAAATATATGGAAAGAATTGATATTTTATTTTACCAAATTAAGAATTTACTTGGCTTGTTGTATATTCTCATGTTAGAATAAGCTTGTAGGAATTACATGTTTTTGAAGGTTTTGTAGAACTCGTAAATAAAACCAAGTGCTTCCTTTCAGGAGTTCTATTTTTGATTACTGTTTGAATTTTCTCTGTGGGGTTACTGGACTATTTAATTTTTTTTTATTTCTTATGTCGATTTTAGCCATTTATATTTTTCTGGAAATTATTCACGGTGGGGAGGAGGCTTTCAAGATGGCTAACTAGAGGCACCAGCACTCACCACCTCCACAAAGAAGGACCAGAATATCAAGTAGATAATCACATATTGAATACAGCATTTAAGAGAGAACATTAGAATTCAGAGAGAAGTGACAGGGAACCTCTGAGACACAGAAGGAGAGGGAAGAAAAGTTGCCAGCCAGCCAGGATTGACAAAGAGCCAAGAGAAACTCCCCAGTGCAGGGAAAAGGTTAAAGTGAGAGGTTTATAAGCAGTCTGCTCTCCCATGATGGACTCCTACAGTCCTAGTCACAGGAGAGCCCCTCAGTCCTTATGGACCCTGAGACTAGTATAGGGACTTCTCGGAGTCCATGCAGTGGCACTGTTCCAGACAGGTAGTTTGCGCTGCATCCCACATCCCCCAAGACTCAAGCAGCTGTAGCATGATGTCACTTTGAGAGCCCAGTCACAAGAAATGATATGCTTCTCTGGGGCACAATAGCCCCTGAATGTCCACATCACTGGAGCCCTGCTGACATTTCCCCCAACATCAGCCCAGAGGGCTGTAGCATTGAGGCACCGGCTAGACTCAGGTATGCCCAGGTTTGCAGCACTCTAGCCCACATACTGTCCTGCACCTGGGAAATGGGCAGTGATGTGTACTGGGGAGGCTGCCTCTGGGACAATGGGACCAGAACCAAAGTGTGTGCTCACCAGAGCCTGAGAGCCAACTTCCTAGGTCCACTGTCACTGACAGCAGCCCTTCCTTGCTCCCAGCAGCAAAGCCAATGTGCACTTGCACATACCTTTGAGGAGCCCAGAGACCAGCCAACCTGGGCACCATCCTAAGGCCTAAGGACAGGCCCATCTTACCCACTACTGCATGAGTGCACTGTCCAGGGCCCTGAGGATTGATCTGCTTGTCTGCCACAGCCTGTGGTTGAGTGAAACATTAAGGAGCTTCAGGACTGGCTTATCTGGCCACCACTGCTGGTGCCCACATGTACCACTGAGGAGCCTGAGAATAGGTCTCCCCTGGTCACTGGCATCTGAGTACACCATCTAGGGTCCTTGGGACTGACTCATCCCATCACTGTCACTGGTGCCTACATGCACCATTGTGGTGCGGGGGAGGGGGCTTGAAAACAGGCCTGCCCTGCCCACTGCCAGTGACTGCATGTACCATAAAGAAACCTGAAGATAGGTCTACTCTGCCCACTGCCACTGCTTCCACTGCCCAAGCACACCATTTGAGGACGTGGGGAATCAACCCATCCCACCCACCAACACTAGCACCTGCACCTGCCTTTTGAGAGCATGACATCAGGCCCACCCCGCCTGCTGCCACTACTGCTGCCAACATCAACCTACATGTGCCACCTGGGAGACAGGAAACTGGCTTGCCCAGACTGCTACAACCACTGGTGCCAGTATGTATTGCTTATGAGCCTCTAGGTTGTCCCAACACTGCTACCGTCATTGCTAACATCATACATGCTGCCCAAGGACCCACCCACCCACCAACCACTGCCACTGTTGGTCCCTGAACAAGCAACCTGGAGGTCCAAGGGTTAGCCTGCATGGACTTACCACCAGTGCCCGCATATGTCACCTGGGGGTCCAAGAATTGGTGCACATCCAGCCCACCACCACCACCACTATTGCTGCCTGAAGACCAGCCCTCCTGACATTCCCATCCTCAGCAAAGCCTCACTATACCTTTCACTAACAACTGCAGCCCAAGCAACTGAGGAATTAACAGACACCACTAATTCTGATGACAGCCAATGAAATCATATGACAACTACATGAGTATGCCCAACCAGAATCAAAGCCAAATCAACCTACCCAACCAACACTATAGATACATATTTAGGAAAATGTCTTACCCTATGAAAGCCAATCTATAAAACTGGAAGAAGCAACTGTTCACTAGATGTGCAGATATCAACATAAAGACACAAGAAACATGAAAAGGCAAGGAAACCTGACACTGTCAAAAGAACATAATAATTCTCCAGCAACAGATTGCAATGAAAAAGAAATCTGTAAAATGCCTGAAAGAGGATTCAAAATAAAAATGTTAAAGCAAAATGAGATACAGCTAAAAATTTTAAAACAATCAGAAACACAACTCATGATCCGAATGAGAAATTCAACAGAGATATCATTTAAAAAATTCTGAAACTGAAGAATTCAATGAATGAAATAAAAAACACAACTGAGGATTTAAACAACAGATTAGATCAAATACAAGAAATAATCTAAGAACTGGAAGACAGTTTTGACACCATAAATCTACCAAATATTTGAATTTTCAGAGTCCCAGAAGGCGACAATATGGGCAAAGGTATAGAAAACCTACTTAACAAAATAATAGCTGAATACTTCCCAAATCTTACAAGAGACATGGACATTCACATACAGGAATATCAAAACGTTCCTAAATAGATACAATCCAAAAAGGTTTTCAAGCCACGTTATAGTCACTGTTAAGAGTCAAAGAAAGACAGAATTCTAAAAACAGCAAGAGAAAAGTGTCAAGTCACATATAAGGGAATCCCATCAGACTAACACTGGATTTCTCTTTTTACAAGACAGGAGAGAATAGGATGATATATTCAAACTACTGAAAGAAAAAAAACATGTCAGCCAAGAGTACTGTACCCAGAAAAGCTGCTTTTCAAAAATGAAGGAAAAATAAATAAAATGTTTCCCAGATAAGCAAAAACTGAGGGAATTCATCACCACTAGACTGGTCCTACAAGAAATATTTAAGGAAGTCCTAGATCTGGAAGCAAAAGGATGATATCTACCACCATGAAAACACATAAAGTATAAAACTCACTGGTAGAGCAGACACACAATAAGAGAAAGGAGTCAAATGTTACTACTACAGAATCCCAGCAAACTACAATAATAAACAGTAAGAGAGGAAGAAAAGAATAAAGAATATACAAAACAAACTTAAAACATGTAAAAAAAAAAAACCAGAAATAAGTCCTCATCTAACAATAAAACCTTGAATGTAAATGGATTAAATTCCCCATTTAAAAGATACAGACAGCTTGAATGTATTAAAAAGACATGACCCAACTATATGCTTCCTATAAGACACTGACTTCACCTGTAAAGGTACAATAAACAAAGTAAAGGGATAGAAAAATATGTGTTGCACAAATGGAAACCAACAATGAATAGGAGTAACTATATTTATATCAGGTAAAATAGAATTTAAATAAAAAACTAAAAAGAGACAAGGAAGGTGATTATGTAATGATGAAGGGATCATTTCAGCAAGAGGGTCTAACAACTCTAAATATGTATGCACCCAACGCAGAAACACACACACACACACACGCACACACACACACACACACACAGAACAAATATTGTTACATATAAATGGAGAGACAGACTTAAATACAATAGTTGGAGACTTCAACACTTTTCATTCTCAGCATTGGACAGATAATCTAGATAGAAAATTAACAAAGAAACATTGGATTGAAACTGCACTGCAGACCAAATGGACCTAACAGACATTTACAGAACATTTTATTCAACAGTTACGAAATATGTACTCTTCTCGTCAGCACGTGGAATATTCTCCAGGATTGACCATATGTGTTAGGCCACAAAACAACTCTCAACAAATTTTAAAAAAATCGTATCAAGTATCTTCTCAGACCACAAAGGAAGAAAAGTAGAAGTCAATACCAAGAGGAACTATGGAAAATGTACAAATACAGGGAAATTAAACAATATGTTCCTCAATGACCCCTGAATCAAATAAGAAATTAAGAAGGAAATAAAAAAATGAAACAAATGAAAATGGAAATACAACATACTAAAACCAATAGGATACAGCCAAAGCAGTGCTAAGAAGTACTTTTTTGTACATCAGAAAAGTAAGAAGATTTCAAATAAACTACCTAACAATGCACCTGAAGGAACTAGAAAAGCAACAAACAAAACCCAAAATTAGTAGAAAAAGAGAAATAATAAAGATCAGGACAGAACTAAACAAGATAGAGACTAATAAATAACACAAGAAAATTGGTTCACTGAAAAGATGAAAATCTATACATTTCTAGCTAGACTAACAAGAAAAAAGGAGAAAAGCTGAAATAAGATCAGAAAGGGTAAAGGAGACATTACAACTGATATCAAAGAAACAGAAAGGATCATCTGAGACTTTTATGAACAACTATACACCAACAAATTGGAAAACCTACAGGAAATGCATAAGTTCCTGGACATATACAACCTACCAAGATTATACCAGGAAGAAATAGAAAACCTGAAGAGAGCGAGTTTTTTCTTCATTAACAAGATTTAATCAGTAATAAAAACTCTCCCAACAAAGAAAAGCCAACTGTTTTATTATTGAATTCTACCAAACTTAGAAATGAATACCAATTCCTCTCAAACTATTTCAGAAGACTGAAGAGCAAAAATTCTCCTAACTCATTCTATGAGGTCAACATTACCTCAATACCAAAACCAGACAAGGATATGACAAAGAAAAAAACCTATAGGCCAAAAACCTACGGGCCAATATACCTGATGAACACAGTTGCAAAAATCCTCAACAAAATACTAGCAAACTGAATCCAACAAGACATCAACAAGACAATACACCATGATCAAGTGGGATTTATCCCAGGGATGCAAGGATGCTTCGACATAGGCAAATCGATAAAAAACAGAATGAAGGACAAAAACCATTTGATCATCAAATAGATGCAGAACAAACATGATAAAATTCAATATCCATTCCTGGTAAAAACTCTCAAGTTAGGCAAAAAAGGAACCTACCTCAATATAATAAAGGCCATATATGAAAAACAGACAGCTAGCATCATACTGAATAGGCAAAAGCTGAAAGTATTTCTTCTAAGAACTGAACAAGAAAAGGATGCCCACTTACACCACTCCTGATCAGTACAGTACTGTAAGTACTAGCTAGAACAATCAAGCAAGAGAAGGAAAGCTAGAAAAAACAAAGTCAGATTTGCAGACGGCATGATCTTATACCTAGAAAGTTATTAGAAATGATAAATGAACTCAGTAAAGTTTCAGTTTACAAAATCAACATATAAATATCAGAGTTTCTATATATCAATAATGAACTAGCTGAAAAATAAATCAAGAAAGAAATCCCATTTGCAATGGCCACAAAAAAATACACAAGAAATGTTTAACCAAGAAGGTGAAAGACCTGTATGAGGAAAATGAAATAACACCAGTAAAAAAAACCAAAGAGGACACAAACAAATGGAAAGACATCCCATACTCATGGATCAGAAGATTTAATCTCATTAAAATGAATCAGAGAGCACCAGAAAGATGGTGCATAGGAGGCAGGACTAGCTTGCAGCTCCTGCTTGGACAGACAAAACAGTGTATAGAAACTCACATCATGAACTTTTGCTCCAAGAACTACTGCAAGAACATACCAAGAAAGCTGAGAGAATCCATAGACTCTTTGAAGGAACTTGATCACCCTGCAGGCTCCCTGAGACACTGAAAAACTGTGCGGGTATCCATGGCTGAAAGATCTGAAGACAAATCACATCAAAGGACTCTTTGCAGACATTCCCCACTACCAGCCCAGAGCCCAGTAGCTCCACTGGGTGGCTAAACCCAGAAGAGCAAAAACAATCACTGCAGTTCCACTCTCAGGAAACCCCATCCCTAGGGGAAAGGTGGAGAACACCACATCAAGGGAGCACTCCATGGAACAAAAGAATCTGAATAGCAGTCCTTGAGTTCCAGATCTTCCCTCTGATATAGTCCACCAAATGAGAAGGGACCAGAACAATTCTGGTAATATGATAAAACAAGGTTCTTTAACACCCTCAAGAGAACATACCAGCTCACCAGTAATGGATCCAAACCAAGATTAAATCTGAATTGCCAGAAAAAGAATTCAGAAGGTTAATTATTAAGCTAATCAAGGAGGTACCAGAGAAAGGTGAAGTCCAACTTAAAGAAATAAAAAACATGACACAGGGTATGAAAAGAAAAATCTTCACTGAAATAGCTGGCATAAATAAAAAACAATCACAACTTCTGATAATCAAGGACACACTTAGAGAAATGCAAAATGCACTGGAAAGTCTCAGCAATAGAACTGAACAAACAGAAGAAAGAACTTCAGAGCTTGAGGACAAGGCTTTCAAATTAACCCAATCCATCAAAGACAAAGAAAAAATAATTTATAAATGTGAAGAAAGCCTATAAGAAGTTTGGGATTTGTTAAGTGTCCAAACCTAAGAATAATTGGTGTACCCAAGGAAGAAGAGAAATCTAAAAGTCTGGAAAACATATTTGAGGGAATAATCGAGGAAAACTTCCTTAGCCTTGCTAGAGATCTAGACATGAAAATACAAGAAGCTCAAAGAACACCTGGGAAATTTATCACAAAAAGATCATTGTTTAGGCACATAGTCATCAAGTTATCTAAAGTTAAGATGAAGGAAAGAATCTTAAGAGCTGTGAGGCAAAGGCATGAGGTAACCTATAAAGGAAAACCTATCAGAGTAACGCATATTTCTCAGCAGAAACCCTATAAGCTAAAAGGAATTGGGGTCCTATTTTTAGCCTCCTTAAACAAAGCAATTATCAGCCAAGAATTTTGTATCCAGAGAAACTATGCTTCATAAATGAAGAAAAGATACAGTCTTTTCCAGACAGACAAATGCTGAGAGAATTCGCCACTACCATGCCAGCATGCCAAGAACTGCTAAAAAAAAAAGCTAAATCTTGAAATAAATCCTCAAAACACACCAAAATCGAACCTCCTTAAAGCATGACTCTCAGAGGACCTACATAACAATAACACAATGGGAAAACAAAAAACAAAAACACAACCACCACAAGGTATTCAGGCAACAAACAGCATGATGAATAGAATAGTACCTCACATCTCAATATTAATGTTGAATGTAAATGGCCTAAATGCTTCACTTAAAAGATACAGAATGGCAGAATGCATAAGAATTCACCAACCAAGTTTCTCTTGTCTTCAGGAAACTCAACTAACACATAAGGACTCCCATAAATTTAAGGTAAAGAGGTGGAAAAAGATATTCCATGCAAATGGACAACAAAAGTGAGCAGGAGTAGCTATTTTTATATCAGACAAAACAAACTTTAAGACAACAGCAGTTTAAAAAGACGAAGAGAGACATTATATAATGATAAAAGGGCTAGTCCAACAGGAAAATACCACAATCTTAAATATATAAGCACCTAACACTGGAGCTCCCAGATTTATAAAACAATTACTACTAGACCTAAGAAATGAGATAGATGGCAACACAATAATAGTGGGGGCCTTTAATACTTTACTGACAGTACTAAACAGGTCGTCAAGACAGAAAGTCAAGAAACAATGGACTTAAACTATACTCCAGAGCAAATGAACTTAACAGATATTTACAGAACATTCTACCCAACAACTGCAGAATATACATTCTATTCATCAGCACATGGAACATTCTCCAAGACAGAGCATATGAAGACCATATGACAGGCCACAAAACAAGTCTCACTAAATTTAAGAAAAACCTAAATTCTATCAAGTACTTTCAGACAACAGTGGAATAAAATTGGAAATCAACTCCAAAAGGAATCCTCAAAACCATGCAAATACATGGAAATTAAATAACCTGCTCCTGTATGATCTTTAGGTTAACAATGAAATCAAGATGGAAATTTAAAAATTCTTTGAACTGAATGAGAATAGTAACACAACCCATCAAAATCTCTGGGATACAGCAAAAGCGGTGCTAAGAGGAAAGTTCATAGCACTAAATGCCTACATCAAAAAGTCTGAAAGAGCACAAAGAGACAATCTAAAGTCACACCTCATGGAACTGGACAAAGAAGGACAATCCAAACCCAAAACCAGCAGAAGAAAAGAAGTACCGAAGATGAGAGCAGAACTAAATGAAATCGATTGAAACAACGCAAAAAAAATACAAAAGATAAATAAAACAAAAAGCTGTTTCTTTGAAAAAATAAAATTGATAGACATTAGTGAGATTAACCAAGCAAAGGAGAACATCCAGCTGGGCACGGTGGCTCATGCCTGTAATCTCAGCACTTTGGGAGGCTGAGGCAGGCAGATCATGAGGTCAGGAGATTGAGACCATCCTGGCAAACACAGTGAAACCCTGTCTCTACTAAAAATACAAAAAATTAGCCGGGCATGGTGGCGGGCACCTGTAGTCCCAGCTACCAGGAGGCTGAGGCAGAAGAATGGTGTGAACCTGGGAGGCAGAGCTTGCAGTGAGCCAAGATCATGCCACTGCACTCCAGCCTGGGCGACAGATACTACTACAGATACCACAGAAAAAGATTATTCAAGGCTGCTATGAACACCTTTTTGTGTGTAAACTAGAAAACCTAGAGGAGATGGATAAATTCCTAGAAATATACAACCCTCCTAGATTAAACCAGGGAGATATATAAACTCTGAACAGACCAATAACAAGCAGTGAAATTGAAATAGTAATAAGACTGCCAACAAAAAAAAGTCCAGGACCAGATGGATTCACAGCTGAATTCTATCAGACATTCAAAGAATTGGTACCAATCCTACTGACACTATTGCAGAGGATAGGGAAAGAGGGAATCCTCCCTAAATCATTCTATGAAACCAGTATCACCATAATACCAAAACCAGGGAAGGACATAACAAAAAATGAAAACTACAGACAAATATCTCTGATGAACATAGATGCAACAATCCTCAATAAAATACTAGCTAATTGAATCCAACAGCCTATCAAAAAGATAATCCACCATGATCAAGTGGGTTTCATATCAGGGATGCAGGGATGGTTTAATATACCACATAAACACAATTAAAAACAAAAATCACATGATCATCTCAATAAATGCAGAAAAAGGATTAGACAAAATCCGGCATCCCATTAGGATTAAACCTTCAGCAAAGTCAGCATAGAAGGGACAGACCTTAATGTAATAAAAGCCATCTATGACAAACCCACAGCCAACATAATACTGAATGGGGAAAAGTTGAAAGCATTCCCCCTGAGAACTGGAAAAAGACAAGGATGCTCACTTTTACCACTTCTATTCAACATATTACTGGAAGTCCTAGTCAGAGCAATCAGACAAGAGAAAGAAATCAAGGGCATCCAAATTGGTAAAGAGGAAGTCAGACTGTTGCTGTTTGCTGATGTTATGATCATATATCTAGAACACCTTAAAGACACTCCAAAAAGCTCCTAGAACTGGTAAATGAATTCAGCAAGGTTTCAGGATACAAAATTAATGCACACAAATCAGTAGCTCTGCTATATACTAACAGTGACCAAGCTGAGAATGAAATCAAGAACTCAACCCCTTTTACAACAGCTGCAAAAAAAAGGAAAAGGAAAGAAAAAAAAGAAAATACTTAGGAATATATCTAACAAAGGAGGTGAAAGACCTCCACAAGGAAAACTACAAAATACCACTGAAAGAAATAATAGACAACACAAATAAATGGAAACACATCCCATGCTCATGGATGGGTAGAATCAATATAGTGGAAATGGCCATACTGTCAAAAGCAATCAAAAGCAGTCTACAAATACCACCATCATTCTTCACAAAACTAGAAAAAACAATCCTAGAATTCATACGGAACCAAAAAAGAGCGCTGTATTAGTTCATTTGCATGCTGCTGATAAAGACATACCCAAAAGTGGGAACAAAAAGAAGTTTAATTGGACTTACAGCTCCATATGGCTGGGGAGGCCTCAGAATCATGACAGGAGGTGAAAGGCACTTCTTACATGGCCGAGGCAAGAGAAAAAATGAGGAAGAAGCAAAAACGGAAACCACTGATAAACCCATCAGATCTTGTGAGACTTATTCACTATCACAAGAATAGCATGAGACAGACCGACCCCCATGATTCAATTACCTCCCCATGGGTCCCTCCCACAACACGTGGGAATTCTGGGAGATACAATTCAAGTTGAGATTTGGGTGGGGACACAGCCAAACCATATCAAGCCCACAGAGCCAAAGCAAGACAAAGCAAAAAGAACAAATCTGGAAGCATCACATTACCCAACTTCAAACCATACCCTAAGACTACAGTCACCAAAACAGCATGGTACTGGTATAAAAATAGGCACATAGACCAATGGAACAGAATAAATAACCCAGAAATAAAGGCAAATATTTACAGCTAACTGATCTTCAACAAAGCAAACAAATACATAAAGTGAGGAAAGGACACCCGTTTCAATAAATGGTGCTGGGATAATTGGCTAGCTACATGCAGAAAATGAAACTGGATTATCATCTCTTACTTTATACAAAAATCAACTCAAGATGGATTGAAGTCTTAAATCTAAGACCTGAAACTATAAAAATTCTAGAAGATAACATCAGAGAAACCCTTCTAGACAGTGGCTTAGGCAAAGACTTCATGACTACAACCCAAAAGCAAATGAAACAAAAACAAAGATAAGTAGATGGGACTTAATTAAACTAAAAAAGTTTTTCTGCACTGGAAAAGAAATAATCAGCAGAGTTAACAGACAACCCACAGAAAGGGAGAAAATCTTCACAATCTATACATCTAACGAAGGACTAATATCCAGAATCTACAAAGAACTCAAATCAGCAAGAAAAAAAAACCCAACAATCCCATAAAAAAAGTAGGCTAAGGACATGAATAGACAATTCTCAAAAGAAGATAAACAAATGGCCAACAAGCATATGGGAAAATGCTTAACATCACTAATTATCAGGGTAACGCAAATCAAAACCACAATGTGATACCACTTTACTTCTGCAAGAATGGCCATAATAAAAGAATTTTTTAAAAAAATGTTGGTGTGGATGTGGTGAAAAGGGAACACTTTTACACTGTTGGTGGGAATGTAAACTAGTACAACCACTGTGGAAAACAGTGTGGAGATTCTGTGAAGAACTAAAAGTAGAACTACCATTTGATCCAGAAATCCCACTACTGGGATCTGCTCAGAGGAAAAGAAGTCATTATACAAAAAAGATACTTGCACCTGCATGTTTATAGTAGCAAAATTTGCAATTGCAAAAATATGGAACCAGTCCAAATACCAATCAACGAGCGGATAAAGAAAATGTGATATATATATACTATGGAATACTACTCAGCCATAAAAAGGAATTGAATAATGGCATTTGCAGCAACCTGGATGGAATTGGAGACTATTATTCTAAGTGAAGTAACTCAGGAATGGAAAACTAAACATCGTATGTTCTCACTCACAAGTGGGAGCTAAGCTATGACGACACAATATTGTAAGAATGATACAATGGACTTTGGAGACTCAGAGAAAATGGTGGGGGTGCGGTGAATGATAAAAGACTTCAAATTGGGTATAATGGACACTACTTGGGTGATGGGTGCACCAAAATCTCAGAAATCACCACTAAAGAACTTATTCATGTAACCAAACACAACCTGTTTCCCTAAAACCTATTGAAATAAAAAAAAAATAAAATGAACCATACCACCCAAAGCAATCTACAGATTCACTGCAATCCTTATCAAAATATCAATGACATTCTTCACAGAAATAGATAAAATAATCCTAAAAGTATTATAGAACCACAAACAACTCTAAATACCAAAGCAATGTGAGCAAAAAGACCAAAGCTGAAGGCACGCTACTAAAATATAATACAAAGTTATGGTAACCCAAAAAGCATGGAACTGGTATAAAAACAGACATGGGCTCGGGCGCAGTGGCTCACGCCTGTAATCCCAGCACTTTGGGAGGCTGAGGCAGGTGGATCATGAGGTTAGGAGTTCAAGACCAGCCTGGCCAACATGGTGAAACCCTGTCTCTACTAAAAATACAAAAATTAGCTGGGCGTGGTGGTGCGTACCTGTAGTCCCAGCTACTCAGGAGGCTGAGGCAAGAGAATTGCTTGAACCTGGGAGGCAGAGGTTGCAGTGAGCCGAGATCGCGCCACTGCACTCCAGCCTGGGCGACAGAGCGAGACTCTGTCTCATAAATAAATAAACAAACAAACAGACACATAGATCGATGGAACAGAATAGAGAACTCAGAAAGAAATCTACATCTTTACAGCCAACTGATTTATAAAACATAGATTAAAATTGGATCTCTCTGAATGTAATTTTTTTGATGATGTTACTTTACAGCCATATACATTTTTACATAATTATAAAATAAATAAAAGTGAAAGGCAGTTCTCAATAATCAGAAGCAAAATTAACTAAATGAACTTAGTAGTATAGTGGTCCCTCAGTATTAATGAGGGATTTGTCTCATGACTTCCCCCACCCCCAAGAATACCAAAATCTACTGATATTCATGTCCTTTATATAAAATGGCCTGGCATTTCCACATAACCTACACACATATTCCCAAAACACTTTAAATCATCTCTTGATTACTTATAACACTTACTATAATTCCTACACATTATTTCTTTAATGTGGATTCAACATAGCGTTTGGCTTGGGAAAAATTGAAGTTTTGCTTTTTGGAATTTCGTGGAATTTTTTTTTCTGAATGTTTTTGATCCATGGTTGGTGGAATCCATGGATGGGGAACTAACAGATATAGTGGCCTGACTGTGTATCAAATTTGTGGCATAACTTTATGAAGAACATGATTTCAAGTCACTTTAAAATATAAATGTTTTTTAATCGCTTGTGGGATGCATTTACAAAGAAAAGAACTGCAAAGAAATCTTAGAATTTTTTTTTAAGAGGTTTTGCTATATTGCCCAGGCTGGCCTCAAAGGCCTGGGCTCAAGCAATCCGCCTGCCTGAAGCCCCTTGCGTCACTAGGATTACAGGTGCATGCCACCACACCCAGCTTTTGGAATGCTTTTATAATTTTACAAGTAGGATTAATATTTGTATAATTATTCAAACATTCTATAAACATTGTATATATGTTGATAAAGCGCAGCCTGTGAGCCAAATACAGCCTATGACCAGTTCTTGTAAATAAAGTTTTATTAGAACGTAGCCATACTTATTTGTTTACATATTGCCGATGGCTGTTTCTGAGCTGCAGTGGCAGAGTTGAATAGTTGTGACAGAGACTGTGGCCTGCAGAGCCTGAAGTATTTACTATCTGGCCTTTACAAAAAAAGTTTGCCAACCTCTGTTCTAGCTCTTTCTCCAATACAATAACACGCTCAGGACAAGCACAGCATCCCAAATCTAAAAATCCAAAATGCTTCAAAATCTGTAACATTTTGAGTACTTTGGAATTAGGGTTGTGACTTTTTGTCTGTAATTCCGTATCACTGGCACTAAGGTTCTAAACAGTGCTAGGGCAGTGCTGTATATTATGACCAACGAGGTAGTTGTGTTGTTTCGATTCTGTTTGCTCCTGTATCTTAGGAGTAACTTAGAGAACAATGAGGAATTCTAATGAGGAATGAAGGTGATACAAAGCTGAGAGGATTTATCAGTAAAGGCCAGTGCAACAAAAATACTAAACAAGGTTATTCAGTCAAAAAAGAAAATATATCGGATAGATACTTGGAATGATATAAAGGAATGAAGAGTACCAAAATGGTAAATACATGGGTACATATAAAAGACTTTTTTTTTTACATTAAAAACTAGGAGCAAAAACAGTTTCAATGTATTATGGCATGTATTATATATAAAAGTGAAATTAATAACAATAGCACAGAAGATAGGAGGAATGAATATATACTGTTGTCATGTTCTTACACTATCCATGAAGTGGTATATTATTTGAAAGCAGATGGTTATAACTTAAACATGCATAAAGTAGTCCCCCCTTACCTGTGGGGGGTCCCCAGTGGATGCCTGAAAGCATGGATAATACTGAATCCTATATATACTGTGCATGGTTTTATTTTTCCTTCTTCACAATTTCATGGACAGAAAATGTTCTAACCATATATCTTAGCAACCTCAGCATATGATTTTTTAATCTTTCCTTATTATGTTGAGAACTTGCACATTTTCTTTTAAATTAAGCACTTTAAAAAGGTTTCTCTTTGGTATATCCGAATTGTCAGAATTACTACTTTTGAGCTTTGGGGCCATAATTTGGCAAACTAAAGGTAACTTGAACACAAGCACTGTAATAGTTTTACAGTTGATATAATAACTAAGATGGCTACTAAGTGACAAATGGGCAGGTAGCTGTATAAAGTATGAATATGTTAGACAAAGGGATGATTTTTATCCTGGGCAGGATGGAGCAGGACAACACAAGATTTCATCATGCTACTCAAAATGGCACACAATTTAAAATGAATTGTTTATTTTTGGAATTTTCTTTTCCATTTAATATTTTTAGACTGCAGTTGACTGTGGGTAACTGAAACCATGGAAGGTGAAGCTGCTGGTAATAAGAGGGGACTATTGTATTTTAAGCCCTAGAACAAGCATTTGCACATGGACATAGACACACAAAAAAATTTAAAAATGAAGTATAGCTAATAAACCAAAATAGAAGGTAAATTGGAATACCAAACAAAACAAAACAAAAACAAATTAATTCAAATGAAGCACCAAAAAAGGTAAAAAGAAGAAAAGGCAAAGAACAGATATGATAAAAAAATGAAATGACAGGTTTAAATCGAAATACATAATTACATTAAATGAAGATGGTCTAAACAGTCCAAAAATAAGGTTGGGTGAGGTGGCTCATGCCTATAATCCCAGCACTTTGGGAGGCCAAGGGCGGCGGATCACGAGGTAAGGAGATCAAGACTATCCTGGCTAACATGCTGAAACCCCGGCTCTACTAAAAATGCAAAAACAAAATTAGCCGGGTGTGGTGGCGGGTGGCTGTAGTCCCAGCTACTCAGGAGGCTGAGGCGGGAGAATGGTGTGAACTCGGGAGGTGGAGCTTGCAGTGAGCTGAGATCGTGCCACTGCACTCCAGCCTGGGTGACAGAGTGAGACTCCATCTCAAAAAAAAAAAAAAAAAAGTCCAAAAATAAAACCCCAGAGATTATTGTACTAGATGAAAAAGCAGGAATCAACTACATTTTGTCTACGGGAGACCCACTTTAAAGACAAAGATAGGTAGAAATAATAGAATAAAAAATATATATAATGCAAACACCAATCAAA
Source organism: Homo sapiens (assembly GCF_000001405.40). Lineage (NCBI taxonomy): Eukaryota > Metazoa > Chordata > Mammalia > Primates > Hominidae > Homo > Homo sapiens. The sequence continues at coordinate 63,285,597 of NC_000002.12, forward strand.
AGAAAGCTGAAATGCCTATATTAATAAAGGACCAGTAAACTTCAGAACAGTAACTATTATTGGGGGAAAAAGCCATTTCATGAAAAAGGTCAATGGCTTTAAAATAGTTGATGCAAACTCTGAAAGAGCTGAAAGTAGAAGTAATGAAATCCACAATTATAGTAAATAGTAAAAATAGATTTTCCTATTTACTAGTTCTAAAGTAAAGAGGATTTAAACACTCCTCTCGAAGTAGTTGAGAGAACAAACAGAAAGTCAGTGGATATAAAGACTTAAACTTCACTGTTAACCAACTGACCTAATTATCATTTAAAGAGCAACACCCAGCAAGAGCAAAATATACATTCTTTCAGTACACATGGAACATTAAATAATAACACAAGGTCATGAAACAAGTTTCTCTCTCTCTCTCTCTCATTTTGTTTTTTTTAGATAGGGTCTTTCTCTGTCACCCAAGCTGAGGGGCAGTGACAATCATCGCTCACTGCAGCCTCGAACTCTTAGGCTCAAGTAATCCTCCCACCTCAGCCACCCAAGTAGCTAGGACTTCAGGCGCACACCACCACACTCAAATTTTTAAATTTTCTAAATGTAATATATATCTGGATTGTCAGGCCTCTGAGTCCAAGCTAAGCCATCATATCCCCTGTGACCTGCACATATACATCCAGATGGCCTGAAGCAACTGAAGATCCACAAAAGAAGTGAAAATAGCCTTAACTGATGACATTCCACCATTGTGATTTGTTTCTGCCCCACCCTAACCGATCAATGTACTTTGTAATCTCCCCCACCCTTAAGAAGGTTCTTTGTAATCTTCCCCACACTTAAGAAGGTTCTTTGTAATTCTCCCCACCCTTTAGAAGTACTTTGTGAGATCCACCCCCTGCCCCCAAAACATTGCTCCTAACTCCACCGCCTATCCCAAAACCTGTAAGAACTAATGATAATCCCACCACCCTTTGCTGACTCTCTTTTCGGACTCAGCCCGCCTGCACCCAGGTGAAATAAACAGCCCTGTTGCTCACACAAAGCCTGTTTGGTGGTCTCTTCACACAGACACACGTGACATGGATATTTTAAAAATCCAATCTTATGGTCACTGATTTTCAACAAGTGAATTTAATTCATTTACATTTATTATAATTTATGATGTTTAGATATTCTAGCTAGCTTATTCTGTGGTTTCTTACCATACCTTTAACTATTTCCTTTTGATTATTTCCTATTTGCTTTTTAATTTTTTATCAAGTTTTCTTTGTTGTGTTTTTCCTATTTACTAGTTCTAAAGTTATAGCATTTATAGTAGTCGGCTAAGGCTGTCATAACAAAATACCACAGAGTGGGCGGCCTAAACAACAGAAATTTATTTTCTCACAGTTCCAGAAGCTGGAAATTCATTGTCAAACTGGCAGGTTTGGTTTCTCCCTGAACCTCTCTCCTTGGCTTGTAGATGGCCACCTTCTTGCTGTGTCCTCACATGGTCTTACTTCTGTGCACACCCATTCCTGGTGTCTCTTCTACTTCTTGTAAGGACACCAGTCATATTGGATAAGGGGCCCATCCTCATGGCCTCATTTAACCTTAATTACCTCCTTCAAAGGTTCTATCTCCAAATATAGTCACATTGAAGGTCAGGGCTTCAACATATGAACTGGGGAAGGGTGGATATAATTCAGTCCATGACACCATCCATTCTTTTTTTTTTTTTGGCTGAATATCCTTAAATTTTCAACATACTCATATCAACTTATTTTTCTAAAAATACCTAGGGTTTAATCAGTATCCACTTATTCTGACTTTTCTCCACTCACTCACGCTACTCTTCCTGTTGTAACACCCTAATTATTCATCCTTGCTTGCCCAGGAACACTTTCCCATTCCTAGTATTCCTTTCCTCAGGGCATGAAGAACTTTTTAGTGCTCCTCCCAATTTTGGTAGCAATCTTCTCCTCTTGACATTTTGGTTTCTGCTTTGTTTCTTCTATTTCATTCTGTTTTACAGTTTTCAATAGATTCCTCACAAACTCTGGTCCATCAAATTTCTTGTCTTGAATTCCAGTTATAAATTTTTAAAACACACATGCATACACATGCATCTTCCATCATTTCCAGAGATTTGGCACAGAAGTAGAAGAGATTTATGTGTACACTCAATCTAATATCTTAAAACAGAAGTACATTTCATTTCATAGTTAATTCTTCTGACTGGAGAGTTCCAATTGGGAGAATTTAAACTTGAAAGTCCAAGCTAGGTTTGAGTCAACAGAGGCAAAAACGAGTCTATATTCATAATATTTAAAATTGCAATTATAAGGTATGTAATAAATGGTAAGTCTTGTTTCAGAAGTTAGCAGGTATAAAACTCCTCTATATAAAAACAGTGCCAACAAAGCAATTCTATGTCAACTTGATCACCAAGCAAGTGCCTAGGAGTGGCAGATGTAAGCCATCCTACAAAAATCATGCCAATGAAAGACAAACTACCCAACAGTATCATGCCAAGGGAAGGCACAGATGGCTGGAGAGCAGCAGCTATAGGTCTTTTTATAGCATTATCAGATGGCACAGTTGACATTCCAACTGGACCTGCGCCAATGGCCAAGGTAATTAGGGATGCCAACATGAGAATGTTCAGAAGGCATACTCATCCTCATGCCATCCAACATGAAGCCAGAGATGCAATCTTGGGTGGCTTTTATGCCACAATGAGTAAAGTAAAATGAGTAGCTTTTATGGCACAGTAATAATGAGTTTGGAGAGGTTACCTGAATTTTCAAAAGCAGAATAATGTCCTAAAGACAAAGAATTAAAAGCAGCATTTCTGTGGCCAAATCGACTTCCAAACCACACAGCATCTATTGAGAGAATGCATGTAATAGTAGAGTCTAGATCTGTGATAGTAAGTGAAAATTTATATTTTTTAAGTAATCTCAAAGATACAGAAAAGTTTCAAGTACAGTACAAAGATCACTTTTTTTCTGAACCATTTCAGAGTAAGTTGCCAACATATTCTTGAATACCTCAGCGTTTCTTTTCCACAAATTAGGACATTCACTTACATAACCACAATCAAACCAATAAAATCATGAAATTAACACTGATATCATTACTCAAACTTAATCACTGAAGTTTCACCAGTTGTTCAAATAATGTCCTTCCTATCACAAATATCCATTTCTTGATGCATTTAGTTGTAATGCTTCTTTAGTCTCCTTTAATCTGGAATAGTTCTTTGCTCTTACTTTCTATGAACTTAGCATTTTTGAAGAGTATAGGCTGGTTATTAGAATGTCTCTCAATGTAGGTTCAATCGATACTCCCCATGACTAGATTTGGGTTATGCATTTTTTTTTCAAGAATACCAAGGAACGGATGTTGTGTTCTTACTGCAATATATGAGGTGACAAATTACTTTTATTTCTTCCATTATTGACGATATAAATATAAATTTTGATTACTTGATTAACAGGGCATCTGCCAGCCTTCTCCACTGCAAAGTTATTCCTTTTCCCTTTGTAAATCATAGATATTTCATGAGAAAATATTTTGAGGCTATGTAAATATCCTGTTTTTCATGAAACTTTTTCTCACCAGTTATAGCATCCATTATGGATTCTTGTCTTAGAAAATTATCACTATGATGTTTGCCAAATTGTCATTTTCTAATTCTATCTTTACTTTTATATTTATTAGTTGGATTTATTTACTTGTATCATTATGAAGTCATGGTGCCTTATTTTATGCTACATGTTATAATCATCCTACACATTTTGATATATTATGTTCTCATTTTAAAATTCAATTCAAAATATTTCTCATTTTCTCTTGTGATTCCTTCTTTAATCCGTGATCTTTTTAGAGAAGTATTATTTACTTTGTATTTGGGAACTTCATAGATATTTGGATGTAATTGACTTGTAATTTAATTCCTTTCTTGTCATATTTCAATCTTCTAGAATTTGTTGAGCTTTATTTTATGAACCAGAATACAGTTTATATTTAGGGAATATGCCATGTAGATTTGAAAAGAATGTGTATTCTGCAGTTGTTGGATATAGGTTCAAAAAATGTCAGATCAAGTTGGTTCACATATTTTATATATTCATGATTTTTTGACATGTTCTATGAATTATTATATTTATCTATTTCTTTTTTGGTTTGTCGGCTTTTGCTTCATGCATTTGAAGCTCAGTTATCTTCTTTAGGATTGTCATGTCTGCCTGATTAAACTTTTGTCATTATAATGTCTCTCTTATCTCTGGTGATACTTTCTTTGTTTTTGAAGTCACTTTGTCTTATATTTACTGTTTGCAGGATATATATTTTTCACATTTTTTCTTTAAATTTATTTGTGTCATAATAATTAAAGTGCTTCCCTTATACACCAAACATAATTAGTTCTTGCTTTTTATCCAGTCTGACAATCTCTGACTTTAAAAAAAAAAATTCATGTCTGCTTTTTGAGTATCCATCCAGTTTGAACTTACGGTCGTTATTTATTAATATATTTGGGGTTAAGTGTAACATCTTATTATTTGTTTTCTGTTTGTCCTCCTTTTCTGTCTTCTTTTGGATTGAATATTTTAAAAGTATTTTAAAATTTCCTCTTTTGACTTTTTAAAGCAACATACCTATTTACATTTTTTTTAAAATCCTCTTGGCACCATAATATGCAATTTTAACTTATCACAGTCTACCTAGAATTCATACTGCACCACTTCAGTTAAAAGGCACAAATCTTACAATAATATAATTCCATTTACCCCCTCCTCTGATGTTGCTGTTATTCATTTCTTGTAGACATAATTATCACAATGTATTGTTATTACTTTTGCTTTAAATAATTATATACTAAAGAAATTTTAAAATGAGGAAAGACTTAATATTAGTCACATGCTTATGATTTTTAGGACTCTTCATTCTTTCATGTAGAGACGAGTTTTCATCTGGTATCATTTTTGTCCTATCTGAAAAACCTCCTTCAGCTTTTCTAGTAGTGCTGCTGCTAATTTCAATTTAATTTCACTAATTTAAAAGTATCTTTATTTCACCCTCACTTAAGGATGATTTTCACTGGATATAAGATTTTGAGTTGAGAGTTTTAGTTTTGTTTAGCATGTTGATGATGCTGTTCCATTATCTTTTGGCATTACTGTTTCTGATTTGAAGTCAGTCATAATTCGTATTAGCTGTTGCTCTTTTTTGTTTCCTGGGTATTTTAAAGATACAATTTTTTGTTTCCTGGGTATTTTAAAGATTTATCTCTCATCACTAGTTTTCAGTAATTTGTCTATGCTGTGCCAAGATATGGTGTGCCTAGGTATTGATTTCTTATATTTGGAATTCACTGAGATTTTTGGATCTGTAGGCCAATATTTTTCACCAAGCTCCAATTACATGTATTTTAGACTATTTGATTTTGTTCCATAAGTCACTGAGACTCTGCTCATTTTTTGAAATATTTTTGTTTTCTTTAGACTGGATACTTTATACTGATCTGTCTTTAAGTTCACTGACCCTTTATTATGTCCAATCTTCTACTGAGTAAATGTTTCATTTCAGGTTTTATATTTCTTACTTCTAGAATTTCTATTTTGCTTTTAAAAAAAATACAGTTTCTATGTTTCTCCTGAGAATCCCTATCTTTTCAATCATTATGTTCATCATTTCCTTGAAAATCCTTGAACATTTCTGATGACTTATTACCCAGAACACATTTAAAAGGAAGGCTAATACAGTTTCTTATAGGAAAGACCCAATGGCAGCTGCACCAGAGAGTCAATTACAGTTTTGTATGTGCTACACAGACTTATTTTTCACTGTCAAAGAGAAGGAAGAATAAGGCAAATTAATGTCTCCATAGTGATGGTGTTTTTGTGTCTCTGATTTTTGGATTACAAATCTAGGGAAATGAAAAACAAAGAGGAGGCTGGGCATGGTCGTTCACATCTGTAATTCCAGCACTTTGGGAGGCTAAGGTGGGCAGATCTCTTAAGGCCAGGAGTTTGAGACAAGCCTGGCCAACATGGTGAAAACCCATCTCTACTAAAAATACAAAAATTAGCTGGGCATGGTGGCTTATGCCTGTAATCCCAGGTACTTGGGAGGGAGAGGCAGGAGAATTACTTGAATGCAGGAGGCAGAGGTTGCAGTGAGCTGAGATTGTGCCATTGCACTCCAGCCTGGGCAACAGAGTGAGATTCTCTTACAAAAAAAAAAAAAGAAAAGAAAAGAAAAAGAAAAAGAAAAGAAGGCCGGGCGCGGGGGCTCACGCCTGTAATCCCAGCATGTTGGGAGGCCGAGGAGGGCGGATCATGAGGTCAGGAGATCGAGACCATTCTGGCCAACACGTTGAAACCCCGTCTGTACTAAAAATACAAAAAATTAGCCGGGCGCGGTGGCGGGCGCCTGTAGTCCCAGCTACTCGGGAGGCTGAGGCAGGAGAATGGCGTGAACCCGGGAGGTGGAGCTTGCAGTGAGCCGAGATCGCGCCACTGCACTCCAGCCTGGGCGACAGAGCAAGACTCCGGCTCAAAAAAAAAAAAAAAAAAAGAAAAAGAAAAGAAAAGACAAACCCAAAGAGGAAATGGAAAGATCTTGTTAGCAATTTGAAAGTTGGCTCTTTTAGTCTCCATAATGAATTTATGAGAAGGTTTAAAAAGACCACAAAATAACCCTGTAATAGAATTATCAGGTTGAGGGTCATGGAGAAGGATATCAACATTATCATCATTTAATGCAGCTGGATTTTCTATCCTAACAGTTTTATTTAAAAAAAAAATCTCACAACAGAACAAAAAATTGTCTAATTTTTTGTTTTTAGTAAATATAAGACATGTTTAATGTGGGATTTTATACAAATGCCCAATGAGGATGCTTAAGTTTGGATGAGTCAGAATTCTAGTATTTCTCAGAACTGTGAAAACTCTAGCATCTCCATTTAGCCCTTAATCTCACAGCAGTGGCTTTTTGCTATGCCTTGTCTACCTATAGTCTAGCTCTCCATTAAGGACCCAAAGGGGACCACAATAAAGACTTCTGGGTCTCACCTCTTCACACGGATTCCCCCTTTCTGATATATCAAAAATTTTAGATCCCTTATCATCCCTGGATTCTGAACACTGATCTCTGGGAAGATGACAGAGTAGAAAGCACCAGGAATCTGGAACCTAAATAATAATTGCATTGGCAGAATCTGTCTGATGTAATTGTTTTGGAACTATGGAGTCTACTGAGGCTTGCAACTTTTAGGGAAAGGCTTGGATGGTAAATTGCAGTTAATTTTCAATTTCAGCTCTTAGCACAGTATCTGTTACACATCCACCACCCCAGCTGTATGGTGGGCAACTGTGCACACCTTCCAGAGCAGCTGGTGGTCAGCTGTCTGGAACGAGGGTGAGCAAAACATAGGGGTTCTGTGCTCTGTGAATTGATGCTTGATTGCAGAGGTGCAGACAGGGAGGCAGGGCACCTGACCCCTCATTGCACCTCACCCCTCATTATTGCAAACCCCTCCTCCTTGCCTGAAGTGACTTGTAGTAGATTTAAGGAGCTGTGCTCTCATTACCCCCTTCATTTTTCTTTCTTGCCCCTTTGCGAACCAAACATTAAAGACTAGGACTCTGAAATGCAACTGCATATATGGGGAAAATTAGAAAGTTACCACACATTCCAAGGGCAGGAAAAGTATAGTTTTGGACAAGGCCTGAGAAGACCTTAAGATTCACCTTAGTATAATCTTTGGCCCACAGTCAGCCTAAAACAATTGTAAAAACCCTAAAACGGTAATAAAAAACAGCAAACCCTGGAGAAGGATGTGAATCTGATTCTCAGTTACCATGTTATTAGATTCCAATGTCCAGTTTTCAGCAACAAAAAATCATGAGGCATATAATGAAATAGGAAAGTATGGCCTATTTTAAGAGGAAAAAATAAACAGAAACTGTCCCTGAAAAAAAAAGACCTAATGGCAGACCTACTAGACTGTAAAACAGCTGTCTAAAATCTGCTCAAAGACTTAAAGGAAGATGTGGGGAAAGTCAAAATTATGAATGAACAAAATGAAAACATCAATAAAAAGAAAACCTAAAAGCAAACCAGAAAGAAATTCTGGAGCTGGAAAATATAATGACAAGATGATTTCAAAGCCAGATTTGAGCAGACAGAAAAAGAATCAGGAACTTTGAAGACAGGACAATAAACATTATCAACCTAAGGAACAGAAAGAAAAAAGACTGAAGAAAAGTGAATAGAGCCTAACGGACCTGAGACATACCATCAAGCTGATCAACATATGCAGCATGGGAGCTCCAGAAGGAAAAGAGAAACTGCCAGAGAAAATCTTAAAAGAAATAATGGCTAAAAACTCCCCAAATTTGATGAAAGGTATGAATACAAACATCCAAGAAGCTCAATGAACTCCAAGTAAGATGAACTCAAATAAACCCACTGTGAGACACATTATAATTAAATGTTCAAAATACAAAGACAAAGGGAATGTTGAAAGCAGAAAGAGAGAAGTGATTTTTCACATACAAGGGCCCCTAAGTAATACTACCAGTAGATTTCCCATCAAAGGCTTTGGAGGTAAGAAAGCACTGGGCTGATAAAAGTGCCAAAAGAGGCCAGGGATGGTGGCTCATGCCTGTAATCCCCACACTTTGGGAGGCTGAGGCAGGCAGATCACTTGAGGTCAGGAGTTCAGGACCAGTCTGGCCAACAGGGGAAACCCCATCTCTACTAAAAATACGCATACAAAAAATTCGGTGGGCATCTTGGCAAGCCCCTGTAATCCCAGCTACTTGGGAGGCTGAGGGAGGAGAATCACTTGAACCCGGGAGGTGGAGGTTGCAGGGAGCTGAGATCATGCCACTCCACTCCAGCCTGGGTGATAGAACAAGACTGTTTCGAAAAAAAAAAAAAAAAAAAAAAAGTGCTGAAAGAAAAAAAATGTCAACCAAGAATCCCGTATCTGGCAAAATTGTCCTTCAAAAGTGAAGAAGAAATTGAGAAATTCCCAGATAAACCTAAACTAAGGGAGTTCATTACCACTAGACCTTGCCTGCAGGACATGTGCAAGGGAGTCCTGTAGGGTGAAATAAAAGGGCACTAGACAGCTACTCAAAGCCATACAAAGAAAAAAAAACTCAATAAAATTAACTACCAGGTATATTATAAAAGCTAGCATTATTGTAACAATGGTTCAAAATTCCACCTTTTGCTCTCTATACAAATTAAGATACTAATTCATTTTAAAAATTATGAGTCTAAAAGCTAGCATTATTGTAACTTTGGTTGGTAATACTACATTTTATATTTTATATGAGACAGATACATTTAAAAGAATTATTAGTTTATGTTATAGAGTAAACAACTTGTAACAAAGTAGTTTTGTGACATTAAAAACCAAAAAGGGTGTAGAGAAAGGCATGAAGGAGCAGAGTTTTTGTGTGTTACTGAAAATTAACCAGGTGTAAATCCAAATTATAGCCTTATAACTTTAGGATATTTAAATGTAATCCCCATGATAACTGCAAAGAAAATAGCTATAGAATATACACAAATGAAAGAGAGAGAAAAAAATATTTCACTACAAAAACAATCACCCAAACATGAAAAAGACAGTCATCCAGGAAATGAGGGACAAAAAAAGCTGTATGGTATAAAAAACGACTGGCAAAATAACAGAAGACCCTCTGTATTAGTAATTTTAATGCAAATGGATCAAACTTCCAATCAAAAGACATATTAACAGAATAGATAAAAACTGACTCAACTATACGCTGTAAGAGATTTACTATAGAGCCAAAGACTCTAATAGATTAAAAATGAAAAGATGAAAAAAAAGATATTCCATGCAAATAGTAACCAAAATAACAGGTATGGTAATACTAATATTCAGAAAAAAGACAGACTTTAAATTTAAAAAGGTTACAAGAGATAAAAAAAAGAATATTATATAAGTACAATCAGAAGTGATAACAGTGAAATTGCAACTGATAAGAAATATAAAAGATCATCAGAGATTACTATGAACATATATACACACATAAACCAGAAAACCTTGAGGAAATATATTAATTCCTATACGTCCTCCCAAGATTGAGCCAGGAAGAAATAGAAATCCTGAACAGACCAATAAAGAGTACTGAAATTGAATCAGTAATAAAAAAATCTTCGAACAACAACAACAACAAAAAAGCCCAGGACCAGATGAACTCATGGACTACTTTTATCAGATATACAAAGGAGAGCTGGTACCAAACTTAGTGAAACTATTCCAAAAAAAAAAAAAAAAAAAAAAAATCAAGTTGGAAGGATTCCTCCCTAATTCATTCTACAAAACCAGTATCATCCTGATACCAAAATCATGCAAAGACACAACAAATATTCCTAATAATACAGGCCAGTATTCCTAATAAATACAGATGTAAATATCCTCAACAAAATATTAGCAAACCAAATCTAACAACATATTAAAAAGGTAACTCACGATTAAGTGGGCTTTATTCCAGGGATACAAGGATGGTTCAACATTCACAAATCAATAATTGTGATTCACCACATAAACAGAATTAAAAACAAAAACCATATGATCATCTCAGTAGATGCAAAAAAAAAAAAAGCATTTGATAAAATCCAGCATCCCTTCATGATAAAAACCCTTGGCAAACTATGCATTGAGGGAACATACTTCAAAATAAAAACGGCCATCTATGACAAGCCCACAGCAAACATCATACTGAATGGAGAAAATTTGCAAGCATTCCCCCTTAAAACAGGAACAAGACAAGGATTTCCACTCTCAGCACTACTATTCAACATAATACTGGGAAGTCCTAGCTGCAGCAATCAGGCAAGAGAAAGAAATAAAACGTATCCAACTAGGAAAAGAGTAGTCAAACTATCTCTATTCACTGATTACATGATCTTATACCAAGAAAATCCTAAAGACTCCTCCAACAGACTTCTAGACTTGAAAAATGACTTCAGTAAATTTCCAAATACAAAATCAACATACAGAAATCAGTAGCATTTCTATAAACCAATAACATTCAAGCTGAGAGTCAAATCAGGAACTCAATCCCATTTACAGCAGCCATAAAAATTAAAATACCTAGTAGTATATTTAACCAAGGATGTGAAAGATCTCTACAAGGAGAACCACAAATGCTGATAAAAGAAATCACAGATGATACAAAAAAAATGGGAAAACATTCCATGCTCATGGATTTGAAAAATCAGTATTGTTAAAATGACCACACAGCCCAAAGCAATCTACAGATTCAATGCAATTCCTATCGAAGTACCAATGTCATTTCACAAAATTAGAAAAAACAATCCTAAAGTTCTTATCGAATCAAAAAAGAGCCCAAATAGCCAAAGCAATCCTAAGGAAAAAGAATGAAGCTGAAAGCATCACATTATCTGAATGCTGTTGTTCTGGATGCCTACTGACTCCAATAAGGATGGCACCATGTCTGAGAGGCTGAAGAAGAGACCCGGAGCCAGCAAACGAGGCACAGCATTTAGTGAGGAACTTACATAAAAGGATGGTCCAGAGGTGGTGAGTTGGACAGGAGAACTGTTACCGCTTGTAAAAAGCATGTGGTTTATATAGCATTTTCACTTAACAACCTCCACTTGGCCAAAATAATCCCCGGTACAGCCTGCATTCCAAGGGGTGGGCTGGGGGTTCAGATGTCCTCCGTAAATATGGAATAGATCCTCAGGTTCGTCACTCTTGGATTCCTTAGCTTAGGACTCCAGACACACATTCTTGTAAGACAACAGGATCATTCTCAGGGTATACTTAAGTTATTGCTGTCAGGTGCATGTGCCATACACTCCACCCTAACATACTCTTGAATGGCCCTCTCGTTCTTATCATGCCATTTCCTCTATTATTCTCCTACAGTCAGGTATGTGGAGGAGCATTTCAGCCAGATGCTACAGCAGCAATACAAACTACAACAACAAAAAAGAATAACAAATATAATGACAATCTCACTGGATAGAAAGTTCTACCAAGTGCTTGGGAGTTGATTTAACCATGTTGTTATAGGGGTGTAAGACAGAGATTCTATAGTGTTATTATAATATACACTATAGAATATAATGCACAGGGTAGACCTAAATACTGGTATTTAGGACCCGCATGGCCTAGTTACACTGTGAGAGTAATCAGGGATATATACACAACATTCAGTTTTAACTAATGCACAGGTTCTACCCAGGGCAGCAGTTAAGATGTCCATGCCATTTTGCAAAGTAATGTGTCTGATTTGGGTGGTCTCTACAGTAAGAAGAAGAATAGCATGATTGGTATCATTAATGGCTGCAGCCATATGTTTAGCCTCAACTTGCAGCTCTATCTATATCTATTGTTGCCACTTGGGGAGAAAAAATGGCCAAAGGGTAAAACCTCCAGAATGCATGCTTCTGGCAGTACCTGACTTTTACACTCTCCCAGTGAATAGGAATGCATGGTATCTAAACGGGACACAACGCATACTGACAAGGATGCCACCAGGTGCATATACCAGTCCAATTAGAGGGTAAGTAAGGCCAGCTGTGGGTGTCACGGCCCATAACAATCCCCAAGGGGAGGGATAGGCCCCCATGTGGAGAGAGTTATACTGCCACCCAGCCACATATCTTTGGTTATTTGAAGGGATCGGTTACATTGCTGTGGGGATAGCCATCTGTGATGGTTAATATTGTCAACTTGATTGGATTGACGTATGCAAAGTATTGTTTCTGGGTGTCGCCAGAAGAGATTAACATTTGAATCAGTGGACTGGGAGAGGAAGAACCACCTTCAGGAAGACCCACCCACAATGTGGGTGGGCATTATCCCATTGGCTGCCAGCATGGCTAGAAAAGCAAGCAGAAGAAGGTGGAAGAAGCTGACTTGCTGAGTCTTCTTGCCTTTATCTTTCTCCCATGCTGGATGCTTCCTGCTCTCAAGACTCCAAGTTCTTCAGCTTTTGGACTCTTGGACTTACATCAGTGGTTTGCCAGGGGCTCTCGGGCCTTCAGCCACAGCTGTGAGGCCACAATGTTGACTTCCTTACTTTTGAGGTTTTGGGACTTGGGCTGAGCCATTACTGGGTTCCTTGGCAGCCATTACATAGAGGCAAAGGTCCTATGTAGTCTACCTGCCACTGTTGCACTTGGCTGCAGCCCTGGCCTATCTGTTCAGTATTGTGTGGAAAGGGCCTGAGGTGTTGCTGTGCACAGGTAGGACATTGCTGATAGATGAGTACTATATCTTTATATCATAGTGGTAGTCCTCAATTTTCACTATGTCCCAAAAGGTATGTGGTCCCCAATGTCCTGTCTTTTTATGTAGCCAGTAAGCCACATCTTTTGTGGGCACTTCCTTGAGGAGGAGAATGTAGGCTAGGCTTGTCTACCTGTTGATTTCCAGGTGGTGTAGATGCAATGTGGGCATCCACATGGTAGACTGTTACATGCATCCTCTGGATGCATGGAGAACGTCATTCCACACGTCAGCACCTGAAAGGGCACAGGCTGCTATTGACCAATCCTGTGTTTTCCACCATAGTAGCCACATTGTGAGTCCCTTAAAGACAGCCCAGCTGTCAGTGCATAGGACTACTGGGTCCAGCTTATGAAGGAGGACCATCCAAGCTGCCTACAGCTCAGCCCATTGGCTACTATGCCCTTCACCTGTATCAAACCAGATACTATCAGTGGATGGCTGAGTGGCCACAACTGTCTAGTTGCAAGGATTGCATCGTGATGAGCCATCTGTGTACCAGGCCTGGTTAGGAATTGGACCCTGTCCCTACTGTAAAAAGGAAGGGATTTGTGGAGGCTCAGCATCCTCCACTGAAGACTGTCCTTCAGTTGTAACATAAGTGACAGGTCCAAGCATCAAATGGAGCTCTGCAATCAAGGGGCTATTAGTTCATGTGCTCCTCTGTTGAAGGCAGGCTTCACATTTGGCCAGTCTGGGCATTCATAGACTTTGGTTTCTGGAAGGTACCCTTCAGCCAACCTGCTGTGAGGTACGGGGTGCATACGAGCCTCGAGACCCTCTTTGTAATGTCCTCAACTTGTAAGGCATAATATGTAGCACAAAGTTGTTGCTCTGCGACATTACATTTAACTCCAGTCCCCTTCCATAGTGATGCAGGAGTTAAGAAGAAATCCCTTAGGCAGATAGCAAGGACATGGGAGTCCTTGGAAAGGCTTTTCTGTTTAATAAAAAGCAGCCCCGATCATTTTCTAACAAAGAACAGCCTGCAAGCTGGGAGCTTGCATGGATGAATGCCGGCAGGAACTAAGGACTGGACATTTTTAAGATGGCGGCTCCATCTTCCCTTCTCTGCCAGCCACGTGTGCTGTAAGGAGCAGATAAGATGGCACTGATCAACTGGAAAGCCCTGGGACAACTAGCCTTCCCTGCTTGCTATGTAAACATCATACCTGATGGAACCAATCTATGAGCCCTATATAAATCAGACACCACCTCCTCAAACTGGACTATAAACTTGGCCAGCTGGCCCTTTCTGCTAGGAGACCTCTTCCTCTACGGAGGAAGCTGTTGCTCTTTCTCTTCTCTTCTACCTATTAAACCTCTGTTCCTAAACTCCTCATGTGTGTCTGTGCCCTAAATTTTCCTGGTGCATGACAATGAACCCCAGGGTTTATAACCCAGACAATGTAGCCACTTCATAATGGGAACCTTGTCTAGGATACCAAGTACAACATTCATCAAAATGGTGAGTAGAGGGGAGCGAACTCCAACTCTGTCCTTTCCTTCTGAGGCTCTCAGCCTCCATTTTAGACCTTTCATGGAGGACTTAGTTGTTGCATGGGACTGAAAGAAGTCCTAGGGCAAATGAATATTTCTTCTGGCCAGAGCTCCCACCTGGTATTATTCAAAGGCTTCTGGACTGACCCCAGCCTCTGACTGCCCTGATGGGGTGTCAGCAACAGGATCCCCAACTTTCCTATCATAATTTCCTCCTTTCCTGTTTGCAACTATCATATCTCTTATCCTGTGTATGAAATATATGTGGGAAGTTTTACAGTTCAGGTAAGTAATATTGTTTGGCAATATCAGAGAATGTCTAGTAACTGGGGATATAGCTCAAGGGAAGATGTCTTTGTGATTTTCTAGGAACAGAGGGTTCCCCCCACCACAGTGACTGTCTCTCTCTTAGCCTTTGGTCTGAAGAGCACATGTCATTTCCAGGTCTCTGCCCTTGGTCTGGAGAGTACATGGCATTTCCAGGTCTCTCTGTCCTTGGTCTAGAGAGTACGTGGCATTTCCAGGTCTCTCTCTGCCTTTGGTCTGGAGAGCATGTGGCATTTCCAGGTCTCTCTCTGTCCTTGGTCTGTAGAGCACATGGCATTTCCAGGTCTCTATCTGCCCTTGGTCTGAAGAGCACATGGCATGTCAAGGTCACTCTGCCCTTGGTCTAGAGAGCACATGGTGTTTCAAGGTCAACAGTGCCACCTAGTGGGACAGGGATCCATGAGGCACATTGTTGGTCCTTCAACAAAATACCCTAGCCTCTCAATTATCTTCCCTTTTTGAGCCTCTCTACTGGAAACCAGGCTTTCTGCTGCTTTGGTAAACGGGAAAATTCTGCCTTCAACAATTGCATTAAAATATCCTCCAAAGCCAAATTTTAGTCTTGATACTGTCCCATCAGCAGGAAAATGGCCATTCAGTCTCTACGTTCTTTTAAGGTACCTGTTCTGCCTCCAATTAGAGTGGCACTTAATTAGTAAGGGGATTTTAAGTTCAGAAGTTAGCCTGAACCATTCTCTATGGGTAAACGCTTCAGCACAGGCCATAATAGCAGGATATAAAGTTCAATCTAGCATACCCCCTCCATTAAAGTGGCCTTCTTCAACTATTATGTAGTTTTTCTGGAGATCCATTTTTCAGGGAGCCAGGCAGGTCACACAAATCTAGGAAGTCAAAGGGAAATCACAGGCAGAGAACTAGAGCCACTTGGGTAAGCATGACTAATCCCAATCTCTTAGTTCCTCTGGTTCCATGGCTGGGGGTCACGCCAGCAACCATGAGCAGCATGTTCAACAAGGTGTCAGGACCCAGGAACTATAGAGGGAAAACAGCAAGGGGACACCCCCACTGTCTTCCTCTCCACACTGAGTCACACCAAAAGGAAGGAGACAAAGGGATGCCTTTTTTTTTTTTTTCCACTTTTCTTTCTAGATGGGTACTATCTGAAACCTGCACTCCCTTGGAGTGCATTCTGAAGCACTGGGACTTCTTTCACCCTGAGACTTTAAAGAAAAAGCAGCTCATTTTCTTTTGCACAAGGGCATGGCCTTTTTACTAGATCTTTGCAAGTGTTACAAAATCAACCTAGTGCTTTTAGCAATCATATCGGGCAGACCCAAAAAGAATATTTCTCCAAAATTAGAGAAGCAACTTCGAAGGGAACCACCTCATGATCCCCCTCATTTGGGGCCCCTTCAAGTTCCCTTGTCATTACAGGACCTTAGGCAAATAAAGGGAGACTTAGGTCAATTTTCTAACGACTCTGATAGGTATATAGAAGCTTTCCAAAATTTAACTCATGTATTTGACCTCTCATAGAAGGATGTTAGGCTGCTCCTAAGCCAAACCCTAACCACAGCTGAGAAGCAGGCAGCTCTGCAAGCATCAGAGAATATCAAAGATGAGCAATATGTCTCCTATAGTGGGCCAAAAGAGAAAAGAGAAAATAGAAAAGGGGAAGAAATACAGCAAATACCATTCCCAGTAGGATAGGAAATACCTGTTCACAATCTTAATTGAAACTACCAGACTTTTCTATGGTGTTTTTCCTTCTTTCATGGTTTAAAATGGCTTCTCTTTTATAATGTTCTTCCAACTTTGGAAAAATTAATTTCCCAACCATTAAAATGCTTGGCTTAGAGTTGAGCTAGGAGGAAGGGAACCCAGAAGCCTGACATGCCAACAAAAGGGTAAAAATTTCTTACCAGTTGGGCTTTTGGCTTCTCTCTCCCTGTGCAAATTGGTAAAAGGGATAAATAAGGATAATTGCTAATATTCTCTGTAAAGTTTTAATGAAAAAGGATTTGTGAGGTTGGTGTCAAGCTGTAGACACTCTTGTGTGCTTTGTGTGTCTTTCTGTATGGTTCTGTCAGAAGAAAGGGTACTTTAGGTTAAGATGTAGACCCAGGACCCCATACGACTGCTGTTCAAGCCAGCCCAACAAAATGATCAGTAACAAACTTGGCTACAGGCCTCCATCTTGTTTCATGTCCTTGGGAACATGACCTGTAAACACATGGCAATATTTTGTTTTAGTCTCTGCCATTTTACAATGGTGACTATCTTCTTGTGCTAAGTCAGTTCCTGGGTGAGGGCCACAAAATCAGAAGCCAGTTTTCTGAGTGGGGTCAGGGTATATACCCCAAAGTAGCCACTTCAATAGATGGTACCAGAATCCTAAAGGCACATGTATATGTCCGTGTGTTTCCTACAGGCCCCACCCAAGCCCCTCAGAGTAACTGGCTACCTCCAATTTACAAGGCTATCCCTGCACTATAACTTCCAAGGCCTGCATTTATTTCACTGCGATTTTAGCTTGTTCAAGGCCACATCCTCCTTTGTGGACCAGTTCCAGTGGCCCTCCTTCTTGACTAAGCCATCTAGGGGCCTAAGGAGTTGTACCAAATGGGGAAATAAAAGGACATCAATACCCTAGAAGGCCTAAGAAGGTTTGCAGCTGCTCTGGTGTGGTAGGACGTGGGTTGGCCTTTACCTTATTCTATAATGGTAGACTGAATAAATTTAGTCTCACCCCACTAGATGAAACCCAGGTATTTGACTGATACGCCTGGACCCTGGACTTTGCATTGACCACCCATTGTACCTCTGTAGGTCAAGTAAGACAGCAAGGTTGGGGCTGCAGTTTCTAAGCTAGAAAAAGACTCAGAAGTTAGCATGATATCATCAGTATAATGGAAAACACATACCCCTCTGGAGTGGTCCACTGACTGAGGTTGGAGGCCTTTTGGCCACAACAGACAGTGGGGCTAAGTAAAGATACCAGGGGCAACACGGTAAAGATTCACCGTTCTCTTTTCCCAGATGAATGCATATTGGTCTTGGCTCTCTGGGGCAATGGGAATGCTAAAGAAGGCCTTGGTAAACAACCCAGCAAGAGAAAAGAACAAACAATCCCATTAAAAGTGGGCAAAAGAGATAGACATTTCTCAAAAGAAGACATATAAGCAGTCAATAAACATATGAAAAAATGCTCAACATCACTAATTATCAGAGAAATTAAAATTAAAACCACACTGACATTTCATCTTACATGACTCAGAATGGCTATTAGTAAAAAGTCAAAAAAAAAAAAAAAACAGATGTAGGCAGGGATGTGGAGTAAAGGGAGCCCTTGTACACTGTTGGTGGGAATGTGAATTAGTACTACTTCTATAAAAAACAGTATAGATGTTTTACAAAGAACTAAAAATAAAACTACCATTCAACCCAGCAATCCCACAACTGGGCATCTACCCAAAGGAAAATAAATTATTATATAAAAAAGACACTTGCACTCATATGTTTATTGCAGTATTATTCACAATAGTAAAGTCATGGAATCAACTGAAGTCTTCATCAATGGTTGATTGTATAAAGAAAATGTGACATATGGGTGGCTGGCAAGATGGCTGAATTGGAACAGCTCCAGTCTGCAGCTCCCAGTGAGATCAACACAGAAGGTGGGTGATTTCTGCATTTCCAACTGAGGTACCTGATTCATCAAATTGAGACTGGTTAGATGGTGGGTGCAGCCCACAGAAGGCGAGCTGAAGCAGGGTGGGGCATCGCCTCACATGGGAAGCACAAGGGGTCGGGGAACTCCCTCCCCTAGCCAAGGGAAGCTGTGAGGGACTGTGCTGTGAGGGACTGTACCGTGAGGAACAGTGCATTTAGGCCCAGATACTACACTTTTCCCATGGTTTTCGCAACTTGCAGACCAGGAGATTCCCTCGGGTGCCTACACCACCAGGGCCCTGGGTTTCAAGCACAAAACTTGGTGGCTGTTTGGGAAGACACCGAGCTAGCTGCAGGAGTTTTTTTTCATACCCCAGTGGTGCCTGGAATGCCAGTGAGACACAACCGTTTACTTCCCTGGAAAGGGGGCTGAAGGCAGGGAGCCAGGTGGTCTAGCTCAGCGGATCCCACCCCCATGGAGCCCAGCAAGCTAAGATCTACTAGCTTGAAATTCTTGCCAGCACAGCAGTTTGAAGTCCACCTGGGACACTCGAGCCTGGTGGGGAGAGCGGCATCCACCATTATTGAGGCTTGAGTAGGCAGTTTTCCCCTCACGTTGTAAACAAAGCTGCCAGGAGGTTCAAAATGGGAAGAGCCCACCACAGATCAGCAAAGCCGCGGTAGCCAGACTGCCTCCCTAGATTCCTCCTCTCTGGGCAGGGCATCTCTGAGAGAAAGGCAGCAGCCCCAGTCAGGGGCTTATAGATAAAACTCCCACCTCCCTGGGACAGAGCACCTGGGGGAAAGGGCGACTTTGGGCACAGCTTCAGCAGACTTAAACATTCCTGCCTGCTAGCTCTGAAGAGAGCAGTGGATCTCCCAGCACAGCACTCAAGCTCTAAGGGACAGACTGCCTCCTCAAGTGTGCCCCTGACCCCCGTGACTCCTGACTGGGAGACATCTCCCAGCAGGGGTCAATAGACACCTCATACAAGAGAGCTCCTGCTGGCATCTGACAGATGCCCCTCTGGGACGAAGGAACAGGCAGCGATCTTTGCTGTTCTGCAGCCTCTGCTGGTGATACCCAGGCAAACTCCAGCAGACCTGCAGTAGAAGGGCCTGACTACTAGAAGGAAAACTAACAAACAGAAAGAAATAGCATCAACATCAACAAAAAAGACGTCCACACAAAAACCCCATCCAAAGGTCACCAGCATCAAAGACCAAAGGTAGATAAATCCACAAAGATGAGGAAAAACCAGGGCAAAAAGGCTGAAAATTCCAAAAACCAGAAAGCTGCTTCTCCTCCAAAGGATCACAGCTCCTTGCCAGCAAGGGAACAAAACTGGATGGAGAATGAGTGAGACGAATTGACAGTAGGCTTCAGAAGGTGGGTAATAACAAACTCCACCGAGCTCAAGGAGCATGTTCTAACCCAATGCAAGGAAGCTAAGAACCTTGAAAAAAAGTTAGAGGAATTGCTAACTAGAATAACCAGTTTAGAGAAGAACATAAATGACCTGATGGAGATGAAAAATACAGCACAAGAACTTCACAAAGCATACTGAAGGAGATAGAGACACAAATGACCCTTCAAAAATCAATGAATCCAGGACCTATTTGAAAAGATTAACAAAATACATAGACTGCTAGCCAGACTAATAAAGAAAATAGAGAAGAATCAAATAGACACAATAAAAAATGATAAAGGGGATACCACCAATGATCACAGAAATACAAACTACCATCAGAGAATACTATAAACACCTCTCTGCAAATCAACTAGAAAATCTAGAAGAAATAGACAAATTCCTGGACACGTACACCCTCCCAAGACTAAACCAGGAAGAAGTTGAATACCTGAATAGACCAATAACAAGTTCTGAAATTGAGGCAGTAATTAATAGCCTACCAACCAAAAAAAGCCCAGGACCAGACAGATTCACAGCCGAATTCTACCAGAGGTACAAAGAGGAGCTGGTACCATTCCTTCTGAAACTATTCCAAACAATAGAAAAAGAGGGACTCCTCCCTAACTCATTTTATGAGGCCAGCATCAACCTGATTCCAACACCTGGCAGAGTCACAACAAAAAAAGAAAATTTCAGCCCAATATCCCTGATGGAAATCAATGTAAAAATCCTCAATAAAATACTCGCAAACTGACTCTGGCAGCATATCAAAAAGCTTTGTCCACCATGATCAAGTCAGCTTTATCCCTGGGATGCAAGGCTGGTTCCACATATGCAAATAAATAAACGTAATCCATCACATAAACAGAACCAATGACAAAAACCACATGATTATCACAATAGATGCAGAAAAGGCCTTCCATAAAATTCAACACCACTTCATGCTAAAAACTCTCAATAAACTAGGTATTGATGGAACATAGCCCAAAATAATAAGACCGATCTATGACAAACCCACAGCCAGTATCATACTGAATGGGCAAAAGATAGAAGCATTCCCTTTGAAAACCAGCACAAGACAGGGATGCCCTCTCTCAGCACTCCTATTCAACATAGTGATGGAAGTTCTGGCCAGGGCAATCAGGCAAGAGAAAGAAATAAAGGGCAATCAAATAGGAAGAGAGGAAGTTAAATTGTCTCTGTTTGCAGATGACATGATTGTATATTTAGAAAACCCCATCGTCTCAGCCCAAAATCTCCTTAAGCTGATAAGCAACTTCAGCAAAGTCTCGGGATACAAAATCAATGTGCAAAAATCACAAGCATTCTTATACACCAATAACAGACAGAGAGCTAAATCATGAGTGAACTCCCATTCATAATTGCTACAAAGAGAATAAAATACCTCAGAATACAACTGACAAGGAATGTGAAGGACCTCTTCAAGGAGAACTACAAACCACTGCTCAAGGAAATAACAGAGGACACAAACAAATGGAAAATATTCCATGCTCATGGATAGGAAGAATCAATATCATGAAAATGGCTATACTGCCCAAAATAATTTATAGACTCAATGCTATCCCCATCAAGCTACCATTGACTTTCTTCACAGAATTAGAAACAAAACTACTTTAAATTTTATATGGAATCAAAAAAGAGCCCACATTGCCAAGACAATCCTAAGCAAAAAGAACAAAGCTGGAGGCACCATGCTACCTGACTTCAAACTATACTACAAGTCTACGGTAAACAAAACAGCGTGGTACTGGTACCAAAAACAGATATATAGGCAAATGGAACAGAGGCCTCAGAAATAATGCCACACATCTACAATCATTTGATCTTTGACAAACCTGACAAAAACAAGCAATGGGGAAAGGATTCCCTTTTTAATAAATGGTGTTGGGAAAATTGGCTAGCTATGTGCAGAAAACTGAAACTGGACCCCTTATACAAAAATTAACTCAAGATGGATTAACCATTTAAATGTAAGACCTAAAACCATAAAAACCCTAGAAGAAAACCTAGGCAATACCATTCAGGACACAGGCATGGGCAAAGACTTCATGACTAAAACATCAAAAGCAATGGCAACAAAAGCCGAAATTGACAAACGGGATCTAACTACACTAAAGAGCTTCTCCACAGCAAAAGAAACTATCATCAGAGTAAACAGGCAACCTACAAAATGGGAGAAAATTTTTGCAATGTATCCATCTGACAAAGGGCTAATCTACCAAGAACTTAAACACAAAGAAATTAAACAAAGAACTTAAACAAATGTACAAGAAAACAAACAAACAACCCCATCAAAAAGTGGGCAAAGAATATGAACAGACACTTCTCAAAAGAAGACATTTATGCAGCAACAAACATATGAAAAAAAGCTCATCATCACTGGTCATTAGAGAAATGCAAATCAGACCCACAATGAGATACCATCTCACGCCAGTTAGAATGGTGATCATTAAAAACTCAGGACAACAGATGCTGGAGAGGATGTGGAGAAATAGAAACGTTTTAACGCTGTTGGTGAGAGCACAAATTAGTTCAACCATTGTGGGAGACAGTGTGGCAATTCCTCAGGGATGTAGAACTAGAAATAACATGTGATCCAGCAATCCCATTACTGGGTATATACCCAAAGGATTATAAATCATTCTACTATAAAGACATATGCACACGTATGTTTATTGTAGCAGTATTCACAATAGCAAAGACTTGGAACCAACCCAAATGCCTATCAGTGATAGACTGGATAAAGAAAATGTGGCACATATACACCATGGAATACTATGCAGCCATAAAAAAGGATGAGTTCATGTCCTTTGCAGGGACATGGATGAAGCTGGAAACCATCATTCTCAGCAAGCTAACACAGGAACAGAAAACCAAATAGCACATGTTCTCACTCATAAGTGGGAGCTGAAGAGTGAGAACACATGGACACAGGGAGGGGAACATCACACACTGAGGCCTGTCAGGGGGTCGGGGGCTAGGGGAGAGACAGCATTAGGAGAAATAACTAATGTAGATGATGGGTTGATGGGTGCAGAAAACCAATGGCACATGTATACCTATGTGACAAACCTGCATGTTCCGCACATGTGTCCAAGAACCTAAAGTATAATCAAAGAAAATGTGGTAAATATACATCATGAAATACTGTTCAGCCATAAAAAAGAATGACATCATGTCCTTTGCAGCAACATGGATGGAGTTTGAGAACATTATCCTAGTTGTAGTAACTGAGGTAATCAAACACCACATATTCTCTCTTATAAGTGTGAGCTAAATATTGGGTACACATGGACATAAAGATGGAAATAACAGACACTGGGGACTCCAAAGTTGGTAGAGGAGTAAGGGTTAGAAATTTACCTATTGGATACAATGTTTATTATTTGGATAAGGGGTACACCACAAGCCCAATCCTCACCATTACTCAGTGTATCCATGTGACAAACCTGTCCATGTACTTCTGAATGTAAAACTAAAAAAAGTTAAAAGATGGCATATACTGATGCAAATTTAAATACAGCAAGAAAAATAACAATAATTAACATTTATGTACCTAATACCGTATCATCAAATATATGAAGCAAAAACTGACAGGAGGGGTACGGTGGTGCATGCCTGTAATCCCAGCTACTTGGGAGGCTGATGTGGCAGGATTGCATAAACCAAAGGGTTCAAGTCCAGTCTGAGCAACATAGTGAGACCCTGTCTCTTAAAATAAACCAAACAGAATTGAAGTGAGAAATAGTCTACAATAGTAGTTGGAGACTTCAATACCGTACTCTTAATAATTGCTAGAAAACCAGACAGAAGGAAACAGAAGTCTTAAACAACACAATAAATCAACTAGTTGTACAAATACAAAATATTCTTCCCCAAAACATACACATTATTCTCATGTCTATATAAGACATTTTCTAGGATAAACTAAGTTTCAATAGATTTAAAACGATAGACATCAAAGTATCTTCTCCCATCACAATGGGATGAAGTTACAAATCAATAACAGAATTAAAACAAAAAAAAACCCCAGTTTCTGGAAATCATGTAAATAACACACTCAGACAACTAATGGATTAAAAAAGAAACCACAAGGGAAATTAGAAAATTTCCCTTAGAGACAAATAAAAATGAAAACACAGAGTATGTACTCTGAAACTAGGCTGCCTTGATTCAATTCCAATCTTTCAGGTAGAGACTACTTGTTTTTAAACACCCAAATATCAATAGCTACCTAAATTCCAGCATTGTTAATCTGACAAATGTATAAACAATGTAAAGTGAAGTACTACCTAAATATTTGAAAAGTGAGTAATATAAAATATATACTAGAACTGTAGTTCTTAAGTCATTACAATATGCCAGGCACTTCATATATATTATTAATTCATTTGATACTTAAAGCACACTAGGGATTTATGCATTATCATCACCACAGGTAATAAAATGAAAGCAAGCAAAGTTAGGTAAATTATACAAAATTATGCAGCTAATAACTGAGAGAGCTTGGAGTTGAATCAACAGGCCTTAAATATAAGAAAATTACTATGAGGTTGCTGGACCTGAGGAAATGGGCCTGAAAGAACCCACCTCTTTGTTTACTTCACACTTGTACCTAGGAGCCTTGTCTCGTTTCAGTTTATTTTCTACAATGCAGCCTTAAGTGATCATACTCTAAACAAGGAATCAGCAAACTGTGACCTGCCATCCAAGTCTAACCCAAGCTAAGAATGGTTTTTGGAAAAAAAAAAATCACAGGAACAATTTTATGTGACATCAAATTTCAGTGTCCATATATGAACTTTTATTGGAACACAGCCAAACTTATTTCTGTATTTATTGACTATGCCTGCTTTTGCTCTATAATGGCAGAATTAAGTAGATGCAACAGAGCCCGTATGGCTTGTAAAAAGTCTAAAATATTTGCAAAACTAAGCCAAGCATGGTGGCACATGCCTGTAGTCTTAGCTCCTTTGGAGGCTAAGATAGGAGGATTGCTTGAGCCCAGGAGTTCAAGGTTATAGTGAGCTATGATCACACCACTGCATTCCAACCTAAGTGAAAAACCAAGACCCTGTCTCAATCAATGAATGAATCAATAAAGCAAGCAAGCAAGCAAGCCTAAACTATTTGCTACCTGGCCCTTTAGAGGAAAAGTTTCCTAGCCAAAATACTGATAATATCACTCTTCTATTTAAAATGATTTAGTAACTTCCTATTGCTTTTGAGATAAATTCTAACTCCTTTATATGGAATGTAAGCCCCTTTAGTCTCTCTGCTTTCCAGCCATATCAACTTTCTTATCATGTTGTATGCCTTGTAACTTTTTACCACTGATAATATGCTAATGCAAAAAGGACTATTTTCAGGTTAACTGATACACCTTTGTGTGATCCCATTGTGATTCATATGTTATTATTTTTAGTCTTTTAGCAAGAGATATCTCAAGGGTAGAAAATCATGTATAAATAGGAATAATCCTGTTTAATCTACAAGCTTTTAATTTCAAAAGAGGTAACATTTTTCAATCTATAGGCTATAGACCTCTGGCTAGATGAAATTTAGATAGTAAGAATGAATCTATTAAAAAAATAAATCCTTTTAGGCAATTTCTACATGGAACCTTAAATGTATATAGTAGATTCATGAGCTTAAATAGAACTCTGAGGCTTTAATGCTCTCAATATTTTGAGCTTCTTTAAAGCAGACCTTGGGCTATCAATAAAGTTATGTATGAAGAGTAACAATGCAGCATTCTGAATAATGACTGTTTGCTTTTGCAAATAAAAAGGACAGTAAAACCACTTCTATACTTCCCTTATTTTAGATTTTCATCTTTTATGTGTAAAAATCATCATGGTTTAGGATTAGCCTATCAGTAGAAAGGCTACTGGATGAAGGTGATTTGAACTAACATGGACACTTTATATTGTTATTGGCTAAACTGAGACCGAAAGCTGAAAGAGATATGATTTGAGAAAAGTTTAGAAGGTGCCTTTCGTGATGTTTCTATTAATTATTACAACATTAGAAATTAAAGAACATAATACCTTGAGAGAGAAATTTTACCAGGCACCAAACATTTAAATATTCATCTCTTTAGTTCTTATCTTGGCTAGAAAAAAGACTGAAACTATAGACATAAAAAATAAAGAAATGTGGGGAAAATCTACCATTATTGGGGTAAGTGGCAAAGGTGAAAAGGTGGAGATAAGGAAAAAAGTCAATGGGGCTGGAAAATCTAAAAAGTGTAATTAATTTTCTGACACTGTGATCTCTGCATGTATAGATTTTGATGAAAATAATAAAATCTTCCCTCAATGTCATATGCCTGCTCAATCAGACATCACAAAATGCAGATGACGAACAATAGAATGTTCACACTTTTGAAATTAGATTTTTTATGATCAATAATAGTATAATTAATTGAATGACATACATTTAGAATTTAAATATCAAACTCAATCCAAAGATGATTGATCTAATGTGATGAATCCATAATATTATCTAAAACATCAAAGCTTCATTTAAACTACAAAATGTCTTCACTGTGCAAAAGATTCAGGAAAAGCACCTTCCAGAAGTATTTCTGGCTTTCAAGAGGCTTTTGATTTATTGTTTCTGTGACAACAATGAAATTGCTGTATAACAGAATATCTGAAACATCAAAGCTTAATTTAAACTACAAAATGTCTTAATTGTGCAAAAGATTCAGGCAAAAGCACCTTCTAGAAGTATTTCTTCTTTCAAGAACCTTTTGCTCTGTTGTTTCTGTGGAAACAATGAAATTGCTGTCTAACAGAATATGCTGGGAAACGAGGAAAGGACTTTTCCTTTGTTCATTTGATCTCAATGTGGCACTGTAGTGCAAGATCTTATAAAACAGAAACCTGATACAGAGTACAAGGATTTGTAAGAAACTGGTCAGTTTTACTGTTCTGTAGCTAATAAATGGGAGGGCCAGAGTGTACATGAATTTAACCTCTTGGATCCACTTTGTACTATGGTTACTTAAAAAATACATGTGAGAACATTCCTGCTTTGTTACTCTACACTAAAATATAAGGGACAAACTGAGCACATTCGAGATCTGTGGGACATCTTTTGCCCTATGTCCTGGATTCTATAGCTTTTCTTCAGAGAATGGATTAGAAAGACATTTAAGCTTACTAGATAGATAGGTGTCATCCCCTTGCATCAAGGTACATGAGGAGAAAAGTTCAAGAATTATAAATTCTTAGAAAACACAAAAGATCCATTGGAGCCAGCAAACAAAATGTCAACAAATCAAAAGATATTAGATGGTTATTGACCAGTTTCACGAAAGCAAACCTGCAAGTCAAGATGGAATAATGCTTTCCCACCCTGTGTCTAAGGCTGCAAAATGACAGTAATCCTTTTTATGGTCACAAAAGCTGACAACTTAGCCTTAGAACTGAAGGCACAAAATCATCTCTGAAAATGACTCACCATAAAGAGGTCACGAGCACCAACGTCAACAGCTAGGAGAAATGCCTTTTCAAACCTCTGGTACCTACAAGGCAGAAAAAAATATTATGTTAGTTGTGAACAAGAATATATAAAAGAAAAGAGCTGTTTATTTAACATATATCTGTGATACTGTTTTTGTCCTTCTGATTGGAAAAATATTTTCAAACAGAAGGGATTTGGCCTACTAGGATCTTCCATATGTGCAAAGTTATTACATTTAGGAGGGGCTGAGGCGCAGAGCCTGTGGAGGCCTTAAGTATAACTTTCAAGAATAAACATAACCCCAAGTAGACACTGCTGACTATGATAGCTTAGAAAATACGTTGCCTCTTCTTGTTAGTACCTCCTATATTTGCCTGAATCCCTCTCAGCTATAGAAATCAAAAGGCAATTGTGTTTATTTTGTGAATGAAGAGTGTCTTGTACTAGGAAGCTTATTGATTCATTATATATTCAGTGGAGATGGGATATACTAAGGAAGAGGTCAGAGGATTAGCAAATTGTACTATTTGTCCATGCATTCACTGCAGTTTTGCATTTGTCCCCATTCCATTGTAACTATCTGGCAATACTAATTATTCATACATATATATATATATATATATATATATATATATATTTTTTTTTTTTTGGAGATGGAGTCTCGCTCTGTCACCAGGCTGGAGTGCAGGGGCATGATCTCGGCTCACTGCAACCTCCACCTCCCTGATTCAAGTGATTCTCCTGCCTCAGCCTCCCGATAGCTGGGAGTAGGCGCGCACCACCATGCCCAGCTAATTTTTGTATTTTTAGTAGAGATGGTGATTCACCATATTGGCCAGGATGGTCTTGATCTCTTGACCTCATGATCCGCCTGCCTCAGCCTCCCAAAGTGCTGCGATTACAGGCGTGAGCCACTGTGCCTGGCCCCATCTTCTTTTTTTTTTAATACAGGGTCTCACTCTGTCACCCAGGCTGGAGTACAGTGGTGCAATCATCGCCTTGACCTCCTGGGCTCAGATGATCTTCCCACTTCAGCCCCGCCAAGTAGCTGGGACTACAGGTGCACGCCACTATGCCCAGCTAATTTTTTGTATTTTTTGTAGAGATGGAGTTTTTGCCATGTTGCCCAGGCTGGTCTCAAATTCATGGGCTCAAGCAAACCACCCACTTCAGCGTCCCAAAAGTGCTGGGATTATAGGCCTGAGCCATTGTCATCCATCTTCTTAGGATCAAACTTAAAGGTAAATTCTTACCTTTTGTGCCCCTTTGGTCCCATCTAATTCTATAAATTGCCCTTCCTTGAAACCCTCTCCTACCTTGGCTTGCCCTGCTTTCCTTAATTTTTTGTTTTCCCTTCCTTAGATGTGTTCTTAGTCTCCTTTGCTAGTTCATTTTTCTCTGCCTCCCCATGAAATCAGTATTCTATGATCCTCTTTTATTTCTACCCACTGTCTCCAATCTCCTCAATAACCTTACCACACCCAGGGCATTGCTTATCAATTATCAGTGGCTTACAAATCTACACCTCCGGGATCCATCTCTTCCCTGATCTCCAAATTATTATTTCAAGGCACCTCAAAGTTAACATGTCTAACATGTTCACTGAAACATCAATTTGGCAATCATAGAGGGCAAACTGAAATTGGAGAGAGTGAAATTAAGGGGGATAAGTTAGGATGTGCTCTTCTTTCTAGGTAAGAGGTAATGATAGACAGTAGATGGTAATGATACATGGTAAAATTAAAAAACTGACATTGGCATCTGGCAGCATGGTGAAACAGAAATAACAAAAGGAGACTCCCAACTAGCTTGTTTATAAAATACTTAGTTAAAGTAAATCATAGGACTATGAAAAGTAAGTAAATACCAAGGGGGCCATATCCTCCATAAAAAAATAACCAATTAAACAAAATCCCTTGATAGAAATCAGAGTAAGGATCACTCAGCAGACAACAAATAAGGGGGAAAAACAGGGCAGAACTACTTACAGGGCCATCACCCTTAGGAGATAAGCCTGAACAAAACTCAAGTTAAAGGTGATAAGCTCAGACTGTTGATTAAGGCAAGTAAAAGAGCTAAACCCAAGAATTCTGATTAAGCCAGGGGCTAAAAGAGACCCAGGTTAGTAGTGCCCCTAACTTTCACAGAAACAAACAAATTCATGTCTGGATTAAAGCCTAATAGAGGCCCTCAATGATTTTTTAACATAAAATTAACATAAATTAAAATCAAACAAGTATGAGTTCATAAAGATAATCAAAAACACAAGAAAACAAGGCACTATAACTAAAAATTAGAAAAATAACAAATTTAGATCTCCATGGATTTCAAATAATTGAATTATTAAAGTAGGCATATAAAATAATTCAATATAAAATATTTAAAGAAATGAGGGAGTCATGAAAATAAGCATGTAATATGATACAATAAAGAATAATCAGGTTACTATTTTAAAGAATAAAACAGAACTTTTAGAAATAAAAATCTAATTATTGAAGTTAAATAATTTGATTTTTTTTTTGTTTTGGACTGGGTCTTGCTCTGTTACCCAAGCTGGAGTACAGCAGCGTGATTATAGCTCACTGTAACATCAACCTCATAAGTACCTCGAGTGTCTTAGAAGACCTTGAGTCTCCTAAGCAGCTGTGACTACAAGCATGTGCCACGTTCTGGGGTAATACTTTTTTTTTTTTGTAGAAATGAGGTCTCATTATGTTGCCCAGGCTGGTTTTGAATCCATGAGCTCGAGTGATCTTCCTGCCTCAGCCTCCCAAAATGCTGGGACTACAGGTGTGAGCCACTGTGCTCAGTCAATTTGACACATTTGAAGAAAGAATTGGTGAAATAAAAGTGCATAAATTATGTATAAGTCAGGAATTACACAGAATGTTACACAGAGGAAAAAGAGATTAAAAATATAAAGAGAGGCTGAGCAAATTACAGAAAATGAAAAAGTCTAATATGACTACACAGGGAATTAAGTTAATGGCTAAGAATTTCCAGAGATGATAAATGATATGAGACAATCAACACAAAAGAAACAATGTATATCAGGCAGGAGATATAAAAAGGAAATTTAAAATATCCACATTTGTAATGGAAATGCAGAACTAAACAAAAAAAGAAAATAAGGCCGGGCGCCTATAATCCCAGCACTCTGGGAGGCCGAGATGGATTTTATCACTTGAGGCTAAAAGTTCAAGACCAGCCTGGGCAACATAGTAAAACCCCACCTCTACTAAAAATACAAAACTGAGCCAGATATGGTGGTGGGTGCCTGTATTCCCAGCTACTCAGGAGGCTGAGGCACAAGGATTACTTGAACCTGGGAGGCAGAGGTTGCAGTGAGCTGAGATTGTGCCACTGCATTCCAGCCTGGGCAAGAGAGTGAGTCTCTGCCTCAAAATAAATAAATAAATAAATAAAAATAAAAGAAAAAAAACTAAAAGCTTCCAGAAAAGAAATAAAAGGCATCTATTAATAAATAGGAAGAGAGGAAGTCAAACTATCTCCCTTCTCAGATGATAAGATTCTATACCTACAAAATCCCATAGTCTCTGCCCAAAGACTCCTAGATCTGATACACAGCTTTGGCAAAGTTGCAGGATACAAAATTAGTGCAAAATGAGTTGCATTTCTATACACCAATAATGTCCAAGCTGAGAGCCAAATCAAGAATGCAATTCCATTCACAATAGCCACAAAAAGAATAAAATAAGCAGGAATACAGCTAACCAGGGAGGTGAAAGATCTCTACAATGAGAATTACAAAACACTGTGGAAAGAAATTAGAGATGACATAAACAATTGGAAAACCATTTCATGCTCATGGATAATAAGAATCAATACCGTTAAAATGGCCATACTACAGATTCAATGTTATTCCTATCCAACTACTACTGACATTTTTCACAGAACTAGAAAAACCTTAGATTTATATGGAACCAGGCCAGGCATGGTGGCTCATACCTGTAATCCCAGCACTACTTAAAAAAACAATACAAAACATTAGCTGGGCGTGGTGGCGGGCACCTGTAATCCCAGCTACTTGGGAAGCTGAGGCAGAAGAATAGCTTGAATCTGGGAGGCAGAGGTTGCAGTGAGCCAAGATCGCACCATTGCACTCCAGCCTGGGCAACAAAAGTGAAACTACATCTCAAAAAAAAAAAAAAATTATATGGAACCAAAAAAAGCCTGAACACCCAAAGCAATTCTAAGCAAAAAGAACAAAGTTGGAGGCATCAGGTTATGCACTTCGAACTCCTACAAAGCTACAGTAAACTAAGCAGCATGGTACTGGTACAAAAACAGACACATAAACCAATAAAACAGATTAGAGAACTTAGAAATAAAGCCAAACACCTGCAACCAACCATCTGATCTTTGACAAGATAGACAACAGCAGCAATGGGGAAATGACCTCCTATTTAATAAATGGTGCTGGAGTAACTGGATAGTCGTATACAGATGATTGAAACTACGCCCCTTCCTTTCACTGTATACAAAAATCGATTCAAGATGAACTACAGACTTAAATGTAAAACCCAAAACTATAAAAACCTTAGAAGAAAACCTAGGAAATATCATTATGGACATAGGCCCTGGCAAAGATGTCATGACAGAGACTCCACAAGCAACTGCAACAAAAACAAAAAATTCATGAATGGAAAGACCAATTAAACTAAAGAACTTCTGCATAACAAAAGAAACTATCAAAAAAGTAAACAGAGAACCTACAGAATGGGAGAAAATATTCACAAACTATGCATTTGGCAAAGGTCTAATATCCAGAATCTATAAAGAATTTAAACAAATTAACAGGCAAAAAACTTAAAACCCCATTAAAAAATAGGGAAAGGACATGAACAGACACTTCTCAAAGTAAGACACTCAGCCAACAAGCATATGGAAAAATCCTCAGCATCACTAATCGTTAGAGAAATGTGAATCAAAACCACAATGAGATACCATCTCATAACCAGTCAGAATGGCTATTATTAAAAAGTCAGAAAACAACAGATGCTGGCAAGGGTGCAGAGAAAAAAGAACACTTATACACCCCTACTGGCAATGTAAATTAGTTCAGCCACTGTGGAAAGCAGTTTGGAGATTTCTCAAAGAACTTAAAACAGAACTACTATTCAACCCAGCAATCCCATTACTGAGTATATACCCAAAGGAATATAAATTGTTCTAACATAAAGATATGTGAAGTGTATGTTCATCACAGCACTATTCACAATAGGAAGGACATGGAATCAACCTAGATGCTCATCAGTGGTTGACAGGATAAAGAAAATGTGGTATATATACACCATGGAATACTATGCAGTCATATAAAAGAAAGAGATTGTCCTTTGCAGCAACATGGGTGGAGTTGGTGGCCACTATCCTAAGAGAATTAATACAGGACCAAAAAACCAAATACCCCATGTTCTCTCTTATAAGTGGGAACTAAACACTGAGTACACAGGGACACAAAGAAGGTAACAGTAGATACCAAGGCCTACTTGAGGCTGGAGTGTGGGAGGAGGGTGAATTGAAAAAGTACCTATCGAATACTATGCTCATTAGTAGCATAGTTATTCTGGGTGATGAAATAAGCTGTACACCAGACCCCCATGACATGCAATTTACCCTTGTAACAAACCGGCTGATGTACCCTTGACCCTAAAAGTGCAAGAAAAAAAGAATAACTTATACATAAAGTTTAAAAAAAGAAAAAGCTGCCAGAGAGAAGACATATCATCTAAAAAGGAACTACAAATAGACTGACCCTAGACTTCTCATTGGCAACAATGGGAGGTAGAAGACAGAAAATATCTTCAAATTATGGAGGAAAAATAAGCATCAAGTCTTTGTGCAGCGACTCCTCCAATTTGTCGATTTTTGTTTTTGTTGCAATTGCTTGTGGAGTCTTTGTCATGATGTCTTTGTCAGAGCCTATGTCCAGAACAATATTTCCTAGGTTTTCTTCTAAGGGTTTTATAGTTGTAGGTTTTACATTTAAGTCTCTAATCCATCTTCAGTTAATTTTTGTATACAGTGAAAGGAAAGGGCCTAGTTTCAATCTTCTGTATATACAAAAATTCTAAACTTGAATGTACTTAATAAAATAGGCTCAAAAATGTATAAAGCAAAACATGAATAGAATTAAAACAAATGATCAGACTACCATCACTGTGTGAGACTAAGGGTTATCTCTAAATTTTTGCTAGTCTAAGCATTGAGTAAATTAGAAAGAAACAGGAGTCTTAAACAACATAATTACAAAGTTATATTTATTGGATACAC
The DNA here is from genome assembly GCF_000001405.40 of Homo sapiens. Taxonomy (NCBI): domain Eukaryota; kingdom Metazoa; phylum Chordata; class Mammalia; order Primates; family Hominidae; genus Homo; species Homo sapiens. Next base: position 63,319,545 of record NC_000002.12, read on the forward strand.
AGAACTTAAATCAGAGAACCACCTCCTGGGTTCACACCATTCTCCTGCCTCAGCCTCCCAAGTAGCTGGGACTACAGGGGCCCACTACCGCGCCTGGCTAATTTTTTGTATTTTTAGTAGAGATGGGGTTTCACTGTGTTAGCCAGGATGGTCTCCATCTCCTGACCTCGTGATCCACCCGCCTCAGCCTCCCAAAGTGCTGGGATTACAGGCCACTGTGCCTGGCCCAGAGAACTTTAAATCTTAAATCAGAGAATACACATTCTTCTTAAGCACAAATGGGATATCTACAAAATTATATTATGTAGTAAGTAAAAAAGCATGTCTCAATACATTTTAAACATTATAATTAATCCATCAACAATGTAATTAATTGACAAAAAGATAAGCAATATATGCACATGTACTTAGAAATGAAGTCATTAGTCAAAGAAGAAATCATAATAGAAATTTTAAAATACTTAAATAAATGCTAATACTATAAAAAAACTTGAGCAAATGAGGTATTTGAAGGGAAATCTATAGCCTTACATGCTTATATTGAAAAGAAGGTTAAAAATTGATAAACTAAACATCCAACTTAATAATTTAAAAAAACAATAGCAGAATAATCTCAAGAAGGCAGTGGAATAACATGTTTGAAGTACTGGAAGGAAGAAACACACAAAAAATTTTATATGCAGCAAAGACTCTTTCACAAATGAAGGTGTAATAAAGACATTTGCAGGAAGAAACCAAGAAAATTTATCACAAGTAGAACTACACCGTAAGAAAGACTAAAAGAAGCTCTTTAGGCTAAAATAAATGCTAGATGGAAATGCAGATCTTCAAGAAAGAATGAAAAGTAAGAGAAACAGTAAATACCTGGGCAAATATAAAGAACTCCATTACCTTTATTTAATATACACTAGTCTGTTGAAAGCAAAAATTATAACATTTTGTGAGGGTTGTAACATGTAGGTTATACAATAGCATAAAGGATGGGGTAAGGTGGGTAAATGAACTGATACAGTTCATTGCAAGATTTCTACATTTTCCATGAAGTGGACTGCATGAAGATTTCTACATTTTAATTCTAAGTGGACTGTAGAACACTAAGGATATAAATGTAACCCTTACAGCACCACTAAAAAAACAGTGCAAGTAGGTATGACTGAAAAAGCAAATAAATAAAAAATCTGGAAAATATTAAAATAATCCAAAGAAGGAAGGAAAAGAGGAGTGAAGAAACAAAAATTAGTAAAAATTAGTACAAACAAAAAACAAAATGACAGACTGAATTGCAACTACATCCATAATTACATTAAATGTTAATGAACTGAACATTTCAATTAAAAGACAAAGACTGTCATAAAAGAGCAAGAACCAAATATATGCTGTTTGTAAGAAGTCCACTATAAATATACAAACACAGATAGTTTGAAAGTACATAAATAGAAAAATGTAAATATGAAAAGGCTAGAATGGCAATAATTATCAGATATAATATACTTTAAAAAACAGTATTAAAGGAGGGACATTTCATAATGATAAAAACACCAATTCATCAGGAAGACCCAACAATCATGACTGTGAGTGTCTTAAATATATGAAACAAAAAAAAGGTGACAGAAATAAAGAAGACAATTATATTAACAGTTGCTTTTAGCACACCTCAATCAGCAAGATAAACAAATGGAAAGTTAAACAAATAAAGTAATAGATGATCTCTATATTCATGTAACTGATATTATAGAACAATATCAGTCTGAAGTACTGAAGTGTGTCTCTATTATCAGAGTATATATATATATATATACATTTTGATATGTACTTTGTGTGTATAGACATATATATACACTCTGTGTGTGTGTGTGTGTGTGTGTGTGTGTGTGTGTGTGTATCCACCCACATGAGAGCTCCTTATTGTTACTTTGCTGATTTATTTCCTCATTTTTGTCATTCTGGCCCATCTTAGACTGAAAATGTTACGTGCAAATTAACTACTGGTTTGCTTTTGTCTGTTTCTTCTTATATCTCCTACAATTTCTGCTTTACGAAGATTCCTATCATTTTATTTGGTACACGGATATAACTTTTTTTTATTATGAAAGGTAGCCCACAGCATTGTAGAGTGACTTTCTTTGTTCTGTTTAATAATCTGTGGCATAATTCTGTCTTGTTATACAGTATATAATAATCCCTGCTTAGTTTGTATTTTTTGCCATATGGCAACTTTGCTTTACTTTTTAAAAAATTGTTTTGATTTCATATTTGTTTTGTATATAGGAATGTTTACATTTTTATAAACTCAAGTATGTATAATTAATGTAATTCTCTTGAGCTCCTTTTTCTTTATTTCTATTGTCTTCTTTTTACATATCACTTTACTGAGGTATTATTGACACAAAAAAAGCTGTACATATTTAATGTATACAACTTGATTAATTTGGAGGGAAGTAGACACCACTGAAGCTATTACTGAGAGGTGAAGCCAGCTGGGTTTCTGGGTTGGGTGGGGACTTGGAGAACTTTTCTGTCTAGCTAAAGAATTGTAAATGCACCAATCAGCACTCTGTGTCTAGCTAACAGGTAGGGGGCTTGGAGAACTTTTCTGTCTAGCTAAAGGATTGTAAATGCACCAATCAGCACTTTGTGTCTAGCTAAAGGTTTGTAAATGCACCAGTCATCACTCTGTCAAAATGGACCAATCAGCTCTCTGTAAAATGGACCAATCAGCACTCTGTAAAATGGACCAATCAGCAGGATGTGGGTGGGCCCAGATAAGGGAATAAAAGCAGGCCACCTGAGCCAGCAGTGGCAACCCGCTCGGGTCCCCTTCCATGCTGTGGAAGCTTTGTTCTTTCGCTCTTCACAATAAATCTTGCTGCTGCTCACTCTTTGGGTCCATGCTGCCTTTATGAGCTGTAACACTCACCGTGAAGGTCTGCAGCTTCACTCCTGAAGTCAGTGAGACCATGAACCCACTGGGAGGAAGAAACACCTCCAGATGTGCCACCTTTAAGAGCTGTAGCACTCACTGCGAAGGTCTGCGGCTTCACTCCTGAAGTCAGCGAGACCATGAACCCACCAGAAGAAGAAAGTCTGGACATGTCTGAACATCAGAAGGAACAAACTCTGGACACACCATCTTTAAGAACTGTAACACTCACCGCAAGGGTCCACAGCTTCATTCTTGAAGTCACCGAGACCAAGAACCCACCAATTCCAGACACATTTTGGCGACCCAGATGGGACCATCGCCTATCGCCAAGAAGTGAGACTATCGCCTATTGCCAAGTGGTGAGTACCATCGGACCCCTTTCGCTTGCTATTCTTTCCTATTTTTCCTTAGAATTCGGGGTCTAAATACCAGGCACCTGTCGGCCAGTTAAAAGCTACTAGCGCAGCTGCCAGACTAAAGACACAGGTGTCAGGCTTTCTGGGAAAGGCCTTTCTAACAATCCCTGACTCTTCAGAGTTGGTAGCGTTGGTTTGCCTGGAACCAGCTTCCGCTTTTCCTGTACTTCTGGACTGAGCCCAGGGTCGACAGAGAGGAAAGCCATTCAGCTCCGGGGTCCCAACAACAAGTTGGTTGACCCTGTGGCCATGAGTGGAACTCTCAAAGTCATGTCGCCCAAGCGAGACTTGCCCATCTATTCTATCTACCCTGACCATTGCCCCCTGGGTCCTAACGCCTGCCAGACAAACTTCCCCTTGCCTCTCTTCTCCAGGCTAGTCCTGCTTCTAAAAACCACTCCCTGTCTCTGGTGCTTTTCTAGTTTCTCCTATAAGAATGATTTCTAGTATAAATTTGGGATTCTGTTACCTTCTGTAGGCACCCAGGCTCACCAATCAGAAAGACGTAATTTTTGCCCAAAGCCCCATCGTAGGGGGGACTATCTGGAATTTTAGGATCCCTCCTCAGACTAGCAGGCCTAACAAAAGCTATTCCTGAAGCTAGAATATGGGGAGCCTCAGAAATTGTATCCTTCCTATTCATATAAGTAAGGACAAAAGGTGTCACTCTTCCAACCCTGGACATCCCTTCCCTCCCTCAGGGTATGGCCCTCCACTTCATTTGGGGGGCATAACATCTTTATAGGACATGGTTAAGGTCCCAATACTAACAGGTGAATGCTTAGGACTCTAATGGGTTTTCGAGAATGTGTCGGTAAGGGCCACTAAATCCGATTTTTCTCGGTCCTCTTTGTGGTCTAGGAGGACAGGCAAGGGTGCAGGTTTTCGAGAATGCGTTGGTAAGGGCCACTAAATCCGACCTTTCTCAGTCCCCCTTGTGGTCTGGGAGGAAAACTAGTATTTTTGCTGCTGCGTCAGGGAGCACAACTATTCCGATCAGCAGGGTCCAGGGACCGTTGCAGGTTTGTGGGTGGGGGAGAAACAAAACAAACCAAAACCACAGGCGGTTTTGTCTTTCAGATGGGAAACACTCAGGCATCAACAGGCTCACCTTTGAAATGCATCCTAAGCCATTGGGACCAATTTGACCCACAAACCCTGAAAAAGAGGTGGCTCATTTTTTTCTGCCCTACAGCCTGGCCCCAATATTCTCTCTCTGATGGGGAAAAATGGCCACCTGAGGGAAGTATAAATTACAATACTATCCTGCAGCTTGACCTTTTCTGTAAGAGGGAAGGCAAATGGAGTGAAATACCTTATGTCCAAACTCTTTTCATTGAAGGAGAATACATGACTATGCAAAGCTTGCAATTTACATCCCCCAGGAGGACCTTTCAGCTTAGTCCCATATCCTAGCCTCCCTATGGCTCCCCCTCCTATTAATGATAAGCCTCCTCTAATCTCCCCTGCCCAGAAGGAAATAAGCAAAGAAATCTCCAAAGGACCACAAAAACCCCCGGGCTATCGGTTACGTCCCCTTCAAGCTGTAGGGGAAGGGGAATTTGGCCCAACCCAGGTACATGTCCCCTTCTCCCTCTCTGATTTAAAGCAGATCAAGGCAGACCTGGGAAAGTTTTCAGATGATCCTGATAGGTACATAGATGTCCTACAGGGTCTAGGGGAAACCTTCGATCTCACTTGGAAAGATGTCATGCTTTTGTTAGATCAAACCCTGGCCTTTAATGAAAAGAATGCAGCTTTAGCTGCAGCCCAAGAGTTTGGAGATACCTGGCATCTTAGTCAAGTAAATGATAAAATGACAGCCAAAGAAAGGGAAAATTCCCTACTGGTCAGCAAGCTGTCCCCAGTATGGATCCCCACTGGGACCTCAACTCAGATCATAGGGACTGGAGTCACAAACATCTGTTGACCTGTGTTCTAGAAGGACTAAGGAGAATTAGGAAAAAGCCCATGAATTATTCAATGATGTCCACCATAACTCAGGGAAAGGAAGAAAATCCTTCTGCTTTCCTCAAGTGGCTACAGGAGGCCTTAAGAAAATATACTCCCATCACCTGAATCACTTGAGGGTCAATTGATTCTAAAAGATAAGTTTATTACCCAATCAGCTGCAGATATCAGGAGAAAGCTCCAAAAGCAAGCCCCAGGCCCTAAACAAAATCTGGAGGCATTATTAAACCTGGCAACCTCGGGGTTCTATAATAGGGATGAAGAGGAACAGGCCCAAAAGGAAAAGCAAGATCAGAGAAATGCTGCAGCCTTTGTCATGGCCCTCAGACAAACAAACCTTGGTGGTTCAGAGAGAACAGAAAATGGAGCAGGCCAATCATCTGGTAGGGCTTGTTATCAGTGTGGTTTACAAGGACACTTTAAAAAAGATTGCCCAATGAGAAACAAGCCACCCCCTCGTCCATGTCCGCTATGCTGAGGCAATCACTGGAAGGCACACTGTCCCAGAGTGCAATGGTTCTCTGGGCCAGAAAAAAGCCCCCAACCAGATGATCCAACAATAGGACTGAGGGTGCCTCGGGAAAGCGCCAGCTCATGTCATCACCCTCACTGAGCCCCAGGTATGGTTAACCATTGAGGGCCAGAAAATTGACTTCCTCCTGGACACTGGTGTGGCCTTCTCAGTGTTAACCTTCTGTCCCAGATGACTGTCCTCAAGGTCCGTTACCGTCCGAGAAATCCTGGGACAGCCTGTAACCAGGTATTTCTCCCACCTCCTCAGTTGTAATTGATAGACTTTGCTCTTTTCACATGCCTTTCTTGTTATGCCTGAAAGTCCCATACCCTTATTAGGGAGGGATATATTAGCCAAAGCTGGAGCTATTAGCTACACGAATATGGGGAACAAGTTACCCATTTGTTGCCCCTTACTTGAAAAGAAAATCAACCCTGAAGTCTGGGCAGTGGAAGGAACAAACTGAAGCTCCAGCTTTAAGCCTTCCCACAGGACAAAACTTCTCTTTATATGTCAGAGAGAGAGCACGGATAGCTCTTGGAGTCCTTACTCAGACTCGTGGGACAACCCCACAACCAGTGGCATACCTAAGTAAGGAAATTGATGTAGTAGCAAAAGGTTGACCTCACTGTTTACAGGTAGTTGCAGCGGTGGCTGTCTTAGTGTCAGAGGCTATCAAAATAATACAAGGAAAGGATCTCACTGTCTGGACAACTCATGATGTAAATGGCGTACTAGGTGCTAAAAAAAGTTTATGGCTATCGGACAACCGCCTACTTAGATAACAGGCGCTACTCCTTGAGCGACTGGTGCTTCAAATACATAAGTTCGTGGCCCTCAACCCTGCCACTTTTCTCCCAGAGGATGAGGAACCAATCGAGCATGACTGCCAACAAATTATAGTCCAGACTTATGCCGCCCGAGATGATCTCTTGGAGGTCCCCTTGGCTAATCCTGACCTTAACCTATATGTTGATGGAGGTTCGTTTGTGGAGAGTGGGATGCAAAGGGCAGGTTATACCATAGTTAGTGATGTAACTGTACTTGAAAGTAAGCCTCTTCCCCGAGGGACCAGCGCCCAGTTAGCAGAACTAGTGGCACTTACCTGAGCCTTAGAACTGGGAAAGGGAAAGACCAGCAGAAAGGAAAGAGAGAAAGAGACAGAGAGGGGTAGGGAGAGACAATGAGGGAGTCAGAAAGAAAGAAAGAGACAAAGTCAAAGAAGGAAAGAGAGAAAGAGACAGAGAGAGGAAGAGACAGAGAGACAGAGAGAGAGGGAGAGGAAGTGACAGAGAGACAGAGAGAGAGAAAGATAGGAAGTCAAAGAGAAGGAGACAGACAGAAAGTCAGAGAGAGAGAGGAAGGAACAGAAGAAAGTCAGAGAGAGAGAGGAAGAGACAGACAAAGAGGGAGTCAGAAAGAGAGACGAAGATGTCAAAGAGAAAGAGAGATGGAAGTAGTAAAGAAAAAACAGTGTACCCTATTCCTTTAAAAGCCAGGTAAATTTAAAACCTCTAATTGATAATTGAAGGTCTTCTCTGTAACCCTGTAACAACACTCCAATACCACCTTGTTGTCAGTGTGAACAAGGGTGTAGCCTGAAAGCACTGAGGCCACTGACAACCCATAGCCTTCCTATCAAAAATCCTTAACCTAACAGGTTTCCTAACAGGGGATCTAAATCTTAATTAATTACCATACAAAGTTCTGACCAAATCTGGGCAGAACTCCCTTCAGGACAGGACAATAGATGGTTCCTCCCAGGCGATTAAGGGAAAAAGACACAATGGGTATTCAGTAAGTGATAAGGAAACTCTTGTAGAAGCAGACTTAGGAAAATTGCCTAATAATTGATCTGCTCAAACCTGCGAGTTGTTTGCACTCAGCCAAATCTTAAAGTACTTACAGAATCAGGAAGGAGCCATCTATACCAATTCTAAGTTAATATGGACTGAATGAGGTTTTATTAATATCAAAGAAAAATTAAAATCCCAAACTTAAAAGGTTTTCAACTAAAGTTTGCTAAAACTTAACAGTGTAACATGCATTATCCTATTACCACACACTCTCAAAGGATTTCTCAGACAGTTTGCAAGAAATAACTAAATCTATCCTTACTCTACAATCCCAAATAGACTCTGGCAGCAGTGACTCTCCAAAACCCCCGAGGCCTAGACTTCCTCACTGCTGAGAAAGGAGGACTTTGCACATTCTTAGGGGAAGAACGTTGCTTTTATACTAACCAGTCAGGGACAGTATGAGATATCGCCCGGCATTTACAGGAAAAGGCTTCTGAAATCAGACGCCTTTCAAACTCGTAAACCAACCTCTGGAGTTGGGCAACACGTCTTCTCCTCTTTCTAGGTCCCAAGACAGCCATCTTATTATTACTTGCCTTCGGGGCCCTGTATTTTTAACCTCCTTGTCAAATTTGTTTCCTCTAGAATCGAGGCCATCAAGCTACAGATGGTCTTACAAATGGAACCCCAAATGAGTTCGACTAACAACTTCTACTGAGGACCCCTGGACCAACCCGCTGGCCCTTCCACTGGCCTAAAGAGTTCCCCTCTGAAGGACACTACAACTGCAGGGTCCCTTCTTCGCCCCTATCCGGCAGGAAATAGCTAGAGCAGTCATCGGCCAAATTCCCAACAGCAATTGGGGTGTCCTGTTTAGAGAGGGGATTGAGAGGTGAAGCCAGCTGGGCTTCTGGGTTGGTTGGGGACTTGGAGAACTTTTCTGTCTAGCTAAAGGATTGTAAATGCACCAACCAGCACTCTGTGTCTAGCTAAAGGTTTGTAAACACCCCAATAAGCACTCCGTCAAAACGGACCCGTCAGCTCTCTGTAAAATGGACCAATCAGCAGGATGTGGGTGGGCCCAGATAAGGGAATAAAAGCAGGCCACCCGAGCCAGCAGTGGCAACCTGCTCGGGTCCCCTTCCACACTGTGGAAGCTTTGTTCTTTCGCTCTTCACAATAAATCTTGCAGCTGCTCACTCTTTGGGTCCGCGCTGCCTTTATGAGCTGTTAACACTTACTGCGAAGGTCTGCAGCTTCACTCCTGAAGTCCGCGAGACCACAAATCCACCGGGAGGAACAAACAACTCTGGACGTGCCGCCTTTAAGAGCTGTAACACTCACTGTGAAGGTCTGTGGCTTAACTCCTGAAGTCAGCAAGACCATGAAGGAACAAATTCTGGACACACCATCTTTAAGAACTGTAACACTCACTGCGAGCGTCCGCGGCTTCATTCTTGAAGTCAGTGAGACCAAGAACCCACCAATTCCAGACACATTACCACACTCAATGCCATAAACATATCTATCACTTCCAAAAATTTCCTCTTATTCTGTTTTCTAATTTTTACTTTTTCTTTTTGACACAGGGTCTCACTCTGTCACCCAGGCTGGAGTACAGCAGTCATGGCTCACTGCAGCCTGAAACTCCTGGGCTCAGGTGATTCTCCCACCTCAGCCTCCTGAGTAGGCTGGGGCTACAGGTACACACCACTGTGCCTGGCCAATTTTTTTTATCTTTTGTAGAGATGGGGTTTTGTCATGTTGCCAGGCTGGTCTCGAACTCCTGGGTCAAGCCATCTGCTGGCCTTGGCCTCCCAAAGTGCTACAGGCGTGAGCCACCATGCCTGGCCCTCTTAATTTGTTTACTTTCATGATAAGAACACTTAAGATGTACCCTATTAGCAAATTTTTAAGTATGTAGTACAGTATTTGTTAATGATAGGTATTACACTGTACGTTAGATCTCTAGGTCTTACTCATCTTGCATATCTGAAACTTTGTGCTCTTTGACTAACACATGTTGTTCCCCCTCCCACTGGCCCTGGCAATAACTATTCTACTCCATGTTTCTATGAGTCTGACTTTAGATTTCTCATATGAGTGGAATAAGTCATATTTGTCTGCTGTTCCTGGCTTATTTTACTCAGCAAAATGTGCTCCGGGTTCATCCATGTTATAATTTCCTTTATTTTATAAGGCAAAATGATACTCTATTTATGTACATACCGCACTTTTTTTTTGCAAGTACATTGCTTTTATTGATTATACTGCAATATAAGTGAAAGATACAGATGATATTAATAGAACTTTGTAAGTATTTGAATTCTATTTAATTCTGCTAAGAATTAGAGATTGACTAATCCTCACAGAACTTCCTAATTTGCCTTGTAGATGAAGTTGGTAGTCTGAATTTTATTATTCTGGTTTTGTATATCAATGTTTCTCAATTTTTTTCATTATTACCCTTCCCCCAAAGGTCTTTTCATTTAAAAAAATTTTAAATGTGAAATATCCAAATTTTTCAGGGCTGACTGAATTTTTTTGGTACCCTTTGCCTAACATCTCTTCTTTTCCAGAATGCCTCATTTCCCTAACTTTCTGGTAACCACCATCCTATTCTGTATTACTATGAGTGCAACTTTTTTTTGATTACACATGTAAGTGAGATCATGGAGTCTTTTTGTGTCTGGCTTACTCACTTAGCATAATGTCCTCTAGGTTCATTCACATTGTTGTAAGTAACAGGATTTCCTTCTTTTTAAAGGCTGAATAATATTCCATTATATAGATATGTATCTCATTTCTTTATCCATTCAACTTTTGAGGGAAAATTAGGTTGTTTCCGTATCTCAACTGTTGTGAATAATGCTGCAATGAGCATGAGTATAGATGTCTCTTCAAGATACTGATTTCATTTCCTTTTGACATATACCTAGAAGTAGGATTTCTGGACCATATGATAGTTTTGTTTTTAATATTTTGAGAAACCTTTATACTGTTTTCCACAGGGCCTATACCAGCTTACATTCCCCCCAAGTGGTATCCTTTTATGCACATTCTTGCCAGCCACTTGTTACCTTTTGACTTTTTGGTTAGTAGGTATCGTAACAGATGTAAGGTGTTATCTCTTTGTGCTTTGATTTTCATTTTCCTGATAATTAGTAATGTCAAGCATCTTTCCATATACCTGTTGGACATTTGTGTATCTTCTTTGGAAAGATGTTTATTCAGTTCCCTTGCCCAGTTTAAAATTTGGTTGTTTATTTGCTATGGAGTTGTATGAGTTCCTTATATATTTTAGATATTGACTCCCTTCCCAGCTATATGGTTTGCAAATATTTTCTCTCATTCAGTTGGTTGCCTTTCATTTTGCTGATTTTTTTTTTCTTTGCAGTACAGAAACTTTTTAGTTTCATGTAGTTTCATTTCTTTATTTTTCCTGTTGTTGCCTATGATTCTGATATCAAATCTAAAAACTCATTGCCAAAACCAATGGCAAGAAACTTTACCTCTTTGTTTACTTCTAGCAGTTTTAGTTTCACAGTTTTATGTTTAAGTCTTTAATCCATTTTAAGTTAACTTGCTTGTATGGTATAAGAGAAGCATCCCTCTTAGAACTGTTTTGCTGCATCTAGTTATGTTTTGGTATATTGTGTGTTTCATCCTTAGGATGCATATGTTCACTGTTCCCCAAGGCTTTTTTTTTTTTTTTTTTTTTGAGACGGGGTCTTGCTCTGTCACCCAGGTGGGAATGCAGAGGTACTATCATGGCTCACTGCAGCCTTGACCTCCCAGGTTCAAGGATCCTCCCACCTCAGTCTCCCAAGTAGCCAGGACTACAGATGTGCACACCCAGCTAGTTTTCGTATTTTTAGTAGAGGCAGGGTTTTGCTCTGTTGTCCAAGCTGATCTTCAGCTCAAGAAATTCACCCATCTTGGCCTCCCACAGTGTTGGGATTACAGGCATAAGCCATCATGCCTAATTTTTTTAAAGCCATCGGCCATATTTTTTTAAAGCCAGATTTGACACCATGTAGAACAGCTTGGAAAGATATAAAATCCTTGGCCCATCCCCTTTTTCCTTGAGTATTTTGTAGTCACTGCACCAGTGTTCTTTTGTTGGTATGAAATCTGATGTTAACTTGATTATTTTTACCCTTTCAAAATGATTTAATGTTTTGGCCTGGAGACTGGGAGGATATATTATCTTTAAAGTCTGTTTTACTAAGCTATTTCATGGAACAGTCTGACTGTTTGGGTTAATTTTCCAGGTACATTGTGAGTTCTTTCAGTACGTACATTCAAGTCATCTATTTCAGGAAAGATATCTCGAATGTTTTAATCACCTATTGAGATATGATTCATTTATAATAAAATTCACCACTTTAAACAGTGCAAGGGGTTTAGATGAATGTATAGTTATGTTACAATAACTACAATCAAGATAAGTATTTTTTAGATCATCTCAAAAAAGTTTCCATGTGCTATTTTGCAGCAAATGCCCTTAGTCCACCCACCTTCAGGCTTTGAAAAACAATTTATCCACCTTGTTTCTGTCACTATACTTTTGCTTTTTTTCCTAGCATGTCATATGTTTGATATCAAACAGAATATAGTCTAAAATGTATCAGGCTTTGCTTTTCCTTTTCAATAATATCATAAATGGAATAGTGCAGAATGTATTGTTTTTACCTTTCTTTTCATAAATCTTTAGAGATTCATCCATTTTTTTCAGGTAGCTAGCTTTTAAAAAAAAATTGAGTAGCATTAATCAACAGTTTGTTTATACATTTACCAACTGGTGGTCATTTGAGATGTTCCCATTTGGGCCTGTTATGAATAATGGTGCTTTAAGTATTCATGTATAAGTTCTTGTGTGGAGATGTATTTTCAGTTCTCTTGGGGGGAGATACATATATATATGTGTGTGTGTGTGTATATATATGTATATATATATTTTTATGTATATGTTCCAACCATTCTAATAATATTCTAATAATTCTAATCATATGATTAGAATGGTTAGAATGTATAAATATAAATATATATCTCCCCCCTAACAGAAATACATATATATGTATGATTAGAATGGTTAGAATTATTGGGTAATATGGTAAATGTATTCTTAAAAGGAACTGCTGAACAATGCTCCAGTATGGTTATAACATCTTATATATCCAAGAGCAACACAGAAAATTTCCAGTATATCCACATCCTCCCCAGCACTTGGTATTGTCTTTTAAATTTTATCCTTCTAATGGTTCCTACTGTAGTGGCTTCTTATTATATGTAAAACTTATATTTCTCTGATGACTAATGATGTTGAACATTGTTCATGTGCTACCTAGACATCCATATTTTTTCTTTGGTAATGTGTCTCTTCAAATCTTCTGTCCATTTTTTATTGCGTTATCTTACTGTTAAGTTGTAAGAATTCTTTATATATGCTGGATACAATACTCTAATCAGATACTGTTTTATCAGATACATATATTGAGAATATTCTCAGTTTGTGGCTTCCATTTTCATTTTCTTAATGGTGTCTTTTGAAGAGCAGAAGCTTCCAATTTTAATGAAGATCTGTCTTTTTTATTCTTTATTTTTTCCTTATTTGATTTTGTAGAGACAGGGTCTCACTGTGCTGCCCAGACTGATCTGGAACTCCTGGCCTCAGGTGATCCTCCCACCTTAGCTTCCCAAAGCACTTGAGATTACAGGTACAACCACACTCGACCTATTTTTTCCATGTTATATCTAAGAAATCTTTATATCAAAATCATTAATGTTAATCTTCTATCCACTTTTCCTGAAGGTCTACAGTTTCACCTCTTATATTTAGGCTTTACCCATTTCAAGTACATTTTATATTGGTATGAGAACACGATTTTTTATTTTTTTGGCCCACACAGATATCCGATTGTTTTAGCACCATTTATTGAAAAGATTACTCATTTGATGACTAAGCTCTGATTTTTTTTATCTTGCCCAAATTCCTGTATAAGGGGTCTGGGGACTCATGCCCTACAAACCAAAAATTCTCATCAGATGGGTTTTATTAAACCCTGTATATCATGACTTACTTTCCAATCTGACTCTGTCATAACAAGGAAGAAAATCAAAATGTTTTACCCCAAAATATATTTCCTTGTCATACCTTGAAATTGTCATGCAAAGTCTCTTGTGGGAAAAATTCACATTCTGTAGAGAATCCCCTTTCCCTTTTCCCCTTTGTTTTCCTTCCTTCCTTTGCAGATCCAGGAGATAATCAACTAAGAGCTAGGAACACGTTTAAGTCCACTAAGAAACATTTTACAACCTGTTCTCTCTGAAGTCCGCTATCTGAGAGCTTCCGCTACACAATAAAACTTGGTCACCACAATCCTTTATCTTAACCTGAACATTTCCTTTCTGTTGATCCCATGTCTTCAGATACACTCAACCAATTGTCAACTAGAAAATGTTTAAATTTACCTATAGCCCGGAAGCCCCTGCTTTGAGTTGTCCTGCCTTTCTGAACCAAACCAATGTATTTCTTAAATGTATTTAAGTCTCATGCCTCCCTAAAATATATAAAACCAAGCTGCACTCTGACCACTTTGGGCACATGTCCTCAGGACCTCCGGAGGGCTGTGTCATGGGCCATGTTCACTCATATTTGGCTCAGAATAAATCTCTTAAAATATTTTACAGAGTTTGACTCTTTTCAACAACACATTCCACATAGAATTATCTTGACAAGTTAATAAAAACCCACTTGTAATAAGTTTTGAAATAATGAAGGGGAAATATACAAACTTTGTTCTTTTTCAAGATTGTTGGGGGCACTTTGTAGTTTCATATGAATTCATAGATTGGCTTTCCCTATTTTTGAGAAAACAAAAAACACATCCATTGGAATTCTGGGAGGGGTACCATCAAATTTGTACATTACTTTGTTTACAATTGCCGGCTTAACAATACCAAGTCTTTTAATCCATGAACATGGGGTGTCTTTACATTTATTTAAGTCTTAATTTCTTTCAGGAATGTATTATAGCTTTCAGTGTTTATTTCTTTCACCTTGTGAACCCTGAATATCTAACTGAGACAGGTCTCAGTTAATTTAGAAAGTTTATTCTGCCAAAGTTGAGGATGCGTGCCTGTAACACAGCATCAGAAGGTTCTGATATGTGCCCAAGGTGGTCAGAGCACAGTTTGGTTTCATACATTTTAGGGAGACATGTGACATCAATCAACATATGTGAGATGAACATTGGTTCGGTCCAGAAAGGCAGGACAACTTGAAGCAAAGGTGGGACAACTGGAGATGGGGAGGGGACATTCAGGTCATAAGTAGACAAGAGACAAATGGTTGCATTCTTTAGAACTTGATTAGCCTCTCCAAAGGAGGCAATCAGATATGCATTTATCTTAGTGAGTAGAGTGAGTAGTAGGAGGCTGGTTTGCCCTAAGCAGTTCCCAGCTTGACTTTTCCCTTTAGCTTAGTGAGTTTGGGGCCCCAAGATTTATTTTCCTTTCACAATCTCCTTGGTTATAGTTATTGCTAGTGTGAAATGAAAGTAAATCTTAGGACCCAAACTCACTAAGCCAAAGGGAAAAGTCAAGTTGGAAACTGAGTCACACGAACCTGCCTCCAATTTTATTCCTAAATAGGACAGATACAAAGATTTTTAAAAGCTATAAACCTCCTTCACAATTTGCCCACGAGGAAATTTCTTGTGGGCCCCAAGATCTTTACCCTAAAACAGTTCTGTTGACTTCTACCCTGACAATGTAAATTGATAGCTTATCTTCACAGGTAAGGGACAAAGGACATAACTCAAAGTCATCCCTCTGCCCAACTGAGTGAGACAAATGCATATCTGATTGCTTCCTCTGCTCTATGTTTATCTTATTTAAAAAATGCAGATTTAATGAGCTAGATGCGTAAGTGACTATTCTTCTACCCCTTTCACATGTATATGGGTAATCAAAGACTCAAAAGAATGCAACCCCTTGCCTCTTATCTACCCATGCCCTTTTAAAATTTCTTCCTCTTTCACCAATACTTGCCCTTTTCCCTTTAAATACTGAAGTCCCCAGACCCTCTTTGGAAAAAGCATGGACCACAATTTTTCCTGTGAATCTGTATTCTTTCCTGGGCATGTCCTTACCTGTGGCAAATAAACCTCCTAAAATGATTGAGACTCTCCTTGCTCATTTGATTTACACTAGGTAATTTATTCTTTTGGATGCTATTGTAAATAGAATGAAAGATTTTTTTTTTTTTTGAGACAGGGTGTAGGCTCTGTCACCCAGGCTGGAGTGCAGTGGCACGACCTCAGATCAGTCCAGCCTCAGCCTCCCAGGTTCAAGAGATCCTCCCACATCAGCCTCCCAAGTAGCTGTGATTAGAAGCATGCACCACACCTGGCCAGGATTTCTTAATTTCCTTCTTAAACTGTTCATTGCTGGTGTAGAAAAATGCTACTGTTTTTGTGTGTTGATCCTGTATCCTGCAACCTTGCTGAATTCATTTATTAGGTCTAATTGTCAGAGGCACGTGAACCGGAGCAACTCCATCTTAAATAGGAACTGGGTAAAAATGAGGCTGAAACCTACTGGGCTGCAACCCAGCAAGTTAAGGCATTCTAAGTCACAGGATGAGATAGGAGATTAGCACAAAATACAGGTCATAAAGACCTTGCTGATAAAACAGGTTGCAGTAAAGGAGTCAGACAAAACCTGCCAAAACCAAAATGGCAACGAGAGCGACCTCTGGTCATCCTCATTGCTACACTCCCACCAGCGCCATGACAGTTTACAAATGCCATGACAACATCAGGAAGTTACCCTATATGGTCTAAAAAGAGGAGGCATGAATAATCCACCCCTTGTTTAGCATTTCATCAAGAAATAACCATAAAAATGGGCAACCAGCAGCACTCAAGGCTGCTCTATAGAGTAGCCATTCTTTTATTCCTTTACTTTTTTAAATAAACTTGCTTTTACTTTGCACTGCAGACTCACCCTGAATTCTTTCTTGCACAAGATCCAAGAACCCTCTCTTGGGGTCTGGATCAGGACCGCTTTCCTGTAACATAATGGTTTTTATGTGGACTCTCTGGAATTTTCAAAATAGAATCATGTCATTTGCAAATATAGTTTTTCTACTCTTTTTCCAATTTAGGTGCTATTTCTTTCTTTTACCTAATTGCTCTGACTAGCAGTTCTAGAACAATATTGACTAGTAGTGGTGAAAGCGAACATCCTTATTTTGTTCCCAATCTTAGGCGGAAACCACTCAGCCATTGAATATAAGGTTAGCTGTGGGTTTTCCATAAATGGCCTTTATCATGTTGAGGAAGTTCACCTCTATTCTTAGTTTTCTGAGTGTTTTTAACATGAATGGGTATTGAATGTGGTCACTTTTCCTGCATCAATTAAGATTATTGTATGGCTTTCCTCGTTGCTTCCACTCATGATTGACAGATTTTCTTATGTTGAAATGCCCTTGTATTCCTGTGATAAATCTACCCATTAGGTTGATTTCAGATCTCTCCTCTTTTTTTAATTTAATTTTTAGGTAAAATATACATATAAAGTTACCACCTTTACTATTTTTACGTGTACAGTTCAGTGCTAATAAATATATTTATATATATATTTTTCCCCTTTTATCCTCCATCTTACCCTTCCTGGCCTCTGGTAACCACCAGTCTACTCTCTATCTTCATGAGAGTCACTTTTTTTTTTTTTTTTTGAGACAGAGTCTCGCTCTGTCACCAGGTTGGAGTGCAGTGGCATGATCTCAGATCACTGCAACCTCCGCCTCCCAGGTTCAAGTGATTCTCCTGCCTCGGCCTCCTGAGTGGCTGAGATTACAGGCCTGTGACACAATGCCCAGCTAATTTTTGTAGTTTTAGTAGAGATGGGGTTTTACCATGTTGGCCAGGATGGGCTCAATCTCTTAACTTCGTGATCCACCCACCTCAGCCTCCCAAAGTGCTGGGATTACAGGCGTGAGCCACTGCGCACGGCCCATGAGAGTCACTTTTTAAGATTCCACTTATGAGTGAGAACATGCAGTATTTGTCTTTCTGTGCTTGGCTTATTTCACTTAACATAATGACCTCCATTTCCATCCACGTCGTAGCAAGTGACATGATTTCATTTTTGATGGCTGAATAATATTCCATTGTGTATATATACCACATTTTCTTTATCCATCCATCCATTAATGGGCACTTAGGTTGCTTCCATATTTTGGCTATTGTGAATAGTTCTGTAATAAACATGGGCGGGCAAAAATCTGTTGGATATAGTGATTTCATTTCTTTTGGATATATATGCAGTAGTATATATTTAAAGCAGTAGTAAAATGGCTGAATTATATAGTAGTTCTGGTTTTAGTTTTTCGAGGAACCTCCATTCTGTTCTTCATAGTGGCTATACTAATTTACATTCTCACCAACGGTGTATAAGAATTCCCCTTTATCCACAATCTCACCAGCATCTGTTATTGTCTTTTGGATACAAGTCGTTTTAACTGGGATAAGATGATAGGTAATTGTGGTTTTGATTTGCATTTCTCTGATTAGTGATGTTGAACAGTTTTTCCACATATATGTTGGCCATTAGTATGTCTTCTTTTGAAAAATGTCTATTCAGATCTTTTGCCCATTTAAAAAAAATAGGATTTTTTTTGCTATTAAGTTATTTGAGCTCCTTATATATTCTGATTATTAATCTCTTGTCAAATGAATAATTTGCAAATATTTTCTCCCATTCTGTGGACTGGCTCTTCACTTTGTTGATCATCTCTTTTGCTATGCAGAAACTTTTTTGCTTGAGGTAATCTCATTTGTCTATTTTTGTTTTGGTTACCTGTGCTTTTGAGGTCTTACACAAAATGTCTTCTCAAAAACCAATATCCCAGAGCCTTTCCCTAATGATACCTTCTAGTAGTTTTATACTTTCAGGTCTTGGGTTTAAGTATTTAATCCATTTTAATTTAATTTTTGTGTATGGTGAGAGATGGGGTCTACCTTCATTGTTCTTCAAAGAGTAATCCAGTCTTCCCAGCATCATTCATTGAAAAGACTCTCCTAGGGCCAGGCACAGTGGCTCACGCCCATAATCCCAGCACTTTGGGAGGCCAAGGCGGGTGGATCACCTGAGGTCATGAGGTCAGGAGTTTGAGACCAGCCTGGCCAACATGGTGAAACCCCGTCTCTATTAAAGATACAAAAATTAGCCAAGCATGGTGACGGGTGTGTGTAATTCCAGCTACTCCAGAAGCTGAGGCAGGAGAACCACCTGAACCCAGGAGGTGGAGGTTGCAGTTAGCCGAGATCGCACCACTGCACTCCAGCCTGGGCAACAAGAGCAAAACTCCATCTAAAAAAAAAAAAAAAAAAATATATATATATATATATATATATATATATATATATATATATATATATGGATAATTAGAAAAGACTGTCCTTTCCCCATTATATGTACTTGGTGTCTGTATCGCAAATGACTTGTCTATAAAAGTGTGAATTTATATCAGGGTTCTCTATTCTGTTCCATTGGTTTATGTGTCTGTTTTTATACCAGTGCTATGCTGTTTCAGTTACTATGGCTTTGTAGTAAATTTTGAAGTCAGGTAGTGTAATGACTCCAGCTTTGTTCTTTTTGTTCAGGATTGCTTTGGCTATTCAGGGTCTTCTGTGGTTCCATATAAATTTTATAGTTTTTTTTCTATTTTTGTGAAAAATGTCATTGGTATTTTGATAGGGATAACATTGAATCTGTAAATTGCCTTGGGCAGTATTGTGATTTTAACTATATTAATTCTTCCAATTTACAAACATGGAATATCTATTTTGTATGTGTGTCTCTTCAATTTCTTTCATCAGAGTTTTACAGTTCTCCTTGTACAGAACTTTCACTTCTTTGGTTATATTGACTCCTAGGTACTTAATTTTTTTTTGTAGCTATTATAAATGGGATTGCCTTCCTGATTTCTTATTTTTTTAATTTTTATTTTTTGAGATGGAGTCTCACTCTGTCACCCAGGCTAGAGGGCAGTGGTGCAATCTCAGCTCACTTCAACCTCTGCCTCCCGGGTTCAAGCAATTCTTGTGCCTCAACTTCCCGAGTAGCTGGACTATAGGCACACGACATCACGTCCAGCTAATTTTTGTATTTTTAGTAGAGACGGGGTTTCACTGTGTTGGCCAGGCTGGTCTCAAACTTCTGACCTGAAGTGATCCGCCCACCTCTGACTCCCAAAGTGTTGGGATTACAGGTGTGAGCCACCGTGCACAGCCTGATTTATTTTTTAGATTGTTTGCTGTTGGTATATATAAGCGCTGCTGATTTTTGTATGTTAATTTTATATCCTGCAACTTGACTGAATTCGTTTATCAGTTCTAACAGTTTTTTGGTGGGGTCTTTAGGTTTTTCTACATATAGGATCATGTCATCTGCAAACAGGGCTAATTTAACTTCTCCTTTTCCAGTTTGGATGCCCTTTCTCTTCTTTTCTCTTGCCTAATTGCTCTCACCAGGAGTTTCCATATTATGTTGAATAAAAGTGGTGAAAAGTGGGCATCCTTGTCTTTTCCAATGCTTAGAGGGAAAGTCTTCAATTTTTCCCCATTCAGTATGATTTTAGCTGTGGGTTTGTCATAGATGGCCTTTATTATTTTGAGGTATGTTCCTTCTATACTTATTTTGATGAGGGTTTTCAATCATAAAGGTATATTGAATTTTATCAAATGCTTTTTTTTGCCATCTATTGAAATAATCATATGTTTTTTGTTATTTATTCTGTTAATGTGATATACCATGTTTAGCGTCAGTCACTGGATTTTTACTTAGTCCTTTTGGGAAGCTCATGGTTCTCTTTGTTGGTGTTTCTTACGGGTATACATCTACGTCTTTGCATTGAAGGATTATTCATTCCTGTTTTTTCTGTCCAGCTTGTTTTGTTTTTTATTGAATATATTTGCTTAGCCTATCTTTACTGGTAGGTCACTGCCTCCTTTTTGGCTCAAGGTGGCTCTTTAAGCCCAGGTTCTCCTCAGCTATAGTAAATGATCAGAGTTCTGCCTGTCCCAAATGGTGCGGTCCTAAAGGGATTATCCCAGCAGTATGTGAAGGCTGGCAAGGAGTTCCTGTCCAAGGGACCTGTGAAACATACCTCCTAAAGTGTGGTGCTGCTGAATAACCACCGTGATTTGGCGTCTCCTTTGGCCAAGTTCCAGAGCAGAGTTTCCAGGGTGGAGGATAGTAGTCCTGCCTACCTACTCTGTCTCTGCCTCTCCTAAGGGATATTTCTTCATTTAAGCAGTCATGATGCTTCTTGTGGATTAACACAAGGGCAGGTCTCCTACCAGGGACCCCAATATAGTGTGACTGCTGGTTGACCACCTTAATCTTACTTTTTCCAGTATAGAAACTGTGAACTGAAGTGAAGATTTTTCCATTCACTTGTTGCCAGGCAGAATAGGAGTAAGGGGTATGATGGATGTGAAAGTCCAATTCTCCTACCATCTGCTCAGAATGTTTTCACTTCTCTGTGGCCCTGGGATCTGTATCATCCTCATATTTGAGTTCTGGGTTGTTGTTGGTAGAAATCTCACCGTTGTATATTTATTTCTGGTTTTCTGTGGGAGGGGGAGTTAAGGCAGCTTGCATTTACACTGCCATTTTAAATCCAGAAGTTCCTCCTTTTTAAAAATGTAGGCATTTACCACTATAAATTTCCCTGTGAGCATGAATTTTGCTGTACCCCGTAAGTTTCACTGTTTTCATTTTTAATTTCTGTCAAATTTGACAATGTGATTTCTTCTGGGACCTCTTAAGAGTCTTTTGTTTAATTTCAATATATTTCTGAATTTTTCAGTTTCCTTCATTAATTTCTAGGTTCATTCTACTCTGACAGAAACTGTTTTGTATGATTTGTCTTTTTAAATGTATTCAGACTTGTTTATTTTTTAAAGACAGAGTCTCACTCTGTTGCCCAGACTGGAGTGCAGTGGCGTGATCTCGGCATACTGCAACCTCCGCCTCCCAGGTTCAAGTGATTCTCCTGCCTCAGCCTCCTGAGTAGCTGGGACTACAGGAGCGCACCACCATGCCCAGCTAATTTTTGTATTTTTAGTAGAGACAGGGTTTCACCATATTGGCCAGGCTGGTCTCGAACTCCTGACCTCAGGTGATCCACCCTCCTCGGCCTCCCAAAGTGCTGGGATTACAGGCGTGAGCCACCACGCCCAGCCCCAGACTTGTTTTGTGACCTAATATAGGATCTATCCTGCAGAATGCCCTTGAGAAAAATGTATATTCTGCTGTTGTGGGTAGTGGGTAGTGTATTCTGTTTATGTATCTATTGGGTGTCGTTAGTTTATAGCATTGTTCAAACCCTCAATTTCCTTATTGACTTTCTCTCTAGAGGTGGGACATCTAGAGAGATGGGACAGAGCTATTGAAGTCATCAACTATTAGTGTATAACTTTCTATTCCCTTCAATTGCATCAATGTTTGCTTCATATATCTTGGTCTCTGCTGTTTGGTGCACACATGTTAAATATGTAATATCTTCTTGATGCATTTTCTCTTTCATCAATATATGATGTTCTTCTTTGCCTCATGTAATAATTTTTGTCTTAGCATCTTATTTTATTTGTTATTAGTACAGCCACCCCACCTCTCTTTTGGTTACCACTGCATAGAATATATTTTTTCATCCTTTCACTTTGAACCTATTTGTGTCTTTGGATATAAAGTGAGTCACTTCTAGAACATATATGGTTGGATCATGTTATTTAATCCAGTGGTCCCCAACTTTTTTGACAATTTTTCCATGGATGGGGTGGGGAGGGGGTGATAGTTTTGGAATGAAACCATTCCACCTGAGAGCATCAGGAATTAGATTCTCATAAGGAGCATGCAACCTAGATCCCTTGCATGTGCAGTTCACAATAAGGTTCATGGTCTTATGAGAATCTAATGCTGCCACTGATCTGACTGGAGACAGAGCTCAAGTGGTAATGCTCAATCTCCCACCACTCACTTCCTGCTGTGTGGCCTGGTTCCTAACAAGCCATGGTACCTGGGGATTGGGGACCCTAACCAGGTCCATGGCCTGGGGATTGGGGAGCCCTGATTTAATCCGTTGTTTCAATCTTTGCCTTTTAAGTATCAAATTTAATCTATTTACATTTAAATTGATTACTGATAAGAAAGTACATCTACCATTCGCTATGTCTTCCATAAATCATATGTGTTTTGTTATATAATTCTTCCAATACTGCCTTATTTTGCAAATTTTTTCCAGTGTACCATTTTAATCTTCATTGCCTTTTCTGTATATATTTTTAGTTATTTTCTTAGCGGTTACCCTAAGGATTATAATTAATGTACTAAATTTATAACAATCTAGTTTCAATTCACACCAACGTAGCTTCAATAACATACAAATACTTTGCTTCTCTATAGCTCTATCTACCCTGTTATTATTGTCATAAATTACATGTATATATATTGTATCCCCATTTACATAGGTTTTAATTATTGTTTCATGTATTAATTTTTAAATCATGAAGAAAACTTACAATCTAAAAATACAGTAGTATTGTCTTTTATATTTACCTATGTAGTTATCTTTACACGTTCTTTATTTCTTTCTATGGCTTTGAGTTACTGTCCAGTGTCTTTTCATTTCAGTCTGAAGAACTCCTTTTAGCATTTCTTATAAGACACGTCTACTAGCAAAAACTCCCTCATCTTTTATCTAGAATGTCTTAATTCTCCCTCATTTTTAAGAGATAATTTTGCTGGATATAAAATTCTTTGTTGTTGGTTTTTTTCTTTGAGACAGAGTCTTACTCTGTTACCCAGGCTGGAGTGCAGTGGTGCCATCTCAGCTCACTGCACCCTCTGCCTCCCAGGTTCGATTCTCCTGCCTCAGCCTTCCGAGTAGCTGGGATTACGGGCTTGTACCACCACATCTGGCTTTTTTTCTTTTTTTGCATTTTTAGTAGAGATGAGGTTTTGCCATGTTGGCCAGGCTGGTCTCAAACTCCTGACCTCAAGTGATCTGCCCACCTCGGCCTCCCAAAGTGCTGGGATTACAGGTGATTTTTTTTTTTTCTTTAAACAGTTTGCATATGTCTTCTCACTGCCTTCTGGCCTCAATGATTACTAATGAGAAAAGTATCTGTTAACATACTGAGGATCCCTTCTACATGGATTACTAATGAGAATATCTGTTAATATATTGAGGATCCCTTCTACATGACAAAATACTTCTTACTTTCTGTTAAAGATTCTCTCTTTGTCATTTGGTTTTGATTATAATGTGTTTTGGTATTGATCTTTGAGTTGATTCTGCTTGAATTTTGTTGAGCTTCTTGCATGTGCAGATGCATGTCTTCAATCAAATTTGGGATTTTTCTACCATAATTTCTTCTGATAGTCTTTCTTCTTTTTCTAGGGCTCCCATAATATATATGCTGCTATGCTGCATATACAGACTCTGTTCATTTTTCTTCATTTTTAAAATTTTTATTCCTCAGAGTTGATCATTTCAATTGTCCTATTTTCATGTCCTATTTTAATGCTTCTTCTGCCAGGTCAAACTTGATGAATGCCATCTAGCAAATTTATCATTTTGGTTCTTATATTTTCCAGCTCCAACTTTTCTATTTGGTTCATTTTTATAATTTCTATCTCTTCATTGATATTCTCTATTTGCTGAGGCATCATTATCCTGGTTTCCCTTAGTTTACTGTCCATGGTTTCCTTTAGCTTTCTGAGTTTAAAGGAAGACAGTTGATTTTAAGTCTTTGTCTAGTAATTTCAATGTCTGGGCTTCCCCAGGGATACGTTCTATTTTTTTTTCTTTTTTATGTGAATGGGCCATACCTTCCTGCTTTTAAACTTTTGTTGACATTTTAAATATTTTAATGTTATAACTCTGGAAATCAGATTATTTCCCTCTCCATGGTTTGCTATTGTTACTGCTGAGGGCTGCAGTCACCCATTTTATTAGTGACATTCCCAAACTAATCTTGCAAAGCCTGTATTCCTTGTCATTTGTGGTCGGTGAAGTCTCCATTTCATTATCTCTGTCATTAGCTGGTGACCTAACAGAGATGCCTTTAAATCCTGAAGCACAATAACAAATGAACAAAGACAAAAATTTTCCGAGAACTAGGGCACTCCTTCACTGTTTAGCCAGGCTGCCTGACATTCTGCCTTACCATTTCTTTCTTACTTGTGCAGACTCTGAAAGTCCTCCAGAGGTGTAAACCCAGGGTGCATCTCATTATTTCTGAGCCTGTGTCCAGCTCTGGGCATGGTGTTGTACACAATTCACTAACATATGCAAGTAGCTATTCATGGCTCCTATTCACCCAAATATCTTTCTCCTCATCCTTTTCTTTCCCAGGTTTCTTTGGTCTGTCTGCTGCTTTCCCCATTTGCCATCCCTTGACTGAGACAGCTAGGTATTTTCTCAGACATATAGGTATTACATGTCTTTACATGCTTTAGATACACACTGCCAGAAATGCTATTCCAGCCTGAGGGATGTGAAAAAACCGAACCTCTGTATCAGTTCCTCTGGAAACCACCAGACTGGTCAAAATACACAACCACAGTTTCTGAGAACAAGGTTTGTAATGGCCCTCTGGCACCAACTAACCACACCAGAAATGTCCTTATGGCCACTATCACACTGGGAACTGGGGGTGATACACAGGTAACCAAAATGCCACCATGCTTTCTAACCAAAATTTAGCAGCTTCTATCTTCATTAAGCACTCACCTGATTGCTCTGTTTCATTAGATTCTTTATAATCTAATTTTCAAAAAATTGATTCTGTCAGTTTTTGCCTACTTAACAGTTGCTTCAGTGGAGGCATTAATTCTTGGAGCTTCTTACTCAGCTGTGTTTAATGATATCACTCCTGCTTCTATTTATAAACCGCAGTGTGGCATCTACTACCATATACATCTCCAATTTCCTATTACACAGAAAATTTACTACAGCCCCAGTTGCTGCATTCTGAAGTTTATCACTGTATTTTCATGTTAGGACTACACTTTCCATAAGCTGCTCCTAGGCAATGGGTGATTATTCAGAAAGAGCAATACTAATGCAGTCTGTTTCTAGGTGACATAAGGCACTTTAGTTGGGCAACTTTGGCTTGAAGACTCCCAGTGCCCTTTCTGTAGAACCGCTCTGCAGTACATGCAGTTGGCAGGACACAGATAGGCAAGTCTCACTAAGTCAGTGGAATTTGCTGATTGCTACTAAGCTGTATATGCTTTCAGGAAGGCTAGTGAAAGACTGAGTGCTATTTACAGGTAATGACTAAATGTGACAGAGAATCTCTCTGGTAGCTCACAGAGGTTCTTATCTTCTTAATTTGAAGGGCAGACATAGTAGACAAGTAGAAGATCTAATTGTTGATCAGAACTCTAGAGATGTTAAGATGCAACATCAAGGCAGGTCTGCTTTACTAAAGTCAGGGAACTGCTTAGTAACACTTGGAATCCTGAAATATGAAATGGGTACCTCTGAATAGATGCCCTTGAGTATTCTGATACTGCAGAACTCTTGAATCTGAGCCAGCACTCCACTGTACTAGAAGAAGCTCAGAGACCTTTCCCCACAATGTAGTACCTACTCCCCTCTCTCAGGAAATGCCTCTACCTTTATCCTGGCTGCCAGGCTGATAACTACAGTCAAATCTCAGCACAATCCAGCTGGGGACATGATGAACCTGATAAGGTAGGAGACTATACAACTAAAGAGTTGCAAGAATTCGACACTATGTGCCAGCAAAAATAGGGGAGCACCTCTCGGATTGGATTAAGAGGATGCTTGAACATGGGAGCTGGAATGGAAAACTGGGTAAGAGTCCATTTATGTGGAGGTACTTTTTCAGGACACAGGATTTAACACCTTACTGAGGAGCCCAAGAGATGGAGCTAATTGCTGCTGGAATGGCTCTTAGATGCCTGGAAAAAGTAATGTCCAATACTCAATGAAGTGAAATACCCCAATTGTTATGGCACAAGAAAAAATGGAAAGCATAGCAGGGAGAGTAAGAATCATCTGAAGCCGAGATGAGATGCAGTGACAGTGGGTTCAGTTTATATTATGAACCTCCCATTTCACCTCCCCTCAGTTACTATGGAATAGCTGAGCCTATGTGGAAAAGTAGACCTATTCAGCCAATAGGTGGATAGTGGAGATCTTGAGAATGCACCCCTCAGATTTCTGACTTCATTCAACAAAATAGACCAGCAGCCCTGGCTGCTATGGTCTGAAATCCATTAGTGCATCTGCACAGAACATATAATTCCCACAGGCTGCTCCCAGCCAATCCCCAGCAGGGATTCTAGGGCAGCTCCCTTTCTGGGAGACATGGAACTGCCTGTTATTGTTCTTTTCCTAGCCTCAAGTCATCTCACTCTATGAATGCATAGCTCAGAGTTCAGCCAAAGACTCAAGGTGACTCTTATGTAGATTTATGGAGCTCTTTCTCCACAAAGCACCTGCCTCTCCAGTACACAAACCTGCAAATTCAAGCTGCCTCATCTTCCCTGAACTCCAACTAACTCAAAAAACTGCCATGTTCCACTTGCATTCCCTCTCTTTGCTCTCTGGTCTAGAAAGTGCCTCTCATCATAAAACCAGAGGATCATAAGGTTGACCTCATTTGTTTTTAATTCTCAGGGATCAGAGTCCTATACTGTCAATCTTTTAATATCTAAAGACAAATTTTCAGTGCATTTTGTCCAGTTTAATAATTGTCTATGGCAAGAGGGTCAGTCTGTTTCCAAATAATTATCATAGCTGAAAGCAGGAACTCTCAAATAATATTTTCATTAAATATTACAACCCTAACAACAATAGCCACAGTAACAACAACAGGTAATATTTATTAGGATCTTCTGTGTACTAGTTACTATTTTAAGTACCTTACATATATTAATTCATTTAATCTTGACAACAGCCCTGTTAAATTGGTAGTACTATTATCCCCATTCAACTGATGAGAAAACTCAAGTACAGAGATGTTAAATAAGAGTTGCCAGGTGAAACACAAGACACCTAGTTATATTTGAACTTCAGATGAATAATAATTTTTGATTATAAGTATATCTGATACAATATTTGGGACATACTTATATGAAACAATTATTTATTATCTGAAATTCAGACTTAACTGGGCATTCTGTATTTTTGCTAAATCTGGCAACCCTTAACTTGTCCAAGCTCCCATAGCTACTCAATTGCATAGTAGGACATGGAGCCTGGCAGTCTTGCTCCAAAACTCACACTCTTTACCATAGTGTTGCTCTACTGTCATTGGAAAAGAATTAAGTATTTGCCCCAGGCTTATAGATCCTTCTTTAGATCTGGTTCTTTGGTTTTCAGAATTCAAGATTAGAAATGCCATGTTGTAGTCATGGAAAAAGAATGATCAAGTAGCTCCCATGTTGGGCTGTTTTTGTGGGGGGGTCATTGGGTGTTGAAGAAATAACTTCTGAGAGGGGGAAATTGCCCCCCCCGCCCCCGACTGGATATTCATCTGAGCTTTATTGAGTCCCAGCTATGGCCCTGACTTTTGATTGTGGCCCTCCCTAATGCCAGCCCCCTCTTTGACTTATATGTTAGGGACCTAAACTTCTGTCATTTTGGACCTTGCAAGTTTTAAAATTAGTATCATTCAAAAGTTATCATCAGCTAGATGTCAGCTATAACTACATTTACTTTTATAGGGTATTTTCAAAATCCCCTAATGCTTGATGTCCTGTGGTAGGACTAAAAAGTTTAGAAAAACTAATGACATTAGTCTTTCTCACCTTAAGAAACTCAGTCTAGTAGGCGAGATAGCCACAAACACAATGATAATAGCTATCACTTACAAAGTACTTAATACATGCTAGTCACTTTATTATTTATTATTTATAATCTTGGCATTTAATTAAAGTTTGGTAAGTTCTTCATCTATAAAGATGGAAATAATAGTAATAGCTTAAGTAACTCACCCAAAGTTACCCATCCAATAAATTAGGAAGCTGGGATTCAAACTTAGTTGTGTTTGACTCCAAGCCTTGGACTTTTCAAAAATTACTGCATGCTATCTCCACAACTGACTTAAACTTCAGACTATAAGTGCTATAGCAGAGCTGTCAATGAAGAATTAGTGAAGCATTCATAACTAGTGCATCCTCCTCAATACCTAGTAGAGGGGCTATTCTTAATTATAATTGCTGTTGATTATTGAGATGACATGTACCAATTAATCTTATTGTTGGTGTTATATTTCTAAAGACATTATTTCTAAGACTTTTTTCTGACAGCAATGATGAGGAAACTGGTAATAGACTGACTCTATTACCATATAATAATGGTAGGAGATACCATGTATATTTAATTGTGCTTATATGGGTATTGATGATATAATGTTGCAAAATGACTACGGATATTATAATTACATGAAAAATAATACTAAGTTGAAGAATAATTCCATGACAGTAAATCAGTCTAAAATAAATTAAAATAGAAAACTCCAAATTAATGGCAGCAAGTATATTTAAAAAATAAGAATATGAGTAAAAAGATAAGGCCCAACAAAGGAGAGTTTCAACACTACTGTTTAACCAAGGATATGCCTCTGGAGAAAACTGTTAACAAGTGGGAACATATTCTGGCTCTTCAGACATCAGGGATATTCAGAAAAGCTGAGCTGATAAAATAGCAGTATAAATTGTGGACCTGAAAACATGTTGAGATAGTGAGATGTCCATAGAAGTTTTCAGAAATGTTTCTCATGGCCACTTATGGAAACTACAACCGAGTTCTCCTGTTGAAGTAGGAGAGGTCTGTGTGCCTGTGTGTTTAGTATAGGGATGAAAATTTGTGATTAATAAATCTGTAAAAAATTTACATGGATTGGTTGTTCATGTTAAATTTTGTCTGTGAAGTATGAATAGAAGTAATGATTTAGTCAAAGTTCCTGGTTTTTTTTTCTAGAAATATGAGGTTGTTGGAAGTACCTGTTTCTTTACTAGAAATTTTAACTCATTGTTTTTGTATATATAGGGCATAAATTTCAAAAATAAAATAATTCAGATCTTAGTTTAAATGTATAGAAGTACAATTTTATTATTCTAAGTCATAAAGTACTAAAAATTTATTTTCTTTTAATTTTATTTTAGTTAATTTAAAACCCATCCTAAATTTCACTCTATTCTAAGCTGTATCAAATTAACCACTACTCATGACTATTTTGTACCTCTAGACTATCTCTTTCTATATGAATTATTTTCAAAGATAAATTATTTCTGATTAAATTATAACATCATACAAAAATTAAAGGTTTATTGGCATTTTCATTAATCAATTAATAATGAATGGTAGTCAGAATCCTCTGGGGAAAAAAAACCCAAGTTGGTTTCTTTCCTTTTTAGCCCCCATATAAAAAAGGTATATAAATCTGCATTAAAATGACACATTTGAAGTTGAAGCTGTTTGGCTTAGGAACAGTCTTATTTTCATCCTTTGAAGAGAAAAATACCTTTACGAAAAGGGAGGCTTATAAAAACTAATTTACTAGGCTAGCTCTACCCCCTGGTTTCTTACAGCACTGCTCATCTCTGCTGAATAAAAAAATAGCAGGATTATTTCAATTTAGTTGCAGGCTCTCCCAGATCACATTCAGGGAATAGGCTAGATTCCAGCCCTCCTTTTCTGAAAGACTGAAATGGAAGAATTCATGGGGTATAGGATTTCCTCTCCTTAATACTGTGTGCTTCTCCGTATGTTTACTGCGGCACTATTCACAACAGCAAAGACTTGGAACCAACCCAAATGTCCATCAATGGTAGCCTGGATTAAGAAAATGTGGCACATATACACCATGGAATACTATGCAGTCATAAAAAAGGTGAGTTCATGTCCTTTGCAGGGACATGGATGAAGCTGGAAACCATCATTATCAGCAAACTATCACAAGGACAGAAAACCAAACACCACATGTTCTCATTCATAGGTGGGAATTGAACAATGGGAACACTTGGACACATGGCAGGGAACATCCCACACCGGGGCATGTCGGAGGGTGCAGGGCTGGGGGAGGGATAGCATTAGGAGAAATACCTAATGTAAATGACTAGTTGATGGGTGCAGCAAACCAGCATGGCACATGTATACCTATGTATCAAACCTGCACATTGTGCACATGTATCCTAGAACTTAGAGTATAAAAAAAGAAAATAGGAAATAGAGAAAATCAACGAAACCCAAAAAAAAAAAAAAATACTGTGTGCTTCTCTTTTGCATACACCCTCCTCTCTCTAACAGCCATATCTGAGCCAACCCATTGTCAGTCCCTGGAAGTTGCGGGTTTAAGGCTTACACTGTGAGCTACTGTCCATTTGATCTGAGGTCTAAGCCCTTTCTTTGCAGGGCACAGTATAGGGTATGTTGAAAGAGGAAGGACTGTAATAGTCCTTCCCACTCCATTTTGGCTCTAAATTGTACTCTTGCTTAGTGTAGGGATTATGTAAAGCTTTGGATGTCTACTGGCAATTTGCAAGCATTTCTGTGGCACGGCAAGGCAAATTATAAGCTTCTATGGTGCTTTGTTTACCTACTAAATGCAAATAGCCAATTTATATACTTTTTAGACCTTTCCTCCCTCCCTTGCTTTCTATCCTGAAATCTAATTAAATAATAAAATATTTTGAAACAATGAAAATTTCTAAATATTTGTCTCTAATTTTATTAAATATCAACATTTATTTATTATTATTATTATTATTATTGAGATGGAGTCTCACTCTGTTGCCCAGGCTAGAGTGCAATGGCTCAATCTTAGCTCACTGCAACCTCCACCTCCTGGGTTCAAGTGATTCTTGTGCCTCGGCCTCTCAAGTAGCTGGGATTACAGGCGTGTGCCACCACATCTGGCTAATTTTTGTATTTTTAGTAGAGATGGGGTTTTACCATGTTGGTCAGGCTGGTCTTGAACTCCTGACCTCAAGTGATCCATCCACCTCGGCCTCCCAAAGTGCTGGGATTATAGGCATGAGCCACTGTGCTCGGCTCAACTTTTATTTTAGATAAAGGAGGTACATGTGCAGGTTTGCTACATGGGAATATTGTGTGATGCTAAGGTTTGGGGTATGGATCCCATCACCCATGTAGTGAACCTAATACCTGATAGGTAGTTTTTCAACCAATGACCTGTCCTTTCCTCTCCCATCTAGTAGTCCACAGTGTCTGTCGTTCCCATATTAATGTCCATGTATGCTCAATGTTTAGCTCTCATTTATAAATGAGAATATGTGGCACTTGGTTTTTGTTCCTGTTAATTCACTTAGGATTATGGCCTTCAGCTGCATCCACACTGCTACAAAGAACATGATTTCTTTATTTACAGATGCATAGTATTCCATGGTATACAGGTACCACATTTTCTTTATCAAATTCACCATTGATAGGCACATGAGTGGATTCCATGTCATTGCTGTTGTGAATAGTGCGGTGATGAACACAGGAGTGCATGTGTCTTTTTGGTAGAATGATTTATATTCCTTTGGGTATATACCCAGTAATGGGATTGCTGGATTAAAGGGTGACTCTATTTTCAGTTCTTTGAGAAGTCTCCAGACTGCTTTCCACAGTGGCTGGACTAATTTACACTCCCAACAACAGTATATAAGCATAACCTTTTCTCTGCAGCCTCACCAGCATCTGTTGTTTTCTGACTTTTTAATACCAGCCATTCTGATTGGTGTGAGATGGTATCTTACTATAGTTCTGATTTGCATTTCTCTAATGATTAGTGATGTTGAGCATTTTTTCATGTTTGTTGGCTGCTTGTATGTCTTCCTTCTTTTGAGAAGTGTCTGTTCATGTTCTTTGCCCACTTTTTAATGGGGTTGTTTTTTCTTGTTGATTTGTTTAATTTCCTTATAGATTCTGGGTAGTAGACCTCTGTTGGATGCATAATCTGTGACTATCATCTCCCATTCTATAGATTGTCTGTTTACTCTGTTGATAGTTTCTTTTGCTGTGCAGAAGCTCTTTCATTTAATCAGGATGCACTTGTCTATTTTTGTTTTTTTAAAAGTTGAAAATGTTTTTAAAAAGTGTTAAGTTTCAATACTTTCCTATACTTCATATTCTTATCTAAAAGGCAAGAATGATATAATTTCTGCTCCCAACAAATTCATGAGATTACAGTGATAAATTAATGTATGGCAATAAATATGCTTCAGAAATCAATGTGAAACCATTTTCAATGTTGAGTGCCGATACTTTATAACTTAGTAGTATGATAAAATATAAACTAAATGGATATTTAACTGAATCATGGGATGAATGCATTCAGGGAATCATAGTAAGTTGTACTTGACAAGACAACAGCCAGAAGCCTGAATACAGTTCAATATTCTTAATTCAATCTGGGTTCAAAAGCAAAGAGGAGAAGAACGTGGAGCCAGTATCTCCTACAGTGGAAAGGCAGCTGTTGAGCATATGATCTTGGTGCCAGACACCTTCCCTGGCCTCCATTAAGGCTAGGAACATACATAAAGGAATGACACATTCTCTACTTGAGGGTGCAAGCTCTGTGCCTTGGATGCTGGTATTCATACTTCACAAATAATGTGAATATGACATGAATTTACTGACTCCTGCTATGTCCTATTGGTGTGTAATAATGGTTATGCTAATAAAAAAACTAGTAAGGTAGTGGCCCTTTCTAATAAAAATTAGTAAAGTCCTTTTTTAAAAAAAATCATGGTTGTATACTCACATTGGGACTAATCAAGGAAACAACCTGACCCACGGAGAACAAAGAAAAGCACAACAGGACGATGGCCCACCCGGAAGCAACACAGAGCCAGGGAAGCAGTGAATGAATGTGTGACCCCAGGGAACCACGATTCTCCTACAGATCTTTGCAACCCTCAGGTCAAGAGATCTCTATGTGAACCCACTCCACCGGGGCCTTCAGTCTGACAGACAGAGCTACCTGGAGTCTCTGTAGAACAGTCCCTAAGGCACACGTAGAGACCATGGAGCCTTAGATACTTGGGCTTTCTGGCAAAAGTAGCTGCGGCTCCAGCAAAGTGGGAGGTTAGACATTGGAACATACCCCTAGGAAAGAGGCTGAATCCAAGGGACTGAGCAAAAACAGCCTGCAAGTCCCACTTCCACAGCACCTCAAAAGATAAGACCCACTGGCTTGGAATTCCAGCCAGCCCCTGGTAGTAGCATTGCACCTCCCTGAGAAGGCGCTCCTGGTGGGAGGGGCAGGCCACAATCTTTGCTATTTGGGTGCCTTAGCTGCTCCAGTCAGGCTTTGGAGAGTCCAAGCTGACCAGGGGTGGAAAGGATCCCCAGCACAGCACAGCTGCTCTACCAAAACGTGGCCAGGGTGCTTTTTTAAGCAGTTTCCCAATCCTGTTCCTCCTCACTTGGCAGGACCTCCCAACTAGGGTCTCCATCCACCTCCTACAGGTGTCTTTGGGCTGGCAACAGCACCGTATGTCCCTGGGATGAAGCTCCCAGAGGGAAAGGCAGGCTGCCATCTTTGTTGTTTTGCAGCCTTCCCTGGTGATACCTCCAGGTACTGGAAAATCCGAAGTGACAAGGGACGGGAGCAGGCCCCCAGAATACTGCAGCAGCCCTATAGAAAAGTGGCCAAACTGTTATATGTGGTTGCCCATTCCCATATCTCCTCACTGGGCAGGTCCTCCAGGTCTGAGCCTCCAGTCATCCCCTGCCAGAGCTATTGAGCCAGTAGCAAGTCAGCAACTCCCTGAACAGAGCCTTCAGGGGCAACTGAAAGCCTCTCTGCCACTGCCTCTACAGTGGAACCGCCCTTGCCACCCTCAGACTAACAAAGGGGCAAAGACCCTAAATGCCTTATCCACACCTCTTACAAGCTGCAGTAGACCCAAAGAGAGGCCAGTCCGTCTCCCACCAATCCCACACATCCCCAAGTGCTTGTCACCAGACAAGGAACCCCTGGCTTGGGCCCACAGCACAGACCTTCCATCCTGGGCTGATTGCACTGAGTGATTGCTGACCTGCATCTCTCTGGAGAAGAGCCTCCAGGAGACAAGCATACAACACTTGGCCATAACCACTATGAGGTCCCTTCCTCTGCTGCCTCCAAGTTGGGGAAGGAACATAAACACTGAGATCTCTCCAGAGCTTAAGTAGGCACCCCAGGAGTGCCAAGTCATGATCTACAGCCAGCACTCAAGGGGGAAAGGAACCCACACATTCAGAGCACTAATAGGGAAAATGGCTGCAACTGTGAGCAAACATAGGGGAGTCACAATCATTAAGCAAGAGTCTACCAACTGACCAATAAGTCTAAGTGCCACCAGCTGGATCACACCCCAAAGCTTCAACATTAAAAATACATATACACATACACCCACACCCCCACACACATATATGTGTGTGTATATATATGTGTGTGTGTGTACATATATGTGTGTGTATGTATGTATATATGTATGTGTGTGTGTGTGTGTGTGTGTATATGTATATAAAACCTAACAGGTCTGACAGAGCTGAATAACACAATACAAGAATTTCACAATGCAATCACAAATATTAACAGCAGAATAAAACAAGCTTAGGAAAGAATCTCAGAACTTGAAGATCGATTATCTGAAATGACAGTCAGACAAAAATAAAAAGAATAAAATGGAATGAACAAAAACTTGGAGAAGTATGGGATTATGTAAAGAGGCCAAATATATGAATCACTGACATCCCTGAAAGGGAGGGGGAGAAAGCAAACATGTGGAAAACATATTTCAGGATATGGTGCATGAAAACTTCCCCATCCTTGCTAGAGGGGCCAACAGTCAAACTCAGGAAATACAGAGAACTCCTCCAACATTCCACACAAGAAGAACATCCACAAGACACATAATCATCAGATTTTCCAAGGTCAAAATGAAGGAAAAAAATGTTAAAGACAGCTAAAGAGAAAGGGCAGGTCATCTTCAAAGCAAACCCCATCAGGCTAAGAGTGGACCTCTCAGCTGAAACCTTACAGGCCAGAAGAGATTGGGCACCTATATTCAACATTCTTAAAGAAAAAAATCTTCAAACAAGAATTGAAATTCTTGTTTGCGCCAAGCTAAGCTTCAAAAGTGAATGAGAAATAAGATCCTTTTCAGATAGGCAAATGTTGAGGTAGTTCATTACCACCAGGCCTGCCTTACAAGAGATCTTGAAAGGAGCATTAAATATAGAAAGAAAAGGCTGCTACCAGCTAATATAAAAACACACTTAAACACACAGGGCAGTGTCACTATCAAGCAACCATACAAACAAGCTAACATAATAACCAGCTAACAGCACAATGACAGGATCAAACCCACATATCAGCCAGGCACGGTGGCTCATGCCTGTAATCCTAGCACTTTGGGAGGCTGAGGCAGGTGGATCACTTGAGGTCAGGAATTCAAGGCCAGCCTGGCCAACATGGTGAGACCCCCCAACCCCCATCTCTACTGAAATATAAAAATTAGCTGGGCATGGTGGCGGACACCTATAATCCCAGCTACTTGGGAGGCTGAGGCAGGAGAATTGCTTGAACCCAGGACATGGAGGTAGCAGTGAGCTGAGACTGTGCCACTGCACTCCAGCCTGGGTGACAGAGCAAGACTCTGTCTCAAAAAACAAACAAACAAAAAAACCCCACATATATCAATACTAACTTTGAATGTAACCAAGCCAAATGCCCCACTTTTTAAAAGGTACAATGTGGCAAGCTGGATAAAAAAGCAAGACCCAATGGTATGCTGTCTTCAAGAGACCCAACTCACAGGTAATAACACTCATAGGCTCAAAATAAAGGGATAGAGGAAAATCTACCAAACAAATAGAAAACAGAAAGAAGCAGGGGTTGCAATCCTAATTTCAGACAAAACAGATTTCAAACCAACAATGATCAAAAAAGACAAAGAAGGACATTACATAATGGTAAAGGATTCAATTCCACAAGAAGACCTAACTATCCTCAATATATATGACCCCAACACAGGAGCCTTCAGATTCATATAGCAAGCTCTTAGAATACTTACAAAGAGAAATAGACTCCCACACAATAATAGTGGGACACTTCAACACTCCACTAACAGTATTAGACAGATCATCAAGGCAGAAAATTAACAAAGATATTCAGGACCTGAACTCAGCATTGAACCAAATGGATGTGATAGACCTTTAAAGAACTCTCCACCCCAAAACAACAGAATATACATTCTTTTCATTGCCATGTGGCACATATTCTAAAATCAACCACATAATTGAACATAATCCTCAAAAAATGTAAAAAAACTGAAAGCAT
Organism: Homo sapiens; assembly: GCF_000001405.40. Taxonomy (NCBI): domain Eukaryota; kingdom Metazoa; phylum Chordata; class Mammalia; order Primates; family Hominidae; genus Homo; species Homo sapiens. Next base: position 63,356,564 of record NC_000002.12, read on the forward strand.
ACCAAACACACTCCTGGACCACAGCACAATAAAAATAGAAGTCAAAATTATGAATATCGCTCAAAACCATGCAATTACATGGAAATTAAAAAATATGCTCCTGAATGACTTTTGGATAAACAATGAAATTAAGGCAGAAATCCATAAGTTCTTTGAAAATAATAAGAACAAAGATACAGCATAACAGAATCTCTGGGACATAGCTAAGGCAGTGTTAGGAAGGAATTTCATAGCACTAAATGTCCACACTGAAAGGCAACCCTAAGCAAAAAGAACAAAGCTAGAGACATCATGTTATCCTACTTCAAAGTATACTACAGGGCTATAGTAACTAAAACAGCGTGCTACTGGTATAAAAACAGACACATAGGCCAGTGAAACAGAAGAGAGAGACCAGAAATAAGGCCACACATCCACAACCATCTAACCTCCAACAAAGGACAAATATAAGCAATGGGGAAGAGAGTATCTATTCAATAAATGGTGCTGGGATAACTGGCTAGCCATATGCAGAAGATTGAAGCTGGAGGTCTTCTTTACATCATACAAAAATCAACTCAAGATGGATTAAAGACTTAAATGTAAAACCTAAAACTATAAAAACCATGGAAGACAACCTAGGCAATACCATTCTAGACATAAGAACAGGCAAAGATTTCATGACAAAGACACCAAAAGCAACTGCAACAAAAGCAAAAATTGACAAGTAGGATCTAATTAAACTTAAGAGCCTCTGTACAGCTAAAGAAACCAACAGAGTAAACAGACAACTTACACAATAGGAGAAAATATTTGCAAACTATGCATCTGACAAAGGTCTAACATCCAGCATCTATAAGGAACTTAAATTTACAAGAGAAAAACAACTCCATTAAAAAGTGGGCAAAGGACATGAACAGACACTCCTCAAAAGAAGACATACATGCAGCCAAGAAGCATATGAAAAAAAGCTCAGTATCACTGATTAGAGAAATGGAAATCAAAAGCACAATGAGATACCATCTCACAGTCAGAATGGCTATTATTAAAAAGTCAAGAAACAACAGATGCTGGCAAGGTTGCGGAGAAAAGAGAATGCTTATACACTGGGGGCAGGAGTGTTAATTTAGTCAACCACTGTGGAAAGCAGTTTGGCGATTCCTCCAAGAGCTAAAAGGAGAACTACCATTTGACCCAGCAATCTCATTACTGGGTATATACTCAGAGGAATATAAGTCATTCTACCATAAAGACACATGCATGCAAATGTTCATTGCAGCACTATTCATAGCAGCAAAGACATAGAATCAACCTAAATGCCAATCAGTTACAGACTGGATAAAGAAAATGTGGTACATATACACCATGGAATACTATGCAGCCATAAAAAAGAACGAGGTCATGTCTTTTGCAGTGACATGGATGGAGCTGGAGGCTATTATCCTTAGCAAACTAACATAGTAACAGAAAATCAAATACTGCATGTTCTCACTTATAAGTGGGAGCTAAATGATACAAACATATGAACTGGGGTCTACTTGAGGGTGGAGGTGGGAGGAAGGAGAGGAGTAGAAAAGCTAATTATTCAGTACTAGGCTTAATACCTGGGTAATGAAATAATCTGTACAACAACCATCATGACACATGTTTATGTATGTAACAAACCTTCACATGTATCTCTGAACCTAAAAGTTTTTTAAAAAAGAAAAAAAAATCATGGTTGTATTTGCATTCTTATAATATTTCAGTCCTGTTACTATATTCCTGTTTTTTTTTTAACTAGCACTCACAGCTTTTATTTACAGAACACCTTACAGATTTAAAAATGTTTTCTAGTAATTGTCTTATTGGATACAACACTCCAGAAATACAGGAGATTCAGATGATTTGATTTCCCAGTATATAGATAAGTAGCTTGTCAAAGATCTCTTACTCTTTGGTAGAGACAGGGTCTTGCTCTGTTACCCAAGTTGCAGTGCAGGTGCAGTCACAGCTCACTGCAGCCTCATACTCAAGCAACCCTCCCACCTCAGCCTCATGAGCAGCTGGGACTACAGGTGTGCACCATCACACCTGGCTAATTATTTTATTTTTTGTAGAGATGGGGTCTCACTTTGTTGCATCAGCTGGTCTTGAACTAGTTGCCTCAAGCAATCTTCCCACCTAGGCTTCCAAAGTTCTGGGATTACAGGTGTGAGCCACCAGGATGGCCTCCAATGCTCTCTTAACTCTACCACTAACGGTCAGCATAGATGCAATTTAAAGGAAGTCAAATTCTTTTCCACTATCACAGATTATAACTCATTTTTTAAATCCCCAAAATTTCTATACAGACTACCCAGTCTCACTGCCCATTAGTCCCATAAATACTTTCTAGTCCCTGACAAAAGCCCTTGTTCCTAGGTTATACTTAGACTTGACATATTTCATTTTCTTCCCTGGATCCACTCTCTCCCTTACTTATCCGCTTTCTTATTTCTATGTATACCTATCTCTTCTCCCTGTCCTTGCACTCTCTCTTTCCTTCCCTCCCTTCCTTCCTCTTTCCACTTTCCCTCATTCCCTTCCCTTCTTTTTCCTTCTCCCTCCCTTGTATGTTCGTATCTCAATACTACTTTGCCAATATTTGAGTCTTACCATAATCCAATCACAACATTCTAGTTCCGACATCTACATTTAAACATCTATAATATCATCAAATTGTCTTGCAATATTTCTCTCATGCTTAAGACGTGCAACCTTGCATTTCCAAGGAAAAATCCATAAACTTTTTTAGAAGCATATGTTCAAACAATTCAGTTAGAAAATAGGCAACGGACATGAAAAGATATTTCACTAGAGAGCATAAAGATAGAACATAAGTACATGAAAAGATGTTCAATATCATTAGCCATCAGGAAAATGCAAATGAAAACCCCAATGAGGTATCATTACATATCTATTATAATAGCTAAAATAAAAAATGGCAATGCTAGGAGAAACCAGATCTCTCACACATTGTTGGTGGGAATGCAAAATGACACAGACATTCTGGAAAACAGTATGGCAGTTTCCTATAGAACTAACCATACATGGCCTAGCACCAGACTTAGCAATCACTCTCTTAGGCATTTATTCCAGAGAAATGAAATCACATCCATACAAAAACCTGTACATGAATGTTCATGGAAGTTTTATTTGTAATAGCCCCAAACTGGCCACAACCAAAATACCCCCTGAGAAGTGAATTCCATGATTTTTAAAAATTGTACTTTATGGCCGGGCACGGTGGCTTATGCCTGTAATCCCAGCACTTTGGGAGGCTGAGGCGGGTGGATCACAAGGTAAGGAGTTCAAGACCAGCCTGGCCAACATGGTGAAATCCCATCTCTACTAAAAACAACAAAAATTAGCTGGGTGTGGTGGCACATGCCAGTGGTCCCAGCTACTCGGGAGGCTGAGGCAGAAGAATCGCTTGAACCCAGGAGATGGAGGTGGCAATGAACCGCGATCACATCACTGCACTCCAGCCTGGGCGACAAGGCAAGACTCCATCTAAAAAAAAAAATTGTACTTTATAAAATAACATTTCTTAGGAGAGTCAGACTAGCAGCTTTATATATGTGTGAAAAAGAAGTATCTATTAAAACATTTCTAAGAATCATTTTTCCTCCAAACAGTACAAACCAAACCAAACCTTAGCTTTGAATTCGATTTTAGGCTGAATAATGGAAGTCTGTGTCTTGTTATAATTGCAGTTATGCAGTGGTTATGCAGAGAAACTTAAGCACCAATATTGCACAGTTAGTCTCAACTAGTACATATTTCGCTATCTGACAAAAGCTAATCAAGAAGACTACTTTGACTCCCTTCCAGAAACCCTTGTTGGTTTTTATTTTTTTTCAATTCTCTAGATTCTTTCAATTTTCCCAAATGAAAAAATTCTTAAACTGCTACCATACCTTATGCCAAACATAGGTTTAACAGAGATTTCTCTTAGACATCTATATCCAGTGAATAATCTCCATTATTCTTTCCTCCCAAGGAAAATCTTTATATTTTACTAAACCCTTACTACTTAGCGGCGTCTCAGTAGTCAGTGTTTAGCTCTGAATAAAGGCACGTGGTGCATTCTCTGCAAATTGCTTTCAGCTAAAAACAGATGTTAATTTAAAAACGTAGATAACATCCCATGGCACCTGTTGTTTCACACTTCTTTTGCTCAAGCCCCAGTGGTCCAAATCCCATCTTTTATTTCAATAATTTTCTGCAGCTTTTCTTCCATTCCAGCTGCAGGTCTTTCACTGTGATGATCATTCAAACTTAACAGAAAAGCCATGTTTTACTGAGCAAAACTATCAGGATGACTACACAGAGTCAATGCAGGCAGCCCTAAGTCACGGCTCTAATTTAAGAATGAAATATGTTCTAATGATAAATGTCAGTTATCTGGATGCAGTGTCTGAATAATTTTAACTATAAGAACAGGAACTTGGGAAATTAACTAAATGCATGTCCGTCTTCCAGCCGCAGATCTTAGTAGAGTGTTTTCGTGACAAGATAAGATGGAAGAAAGGAGAAGGACCAGGTCAGAATTCATAGTGACCTTAATCACCTAGCACATGTAGTTAGAACAGATTAAAGTTCTTTAAAAGTAACTGTGAGTCACTGGAAATAAAATGCATAAAATTGATTAAGATGGGGAGGGACTAGATGAGAATATTCAGAAACATTTACAGAGTGGATCAAACAAGAAATCAAGACTAAACAGTGTATTATTGTGGCCAAAATAGCTACTGAGATAATACATGTATAAATTGGAATATTCTGATACTGATCACTGGCCACTAATCCTAAATTACACCAAGCATGGGGTTACAGCCTCAATAGCTACAAAAAAGTAGACTTTTGAGCCTATTCTTCACTCTTGGCATAGTGCAAGGCATATAGTAAACAAGTATTTATTGAGTTAATGATGTTTGCAAAATCTAAAGAAAAATTTGTAGAAGATTATGAGGAAAGCAAGAATAACATAGGGAACATGGAAATAAAGCCAGTTAAGTCTAGTGCCATCTAAACTATGCACATGTGTCACCATTTAGGGTAGAAAACTCTCCCTACTTAATTTTATGTTGGTAGCACATGACCTGCTCCAAGCACTAGCCTGATTCTTTCATTTGTTTGTTGTTGTTGTTGTTTTCTTTATTTGGTTTTTGCAAACAGTGCAAGTGAAGAGGTGAAAAGAGAGAGGAGCAGTGAGGACAAGGCTGACAAAGGTTAAAGCTGTGCTTCTCAGAGCGGGAGGGGTGAGGCATCCAAGCTCCAAGATTCACGGTATCTCAGGGCATAGAAGCTTCACCTAAAAATTTGGGGTTGAGGAGGAAGGTTTTGAGCTTTTCCTTTTTTCCCACTTTTTAAAAATTGATATATCATAGTTGCATCTATTTTGGAGGTACATGTGATATTTTGACACCTGTGTACAATGTGTAAGGATCAAATTAGGGTAATTGGGATATCCATCACCTCATTTATCTTTTCTTTGTGTTGGGAATGTTTCACTTCTCTTCTAGCTATTAATTATTTTGAAATATACAAGTTACTGTTGACTATAATTTCCTTACTGTACTATTGAATAACAGAACTTATTTTTTCCATCTAACTATTTTTTGCAACCCAATTTTTTCCTCTTTAATGAGGTATTGTTACATGCATATCCTGGTAAAATCGGTAGAATCCCTTTTTTTTTTTTTTTTGGTTGTGTGTGTGTGTGTGTGTGTGTGTAGAAAGGAAGTGGGTGAGGGGAGGGGAAGAGAGAGGGAGGGAAAGAGGCAGATTATCTGGAAATAGAAAGTAAAACAATATTCTGCTCAGAGTGACTAGAAAATTTGTTATTATTATTTGGGTCATCAGTGGTGTTTATTAATACTGTAGTCACCAAGACTATGAATAGTACCCAGTACTGCCAGGAGAACAAATTATGTTAATAATACTGGTCTTCTTAGCTCTGCTTGTCCCCTGTGGTCTGAGTGAGCCTGATGTATGAAATCTCTAAGGTGTTCCCATAGATTTGAAAAATGAGCTGGCTCTCTCAGAAATTAATTTACTTTACATGAACATGAAAATTTTTGCTTCTATAAATTAAATCAATTTTCTTTTCTTAAGAGATGGGGTCTCACTCTGTCACCCAGGCTGGAGTGCAGTGGTGCAATCATAGCTCACTGCAGCCTCAAACTCCTAGGGTCAAGTGATCCTCCTACTTCAGCCCCCTAAGTAGCTGGAACTACCATACCCTGCTAAAAATCAGTTTTCTTAACAAGTATGATAAAATGTTTTATTTACAAACTAGGTTACTCTTAGGCATACTTTCTGCTTCAGTTTCCCTATAACATGAAAGTCCTTAAGATTATAGTTCAAGTACAATTTTAGTACTATTATTCATTTGTAATTTAAAAACTTAAAAATTTTGAAAATAAGAAAATACAAAGAACAACTTAATTACCACTGTTCACATCTGGATATATATACTTCCACTTATTTAGATTTTTTTTTAATATGGACAAAATAATTATTCTTGTTTTTGTAAAATGTATCTATGTTCATAAAAAATAATTCAAACAATACAAGAAGCACAAAGATGGAAATATATATCACTTCCACTTTGCAATACCCAGAAATTAACATGGTTCATATTAGATATGCATCACCCTCCATATCTTGCAGATGGAAGGATACGAAGGGATTCTTCTATGTTAATAGGTTTATGTTATACGTCCTATTGTTAATAAAGAATATTATGGCTGGGCGCAATGGATCACACCTGTAATCCCAGCACTTTGGGAGGCAGAGTTAGGCAGAATGCTTGAGCCAGGAGTTTGAGACCAGCCTGGGCAACATGGTGAAACCCTATCTCTACAAAAAATTTAAAAATTAGCCAAGTGTGATGGGGTGAGCCTATAGTCCCAGCTACTCGGGAGGCTAAGGTGGGACGACTGATTGAGCCTGAGAGGTTGAGGCTGCAGTGAGTCATGAACAGGCCACTGCACTCCAGAGTGGGCAACAGAGACCCTGTCTCAAAAAATATATAGAGTATTAAATTTAATTTTACTTAAAAAAGAAAAGCGAAATTTTATAGGAATTATTAACCTTCAAATACGTATTTCCTGACCATATTTTATTTTCTATAAGATCCCTCTAAAGTTAGGAGATTAGGAAGAATATATTTTTTTAACTACTTAATGACTTTTAAACAGTATTCTGGACTCTTTGTTTTGAAAGTGATAACTCTGATATTTTCTCCATTTCTCTTTCCTCCAAATTCCACTTTTTATCATATAGTTGTATTTTTACATTAACCAAGATAATACCCAATTTTTGCCAGGCACAGTGTCCTGTGCCTTAGTCCCAGCTGCTCTGGAGGCAGAGCAAGGAGGATTGCCTGAGGCCAGGAGTTCAAGGCAGACATGCACTATGATCATGCCTGTGAATAGCAACTGCACTCCACCTCCGGCAACACAGCAAGTCCCTGTCTTTAAAAAAAAATACTCAATTTCTTTTCTAATCATAATATCTATGGTTGTTTAGCATTAGTTACTCATAAGTGGATTGCTCAACACCATGATTCTTTGTTTTTTCATTCAGATTCTCCATTTCTGATAAGTCTTCTATTTACATTCATCGTTAAGCAGTTTTTTCACGAAGGACTCACAGATGCTATTATTCTCTGAAGACTTACATGATTGAGAATATTTGCCTGTTGCCTCTAAATGTGACAAAAATCTCAACCGAGTATAATATTCTCGGGTCACACTTCTAGATTCTTTTTTCTTTTCAGAGACTTTTTATTGAATTATATCTTTGAGTACATCTTCTGTTCCTATTAGTTTAATGCTGAATCATCTGTCTTCTATATCAAATACATATTTCTAATTGCCTTAATCTGTCTTTCATGTGCATTCACTGTGATTATCTCAAGTCTGTCTTGATTTTCACGGTTGTTTGTCTTTATTCCCTGCCTGTCACCTGTCCTACCTCTTCCCCAAGACACATAGCTCAGTGCTATTATATGTGGACCCAAACCCACCACTGTGATAGCACACCTAGGTTGGTCCATGTCTGTAGTGTTTTGTATGTCAAAATTACCTCTTAATCCATTCTCACAATAAAACTCTCAACAGAGTGCTAGGACCTATGAAGTCATTTCAATATTTTCAATAACCTCTTACTTATGAAGAAATTAACACAATATTACAAATGGAACTCTTCTTACATCTTCCTTCTCTTTCCTTTCATATTCAGACTGCATGCTCCAAAAAATTATCTCTTGCTGTTTAGTTTATAATGAGTTGGCAAACTTTTTATGTAAAGGGCCAAACAGTAATACACTTTGAGGGATATATGAACCCTATCACAAGTAAACCCTGCCATTATAGTATGAAAGCAGCCATTGGCAATATGCAAACAAATGGGCTTGGCTGTGTTCCAAAAGAACTGTATTTACAAAGATGAGAGGCAGGTTGTAATTTGCTGACTCCTGTTTTATACAATCAACTTTGGCAACTGCAGTCAAAGTAAAGGTCCCGGCCATGTACTGACTTGGAATGGGTGGACTTAAATAGTGTTGTTGTAAGGATTATATTAATAGCCAACTAGCACAAATTTGAACTCAGCACCACATGGCCCATGTGGAAGAATAAGTCAATGTAGGTAATGTGCTGACCTAGCAAGGTCTCTTCAGCACCAGGATTCTAACCAGTGCTATGCTCTACTAAAGGGATTCAGAAGACTATTCTGCTGTATGTAACCCCAAAGAATGGCAGGAATTTACTACAGCTATAACAAAAATCGTAATAATATTCAGTTACCTTTTGCTAAGAACTTTCAAATATTTCATTTGAGCTCAATAACTACCCTAGAAGTATGCATGGTAGGTGTTCTTTCCATGACAAAGTTAAGAAAAGTGAGAACTACAAAAAAAATTAAATTCCCATTCTTACAGCAGATTAGGAGTAGACTAGGACCTAAAACCATAATCTTTGATCTCTTAGGACTGGCATTTTTGGGGTAGCCCTTCTTTTTTCCTAATGGTAAGACTAATCAGAGCACCAATATTTTTTGAAAGCTCCTCGCTACAGGTTCGCTCAGCCCAAAGTAAGAGAAAATGGCCCTATGCAGACATTAGACAACTGCCACAATGGCTCAATGTGGAGCAGCATCCTCAACTGACATCACATGGTCCCATTTACCTTACCACTCGCAGAACTAAGTTTCATTGTAAAAAATATAAGTTCATTTAGTAGCATGTAGCCAAGCTATGGTTGTAAATATTATTGGATGTCTCAGATAAACACTGTTGTAAATTTATTTAACCCTAAACTATTTGTGTGTCATTCTTCATGACTTATTACAGATATTCCTTAACTGTTCAATGAGAACTTGGAAAATTTTGAACCCACTAGACAGGAGGTTAGCTTAGGGAACTGAGACTTGACTTGTCTACTCAAAGGTGCCTGATAAATAGGATCATAGAATCTCATGTTGGAAAGAACCTTAAAAGTACGAGGAAATCTCACATACCTCCACTAATTCTCCCAAATCCAGGATGACTCTCTTACTAGTTTGATATGTGGGGTTCTGTTTAATTTTCAAAAGGAGGCATTTTGTTTCAAAATATATATTGTCAATGAAGGGCAGCATCACCTTCAAGGGAGCAAAAGTTGGTCTTTAAGGAATGAAAAAACTCTTAGCTAATAACAATGATTTCTGTCCCTCCAAAGCCCAACCCTACATGAAAAGTCTTATTCCTTAGCATTTAATTGATCTTGTTAGAAATTAAAATCACTTAATTTAAAATTAATTTAAGTATATTTTTCCTCCTTTGAGAGGCAATAATGAAAAAAAGGTTGAGAAATGCTGTTCTAAAGATCATTTAGTCTACCTTTATCTAATTTGTGTATCTCTACAACACTGTCATCAATAATAGTTAGCACTCATTGTGCCCTTATTATCTATCTATCTTCCAGACTTTCGCTTAAATTCTTGTTACATGGATTATCATATTAATTCTCACAACATCCCAGTGTGACAGGTACCATGATTGTCCTTACTTACAAATTAAGAAACTGAAGCTAAGAAATATTAAGAATGTCCTCATATTCAAACTTTCATGTTGTTATACTCTATACCATACTGCCCTCTACATCAGTATGTATCTCCCTTCTTATCAAATACCTCTAGAAGAAAACTCCTTGTATCCTGAAGTGGTTTATTTCATAGTATGAAGGTGAAAGGTGTAGACTTTGAGGTCACATAAAACATACACACATCACACACATGGACTGAAGTTCTAATTCTAGTCTATCACACATTGTGGTTATTGAGCAAGTTATTTAATCTGTGTACTCATCTATAAAATAGGAATTATATATGGTTACATAGTAGAATGTGAGGTTTAAATGTGATCATGTTTATAAAGCCCTTACCTTTCACTAGCACACATTAAATAGTAGTCATTCAATCCATATATTTATATGAATATATATATTCATTTATATATATGAAATATATGCAATCATCATTTGTAAAAAAAAAATTAAAGCAGGTGGTAACAGGGAGTATATGGGAATTCTCTGTTCTTTCTGTTTAATTTTACTGTGACCTAAGGCTACTCTAAAAATAAAGCTTATAATTACTTAAAGACCAATAAAAAAGTAAGAATCTCATACATTAAAACAATTAAAACAACAAGATGCCAAATTTCATCTGTTTAACTGTCAACACTTAAAAATACTGATTATTTCAACTGTGGGTGTAGTAAGTAAATTTCACAAAAAAATAGTGACAGGAATATATGACAATACATATCAAGATTCCTTAAAATGTATACACACTTCTGACTCAGTAATTCCATTTATAGAAATTTATTTTCAGGAAATAATCAGATAAATGTACAGAGATATGTGTGATGTGTGAATGTTTTATACACACACAAATACAACGTTTATTGCAGCACTGTTTATAGTAGCAAGACACTGGAAATTGTTCATGTCTATATATAGCAGGATAGTTGAATAAATTATGGTAGTCTATCCTTAATAAATGTGTGATATAGATCTATGTTTATTAACATAAATAGAAGGCCATAATATTTATGTCTTGCAAAAAAATCATGTGTTACTCCTGTAATCAGAAAGTTATTTTTGCTTTAGAAAAAACATAAGTGTTCCAAAGAACTATAGTGGCTGGGCAGTCTATGGATCAGGAAAACTTGAATTAATGGGAGGGCTTTAGTTTTAAACAATTTTTATTTATTAAACCTATGAACCAAAAGACAAATACATATCCTTCCACAGCAATAACCACATGTGATCAAAGTGTTCATTAAAGATTTCACAAAAGTGATGTATTTTTTTCAACTAATTCAACACTGCTGAGGCCCACAAACAATGTGATCTTTGAGGAAAGCTAATATTTGTTACCTCAGATTTAGACAGATGACCCTCAGTTTCCAGGTATTGACAAAACTCAAATACCTTTTTCAATAAAATGTAATGAGATAGAGAATAAGGACCAGAATCTACAGCAAGCTGAATACTTTTTTAGTTACACATGCATATCTGTGGGGAAGGAAAAGGAAAGAGGGAGAATTCAAAAGAAATGAGTTGTACTTATCCTTGTCTCCTCTAGGAGACAGATGCTTGAGAGCACTTAACTTACTAGAAGGAGAAAAAGATTACATCACCTGTCAATAGTTTTTTGAGTTCTACTAAGTTTATTTTTAATTTATTTATTTATTTATTTATTTATTTATTTATTTATTTATTTTTGAGACAGTGTCTCGCTCTGTCGCCCAGGCTGGAGTGCAGTGGCACAATATCGGCTCACTGCAGCCTCCACCTCCCAGGTTCAAGTGATTCTCCTGCCTCAACCTCCTGAGTAGCTGGGATTACAGGCTCATGCCACCATGCCTGGCTAATTTTTGTATTTTTAGTAGAGACAGGGTTTTACCATGTTGGCCGGGCTGGTCTTGAATTCCCGACCTCAGGTGATCCACTCACCTTGGCCTCTCAAAGTGCTGGGATTATAGGCGTGAGCCACCACGCCCAGCCAATTTTATTTAATTAAAAAAAAAAAAAGGACTCAAGCAATCCTCTTGCCTCAGCCTCCCAAGTAGCTGGAACTACAGGCATACACCTGGCAAGTTCTGTTAAGTTTAAATATGTAATAAAAGTGTAAAGGATTATTAAGGTTGTGTCTACATTGTATTAAACACAAAGGAAATACAAATATATTTCACATCCAGTGACACATTCTGAACATTTATTGATGTTCATATTTTATGTGTTATGGTCTTTCCTTGAGCTCTGAGCTCTGCAGATGTTATAAATCTGCCAAATAAATTCTTGATTATATTTTCTCTGCATGTTTCTTTTCAGACTTCAATAGAGTAGAATATCTAACAAAATTTTTCCTGGATTTTATAAAGTATTCATGAATGTAAACAGCCAAAAATCATCATATCTCTCTTAATAGCTGCAGTTTGCACATACTATGTATGCCCTTCACTACATAGTAGAAAAAAAAAAATCTTTGATTTTGACCATGTTGGTAAAGGCTGTCCTCATCCCACAGCTTTAATACAACTGTAGCTTTGTAACAGAAGTGTCTATAGCCATCTCCAGTACATACTAATTTCTGCTGGTACTATAATCAAATGTCCTTAAAGGCCAGTTACTTAATACAGTGAATATAGGCACTGTATGTCTTTTAATCCTTGCCAAACTAAAGAGAGCCAAGCTTGCTGACAAGAAGCATGATGAGGTCATCAGCAGGGGACAGTCTGGAGTTTGAGGTCAACAACTGTCTTGATCAGGAGTATGGTGGGTCTGCAGATGCAGTTCACTCTCTTATAAAAGTGGTCCTCTACCCAGGTCCTCACTCACTGAATAAAAGTACCAGAGAAGACAGCGAGGAGTTACAAGCAAAAGAAAATGAGAGTAATAAACAATTCCAAACAGATACCTCAACTAGAATTTGGGCAGAAAACACATTTTGTACATCCCAAATGAAAAAAATAACTAATGTCTAGGGTGAAGAAAAGTCTTAAGATTCATTTGTTCAATGTCACGCCTAATAAGCAGACTATCCCCACTCTTACCTCTATCTGTACAATGAATCCAGTCTATTTCTCTCACAACAGAAAAAAAGAGTTGTTAAGGTTATCACAGCAATGCAAATGGAACAGAGTGGGTATTAGGGTAGCTTCTTACATAATCATGATATTCCCTTTTTAACACTGCAGTTTTTACCCATTTGATTTTTAGACAAAATACCATTCATAATTTAGAATACGAACAACATAAGCAAAATATAAGGACTTCTTTTACTGCTATTGCTATATTTAGGAGGCAATGCTGTTAAAGGAAACCAGACTGCCAGATGAAAAACAGCATGGATGCTTTGGGCGACACCCCTCACTCACACACCCAATTAGCTATGAAAGGGGCTTTAAGGAAGAAAAGCAAGGTATACAAAATTTGTTCATATAATGACCATCGAGTTATTTATACCTATATTATGTCAATTTTGTTTGGTATCTTAATTTACTGATTAGTATAACAACTTTTCTTCAAATTGCCATTATGGTAAAGGAACCCTCATCCCTTGGCAGGAATCTAAAGAGCCCTTATACCCATGGTATTCCTTCCTAAATGGCCCTAACTGTGCCCACATAAAAACCAGCTACTTCATCTATAAAATCACATTTTTCTAGGTTCTTCCAGTTAAAAGACTTGAGGTTTTGCTATTGTTCCCTCCTGCTTATTTCTCCTTTTGCCTTTTCATCCTTTCCCTAACCAAGGGTCTGTTCAGATGTGTGCAGACCACTCTAGGCTTAAACAACCTTTAAATCCAACTACCATACCAAAGAGTACAAGTCTCTTGGAATGTCATCATAATGGATCAAACTTCTTAGAATTTTTTAAAGATGTTAAAATTTCATGTATTCAATGATTACAACTATGTAAAAAATGCATTTGATAAAAAGGACTAAAAAAAAACAACATAGAAAAGAATTGTGCGAATATAGCAATGGAACCTCACTTGCAAAAAACATCTTGGGACTGTAGTTTACTTTATAGGAGAAACATTAATTACCATTTTCTTTCATGTGTATAGGACTATTTAAATCTTCTATTTCTTTTTTAGTCAGTTTTGGTTTTTATTTACCTAAGAAATTTTCAGTTTTCCCCATTTTTCATGTTTGTTGTCATAAATTGTTCATTGTATTCCCTTTGCTTTTTTTTCTGTTTGACTAATCTTGTCAAAGAAGAAATGTTTAGCTTTATTAATCCTATTTTATAATTTTGGTTTTTGTTACATTTATTTTTAAACTTCCTTCCTTCTTTCTTCAGATTTATTTTACTGATATTTTTTGCAAGTTTTAAAAATTTCGTGGCTCATAAATTTTGAGTCTTTCTTCTTTTCCAAGAAAAACATTTTAAATATATATATTTCCCTTCATAGCCCTGTCTCAGAACTCACTTCTGAATTTCTCACTCAAACTCAACATTTCCAAAACCAAACTCCTGGTCTTTTCCCACATACCTGTTCTTTCTGGAGTCTTATCAATCTTGTCAGTAACAATTTTGTTTTTCCAATTGCTCAGGTCAAAACACTTGAAGTCATGCTTGACTTCTCTATTATATTCTTTGTCCAATCTGTTAGAAAATCCTGTTGTCAGAACCTTTAATATGTTCAAAATCCACCACTCTATCTTCATTCCCTTTGCTACCAATCTGTAACTGGCCACCATCGCTTACTCAATTACTGCAATAGCCTCCCAATGGGTCTCCTTCTCCTTGACCTTCTAAGGACAATTCTCAACACAGGATCTGAGTTATCCATTCACTAGGTAGTTTCAAATCATCTATTGAGTTCCCCTATTATTCAAGAGAATACTCTCAATTCCTTACAATAATCTACAAAGTCCTGTATGACCTGGCCACTTGCTGCCTCTCTGACCCATTGTCTCATTCCTCTCCTTCTCATTCACTGCTCCAGCCAAACTGCTGGGATTTAACTAATATTTTGCCTTTTTAGTGAGGCCTTCCCTGACAATCTTTTTTTTTTAATAGTATGATTCTTTATTTTGTAAAACAAGCCTCCACTCCTCCAAAAAAACCTTTTTCATAACAATTTGTATTTTCCAGGGCCAGGGCCAAGGCTAAGGCTAGGATGAGATGAATGAGGGAGAACAAGAGAATTTACCTAAGGATTAAAATTTAAGAAATCTGGCAATCTTATTTAAAACTGCAGTCTACTCACCCATCATCTAATACTTCCTAGCCCTGTCCCTGCATGTTCTCTTTCATGGCATGTATCATTACCTGACATATTATGTATTTTACCCACTTATTTATTGTATTAGGCCATTCTTGCATTGCTATAAAGAAATACCTGACACTGGGAAATTTATAAAGAAAAGAGGTTTAATTGGCTCATGGTTCTGTAGCCTATACAGGTAGCATGGTGCTAGCAATTGCTTGGCTTCTGGTGAGGTCTCAGAAAGCTTTCACTCATGGCGGAAGGCAAAGGGGGAGCCAGCATCTCACATGGCAAGAACTGGAGCAAGAGGAGGGAGAGCCACCAATGTTTAACCAACCAAATATGGTCATTTGGGTCATGAGGGTGGATGCCTTATGGTTTGGTGCTGTCCTTGTAAACTCACTATCACAGGGAGCATCAAGCCATAAATAATCCACCCCCATGATCCAAATACCTCCTACCAAGCCCCACCTCCAACACTGGGGATTACATTTCAACATGAGATTTAGGCAGGGGCAAATATACAAACTTCTGTTTTTTTGGTCTGTTTTGCCCTTTGCCATATTCCTAGCTAAGTGCTTGGCATGTAGTACTCAGTAATTAATTGTGGAGTAAATAAAAATTACTCCTTGACATTTTCATGAATTTTATTACCTAGAATATGGTCAATTTATATAAATGTTTATTCATGGGAAAAAAGTATAGTCTCCACTTGTTGGACTCTACACATGTCCATTAAATCAAGATTTCAATTATACAGTATTGTTCAAATCTCCTATTTCCTGACACTTTGTTTGCTTAATCTATCAATTACTAAATGAAAGGAGTTAAAATTCTTTAACTATTGACAGTGGACTTTTGTGTACACTGAAGCTATGTTACACACATTTAGAATTGTTTTATCTTCCCAGAGAATTGATTTTTCTGTCAATATTGATCTCTAGTAATCTCTACTAATGATTTTGCTTTAAAGACTATTTGTATTACATTACCAATATAGGCTGGGCACGGTAGCTCACTTCTATAATCCCAGCACTTTGGGAGGCCGAGGCGGGTGAATCACCTGAGGTTGGGAGTTTGAGACCAGCCTGACCAACATGGAGAAACCCCATCTCTACTAAAAATACAAAATTAGCCGGGCATGGTGGCGCATTCCTGTAATCCTAGCTACCTCGGAGGATGAGGCAGGAGAATCGCTTGAACCTGGGAGGCGGAGGTTGCGGTGAGCCAAGATAACTCCATTGCACTCCAGCCTGGGCAACAAGAGTGAAACGCCATATCAAAACAAACAAACAAACCAAAAACAAAAAAACCCATTACTACTATATTAGCCCTCTTTGGAGTATTTATCTGGTATAAACTTTTTTATATTCTCTGACATTTAAATTTTCTTTGTTTTCATTTTTTTGTTGTTTTTTTTTTTCTTTTAAATGACATACGGTCTTGCTCTGTCGCCCAGTGCAATTGCAGGAACAAGGCTCACTGCAGACTTGAACACCCAGGCTCAAGCAATCCTCCCATCCCAGCCTTCCAAGTAGCTGGGACTACAGGCGTGTGCCACCATGCGCCCGGCTAATTTTTTAAAAAACGTTTTGTAGAGACGGGGTCTCACTGTGTTGCTTGTGCTGGTCTCAAATTCCTGGGCTGAAGCGATTCTCCTGCCTTGGCCTCCCATAAATGCTGGGATTACAGGTGTGAGCCAAAGCACCCAGCCACCTTCTCTGTTTTAGATGTCTTTAAAAAAAAAAAAAAAACTGAGGAAAAAAATCTGTTTTACATTAACAATGATTATTGAGTTTTTGATTCATTGCTAGTATCTCATTGTGTGTTTTCTATTTTCCATCTTTTTTCCCATGTTTCTTCCCCTGCATGCTCCACTTACCCCTAATTCTTGCCATCTTTGGGGTTAATTTTTTTTCTTTATCCAACATTTTCCCTCTCCTTCCTTGAAAATTATATACTCTATTTCTTTCCTTTTAGTGATTACCCTAGAAATTCTGTATTTCACTTACTAAAATCTAGAATGAATATCTTTATCTTCCTCTTGAAAAGTATAAGGACCTTAGAATGCTTTAACTCTCTTCACTCCTCTTCTGATTTATATGTTGTTATTGTCCAAGATTTTATTTTAATTTTTAACCCCCTGAATTAGACATTAGTGTATATGCTTTATATGATCAATTTTTGTTTAGGTTTCCACAAGTTTATGATTTTTTTTTTTTTTTTGTCTACCATTCCTTTCTGCATCTCATGACTTCCTTCATTCCAGTTCTCTCAGGAAGTATGCTGTCCCATTCAAGGGTTCTAGATTTATATATGGATGTCTGATACAACCTCCCATTCTGCATGAGCTCTCAGTTATGTCTCCTATCCTCTGAGTACACAACCTTTGTAAACCAAGCACCTATCTTACTGTGAGCCAGAGGATGCCCTCCAGGAGAACGTTGAGTTTGCTTACTCTTGTGGAATCAAGCATCCTTATCATTTCAGCCTGTTTCCCTTACTTTACTGCCAGCTCAACCATGCTTTCAATAAATATTTTGAATATATTATCTAGCATTTTTGGATGATCTGACCAGGAGATTTTCTCTAAAAATCATTCTATCTTGTTGCCTTGAATGTTCTTAGGTTAACTTTTTTAGTATTCATGTTCTTTAAAATGATTTCATACAAATGTTGTATTTACTATATATGCTCTATCAGCGAAAAGTATAACTGAAAAAGCCATGTATACATGGAATTGCTTAAGAACTGTTTTAGTCACAAAATGATTTTTGTTTTGCCTATCATATATATTTTACATAAGCTAAAAGCCATTTCCAAAAGACTGCCCTTTTTTTCTGAATTCTAAGTGTAAATATTGACTCCAGTATATTATCCGCAACATCTTACTGTAAAAATTTCCAACATAGAGCAAAGTTAAAAGATTATCTACCACATGTATTCTGACTTTATCGTTTTACAATATTGCTTATCACATATTTACCTATCTCTCTGTTTATCCATCAATTCATATTACTTTTTGTTGTTACATTACAAAGGAAAATGCAGACATCAATACATTACCCCACCAATATTTCATAACCAAAAAATTTTATTTCTAGGCAATAAATCTCAAATTCCCCAAGTTTTGCTTAATATTTTTATAAGCATTTAAAAAGCACAACTCTCTGTGCCACAATCACATAACACTATTTGAGTCAGAAAACAACAGTCTCACAGTTAAGAAGGGGGAAAAGTTAAAAATAAATTATTAACTCTTTATAATACATTATATTTCCATGTTAGTAATAAGCTTCATATGTGGCACATTCATTTGAAATGTTTGCCCTTTCATTTCATCAATATTTAGGGGTTCCTACTATAGTTTCTATTTGTTTATGATGAAAAGCTCTCATTTGCCATCATTTCCCTGTTCAGTACTTGTGGAAGACTATTCAATTTCATGGAGGCAGCTGACTAATTACCTTTTAAACTTAGTTTAGGCAAAGTTGCATTTACCTTCTGTAGGTAAGTGTCTTCCAGTTTAATGATTTTATAAATTAGATTCTATCATCTCTTTAAAATTTTATTATAATAAATACTTTATTAGCTACCATATCAAGACTGTGCTTCTACTGTTTTCCTATCTTTAACGTTAGGAGCTTAATTTACATTTCTAGGGAGCATTTCTTTATGAAAATTGATCACTTTGAATGCATACAAAAAGATGAGAAGTGAATTTTAAAGTTTAGATTTGTTTGGATTTGGAAAAAGGCTTTCAGATAATTTTTTATATTTGTTAAAGACAAAAAAGACCAAAAAGTGTAAAGCAATGTCTATAGAATTCCTCTCCTCTCAAGACAAAAATAAAATTGTATATAAAACATTTATTTTAATAATCTACATGGTATACTTGTCTATTATCACAAATTCATACTATGACCTTACCCTTCATATGCTAGATGAAATTAAAATCAATGTAATATTTTACTCTTTATCAAAATAATCCAATCCAAATTCAGGCAATCTGAGTTCCATGTGAGTAATTTTAGGCACACCCCTAATCTCTGTGGGGCAACTTTTCCTCATCTTTAATTTAAAATTCCCTATGATGGTCTTTACTGTTTAGGGATATTCCATTGTCTAATATGGTTTCTTTTTTCAGAGTATTAAAATATTGACTAGCCAAAGGACAGGGAGTAATGTAATTCTAGCACTTCACAAATACAAAAAGGTATTTGGCCTGTTTCTCTTCCCCTGAGCATGAGAACTTCTTGGTAGCACATTAAACAAAAGAATGGTTCCAACTTAAGCTATCTCATTTAATTTCTTCAAAACTTTTGTTTCTTTTTTCATAATACTGTATAGCCTACTATCAAAAGAAGAACTAATAAAACACTCATTATAATTGAAACAGTAGCAAAGTATGCAAAAGAAGAAACATGAAAAAGCTAGTATGCCCCAAGGGAAAACATCCAGTTCCAGATGTAACCACATAGAAAAGCTGGAGAATAATAATTTTGATAACAATAATAGTGACCTTATCAAAGTATGTCCAAAAAATAATTAGAAAACCATTTGAGAAAAACCAATGAACAAAAAATTCACATTAGTAGAATAGAGCATCCTAGAGCCAGCAGGATGGTTACAAATATGATGCTTATGTGAAAACTAAATCACTGCATAAAATCTCAGAGGCCAGAGACAATGAGGACACAAAGAATAGGCTTCCAAAACTTCTGTTTCATTCACTTTCACCTTTTTGGGCTCTTTAGGCAGGAGGAGAATTCATTAATTTTCCCCAGAAACAGAGAAACAAATATTAGCAATAAGAGCAAAGAACAAAGCTCTAAGTCCAAATAAATGTGACATTAACCCCAGCACTTTTACCATGTGTTCATTCATAGAAGACAGCCTCATTTATATGAAGAGTCCTGGAATATGCTAATGTCATTCAGATGAAAAGGCAAGATTCAATTACATATCATAACCCTTGCAATATTTTAATGTTTCTCAGCTTCTAAAATTGCTGTTTTCCAGAGGCTTCACTGCTTGGTAGACTTCAAAATGCCACTTTATATATAAAAATCTAATGATAGAACATGAATATCTACACAACAACACAAATTCTCAAATCTTGACCAATCTGAAGTTTCCCCCTTCTTTTTGGCAGTTAAAAATAGTTACCAAACAGTCTACTCTTAAGTGAATAAAAATTTCCAGGTATTTTATAAGCTAGGATCTAAAAAATATACAATCAATAATAGATAAATGGTTTTAAGGGAAGAGTAAGGAACAGGGAATCAAAATCAGTTCAAAGATGTGACACCACCAATAACTTGTTATTTGATCTAAGCAAGCCACTTATCTATGCCTCAGTTTACTCACTTGTCAAATGATACTACTACTTTAACAGGAGTTTCTGAGAAAAAAATAAGAGAATATACATCAAAGCCCTTGAAAGAGTGAAAAGCACTATAACAGATTATATTATTAGTAAAATTAAAAGTCTAAAATCAACTCCTTGATGTAATCCTCCTTTTTGGTACACAGTTGAAAATTCTGTTACTTTCCATTGTATAACATGTCATATATAAAAGAATACTATACATATATGTATACATATATGCAAACATACACAGACATACATATGTATATGTATGTGTATATATACACAGTTTAAAAATAATTTTTTATTTTTAATAATTTAATAATTTATTTAATAATTTACTATACCCTGATATTTACCACTCATCTTAAGAAACAGAACATTACTAATACCTTAGAGGCTATTATATGCTTATTTTATCATATTTCTTTTCATTCACTCCAGACTGCTCTAAATTGTGTGCTAATTTTTTTGCTTGCTTTTACTTATAGTACTGCCACATTTATATATGTATCCCTAAATTATCCATGCATTCATCTTCCTTCTTTCCATCCATTAATCCTGCTTTCTGAACTTCATGTATATATATATATATATACATGCTATTGTATTTTTCCTTTAACTTCTGCAATACTTTTCTTAGAGAAATCTCTTGACATTATTTTTCACATATTTTCTAGGTTAACAAAATTTATTATACCCATTTAAAGCAGAGAAAATGGGGTATGGTGAAGCTAGAAACTTGCCACATTATATAAGCAGACAATGGACAAGTTTTTCTACAGTAATTCTTAAAGAAAAACAAACTAATGACTGTCTCAGAGCTTTACAGAACATTCACATCATTAGCTTCAATTAAAAAGAAAATATTTACTTAGTGCGAGTAGCACAATTCAGTTAATATTTCTACATTGACTTTACATAGCTTTCATATTAAAGAGGAAGGTATATTAAAAAGTATTGGTTATATAAAACCCCCAAATAATATTCAAATATTTCCTTAAAATGAAAACAATAACAAATTAAATAAGACCAAAAGAAGATGTATATTTCTTTGAGGAGATGGACTGTTAGGAAACACATAGCCTTACTATGGAATATTTTAATTAAAGAGGATGTCTCCTGAAATAAGTAATTAGTCTGACGCTAATCAATCCAAACATATCATTCACCTGAGCAAGTGATGGAAGAATCTCCTTGCATATTTGCTGATTTGATCTCTATATTCCAATATAGTGGAATCCAGAAGTGGTCTTGTTGGAGCATAGAAGGTTCCAAGGCTTGTCTCAAGCTGTGCTGTGGAATTCAAACATAGCAGCACTAAAACAAGTGAAAACTCCTTCAATTACAACAAAATACTCATGTTTGCAGTCAGTCAGGTTTTGCAGACTTGGATGAAACATGAACTTGTTGCAGGAAAGATAAAATTAAAATATGACAGCTGGTACAAAAACAAACCTGTGTATAAACTTTCACTTGAGGCAAAGCTGACAATGACTCTGAGCAACAAAAAGCTGTCAAAACTGAAGAAATCCATAATGAACCAACCTCTCACCACAAATGGGTAATTAAAACAGTGACTCATCAAAGTAACACAGTTTGAACTAGTACTTCCAGTAAAATCAACTCACAGTGTGCTAAACATTTACTGTCTTTGGCTAAAAGGAGAAAACTGACCTTTCTTCATTGGGAACTGAAATCGATATAGCAGAAATGTTCTTTAAAATAATACAAATAAACAGGCATATTGGAGTAGAAATATATCTCTATTGCAATTTTAAGACAACCGTGAAAGTCCCTATATCTTCCCTAAGTCCTGCCCTAAACAGCAAAAGTCTTGGTTTTATCCAAGTGTGAAAACTAAGACCTCTGGGAGAGGAAACAAGGACTGGAGAGGCAGGTTTTGATAAACTAGAGGGCTAAGACTGGGGGAAAGGGCACATTTTGCCTGTTTCAGAATTTTACCAAGACATGCTCATGGGACTAGGTTTTTTCCCAGAAATACCTGGAAGTTAAGTAATTACCATAATGGTGAGAGTAAGAGTATGTACGAGAACACTACAGTTCACAGTAAGACTTCTCTGATTTTTATGCTACTAGCACTGAGTTGAATAAACAATTCCTTATTTAGCAAAACTCTTTAGTTTTAGGCATATTTGGGTTTGAAAGTATTAAATACCTCATCAGAGTAATTACTATGGACTTGGCTAAGCTGTTAGTAATTTCTTTTTTTAATCTCAAATCTAGACAGTAAAGTAAGATGAACTTTAGGGGTATTTTCTTTCAAAGCAGCAGTCAATTTAGATTACAATTGAATACAGCAATGCTATTGTGAAAACAAGCCAGATTCTCTTGCCATTGCTTGTTTTCTTGACAGCATGTTTCGTACATCTGAAATATTCGAACCTACATGGAATACTCATAACTCCCAGCACAGCTGTAGATTCATTAGATAGCCCAGCTTGATGTTTAAGGCAGAAATGAAGATCTCAAAGATAACTACAATACGGCTACAAATAAAAGAGCTCACTGGGTTCCACTAATAAAAGGAAAACAAATTACCACGTCAAATTTGTTAGATTCAGATAGAATAAGTCTCAAGAGAGAAAAAAAATTGTGAATGTTTTAGAAATATGTTTTGTAGTTACTTGGAGGAAAACGCACACACCTACTTAAAATGTACATATTCTGATAACCCAGCATCATGCAAAAATTTTATTTTAATAGCCTAGTATCATACAAGCTTTTTATTTCCCTATCTCCCCAATATGGTTCCTTGAAAATATACTTTATTAAGGCAAGAATCTGATAATGCCCATTTGTGTATTCCCTAATAATCTTTCCTATAACACAGTAATCTTACAAGACAAATTCACTAAGGTGCTAGCAATTTTTCAGTGTGCTGAGGGTCAATATTTTATCTTTTTCATATTTCTTCTTTAACTGTAAATTTATGATCTCTTATATAAATTGTGTATAACATAAGCATTCTTTAGGGACCCTGCTTTTTAAAATTTTTTCTTTCATTTTTTTTTTAAGTATACACTCAGTCATTACAGTATATCAATACTAAGAAATAATTAGTTAAGATAACTGCAGGCAGCAATATTATAGTAGTACCTTGTACCCTAAAAATTATGGAGTTATACTCTTCTTTTTATTTTTAACTAATACTCATTGAGTACCGAAGTAGTGGGCCATGCACTAGGCATTTTCTCATTGTAAAAATACTGGAATTTCTTGGCCAGGCGCAGTACGGGCTCACGCCTGTAATCCCAGCACTTTGGGAGGCTTAGGCAGGCAGATCACTTGAGGCCAACCTGGGCAACATAGTGAAATCCCTCTACTAAAAATAGAAAAATTAGCTGGGTGTGTGGTGCACATCTGTAATCCCAGCTACTCAGGAGGCTAAGGCAGGAGAATCGCTTGAACCTGGGAGGCAGGCATTGCAGTGAGAAGAGATCATGCCACTGCATGCCAGCCTGAGCAACAGAGTGAGACTGTCTCTAAATAAAAAAAGAAAAATATCGGAATTTCCCGAGATAAATTTTGACTACCTCCAAAAAGAACATTTAATTAACATTAAATAAATATGTATTGTGGGCCACGTGTGACTTGGGCCAAGACCCACGATACAGACTTCCTGGAAAAGCATGTACTTACTAATTATTCTTCTCTAAAATTACTAAAATGAAGGTTACCTACAGAATTCTATCCAAACAACTTGTTTATTTTGGCAATGTAATAAAGTGGGATAAGAAAAATCTATAAAAATGCAAAGAAAGTAGAAAAGAAAAGCTCTTCAAGTAAAGATCTTTTGACATATTTCCTGTTCCTCCTATCTTGTAAATTACCTAGGGACAGTTTCTCATTCACCATGATTTTCCACCATTAATGTCAATGCTTACCACAAAGATATGAAAGATGCAAATGTTAGAATGTTTAGGTGCATTGTACATTAAGTAAATAACTTATAAGAAAAATAATACTATTAGATAATTGGCAAATATAAAGATTTATTTCATTATTGTATGTGTCACAGCATTCCCCACTGCCCCACCCCCTGACCTTAGTTTTTTTACCTTCTCTTTTAAAATTAAACATCTTAGATATATATCAACAAAATTACTTATTGGGCAAAGGTAAGGAAATCCAAGCAGGCAGAAGAGAGAAGAGTGTTACAACTATAAGTCAGAATAAGGAAAACAAGAAGGAGCGGCCTGGGCTACAATTCAGATATACAAAAAAAGGAAGTGTTAAGGACTATTGTCTGGACAGAGGACTTCGGTGTGAGAAAAAAATATTGATATCTAATGTGAGGGAGGAATAAAGACTTTTGTTTGGTGCCCTTTGTCTAGCAGACCCCACGGAGTACATGAAATTTTTGATCAAAGTTTGAAATCTGAGCATGTTCTGTCTGTGAGCTTAGACTGAATTGTACAATGACTGCACTGTAAGCTCCAACATAAGCATATACAGAAAAGCTGTTCTTTATGTTGACAAATACTATACAGTAAGTACTATATGGGAGCAATTATTTGATATCTGATCCTTTCAGTTTTAATAGAGCACTAACATTTTTATCATTTAATCTCCAATACCATGACTCAAAAACAACCTCAAAAAATAACTCAATAAAATCTATTTCATGTATATACAAAACTCATCAATGAAAAATATTTCAAGTCTGACCTTCTCTCTCTGGAGTGAGCTTCTGTCTAAGAAGATGGTTTACAATGGCGCTCATGCTGATAAAGCACTGGTGGCCCAGAGTGTCCCAGTTCATGCTGCTCAGGATGTTTATTGCCTCATAGATCTCATCACAGTGAATGTACTGGAAGATGATGTCTATCAGGCCCAGCTGTCCTCGAGTGAAGACGCCTATCACAAAACATGGAAAACCAGGTGAATCTTTTAAAATAAAATAGAATAACAAAAAGAGTTAATTTTTCCATAAAGAAAAAAACCTATATTGCTTGCATTAAGTGCTAGAAATGTGGGACTGATCTCCTTCTCAACTAATATTTGCTATAAGATACACTGATAACAACAAAAACACATCTGTTGATCCTTTTAAAATGAAAGAAAATTCACTTTTACTCTTAGGACCAAGAGCATAAAACAAAGATTGGGGGGTGGCATTCTGTTCTGGTTTTATTGTCTTTTAAATATGGCTGACCTCATTTGAAATTAATAATTTCTGTGTATTAAATGACAATAAGTACTAGCAAAAAAAACCAAGGTTTTTTGCTTGTTTTATGTAATTTTTTAAATCTTTTCAAAATGGTAGGTTACAAAATCTTTTTTTCTTCAATGTTTACTGATTAAAGTCTAAAAAACTTCCTCTCAGTACAAATAATCATGAAAGAAAATGAGAAAATGTATGTGAAATTACTTTTAAGCCACAAAGTAGTATAAAATATTACTGTAATTCTTTTTATTACTATCATCATCATCATCATTTAACTGGAATAGTTATAGGCTTCAGGATTTTAAAAAATGTATTAGTTCATGAGAAAGATGCTAAAATTCTTCATACTAACTTCAAATCACATCAAAATGAAAACTTGTGCTATTAACAGGACTCAACTTGATAGGGAATCTGGGGAATTGCCCTGACTATACTAAGCAGTAAAACTTTACTATTCCTTTTGTGTTGGTAAAATCAAAGAATGTGACCGTCCAACAGCCTTCATGAGCCTGCAGTCAGGCATTGGAAGTCCTCATAAATCAGGGTGGTTCCTTGGCAGTAGATATTAATTCATAGGAACTTTGCAGGAAACCAAAAATATCTGAAGTCTGTTGACTCCACCTATACCCTATGTAATACTTCTACTAGTAACAAGAGAAAGAACTCATCTATTGAGAAGAAAAGCTAACATATAATCATAATAAAATCATTGAAAGGTGATAAAGAGAAAATCTTAAAAGGCAACCACAGGAAAAAAAATACACTGGATGTACAAAAAAGCAAAGATATGAATGATTACAGATTTTGCATCTAAAATTATGTAATCCAGAAAACAATAACAAGACATTTTAAAAGTACTGAGAGGTAAAAAAATTAATCTAGAATTCTATACCTTTATAAAAATGATCCAAAATTCATGAAGAAAGATAACAATCCTTAAATGCACCTAATAACAGAGCTGTGAAATAATAAAGCAAAAACTGACAGAACTAAAAGGAGAAAAAGCCAGATCTAAAATTATAATTGGTGCCCAGGGGCAGTGGTTCATGCCAGTAATCTGAGCACTATGGAAGGCCAAGGCAGGCAGATCACTTGAGGTCAGGAGTTCGAGACAGGCATGGCAAACATGGCAAAACAGTCTTTACTAAAAATACAAAAATTAGCCAAGCATGATGGCAGGGGCCAATAATCACAGCTACTCGGGAGGCTGCAGCAGGAGAATCGCTTGCATCTGGGAGGTGGAGGTTGCGTTGAACCAAGATCACACCACTGCACTCCAGCCTGGGTGACAGAGTGAGACTCTGTCTCAATCAATCAATCAATCAATAAAATTATAATTGGAGATTTCAGCACTTTTAATAATCAAGAGAATATGTAAGCAAAAAATCAGTAAGTATAGGAAATACTTGAAAAACACTATCAATGAATTTGACCTAATTGACATTTATAAAACACTGCACCCAACCACAGTAAAATACATTCTTTTTAAGTGCACACATAACACAGACCAAGATAGAGCATATTCTGAGTAATATAATGAAGCTACATACATTTAAAAGTTTTAAAATCGTAAGAGCATTTTCTCTGACCACAATAGAATTAAATATCAGTAACAGAAAAATTATCTGGAAAATCCCCAAATATTTAGAAGTTAAGCAACATCCTTCTAAATAACCTATGGGTCAAAGAAAAAAATGTCACAAAGTATATTAGAAAATATTTTTAATTGAATTAAAGTAAGACCCAAAGTAAATGGAAGGAAATAATAAAGACAGTAAATAGTAAATAACAAATATAGAAAAATCAATGAATTCAACAGCTTGTTCTTTGAGAAGATCAGTAAAATTGACAAACTTCTGTCTCAGCTGAGAAAAAAAGAGAGATGATACAATTACCAATATAAGAATGATCACTACAGAACTACTGACATTTAAAATCAGTGAATAATTAGTTTTTATATGAACAAATATAACCTAAATGCAATGGATTCCTTGAAAGACCCAAACTATCAAAGCTCACTCAAGAAGGAATAAACTTGAATGGCTCTATATTATTTAAGTTTGAAGTCATTGTTAAAAAAACCTTTACACATACACACACACACACGTGCACCAATGCACACACATAATTAAACACGACCTGCATGTTAAGATGTCTTCACTGGTGAATTCTCTCAAACATTAACGGAAGAAATAATAAAGCCAGGAACAGTGGCATACACCTATTGTCCCAGCCTCACAGGAGGCTAAGGCGGGAGGACTGCTTGAGCCCAAGAGTTTTAAGTCCAACCTGGGCAAGACAGCAAGACTGTGTCTCTAAAAAAAAATAGTAATACGTAAAAAAAAAAAATTAACAAAAGAAGAAATAATATAAATTCAATACAACTCAAATTATAAGAGAGAATACTTCCCAACTCATTTCATGTGGTTAGAATTACACTGACACCAAAAATGAAGATATTACAAGAAAATAAAAAGAAAACTACAGACCAATATTTCCCATAAACAAACACAAAAACCCTTAACATAATATTAGCAAATCCAGCAATATATTAAAAAGATAATATACCATGAACAAGCAAGATTACTCCCACAAATGCAAGGTTGCTTAAACATCTGAAAGCCAATCAATATAATTTACCTTATGATGAGAAAAAAGAGAAAAAACCTATAATCATTTCAATTGCTGCAGAAAAAGCACTTGGAAAAAAAATTCAACATCCACTTAATATATCTCAGCAGACTAGGAATGGAAAGGGACTTCCTCAATATAATACCATCATACTTATAGTGAAAGATTGAATGTTTTCCACCGAAGATTGGAAACAAAGAAAGGATGTCCTCTCTTACCATTTCTATTTAATATTGTACCAGATGTCCTAGCTGTAAGAAGTGAAGAGAATAAAATAAAAAGCACACAGTTTAGATAAGATGATGTAACACTTCTAAATCCAGTTGTCATGGTCATCTATGTAGAAAATCCTAAGGATTCCAAGTTACTTCAGCTAAGAATGAGCTTAACAGGATTGCAGGATACATAGTCAATATTTTAAAAATTTATTTCTACATAATCCCAATGAACAATAAAAATTGTAATAAAAATATTTACAATATAATCCAAAAACATGCAATACTTAGGGATAAATATAACAAAGCATGTACAAGACCTTTACACTTAAAATTATAAAACTACGCAGAGAGAAACTAATGAACACCTAAATAATTGGAGAAGGGTACTACTTTTATGGATTAGGAGACTCAATATTGTTAAGAATCATTCCTCCCTAAAATGATCTATAGATCCAACACAATCTCAGTCAAAATCCCATCAGGTGAAACAAGCCAGTTTCAAAACTTATATAGACATGGAAAGGATCTAGAATAGTCAAAATAATAGGAAAAAGAAGAATAAAGTTGAAGGACTAACAGTACCTGATTTCAAGACTTACTGTAAAGCCACTTACTGTAAAGCCACAGGAATCAAGTC
The DNA here is from genome assembly GCF_000001405.40 of Homo sapiens. NCBI lineage: Eukaryota > Metazoa > Chordata > Mammalia > Primates > Hominidae > Homo > Homo sapiens. The sequence continues at coordinate 63,385,891 of NC_000002.12, forward strand.
AGAATGGTACTTGCTTAAGGTACAGACATTTAATTCACTAAAAGACAATACAGTTATTGATAGATCAAAGTAATTCAATGGGAGAAAGAATACTCTTTCTGACAATTGGTGCTGGAACAATAAATATTTATATTAAAAATTAATCTCAACCCATACCTCATACCATATGCAAAAAATTAACTTGAAGTAGACCATCAACCTAAATGTAAGAGCTAAACCCACAAAACTTCTATAAGAAAATCCTTGTGACCCTGCGTCAAAGAGTTTTCTTAGGACGTGAAAAGCAAAAGCCATAAAACAAAGAACATTATGAACTGAATTTCATTAAAATTAAAAACTTCTGCTACTTTATAAACAATGGTAAAATAATGAAAGGGTAAACTACAGGCTGAAAGAAAATATTCACAATACAAGTATCTTACAAAGGCCTTGTATTCATAAAATATACATAAAAAATCTCTTACAACTCAAGAATAAGTAAAGAAAAAATCCAATTAAATTTGGGCAAAAGATTTGAAGACATACTTCATCAGACAAGATATACAACAAATAAGCACATGAAAAGATGCTTGATTCCAACAGTCACCAGAGAAATGCAAATTAGTACCACAACACACTTACTAGAATGGCTAAAATTAAAATGACCATTAATTTCAAGTGTTAGAACTTGGAGCAACTAGAGTTCCCATAAATTGCTGATATGCTAAATGACACAATCATTTTAGAAAACAGTTTCTTCTAAAGTTGAACAAACACTTAGCATATGGCCCAGCCATTTTAAACTTGTAGGTTTTTGACAAGAGAAATGAAAATATATGTTCATACAAAGACTTGTAGATGAAAGTACATAGCATTTTTAATCTGTTAGCGAAAATCTGGAAACAAACCAAACGTCCATCAATATGTGAAAGGATTAAAAAACTGTGGCACAGAAATACAAAAAAAAACCCTCAGAGGATATTAGGAACACCTCTATGCACTCAAGCTAGAAAACCTAGAAGATATGAATAAATTTCTGGGAACGTACACCCTGTCAAGATTGAATCAGGAAGAAACTGAATCCCTGAACAGACCAATAACAAGCTCCAAAACTGAATCACTAATAAAAAGCCTACCATCAGAAAAAGCTTAGGAGCAGACAATTCACAGCCAAATTCTACCACGTGTATAAAGAAGAGCTGGTACCATTCCTACTGAAACTATTCCAAAAAAATGAGAAGGAAGGACTCCCTAACTCATTCTATGAGGCCAGCATCATCCTGATACAAAATCTGGCAGAGAGACAACAAAAAAAGGAAACTTATGGCCAATATCCTTGATACACGTAGATGTAAAAATCCTCAATAAATACTAGCAAATGAAATCCAGCAGCACATCAAAATGAAAAGCTACCACAAATAAGTAGGTTTTATCCCTAGATGTAAGGTTAGGTCAACATACACAAATCACTAAATGTGATTCATCACATAAACAGAATGAAAAACAAAAACCACACAATCGTCTCAATAGACACAGAAAAGGCTTTCAATAAAATCCAACATCGCTTCATGTTAAAAAAAAGAAAAAAAACCTCAACAAACTAGGTATTGAAGGAATATACATCAAAATAATAGAGTAACCTATGATAAATCCACAGCCAACATCATACTGAATGGGCAAAAGCTGGAAAACTGGAACAAGACAAGGATGCCCTCTCTCACCATTCCTGTTCAATATAGAACCGGAAGTCCTAGCCAGAGCCATCAGGCAAGAGAAAGAAATAAAACACATCCAAATAGAAGACATGAAGTCAAACTATCTCTGTTTGTAGAAAATATGATTCTATACCTGGAAACCCAATAGTCTGCCCAAAAGCTCCTAGATCTGAGAAACAATTTCAGCAAAGTTTCACGATACAAAACTAAAGTATACAAATCAGTAATATTTCCATACACCAACGACATCCAAGCTGAGAGCCAAATAAGCAACACAATCCCATTCACAAAAGCCACAAAAAGAATAAAACACCTGGGAATACAGCTAACAGAGAGGTAAAAGATCTCTACAACAGGAATTACAAAACACTGCTCAAAGAAATCAGAGATGACACAAACAAATGGAAAAACATTCAAAGCTCATGGATAGGTAGAATCAATATCATTAAAATGACTTTACTGCCCAAAGCAATTTACAGATCCAGTGCTATTCCTATCAAACTACCAATGACATTCTTCACAGAATTAGAAAAAAAAATAAACTAATTTGAGAGCCGTTCCAAGATGGCTGAATAGGAACAGCTCCAGTCTGCATCTCCCAGTGTGACTGACACAGAAGACGGGTGATTTCTGCATTTCCAACTGAGCCTCGACTGGTGATACCCAAGCAAACAGGGTCTGGAGTGGACCTCCAGCAAACTCCAACAGCCCTGCAGCTGAGGGATCTGACTGTTAGAAGGAAAACTAACTAACAGAAAGGAATTGAACATCAACAAAAAGGGCATCTACACCAAAACCCCATCTGTAGGTCACCAACATCAAAGACCAAAGGTAGATAAAACCACAGAGATGAGGAGAAATCAGAACAGAAAAGCTGAAAATTCTAAAAACCAGAGCGCCTCTTCTCCTCCAAAGGATCGCAGCTCCTCGCCAGAAGTGGAACAAAGCTGGACGGAGAATGACTTCGACGAGTTGACAGAAGTAGGCTTCAGAAGGTTGGTAAGAACAAACTTCTCCAAGCTAAAGGAGCATGTTCAAACCCATCACGAGGAAGCTAAAAACCTTGAAAAAAGTTAGACGAATGGCTAACTAGAATAAACAGTGTAGAGAAGAACATAAATGACCTGATGGAGCTGAAAACCATGGCACGAGAACTTTGTGATGCATGCACAAGCTTCAATAGCCGATTCAATCAAGTGGAAGAAAGGGTATTGGTGATTGAAGATTAAATTAATGAAATAAAACGAGAAGACAAGGTTGGAGAAAAAAGAGTAAAAAGAAACGAATAAAGACTCCAAGAAATATGGGACTATGTAAAAAGACCAAATCTAGGTTTGATAGGTGTACCTAAAAGTGATGGGGAGAATGGAACCAAGTTGGAAAACACTCTTCAGGATATTAGCAAGGAGAACTTCCTCAACCTAGCAAGATAGGCCAACATTCAAGTTCAAGAAATACAGAACACACCACAAAGATACTCCTCAAGAAGAGCAACCCCAAGACACATAATCGTCAGATTCACCAAGGTTGAAATGAAGAAAAAAATGTCAACAGAAGCCACAAAGAAAGGTTGGGTTACCCACAAAGGGAAGCTCATCAGACTACCAGCAGATCTCCCTGCAGAAACATTACAAGCCAGAAGAGGGTGGGGGCAAATATTCAACATTCTTAAAGAAAAGAATTTTCAACCCAGAATCTCATATCCAGCCAAACTAAGCTTCATAAGTGAAAAAGAAATAAAATCCTTTACAGATAAACAAATGCTGAGAGATTTTGTCACCACCAGGCCTGCCTTACAAGAGCTCCTAAAGGAAGCACTAAACATGGAAAAGAACAACTGGTACCAGCCACTGCAAAAACATGCCAAATTATAAAGACCATCCATGCTATGAAGAAACTGCATCCATTAACAGGCAAAATAACCAGCTAACATCATGACAGGATCACATTCACACATAACAATATTAACCTTAAATGTAAATGGGGTAAAAGCCCCAATTAAAAGACACAAACAGACAAACTGGAAAAAGAGTCCAGACCCATCACTGTGCTGTATTCAGGAGACCCATCTCACGTGCAGAGACACACATAGGCTCAAAATAAAGGGATGGAAGAAGATCTACCAAGCAAATAGAAAGCAAAAAAAGCAGGGGTTGCAATCCTAGGGTCTGATAAAATAGACTTTAAACCAACAAAGATCAAAAGAGACAAAGAAGGCCATTACATAATGGTAAAGGGATCAATTCAACAAGAAGAGCTAACTATCCTAAATATATATGCACCCAATACAGGAGCACCCAGATTCATAAAGCAAGTCCTTAGAGACCTACAAAGAGACTTAGACTCCCACACAATAATAATGGGAGACTTTAACATCCCACTGTCAATATTCAACAGATCAATGAGATAGAAGGTTAACAAGGATATCCAGGACTTGAACTCAGCTCTGCACCAAGCAGACCTAATAGACATCTACAGAATTCTCTACCCCTAATCAAGAGAATATACATTCTTCACAGCACCACATTGCACTTATTCTAAAATTGACGACATAATTAGAAGTAAAGCACTCCTCAGCAAATGTAGAAGAACAGAAATCACAACAAACTGTCTCTCAGACCACAGTGCAATCAAATTAGAACTCAGGATTAAGAAACTCACTCAAAACCGCACAACTATATGGAAACTGAACAACATGCTCCTGAATGACTGACTACTGGGTAAATAATGAAATTAAGGCAGAAATAAAGATGTTCTTTGAAACCAACGAGAACAAAGACACAATGTACCAAAATCTCTGGGACACATTTAAAGCAATGTGTAGGAGAAAATTTACAGCACTAAATGCCCTCAAGAGAAAGCAGCAAAGATCTAAAATTGACACCCTAACATCACAATTAAAAGAATAGAGAAGCAAGAGCAAACACATTCAAAAGCTAGCAGAAGGCAAGAAATAACTAAGATCAGAGCAGAACTGAAAGAGATAGAGACACAAAAAAACCTTTCAAAAAAATCAATGAATCCGGGAGCTGGTTTTTCAAAAAGATCAACAAAACTGATAGACCGCTAGCAAGACTAATAAAGAAGAGAGAACAATCAAATAGATGCAATAAAAAATGATAAAGGGGATATCACCACCTATCCTACAGAAATACCATCAGAGAATACTATAAACACCTCTATGCAAATAAACTAGAAAATCTAGAAGAAATGGATAAATTCCTGGACATATACACTCTCCCAAGACTAAAACAGAAAGAAGTTGAATCTCTGAATAAACCAATAACAGGCTCTGAAGTTGAGGCAATAATTAATAGCCTACCAACCAAAAAGTGTCCAGAACCAGACGGATTCACAGCCAAATTCTACCAGAGGTACAAAGAGGAGTTGGTACCATTCCTTCTGAAACTATTCCAATCAATAGAAAAAGAGGGAATCCTCCCTAACTCATTTTATGAGGCCAGCATCATCCTGATACAAAAGCCTGGCAGAGACACACACAAAAAAGAGAATTTTAGACCAATATCCCTGATGAACATCGAAGCAAAAATCCTCAATAAAACACTGGCAAACCGAATCCAGCAGCACATCAAAAAAGCTTATCCACCACGATCAAGTTGGCTTCATCCCTGGGATGCAAGGCTGATTAAACATACGCAAATCAATAAACGTAATCCATCACATAAACAGAACCAACGACAAAAACCATATGATTATCTCAATAGATGCAGAAAAGGCCTTCAACAAAATTCAACAGCACTTCATGATAAAAACTCTCAATAAACTAGGTATTGATGGAATATATCCCCAAACAATAAGAGCTATTTATGACAAACCCACAGCCAATATCATACTGAATGGGCAAAAACGGGAAGCATTCCCTTTGAAAACCGGCACGAGACAAGGATGCCCTCTCTCACCACTCCTATTCAACATATTGGAAGTTCTGGCTAGGGCAATCAGGCAAGAGAAAGAAATAAAGGGTATTCCATTAGGAAAAGAGGAAGTCAAATTGTCCCTGTTTGCAGAGGACATGATTGTACATTTAGAAAACCCCATCATCTCAGCTCAAAATCTTCTTAAGCTGATAAGCAATGTCAGCAAAGTCTCAGGATACAAAATCAATGTGCAAAAATCACAAGCATTCCTATACATCAATAATAGACAGAGAGCCAAATCAGGAGTGACCTCCCATTCAAAACTGCTACAAAGAGAAGAAAATATCTAGGAATCAAACTTACAAGGGATGTGAAGGACCTCTTCAAGGAGAACTAGAAACCACTGCTCAAGGAAATAAAAGAGGACACAAACAAATGGAAGAACATTCCATGCTCATGGATAGGAAGAATCAATATCGTGAAAATGGCCATACTGCCCAAGGTAATTTATAGATTCAATGCCATCCCCATCAAGCTACCAATGACTTTCTTCACAGAATTGGAAAAAACTACTTTAAAGTTCATATGGAACCAAAAAAGAGCTTGCATTGCCAAGACAATCCTAAGCAAAAAGAACAAAGCTGGAGGCATCACACTACCTGACTTCAAACTATACTACAAGGCTACAGTAACCAAAACAGCATGGTACTGGTACCAAAACAGAGATATAGACCAATGGAACAGAACAGAGGCCTTGGAAATAACACCACACATCTACAACCATCTGATCTTTGACAAACCTGACAAAAACAAGCAATGGGGAAAGGATTCCCTATTTAATAAATGGTGCTGGGAAAACTGGCTAGCCATAGGTAGAAAACTGAAACTGGATCCCTTCCTTACACCTTATACAAAAGTTAATTCAAGATGGATCAAAGATTTAAATGTTAGGCCTAAAACCATAAAACCCCTAGAAGAAAACCTAGGCAATACCATTCAGGACATAGGCATAGGCAAGGACTTCATGTCTAAAACACCAAAAGCAATGGCAACAAAAGCCAAAATTGACAAATGGGATCTAATTAAACTAAAGAGCTTCTGCACAGCAAAAGAAACTACCATTAGAGTGAACAGGCAACCTACAGAATGGGAGAAAATTTTTGCAATCTACCCATCTGACAAAGGGCTAATATCAAGAATCTACAAAGAACTCAAATAAATTTACAAGAAAAAAACAAACAACCCCATCAAAAAGTGGGCAAAGCATATGAACAGACACTTTTCAAAAGCAGACATCTATGCAGCCAATAGACACATGAAAAAATGCTCATCATCACTGGTCATCAGAGAAATGCAAATCAAAACCACAATGAGATACCATCTCACGCCAGTTATAATGGCGATCATTAAAAAGTCAGGAAAACAACAGATGCTGTGGAGGATGTGGAGAAATAGGAACACTTTTACACTGTTGGTGGGACTGTAAACTGGTTCAACCATTGTGTAAGACAGTGTGGCGATTCCTCAAGGATCTAGAACTAGAAATACCATTTGACCAAGCAATCCCATTACTGGGTATATACCCAAAGGATTATAAATCATGCTACTATAAAGACACATGCACACATGTTTATTGCGGCACTATTCACAATAGCAAAGATTTGGAACCAACCCAATGTCCATCAGTGATAGACTGGATTAAGAAAATGTGGCACATATACACCATGGAATACTATGCCGCCATAAAAAAGGATGAGTTCATGTCCTTTGCCAGGACATGGATGAAGCTGGAAACCATCATTCTCAGCAAACTATCACAAAGACAGAAAACCAAACCCTGCATGTTCTCACTCATAGGTGGGAACTGAACAATGAGAACACTTGGACACAGGAAGGGGAACATCACACACTGGGGCCTGTCAGCGGGTGGGGGGCTAGGGGAGGGATAGCATTAGGAGAAATACCTAATGTAAATGACTAGTTGATCAGTAAACCAACATGTCACATGTATACCTATTTATCAAACCTGCATGTTGTGCACATGTACCCTAGAACTTAAAGTATAATAAAAATAAATAAAATAAAAAAGGGGAAAAAAAAGAAAAACTAATTTAAAATTCATATGGAACCAAAAAAAGAGTCTGAATAGCTAACACGATCCTAAACAAAAAGAACAAAGCTGGAGGCATCACAACATACCCAACTTCAAACTATACCACAATGATGCAATGACCAAAACAGCATGGTACTGGTACAAAAACAGACACAGAGACCAATGAAACAGAATAGAGAGCCCAGAAATAATGCTACACACCTACAACCATATGATCTTGACAAAGTCAACAAAAACAAGCAGGGAAAGGACTTCTTATTCAGTATATTGTACTGGGATAACTGGCTAGCCATATACAGAAGATTGAAACTGGACCCCATCTTTACACCATACAGAAAAATCAATTAAAGATGGATTAAAGACTTAAATGTAAAACCTAAAACTATGAAAACCCTGCAAGGTAACCTAGGAAATACCATTTGGGCACAGGCCCTGGCAAAGATTTCATGACAAAGGCGCCAAAAACAGTTGTGACAAAACCAAACATTGACAAATGAGACTAAAGAAACAATCAACAGAGTAAACAGACAACCTACAGAATAGGAGAAGATATTTGCAAATTATGCATCTGACAAAGGTTTAGTATCCAGAATCTTAAGGAACTTAAACAAATGAACAACCAAAACACAAACAACCCCATTAACAATTGGGAAAGAACATAGACATTTCAAAAGAAGACATACATGCAGCCTACAACCATATGAAAAAATGCTCAACATCACTAATTATCAGAGAAATGCAAATCAAAACCACAATGAGATGCCATCTCATACCAGTCAGAATGGCTATTATTAATAAGCTAAAAAAAAAAACAGATGCTGGTGAGGGTGCAGAGAAAAGAGGATGCTTATACACTGCTAGTGGGAACGTAAATTAGCTCAGACATGGTGGAAAGCAGTTTGGGCATTTTTCAAAGAACTTGAAACAGAATTGCCATTCAACCCAACAATCTCATTACTGGGTATATACTCAAAGAAATATAAATTGTTCTACTATAAAGACACATGCACACGTATGTTTGTCACAGCATTACTCACAATAGCAAAGACTTGGAATCAAACCAAATACCCATCAACAGTAGACTGGATAAAGGAAATGTGGTACATATACACCATGGAATACTACATAGCCATAAAAAAGAATGAGATGATATGCTCTGCAGCAAGATGGATGCAGCTGGAGGCCATTATCCTAAATGAAATAACACAGGAATAGAAAACCAAACACCACATTTCTCACTTATACGTGGGAGCTAAACATTGAGTACTTACAGACACTAAGAAAGGAACAATAGACAACAGGGCCTAGTTGAGGGTGAAGGGTGGGAGGATGGTAAGGATCGAAAAACTGCCTATTGAATACTGTACTTATTACCTGGGTGACGAAATAATCTGTACACCAAACCCCCAAGACACGCAATGTACCTATAAAACAAACCTGCACATGTACCTCTGAACCTAAAAGTTAAAAAAATTGTGGTGTATTGACATAATGACCTACTGCTCAGTAATGTAACAAAAAAATACAGAAATACATACTAACGTTGAAGATTGTCACAGAATAATGCTGAGCAAAAGTACCAAGACACAAGAGTACCTTCTACATGATCCCATTTCTATGAAATTCTAGAAAAGGCAAATCGAATCTATTTTTTTATCTAAAAAATGTTTTTTATAGATTTAGGGATACAAGTGCAGTTGTGTTACATAGACATATTGCATTGATGAAGTCTGGGCTTTTACTGTACCTATCACCCAAACAGTGAACATTGTACTCAATAGGCAGTATTTCATCCCTCACCCCTCTCCCACTCTCTCACCTTTTGGAGTCTCCAGTGTCTATTACGCCACTCTGTATGTCCACGTGTACCCACTGTTTAGCTCCCACCTATAAATGAGAATGTGCAGTTTTTGACTTTGTTTTACAGCCATTTCACTTAGGATAATGGCCTCTAGCTCCATCCATGTTGCTGCAAAGGACATGAACAAATATAATCTATAATAATGGAAAGCGTATCAATGCTCATCAGCTTCCGGAGAGGTGGGAATTAACTGAAAAGGGCCTTGAGAGAATTTTTTGGGATGACGGAAATGTTCTATATTATGATTGTGGTGGTAATCATGAGGGTATATACATTTGTCAAAACTCATTGAACTGTACTTTTTTTTTGAGAAGGAGTTTTGCTCTTGCTGCCCAGGCTGGAGTGCAATGGCGCGATTTCGGCTCACTGCATCCTCCGCCTCCCAAGTTCAAACGGTTCTCCTGTCTCAGCCTTCTGAGTAGCTGGGATTACAGGTATGTGCCACCATACCCAGGTAATTTTTTTGTATTTTTAGTACAGACAGGTTTCACCATGTTGGTCAGGCTGGTCTCAAACTCCTGACCTCAGGTGATCCGCCCACCTCGGCCTCCTAAAGTGCTGGGATTACAGGTATTAGCCACCGTGCCTGGCCTTAACTGTACATTTTAAATGTGTGTATTTTACTTATGTAAATTATACCTCAATAAACTTGATTTTTAAAATTCATCATCACTCTAGTTTGAAGAAAGTAGAAGCCTGTCTAGAATAAAAGTTCATTTTAAATGATATGAGATCCAATTTTAAGATGAGTAGGCATCTAACAAAGTGTCTAGCATTTTCAGCAATAAATAACCTAATACCACTTGGGTAAAGTATAATGTTAAAATAACTCTTTGAAAATAACTCTTGAGGAAAATTGCTTTGTACCAAATTTCCAAGAGAAAAATCATACTGTTTGTTTTTTAGAAAGAGAGACAGACAGACATACACACACATACACACGTTGCCTGTGATTTTAAAAATTCTATGAGAGTGAAGATGTTAGCTTTAATTACCTCTTGTTTAACATCATCACTTGAACATGTAACCTTTTCCTAACTTTGCACACTCTATGAGGGCATTGTGGGGACACTTTAGGCAAAGGGAATACTATCATCACCAACATGGAAGGAGTGAGCGTGAGAGCACACACCATGGCTGGGAAGCTACACTAGTGCAACTCAGCTGGGGAGATAAAGACCAAGTGGCAGGAAAGGGCTTATCAACCACTAAAGTATTTCTCTTTTTTTTTAACTTTTATTTTAGGTTTGGGGATACATGTGAAGGTTTGTTACGTAGGTAAACTCATATCATGGGGGCCTGTTGAACAGATTATTTAATCACCCAGGTATTAAGTTCAGTACCCAATAGTTACCTTTTCTGCTTCTCTCCCTCCTCCCAAACTCCACCCTCAAGTAGACCCCAGTGTTTGCTGTTCATTTGTTTGTGTTCATGAGTTGTCAGCATTTAGCTCCCACTTATAAGTAAGAACATGTGGTATTTGGTTTTCGTTCCTGCATTTGTTTGCTAAGTATAATAGCCTCCATCTCCATCCATGTTCCCACAAAAGACATGAAGTATTTCAAGCTGGAGAATCCATGACCAAATCTGTACTGTTAGAAGGATCACTAGGATAGCACTCAGGGGATTAACTGCGGAGTAGGATGACAAGACTGGAAGGCAGAAGAATATAGATACAGGGCCTCTGCTTGATCATGGTAAAATAGAGAAGGTCTACATTAAAGCAATGACAGTGACGCTGAATTGAATGAAATGTTTTGACTGTATTTAGAAGGCCGAATCGATAGGATTTGGTCACTAATTGGATGTGGCATTAGGAGTGAGGGAGGATTCTAGAACGACTTTTGACTTGGACGTTCCATCTGAATAATTGTACCATTCACCAAAAAGAAGAATACGAGAGGAAAAGCAGGTCTGGAGAGAAAAAAGATGACTTCATGTCTGCACATAATGAGTCTAAGGCACACATGTACATCCAAGAGAAGTTATTCAGCAAGCCAGATGAATATGTGGATGTGGAGTCAGGAATGGTCTGGGCTGGAGTCAGAGATCAGATAACAAAACTGAAAATAAAGTATAAACCTGCACAAAGTGAGGGCTAAAAATGGAAGCCTGGATGGCCCCAACATTTTCATGAGTAGGCAGAAGAAGAGCATAAAAATGTGATAGAAAGTTGCATTTGGGATCATAGAAGGCTGTTTGATGAGGGTTCTGTGAAAGTGGGAGTGGTCAGCAACCATCAAATGCTGAAAAGTCATCAAACAATGTAAGAGACATGTATTTATCAAGTAGGAAGTGACTGGTGACTTTTCCAAGAGCAGTTCTGAGACACCGCAGAAGATACAGCCAGAGCACAGTGTTCTGAGGAGTGAGAAGTGAAGAAGCAGAGAAAAGGCAATGTTCAGTATTATTTCAATGAGTTTGGCTATGAAAGGAAGGTGAATATTAGATCAGCAACAGATGGGAAACCATTTTAGGGAAGAGTTTTGTTAGTCTGTTTTTATGGTGTAGTTTGGGCCTGTTTATCTGCTGCTGTTCCAAGATAGATGGGGCCGGGGAGGGTGACAAAGTAAAGGTGTCAAAGGGAATGTTATGGGATCCACAGAGCAAATAGTGGTGGCGCTAGTCTTGGACAAGAGGAAGGGATTCTTTTTCACTGAACTGAGAGGGAAAGATTCATGTGCATATTGATAAGTGGTTGAGTGGGGGCGTCGTAAGAAGCAGATAAACTTAATGAACTGACAAAAGGTGAGATGCTCTGTTGAGAGGAATAGGGAGCTGATAATGTGAGTTTAAGGAGAGCAGTGAAGGTTGGAAAAGGTACTGGTGAGAATGGAAAAGCTTTAATATCTTAATAGTATAATTAGGGCCTCCACTTTTTAAAATTAATCTCAGTCTATATATGAAGAAATATGTTATAATTATTGCCACATAAAGAGATTCTGAATACATATTGCTTTCTATAAAACAACATTTCTTGGCTTCCATGTAATGACACTTCTAATTACCTCCTAAGGAAGACATAATCTTTGAATTATTCTAATGACAAGAATGATGGACTTTTAATGCCCAACACATTTGTGTGATCATTGTAAGGATTAAGAAATGGAAGCTCTAGCCTTGGAGCAATGTTCCTTCAACATTACACTAACTGACCTAATCTAAGAGTCTAACTCCAAAAATCTTAGCATATTGGCATTAGGCACTGTCACGTTTACATATGAAAGCATTCTATTTTAAACTACGACCCATGATCTATCTTTACAATTTTAAATTGTAAGCTACACCTTTCATGTCAAATTTTCCAAAGGCTTGCATAACAAGCATCTGAAAAAAAAAAAAATCTCATAAATGCTCCCTAGTGGGAAAACTGCACATGCAACTACCTGTTTATATATGCAGTAACTTGAATTATACATGAAAACTCCACATGGATGCCCAGAATCAGCACTGACAAATTCAAGAAGTATATTAATTTTTTTGGATGTATTTAGTAGCAGATCATAAGAAAAATCTGTTCTTTATACTGGGTTTTCTTTTAAAAATCTGCTAGTTGGAATCTTCTATTTCAAGGAATCTACTCTTCCGAGGAAAAATACTTTGTAATAAATATTAATCTTATACATTAAAAATGAGAAACAAAACTTTAAAAAATCCTTGGAAATTCCACATTTAGATCTTTTAAAGAGCCTATAAGACTGTACAGTTTCCCTATTCTATAAAACTTAAGAGTCATATTGAAAATAAAATTTAAATGATAAATGTCAGTTGCAAAAGTTATCACCTTTTCATTTGAATGCTTGACTTCTATTGGATAATTCTCTTCCAAGAGACCTTCTTGGGAAAAAGAGGTGACAGCCAACTCATTGCCTAATTGATTTAGGAACAGTGCCCAGGGAGACAGTCCAATTAAGTTTACAAGCTGGCAATTAGCAGGAAGCCCTCTAAATCCCTACACTGAGAGCCTGTTTACTTTAGTAAGAAGGCAAATGTGCTAGAGATAGGAAGAGAAAGCTGTGCTTTTTGCAAAGCTGTTGTGAGTAGGCCCACAAGGGAGGGCTGAAGAAAAGCTAGGTGTACATGGGCAGAAAGCCTTCTGTTTGACAGGTAACTGGGTAATTTAGAGGGTGAAAGGAGAGATTGAGAGAGAGAGAGAGAGGAAGAAGGGCGGGGGGCGGGAAGAGAGAGAGACAGAGTATGTGAGAAAGAGAGAGCATGAGTGCATGCATGTGTGTGTGTTTTAACAGACATGCAAAACATCAAACATCCACTTTAATTAGTGTTGTGTATGGAGACATACAACTGTTAAACATGTAGTTAGGCAAAGTATAACTGGATTATCTCGTAATAAATGAGACTCCAAACATTTTTTTCTTGAACAATATTAACATTATGAATAGATTTAGCTGCATTTTTATTATGTGAAAAGAACATAGGTCTCACATTGTATGTATTATATCTTTCAGGTAAATCAAATCATGTTCACTAGATTTATTTCATGTATTCAACTTCAGAGACAAGCAGATCCATGAAAAAATAAAGTAAATTGAAAGCTATTTAACAAAGACTACAATGTCTTTAAAAATCTAACTTTGTACCATAGAGCCAAATTCCATAAAGGGTTTTAAAATGTATTTACCTATGTTTTCAAATAGCCATAATGTACATTAATTAAAATTTATTTTTTACACCTAAGTGAGGTTCTCTCAAGAATGTTAAATTGTAGAAATCTACCTAAAGTATATCATATATTTCAGGGCACAGCTAGTAATGCAAAGCTACAATAGGCAAGTGAATCATCATAATAACATTTTATTTTAAAGTCTCTTGGTTGATACATAAAAAATCAACTGGAAATGGATTAAAGACTTAAATATAAAACCCAAAAGTATAGAAATCCTGGAAGACAACTAGGCAATACTATCCTGGACAATAGGCAAAGATTTCATGACAAGGACGCCAAAAGCAATTGCAACAAAAGAAACTATGAATAGAGTAAACAGACAACCTACAGAATGGGAGAAAATATTTGTAAACTGTATATCTGACAAAGGTCTAATATCCAGCATCTATAAGGAACTTAAACAAATTTACAAGAGAAAAACAAACCCGTTAAAAAGTAGGCAAAGCCAGAGTAATTTACAGATTCAATGCTATTCCCATAAAACTACCATTGACATTCTTCACAGACTTAGAAAAAATTACTTTAAATTTCATATGGAACCAAAAAGGAGCCCATATAGCCAAGACAATCCTAAGCCAAAAGAACACGCTGGAGGCATCACACTACCTGACTTCAAACTATACTAAAGGCTACAGTAACCATAGCAGCATGGTACTGGTACCAAAACTGATATATAGACCAATGGAAGAGAAAGAAGAGACACCTCAGAAATAACACCACACATCTACAACTATCTGATCTTCAACAAACCTGACACAAAAACAAGCAATGGGGAGAGGATCCCCTATTTAATAAATGGTGCTGGGAAAACTGGCTAGCCATATGCAGAAAACTGAAACTGACCCCTTCCTTATACCTTACACAAAAATTAACTCAAAATGGATAAAGGACTTAAATGTAAAACCCAAAATCATAAAAACCCGAGAAGAAAACCTAGGTAATACCATTCAGGACACAGGCATGAGCAAAGACTTCATGACGAAAAAACCAAAAGCAATTGCAACAGAAGCCAAAATTGACAAATGGGATCTAATTAAATTAAAGAGCCTCTGCACAGCCAAAGAAACTATCATCAGAGTGAACAGGCAATCTACAGAATGGGAGAAAAGTTTTGCAATCTACCCATCTAACAAAGGTCTAATATCCAGAATCTACAAGGAACTTAAACAAATTTACAAGAACAAAACAAACAACCCCATCAAAAAGTGGGCAAAGGATACGAACAGACACTTCTCAGAAGAAGACATTTATGCAGCCAACAAACATATGAAAAAAAGCTCATCATCACCGATCATTAGAGAAATGCAAATCAAAACCACAATGAGATACATCTCACATCAGTCAGAATGGTGATTATTTACAAAGTCAAGAGGCCAGGTGCAGTGGCTCACACTTGTAATCCCAGCACTTTGGGAAGCTGAGGCAGGCAGATCACTTCAGGTCAGGATTTGAGACCAGCTCAAGACCACTTGAGGCTGGTTTGAGACCAGCCTGGGCAACATGGTAAAACCCTGTCTCTACTAAAAATACAAAAATTAGCCAGGCATGGTGGCACATGCCTGTAATCCCAGCTACTCAGGGGGCTGAAGCAGGAGAATTGCTTGAACCCAGGAGGTGGAGGTTGCCGTGAGCTGAGATCACGCCACTGCACTCCAGCCTGGGTGACAGAGTGAGACTGTGTCTCAAAAAAAAGGTCAAGAAAACAATAGATTCTGGTGAGGCTGTGGAGAAATAGGAACACTTTTACACTGCTGGGCATGTAAATTAGTTCAACCATTGTGGAAGACAGTATGGTGATTCCTCAAGGATCTAGAACCAGAAATACCATGTTACCCAGCAATCCCATTACTGAGTATATACCCAAAGGAATATAAATCATTCTGCTATAAAGACACATGCATGTTTATTACACAACTATTTAAGATAGCAAAGACATGGACCCAACCAAATGCCCATCAATAATAGACTGAATAAAGAAAATGTGGTACATATACACCATGGAATACTATGAAGCCATAAAAAAGAATGAGATCATGTCCTTTGCCGGGACATGGACGAAGCTGGAAGCCGTCATCCTCAGCAAACTAACACAGGAAAAGAAAACCAAACATCACATTTTCTCATTCATAAGTGACAGTTGAACAATGAGAATACATGGACACAGGGAGGGGAACAACACACACAAGGGCCTGTTGGGGGTGGGGAGCAAGGAGAGGGAGAGCATTAGGACAAATACCTAATGCATGCAGGGCTTAAAACCTAGATGACAGGTTGATAGGTGTAGCAAACCACCATGGCACATGTATACCTACGTAACAAACTTGCACATTCTGCACATGTATCCTGGAACTTAAAGTAAAATAAAAATAAAAATAAAATAAAAGTGGGCAAAGGACATGAACAGACACTTCTCAAAAGAAGACATACATGCAGCCAAGAAGCATATGAAAAAAAGCTCAGTATCACTGATTATTAGAGAAGTGCAAACCAAAACCACAATGAGATACCATCACACACCAGTCAGAATGGCTATTTTTTTTGAGACGGAGTCTTGCTCTGTCGCCCAGGCTGGAGTGCAGTGGCACGATCTTGGCTCACTGCAAGCTCCGCCTCCCAGGTCCACAAAGAATGGCTATTATTAAAAAGTAAAAAAATAACAGATGCTGGCAAGGTTGTGGAAAAAAGGGAATGCTTATGCACTGTGAGGGGGGAGTGTAAATTAGTTCAATCATTGTGGAAAGCAATATAGCAATTCCTCAAAGAGCTAAAAGCAAAACTACTATTTGACCTAGGAATCCCATTATTGGGTATATATCCAGAGGAATATAAATCATTCTGCCATAAAGATACATGCACACAAATGTTTGTTGCAGCACCATTCACAATAGTAGAGACATGGAATCAACCTAAATGCCCATCAATCACAGACTGGATAAAGAAAATGTGGTACACTGTGGAATATTATACAGCCATTAAAAAGAACAAGATAATGTTTTTTGCAGGAACTTGGACGGAGCTGAACGCCATTATCCTTAGCAAACTAATGCAGAAACAGAAAACCAAATACCGCATGTTCTCACTTATAAGTGGGAGCTAAATGATAAAAACTTATGAACACAAAGAAGAAAAAAACAGACACTGGGGTCTACTTGAGGGAGGAGGATATGAGGAGGGAGAGAAGCAGAAAAGATAACTATTGGGTACTGGGCTTAATACCTGTGTGATGAAATAATATGTACAGCAAACCCCCGTGACACGTTTACCTATATAACAAACCTGCATGTGTACCCACAAACCTACATAAAAGTTAAAAAAAATTCTCTTGGTTGAAATGGGCTATATTAATATATAATTTTATAGCTATTAACTTATCAACATCTATAAAAATACCTATCCTTTTGAATATTTTTATCCAAAAGAGAAACTAAAAGTTATACAGGTATCTTCAGCAAATTCTAACTAAATATCTGCTTTCTTTTCTTTTAAAACACTTGCTTCACACAATTCCAGTCTGGGAAGCAACAGACACCAATAATCTAAAATAATTTTTATAGAAAAATTATTCCATTCCTACAACACAGAATTTTTCAATGGACAAAGTAAGTCCTTCTAAAATATTCACATGTCTATTTCTTAAGGAATTATTTAGTAGTGTAGTTTATTTTAGAGCGTATCAAATGTAAAAATTAGGGCTTTTGAAGCATCATGATTGACAATTAGTGCAATTTACAAATTATTCAATATCTAGTGTTCCTTTGGCAGTTAGAAAGTCATCCACAAAAGGGAACTATATGGATATTTGAAAGGCAAACATATTTATGGGATGATAAATAGAAAAATCTACATTCTAAGAATAGTTTTATTGCCTTAATTATGTCACTATCCTAAACATTTTAATTTACTTACTCATCACTTTCCTTGACTTACCTAGTTTAAACAACAGCACACCCAAAGGTCCTCTTTCAAACCTGAGGAAGAGGAGATCATAGATATCACTACCTTCACCCTTCTGAGAAACAACCTGAGGAGCTATCCATTGCATTTGAACAAGACTGCTGGAGGCATCAAATAATTTACTGAATTGCAGAGTCTCCCTGGGTAAGCGGTCTTCAGCCAACAGTTGGATGTTAATAGGGGATAGAGCCATATCAAAAATTTGCAACTCCCCTTGGTTGCTGCCAACTAGCAGAATGGCACCACTTGGGTGGCAGCTTATTAATGAAGGCAAAAGTTCAGTCTGTGCTAAGAGAGTCACTCTACGGTGAGTTTCATAAAGAATTAGCGAAGAATCTTCACAGCCCAGAATCAGTTTGTCTTCAGTAACATTCCTGCAGCAGCTGATGGCCTTTGACTTTAGTGGTATTCTGGTGACTGACACACACTGGATTTTATTCCGAATGCATTCATAGATGCAGCTGTCAGCCATGGGCTCTTTGTCTACACTTACGGAGTGCTCCACTGTGAACACCTGATAAGGCTGTTTGGTGCCAAAGCGAACATCCAGTGGGTCCCATTCTGTGCGGACAGAACTCAGAACCTGTTAAGAAATATATCAAGTACATTCAGATAAACTTTGGTTTTTCTTCAACTTCACACCTAGGACTGCATATTTATTCAGAAACCTATTAAAGAAAATCAATTACTATCTTAAACATCAGCAACATACAAGTATATAAAGTACATATAGCACATCTATCTCATATACAGCATGTATACAAATATATATAGTGACACAGTGAGATCCTGTCTTAAAAAAATAAAAAATATACATATAGCACAGCTGCAAGAATTAAACTATAAGATTTTAACTTTAACAATTTGTTTTGGAAGGCCTGTAAATCACTTTAAATATGTTCCACAGTACATAAAAACTAAGAAAGTCAGCTTTTAGTAATATCATATGGTTAGCAGAATATCTTAAAAAGTTAAAAAGAATGAATAAGAACTTACCAACACAAAGTTGGACTTTAAATGATTAGTTAATCTCCTTCAACCTACCACCCTTGTCAATTCTGAAATTATTGGTAAATTGCTTATTAGAAATATATTTCTAATTAGTAGGGCTGGGTAGACAAAGGAAAAAACTTTAGAAACCTGTTAACAATCTTGTGGAAATATTTTACTATCAGAAAGGATATATAGGAATTCTAAGTAGACAAGTGACCAATAGAAAGAAATAATGTAATGTACTAGTTTTAAAATAAACATTAAAAAATTAAGACCTAGTATATATAGTCGGTCCTTGAACAACATGAGTTTGAACTGTAGGGTCCACTTATAGGTGGATGTTTTTCAACCAAATGCAAATAGAAAATACAGTATTCCCAGTATGTGGGAAATCTATGTAAACAGAGGACTGACTTTTCATATACTTGAGTTCCACAAGGCTAAGTATATGCAGATTTTGGTATAGTGTGTGTGTGTGTGTGTGTGTGTGTGTGTGTGTGTGTGTGTGTGTGTGTGTGTTGGCGGGGGTGGTCCTGGAACCAATCATCCACATATATCGAGGGACAACTGCAATATGATTTGTCAATCCTGGTGGAGTAAAATTTTAAAAGCATCTTTGGTATAGAAAGGAAAGGCTATCTACCAACATGGAACACAATGCAGAAGAACATCAAATAAAACCACAGGCCATTCACTTTATTCATATGTAAATGACAGGAGTCCAAGAACCAGGAGAGTGGTATTAAAGAAGGTCAGACCCAGAAATATTAAAAAACATATATCTACACGTTAAAATTTTATAGAACTGTACATCCCCCAGAAAAGGTGCATGTAAAATCTGATGAAATCCATCTAAGGTCTGCACCTGAGTTAACAGTATAGTAACAAGGTCATTTTCCTGTATTTGACAGTGTATTGCAGTAATGTAAGATGTCACTGGGGAAACTGGGGGAAAGTACAGAAAGAGCATTTACTGTACTGTTTAACAATTTCATGTGAGTCAAACTATTTCAAGATTAAAAGTCATTTTTTAAAAAAGCACATAGAGCTGTGTGGCAGAGTGCTGGATTGGGGAGGGGTGGGGAGTTGATGTGACTTAAAAAAAATCCATCCTACACCTTATCACCAAATTAATCTCCCTAAACTAAATGCTTTTGCCTTTACTCCACTCTTCAAACCGTTCAATGGCTACCCACTGACTAATACGTTAAATTTTTATTCCTTTGCCTGAACATAAACTGCCATAGGATCCATATCCAACTCCTTCCCTCCCTCACACTCTTTTTGCTGCAGTCATTTTCTTTTTTGTCCAATAAATATTTGAATATGAGCCATGTGCCAGGCACTGGTTCTGGGGGCTAGGGATATGACATTGCATAAAATCTTCTCGATCAGGGGCATACACTTGTAAAGGAGAAAAAGTAATACATTTCCCTCCTATCACAAGGTTCATAGCTGACACCCCCTATAACAAAAGACAGATTAATAAGAGAAAAGCTTAACGATTTTATGTAACCAAAGTTTTATGCAACATAGGTGCCTTCAGAAATGAAGACCCAAAGAACCAGGGAAAACTCTATTTTATGCTTAGGTTTGATGAAGAATTGATAGTCATATAGAAGTATGACTGGACAAAAAGCAGGTATGACCTAATGTACTGAGGGGAACTTAGCAAGTCCTATTTGTTCAGATTTTTCTCTGTGTCTCTGTGTACTCATTCCTTTCCTCCATGTACAGGGTAGACACTTGTCACATGAGGGTCTTATGATCTACTTTTAGGTCAGAGAATTCTTTTCATGGCTTCAGGGGAGAAAGGTGGAAGGATGTCAGAGAAAGAGAATGACAAAGACAAAGGGACCTTTCTGCTTCTGTGGTTTTCTCAATTTCCTTCAGCTTTAAACATTCAGTATGCCAAAAATGCCGTTATTTGGGGGTAGCACTTTCCACACACCATCACACCCTAATAGCAAAAACAGAGGCAATAATAATAAAAGCATATAGATATCCTAAACACTATGAAGTAAAATAAAGCAAAGTACAGGGAATAGGGAGTGGCTGGAGTGGGGCTCGGGGTGTGATACAGAGAGATCGAGACAGACCTCTCTCATAAAGGTGACCTGAAAGAGGCATGAGCCATGCAGCCATGTGGGAAAGGAGAGCTTCAAGCAGAGGAAACAAGCCCTGAGGTGGAATCTCTATTGGCCAGATCAAGGAGACTAATATAGCTAGAGAAGGGGAAGCAAGGAAGAAAGTCATGGGAAATGGGAATTGAGGCACAGGGAGGATATTGTGTGATAGCTTGTAGGCCACTAGGGACTTTGATTTTTTCTCTAAATCAGATGAGAGGCTGTAAGTTCTGAACAAAGGAGGGACATGATCTGCTTTGCAAATTCCAGTATTATCTCCTACAGTCTCCCCTCCAGGACCCCTACTCCAAGTTCAAACTAAAACCTGCCCCACATTTTCCCTGCTCTATAACTTCATTCATGTTTTTTGCCTGAAATCCACAGTCTTCACCTACACACTCTGTTTGTCCTACCAACCATACTTAACTAACCGTACTTACATATATGCTACACCAAAAGTATCCTCATTTCTTGGATTCCTTCTAGCTTCTGGCATCTTTAAAAAAATAATCTGTCTTATATATTTTACACTTTTTTGTACCTGTGTAGCAGCTAGCCAAAAACTGTGCTGGTAGGAAGTTTCTTAAGCTATGAATTAAAAGAAAATTGTAATGCTGGTTGAAATATCATACTTCCAGAAAGCTTAAAGATTTGCAAAGGAAGCCTTAGGGCAGATGATTGAGAGGCCAGGTCATGTCGAGTAGAGCCTGTACTCACAAAGGGGCAGCCTAAAAGAAGGGGCCCAAACAGATGGCAGTCTTGGACTTGAACAAGTTACGTTCATGATCCAGAAAAAAGGATCCCAGGCCTCCTTGTTTGCAAAGTTTGTGAGATGCTCTCTAATAGGCTCTGTAGTTTCACGAAGAAAACGGGGTAAAAAGTGGAGGTGGATGGGAGGCAGATCTAGAGTGCACCTCCAGACAGAGCAGTGTGTGGAGGCTCGCACTGTGAATTTTAGCCCAGATAGACTGCAAGAACAAACCAGCAGTCCCAAGAAGAGCCACAGACTCTCTGAAGGAAGCGGACTGCTCCTGCAGGACCCAGGAGACACCCCAAATACTGTGAGTGCCCCAACTGCGGAGTGGGAAAGGGAGAGCCTCCTCTCCTGAACACACCCCCAGAATGGAGAAACTGAAGGTCTGTTTGTAGGAGAGGTTTCTGACCTTAACTGGAAGTGAGTCAATTTAGAGAGTGGAGCAAAATACAGGGGTAGTGCAAGTAGCAGAAAGGCCCTGGGAGCTCACTATGTCCCCAAGCAGGCCATTCCTAACCTGATACCATAGGGATCCATTGAGGGGGTGGCCAGAAGGAAGACGGGTAAAACTCCACAGGGAGAAGGAAATCTCTAGCTGAACTGTGTAACAATTCGAACAGGACAAGACATCCGGGATGCACACTCCACAGCCAGGGGGAGAAGCAAGCCCTTTTCTTTCACAGCTAGGAGGCAGGTAGCCTAGGGCAAGTTTTCAAGCCTGGCTCGCCCACTGCCTGGAAACAGACTTGGGACTGTTGTGTGAGGCAGTGAGAGTGAGACAGGCCCTTTGGTTTGTGTGGGAGCTGGGTAAGGCCTGTGACTGCCGGCTCTCCCCGACTTCCCTGACAACCTGCATGACTCAGCAGAAGCAGCCATAATCCTCCTAGGTACACAAATCCAGTGACCTGGGAATGTCACCCCCATCCCCCACAGCAGCCACAGCAACACCCACCCAAGGAGAGTCTGAGCTCAGACACACCTAGCCCTGCTCCCACCTGATGGTCCTTCCCTACCCACCCTGGTAGTGGAAGACAAAGGGCATATAATCTTGGGAGTTCTAGGGCCCTGCTCACCACAGGTCCCTCTCCATAATACCACAGCTGATGCTCTCTGGAAAGCGCCACCTCCCGGCAGGAGGCCAACGACCACTAAAATAAAGCATTAAACCACCAAAGCTAAGAACCCTCACAAAGTCCACTGCATCCCCCACCACCTCCACCAGGACAGGCACTGGTATCCACGGCTGAGAGACCCACAGATGGTTCACATCACAGGACTCTGTGCAGACAACCCCCAGTACCAGACCAGAGCCAGGTAGACTTCCTGGGTGGCTAGACCCAGAAGAGAGACAACAATCACTGCAGTTTGGCTCACAGGAAGCCACATCCATAGGAAGAGGGGGAGAGTACTACATCAAGAGAACACGCAGAGGGACAAAAGAATCTGAACAACAGCCTTCAACCCTAGACCTTCCGTCTGACGGAGACTACCCAAATGAGAAGAAACCAGAAAACCAACTCTGGTAACAGGACACAACAAGGCTCTTTAGTACCCCCAAAAGATCACACTAGGTCGCCAGCAATGGATCCAAACCAAGAAGAAATCCCTGATTTACCTGAAAAAGAATTCAGGAAGTTAGTTATTCAGCTAATCAGGGAGGGACCAGAGAAAGGTGAATCCTAATGCAAGGAAATTCGAAAAACGATAGAAGTGAAAGGAGAAATATTCAAGGAAATAGAGAGCTTAAAGAAAAAACAGTGAAAAATTCAGGAAACATTGGAAACACTTATAGAAATGCAAAATGCTGTGGAAAGTATCAGCGATAGCATTAACAAGTAGAAGAAAGAAATTCAGAGCTGGAAGACAAAGTCTTCCAACAAAGGCAAAGAAAAAAGAATAAGAAAATATGAACAAAACCTCCAAGAAGTCTGGGATCACGTTAAATGACCAAACCTAAGAATAATTGGTGTTCCTGAGGAAGAAGAGAATTTGAAAAGTTTGGAAAACAAAATTGGGAGAATAATCAAGGAAAACTTTCCCAGCCTTGCTAGAGACATCCAAATACAAGAAGCACAGAAAACATCTGGGAAATTCATCGCAAAAAGATCATTGCTTAGGCACATTGTCATCAGGTTAAGACAAAGGAAAGAATTTTAAGAGCTGTGAGACAGAAGCACGTGGTAACCTAAAAAGGAAAACCTATCAGATTAACAGCAGATTTCTCAGCAGAAACCCTACAAGCTAGAAGGTATTGGGCTCCTATCTTCAGCCTCCTTGAACAAAACAATTATCAGTCAAGAATTTTGTATCCATTGAAACTAAGTATCATATGTGAATGAAAGATACAGTCTTTTTCAGACAAACAAATGCTAAGAGAATTTGCCACTACCAAGCAACCACTACAAGAACTGCTAAAAGGAGCTCTAAATCTTGAAACAAATCCTGGAAACACATCAAAACAGAACACCTTTAAAGCATAAATGACACGGGACCTATAAAACAAAAATACAACTTATAAAGCAAAACAATAAACAAAAAACCAAAAGTACACAGGCAACAAATAGCACTGTGAATGCAAGGGTGCCTCACATTTCAGTACTAACATTGAATGTAAACGGCCTAAATGCTCCACTTAAAACATACAGAACTACAGAATGGGTAAGAACTCACCTACCAACTACCTGATGCCTTCAGGAGACTCACTTAACACATAAGGACTCACATAAACTTCAAGTAAAGGGATGGAAAAAGGCATTTCATGCAAATGGACACCAAAGGTGAGTAGGGGTAGCTATTCTTATATCAGACAAAATAAACTTTAAAGCAACAGCAGTTAAAAGAGACAAAGAGGGACACTATATAATGGTAAAAGACCTTGCCCAACAGGAAAATATCACAGTCCTAAATATATATGCACCTAACACTGGAGCTCTCAAATTTATAAAACAATTACTAATTGACCTAACAAATGAGATAGATAGCAACACAATAATAGAGGGGGACTTCAATACTCCACTAACAGCACTAGACAGGTCATCAAGACAGAAAGTGAACAAAGAAAAAATGGATTTAAACTATACCTTGGAACAAATGGACTTAACATACAGAACATTTCATCCAACAACCACAGAATACACATTCTATTCAACAGCACATGGAACCTTCTCCAAGATAAACCACATGATAGTCCATAAAATGAACCTCAATAAATTGAAGAAAATTGAAATATCAAACACTCTCTTAGACCACAGTAGAACAAAACTAAAATTAACTCCAAAAGGAACCTTCAAAACCTTGCAAATACATGGAAATTTAATAACCTGCTCCTGAATAAGCACTGGGTCAAAAACAAAGTCAAGATGGAAATTTAAAAAATTCTTCGAACTGAACAACAATGACACAACCTACAAAAACCTCTGGGATACAGCAAAGGTGGTGCTAAGAGGAAAGTTCATAGCCCTAAACACCTACATCAAAAAGACTGAAAGAGCAGAAACTGACATTCTAAGGTCACTTCAAGGAATTACAGAAACAAGAACAAACCAAACCCAAACCCAGCAGAAGAAAGGAAATAATCAAGATCAGAGCAGAACTAAATGAAATTGAAACAAACAAAAATACAAAAGATAAATGCAACAAAAAGCTGGTGCTTTGAAAAGATCAATAAAAGTGATAGACCATTAGCAAGATTAACCAAGAAAAGAAGAGAGAAAATCCAAATAACCTCACTAATAAACGAAAAAGGAGACATTACAACTGACACCACTGAAATACAAAAGATCATTCAAGGCTACTGTGAACACCTTTACACACATAAACTAGAAAACCTAGAATAGAGGGAAAAATTCCTGGAAAAATACAACCCTTCTAGCTTAAGTCAGGAAGAATTAGATACCCTGAACAGACCAATAACAAGCAGTGAGATTGAAACGGTAATTTAAAAATTACCAACAAAAAAATGTCCAGGATCAGACGGATTCACAGCAGAATTCTAACGGACATTCAAAGAAGAATTGGTACCAATCCTTTTGATACTACTCCACAAGATAGAGAAAGGAACAACCTTCCCTACTTCATTCTATGAAGCCGGCATCACCCTAATACCAAAACCAGGAAAGGACATAACCAAAAAAGAAAACTACAGACCGATATCCTTGATGAACATTGATGCTAAACTCCTTAACAAAATAATAGCTAACTGAATCCAATAGCATATCGAAAAGGTAATCCACCATGATCAAGTGGGTTTCATACCAGGGATGCAGGGATGGTTTAACATACGCAAGTCAATAAATGTGATATACCACATAAACAGAATTAAAAACAAAAATCACATGATCATCTCAATAGATACAGAAAAAGCATTTGACAAAATCCAGCACCCCTTTATGATTAAAACTCTTAGCAAAATTGGCACACAAGGGACATATCTCAATGTAATAAATTTCATCTATGACAGTCCCACAGCCAACATAATACTGAATGGGGAAAAGTTGAAAGTATTCCCTCTGAAAACTGGAACAAGACAAGGATGCCCACTCTCACCACTCCTCTTCAACACAGTACTAGAAGTCCTAGCCAGAGCAGTCAGACAAGAGAAAGAAATAAAGAGCAACCAAATTGGTAAAGAGGAAGTCAAACTGTCACTGTTTGCTGACAACATGATTGTTTACCTTGAAAACTGTAAGTACTCCTCCAGAAAGCTCCTAGAACTGATAAAAGAATTCAGCAAAGTTTCTGTATACAAGATTAATGTACACAAATCAGTAGTTCTATACAACAGCATCCAAGCAGAGAATCAAATCAAGAACTCAACCCCTTTTATAATAGCTGCAAAAAAAAAAATGCTTAGGAATATACCTAACCAAGGAGTCGAAAGATCTCTACGAGGAAAATTATAAAACACTGCTGAAAGAAATCATAGATGACACAAACAAATGGAAACACATCCCATGCTCATCGATGGGTAGAATCAATGTTGTGAAAATGACCATACTGCCAAAAGCAATCTACAAATTCAATCCAATCCCCATCAAAATACCACCATCATTCTTCATGGAATTAGAAAAACAATTCTAAAATTCATATGGAACCAAAAAAGAGCCCACATAGCCAAAGCAAGATTAAGCAAAAAGAACAAATCTGGAGGCATCACACTACCTGATTTCAAACTATACTATAAGGCCATAGTCACCAAAAGAGCATGGTACTGGTATAAAAATATGCACACAGGCCAATGGAACAGAATAAAGAATCCAGAAATAAACCCAAATACTTACAGCCAACTGATCTTCGACAAAGCATACAAAAACATACAGTGGGAAAAGGACACCCTATTCAACAAATGATGCTAGGATAATTGGCTAGCCACATGTAGAAGAATGAAACTGGATCCTCATCTCTCACCTTGTACAAAAATCAACTCAAGATGGATGAAGGACTTAAACCTAAAACTTGAAACTATAAAAATTCTAGAAGATAACATTGGAAAAATCCCTCTGGACATTGGCTTAGGCAAGGATTTCATGACCAAGAACCCGAAGTCAAATGCAATAAAAACAAAGATAAGGCCGGGCATGGTGGCTCACACTTGTAATCCCAGCACTTTGGGAGGCCGAGACGAGCGGATCATGAGGTCAGGAGATCGAGACCATCCTGGCTAACATGGTGAAATCCCATCTCTACTAAAAATACAAAAAAATTAGCCAGGTGTGGTGGCGGGAGCCTGTAGTCCCAGCTACTCAGGAGGCTGAGGCAGGAGAATGGTGTGAACCTGGGAGGTGGAGGTTGCAGTGAGCCAAGATCCAGCCTGGGCTACAGAGTGAGACTCTGTCTCAAAAAACAAACAAACAAACAAACAAACAAAAACAAAGATAAATAGCTGGGACTTAATTAAACTAAAGAGCTTTTGCAAAGAACAAAAGGAACAGTCAGCAGAGTAAACAGACAACCCAGTGGGAGAAAATCTTCACAATCTGTACATCTGACAAAGGATTAATATCTAGAATCTACAACGACCTCAAACAAATCAATAAGAAAAAAAAAATCCCATAAAAAAAGTGGGCTAAGGACAGGAATGGACAATTCTCAAAAGAAGATACAGAAATGGCCAACAAACATATGAAAAAATGCTCCACATCACTAATGATCAGGGAAATGCAAATCAAAACCACAGTGCAATACCACTTTACTCCTTCAAGAATGGCCATAATCAAAACATAAAAAAACAGTAGATGTTGGCATGGATGCAGTGATCAGAGAACACTTCTATGCTGCTGTTGGGAACGTAAACTAGTACAGCCACTATGGAAAACAGTGTGGAGATTCCTTAAAGAACTAAAAGTAGAACTACCATTTGATCCGGCAATCCCACTACTGGGTATCTACCCAGAGGAAAAAAAGTCATTATATTAAGAAGATACTTGCATAGCACAATTCACAATTGCAAAATCGTGGAACAAATCCAAATGCCCATCAATCAACAAGTGGATAAAGAAACTGTGATATATATATACACACACATATACACACACACACACACACACACACATATATATACACACACACATATATACATATGATGGAATACTACACAGCCATAAAAAGGAATGAATTAACAGTATTTGCAGTGACCTGGATGAGATTGGAGACTATTATTCTAAGTGAAGCAACTCAAGAATGGAAAACCAAAAATCTTATGTTCTCACTGATATGTGGGAGCTAAGTTATAAAGATGCAAAGGCCTAAGAATGATACAAAGGACTGTGGGGACTTGGAGGAAGGAGTGGAAGGGGAGAAGCGATAAAAGACTACAAATATGGTGCAGTGTATACTGCTTGGGTGATGGGTGCACCAAAATCTCCCAAATCATCACTAAAGAACTTACTCATATAACCAAATACCACCTTTACCCCAATAAGTTATGGGAAAATAATAAAAAGAGGAGTAAGACCATGGACTTATGTACCCCCTTTCCCCAGCTGCCAATCCTAGATTACTCTTAAAAGCCAGTCAAGGCCAGAGGATCACTTGCTGTCTTCTCAACTAACTGTCCACGTAATGATAGATGGCTAACACTCATTTAAGGGTGGAAAATGTCTTGCACAGCATAATTAAAGATACCATAAAAGTTTAAAGATTAAAAAAATACTTTAGTATAATCCCAGTGCTTTGTAATGCCAAGGCGGGAGGATTACTTGAGCCCAAGGGTTTGAGACCCACCTGGGCAACTTAGCAAGACCTCGTCTCTACAAAAAAATTAAAAAATTAGCCAGGCACGGTGGCACGTACCTATAATCCTAGCTACTCAGGAGGCTGAGGTGGGAGGATCACTTGAGCACAGGAGTTTGAGGCTACAGTGAGCTAGTATCATGCCACTGCATTCCAGGCTGGGTGACAAAGCAAGACTGTCTATAAAAAAACAAAGGAAAATACTTGAATGTGCATAAGTTTCCGTAAAGAGTAACCTCACCAATAATAATAGTAGTAAGCAAGAAAATAGGATACTGTTTGACTTTTCATGCATTGTCTTATTTAACATTTTCAATACCCCAAAGTTAGGTATTATAATCTGCATTCTAAAGATAAGGAAAGTGAGGGTCAGAGATGGTATAAATTGCACCTGGTCCCACTAATAAGTGATAGAGTTGCAGTTTGAATCCAGGTCTGTCTGACTCTAAAAACTAAGATCTCTGCAAGACATGCTGCATGTTGTCAAGCATAGGTAACTAATAAGTTTACATGACTGTATCAGCTTTTCCTTTATACAATCAGAGAGAGGAAATGGGAACCACAGGGCACTGGGAACCTTAAGTGAGGCTGAGGGAGCCCCCACAGAAGAAAGAAGAGTGAGAAAAAGGTGAAGGGACTGAAAAGAGGGCAAATGATAGTAGAGCCTGTTAACTTTGGGGTGGAAAAGAAAGAAGCTTGTGCTTTTTGTCCAGTAGCTAATAATATAGGTAACTTTGCTCTGAATGGTTGAAAAAGTTTGGAAGGGGAAGTTCTTAATAAGCTGACTTCTCATAAAGATGCTTCATTCTTTTATTGATTGATTTGTACTAAAAATAAAGATAATGCTTTGTAAATGTAAATGAAAAAAATTCCTAAAATGAACCAAATAAAAACTAAATTATCTCCTCAAAACAAAAATTATACAAATACAAAACATTATTGCTAGTTTTGCATCTGTTTATATAGAAGATAAAAAGGAAAACTAAGTTCGTCCTATGCTGTTGCATGAAATCTTTTTTTTCCTTTTTTTTTTTTCTTTTGAAACAGAGTCTCGCTCTGTCACCCAGACTGGAGTGCAGTGGTGCAATTTCCATTCACTGCAACCTCCGCCTCCCGGGTTCAAGTGATTCTCCTGCCTCAGCCTCCCGAGTAGCTGCGATTACAGGTGCACACCACCACACCCAGCTAATTTTTGTATTTTTAATAGAGACAGGGTTTCGCCATGTTGGCCCAGCTGGTCTCGAACTCTTGACCTCAAGTGATCCACCTGCCTCAACCTCCCAAAGTGCTGGGATTACAGGTGCGAGCCACCACACTTGGATATGACATTAGCATTAACACCAAAAATACTTTTTTTTTTTTTTGAGACGGAGTCTCGCCCTGTTGCCCAGGCTGGAGTGCAATGGCACAATCTCAGCTCACTGCAACCTCCACCTCCCTGGTTCAAACGATTCTCATGCCTCAGCCTCCCGAGTAGCTGGGATTACAGGTCCCCGCCACCACGTCCAGCTAATTTTTGTATTTTTAGTAGAGACGGGTTTTCACCATGTTTGCCAGGCTGGTCTCGAACTCCTGACCTCGTGATCTGCCCACCTTGGCCTCCCAAAGTGCTGGGATTACAGGTGTAGGCCACCACACCTGGCCCAAAATACTTTTATGTTTAAAGTATTTTAAATACTTGGGTTCAGAATATAATTCCAAGTTGGACCTGACCCTGTATAACAGCCACAGACAACACCGTACAGTTAAAAAGGCAAATAACAGGGCCTGACCCCTTGTTTTGACAATAGAGAATGCTGGGATCTTGAGCAAGATCATCTCTTAGAACTGAAGTTTTCTCATCTCTAAAATAAGGATTTATTCACTTGTGTTACAAGATTGCTGCACAAATTAAAAATAATGTAACTAAATGCAGGGGACAGGAGCACTGAGTAAATAGCGGCTATTATTGTTGTTTCTAATGAGAAAGCCCTGGATTATTTGGCAAGAAGAGCAGAATGAAACAAAAAAAGAATGAAAAACACAGACACTAAATAAAATCCATATTTGGTTATTTAGAATTTATGGCTGATATTTATATAGTGCAAACTGTTTTAAACATAGTAAGGATGTAGCTTGGAAGTTAATATTAAACTCATTTAATTGATTTATGAAATTTAACCCTGTAGTTGGCATATGGTAGTAGCTCAATAAAACACTATTGATGGAATACATTTCAAATAAAATATACATTTCATCTTTAATTTCATAATTTTAAATTTATTTTTATTCATACTTAACAATGTGATTTTTAAAGATAACCAATATTATTAGAATGAAATATTTCTGTTTCTATGTCTATGAAATAATGAAAATAATGTCTATGAAAATAATAAATTTGTATACTGCTATGATAAAGGTATCATGTACTATAATAAACAAGAAACAAGAATAAGCATATAGAGATAATAAATCTGCACAGGGAAATGTTTATAAATAATTTGATTCACACAGCACAGACCCTTGGTGCAAAAGTTTAAGTTGATCAAGAAGACTGAAATGACATCAAATTATATTATATTAAATTATATTAATATTAATATATATTTATATATTAAATTATAGTAATATTTTTAATTGAAAGAAAAAGTAGATTGGAATTTCAATTAAAATTTTGAAATAAGACATTTTGTATTTAAAAAGTAGGGAGAAATGGACAATCATCAATAAAAATGGGCTCAGATAAAATATGGCAATCAATAGAAGAAAATTCATTCAGTTCTTCTAGGAAAATGCTAATGTGATAGACCAAGATGATAAAGTGCAAATACCTGCATTTTAGCAGCTTTAAAGTTATTAGAGTATACTCTGTTGACTAAAGAACTATATAAAGACAAAAATATGTGAATATATTTCCTAGCTATAAGACTTTCTGTTAGCAGATCCTTGCAAATAAGAAGGTGAAAACATCAAATAGAATTATGTAGTTATTGAAAATACCTAGAAAAAACCAGACTTTTAAAAATCCAAACTTGTCCATACTAAGACATCTCTCATCTTATATTCATGCAGCTGGTTTTTCTCCCAAAATCAGCTTAGGTTGAATTACTAGTCAAGAGATGACCAAGTCCAAGATATGATGCTAAGAAAAAAGAACGAAATATATGGTGTGTAATGAAGGGAGAAATGCTAAATGACAACGATCTGAACAAAAGCACAAAGGAGAAAGAAGAATCCAAAAAGATAGGATAGTGGTTGGTGACATTAGTGTAATCTATCAAGATTAATTTGAAGTCTACTCCCATCTTCCATGAGGCATGCTTATTGTTATCAACAAACCTCATGATCAAGAATTCCTTCACTTACTGGGTTCTTGGTCTTAATCCTGTCTTCAGGTACTTCCTAGACTTGGTGAATTCTGAAATCTAATAACTAAAGAGTCTTAAAATACATGTTGGGGATTTCAGGAACTGGTCATTAGAATTCAAAAGAGAATGCCTGTGATAACGAACAGGGTAAAAAGTTCTAACAAAGGCATGGTGAAAAGGCAAACAGTAAGAAGGGGAAAAACAGTATAGATAATTAAAGGAAGAAGAAAAAACTTTTATGAGGTGAAAAGTCTGATGAAAGTCTAAAAATCTAAAGGAAAATATCTCTGTTTTAATTCTAAGGCAATAGGGTAGGACAAAGAAGAAAAGCACAGAAACACAGGCAGTGAGTTAGCTAAACCACAGGCTACGCAGTATTAAAAATGGCCAGGGAGGGAAGACTGTTACACAAGAAACGGATGGCCAGCGTCCAGTGTTTTGTTTTTCTTGTTTGTTTTTTTGCTTTTAAAGAAAACTGTGTGGTAAAGAAAGAAATGGTGAGAACTGAAAAATTCAAACTAACAAAGAGTAGAAAAGATAAAGAGTCCCTAAAAGTCCTGGGATTTCCCAATTTCAAAGATGAACAAGGTAGTAGTTTATCCTTCAGTGTATCTTTTGTTTTTGTTTTTGTTTTTTGAGATGGAGTCTCACTGTGTCACCCAGGTTGGGGTGCAGTGCTGTGATCTTGGCTCACTGCAACCTCCACCTCCCGGGTTCAAGCAATTCTCTGCCTCAGCCTCCCGAGTAGCTGGGATTACAGGCACCCACCACCATGCCCAGCTAATTTTTGTATTTTTAGTAAAGACGGGGTTTCATCATCTTGGCCAGGCTGGTCTTGAACTCCTGACCTCATGATCCACTGGCCTTGGCCTCCCAAAGTGCTGGGATTACAGGTGTGAGCCACTGCGCCCGGCCCCTTAAGTGTATCTTAAAGTGATTGTTTCAGCCAACTATAAATCAGTCATACATTGTCTTATTTAAGGTTGAAACCTGCTGAAAAATGCATCACTGAAATGATTCATTTTCATTTTTAAAAAGCTACATTTGAAAAATGTAGTTAGAATTGATCCAAATGCCATCAAAGATGGAAGAAAAATAATCAGTCAACATGATTGACGCCAATCTCTGGAAGATATTTAAAATCAGGAAAACACAAAAAGCAGAAAAACAATAGTCAGAGATAGGCTTAAGATCCTCATGTTTCATGTTTCAGGTATGGAATATATCTATTATAATCCTTTTAAGGTCACCTGATATATAAATCAGGAAAAAAAATTACTTAAAGAGTGGCCTTTTCTGGAACTGAAAACTTTCACCAGTAAGTGCCAGTAAGTAACCAAGATGTTTCATTTTCCTGTAGGTAAACATTTAATGTTTCGATTATTTTTTGCTATTACATATTTTTTGCTATTACAATCATTTAAAATATTATGCAGCAACCAAAAGTTCTTAGCTTATCAGCAGAATTTTTTTCTGAAATCTATTTCCCTCCTTACTTTGTGGAAATTTTTAGAAACAGGAGATAAAAGGTATACTTTATTTTTACTTTTTTAAAAGGTACACTTTATTTTTACTTTTTTAAAAGGTACACTTTATTTTTACTTTTTTACCATGATGCATTCAAAACACATAAAATCAGAATAATATGATAAATGTGAAAACCAGTTTCATGAAATACTATCCTTTTGCTTCATTTCTTTTAATGAAATAAATATTGGCCAGGCATGGTGGCTCACGCCTGTAATCCCAACACTTGGGGAGGCCAAGGTGGGCAGATCACCTGAGGTCAGGAGTTTGGGACCAGCCTGACCAACATAGAGACACCCCATCTTTACTTAAAAAAAAAAAAAAACAGAAAAATTAGCCGGCTATGGTGGCACATGCCTGTAATCCCAGCTATTCGGGAGGCTGAGGCAGCAAAATCACTTGAACCCGGGAGGTGGAGGTTGTGGTGAGCCGACACGGCACCATTGCACTCCAGCCTGGGCAACAGAAGTGAAACTCCATCTCAAAAAAAAAAAAAAAGAATGAAAGAAATATCATAGATAAAGTTAAGGCCTGCCAAATCCTATTCCCTTGCCTCTCTCCCCAGATGCAACACTATTATGAATTTGGTATTTAATCCTATGCATACTACTACTTCATCATCAATCAAGAACAATGTGTTATAGCATTATCCTGAATGTTTTAAAATTTTATGTAAATGTTATTGTATTTTGTCATACTGTAATTTTTTTGCTCAACTTATTCTTTTCAGATTTCACATGATCACATAGCTCTAGTTCAGTCATTTAAACTGCTGTAGAGCATTCCACCCTCTGAATTCACCACAAGATGTTTTCATTTTCCTGTTGGTAGGCATTTAAGTTGTTTCTAATGTATTTTTACTATTACAGTGATGCTATGAACACTATTGTACATGCCTCTTTGTGCACATGGGCCAGTTTTTCTTAGTGTAGGACACTCACCTTCAATTATATTACCTATTGCTAAACTGCTCTCCATTAAAGTTTACTGATTTACTCTACCATAATAGTGAATGAGAGTTCCCTATTGCTCTACATCTTTACTTATTCAAATTATCAATTAAAAACAAAATAGTAGCAATTGTTTTCAAATGGATACCTCTCTTATTTGTAATCGTTTTCAATGAAATCTGTCATTTGTATACAGGATAAATATATAAATGTCTTACCAGAATAAAAAGAAAAGTTTAGAAAAACATACATATTTACTAGTAAGTATAAGCATTTTCTTATGCATACTTTTGGGCATGTGAAAGTTACAAATTATGTTTATATTAATAAAATCCTCCAATCCACAGAACTAGTTGTTATAACAGTCAACACAATATATTAAAAACTTTATTTCATTAAAAAAACAGGCAAATAGATCAATGGAACAGAACAGAAAGCCCAGAAATAGACCCACACAAATATAATCAACTGATATTTGACAAAGTAGCAAAGGCAATTCAATGCAGAAAGGATAGTCTTCTCAAGAAATAGTGGTGGAACAGCTGGACATCCACATGCAAAAATGTGAATCTAAACACAGGCCTTAAGCTTTCACAAAAAGTTGGTTCAAACTAAAGGTGTTCATCATGACCATAAACACGGCATCCCTAATTCTGGAGAGTTGTCACGAGGAGTACTACAGATTTTTAATGTCTCTAAGTCCCCACATAAAACAGACAGTTAAACTAAAGGGCAAAACCCAAAACCTACAGACAACTAGATGAAGATTAAAAGAAAGAGAACATTACATGTAGTGGTAGTAATAGCATGATTATCTTGAAACTGTTAAGTGTGTACTGTGGGTTAAAGTAAATGAGAAATTATGGGATATTCCTATTCATCCCGTGTCCCTACAAACTAGGATTTTTGATACAGAAAGAAGGAGATATAAATGTAATACAGAAGAGGTTAAATTAAAAACTCTGTAGTCCTGAATTTGAGTTGTAAGTGTTGGCATGGACTCATTACGAATATGTATATGTATAAAATCTCCAACTCTTTCTACTGAAGAAACCTAGAAACAATAATCAACCCAAAAACAACAGCCTAATATCCCTAACACCCTGACTCAGGCGTAAAATACCATTTTCCATTAAAAAGGAAACCACAGTGTCTTGGAGAAATGACTAATTCCAGGTGTGGGGCAGAAAATATACAAGATAAACAAGGAATATACTATCACACCAGATAGCAGAGAAGCTACCCAAGACTGCTGAGGCCATACAAAAAGAACAGCCAACCTGAAGAGCCTCCCACTGGCCTAAGATGGGACAATCTGAGCTTCCAAAGGATTACAATTATAATTTAGGACCCCATCAAATCAAATGTATTAAAATTCATGAATTAATAATGCTATTTTAAAAACAAAAGCTAACAGGGCACCTTCAGAAAGTACTAGAGAATCAATTCATTATCTCAAAAACTGGTAAATAGAAAATAAACAGACATTTGTCCTGTTTACCCTATATAAGTACAACCATTGGGAAACACATAGGAGTTGAGTGGAAGTGTCTCTTTATAGAAGTATCCCAAGTAATCAATGAAAAATAAATAACATAATTATAATATTACCATTTTGCAACCCTAATGAATTAATGGATCTAGGCATTGAACATTGAATAGCTGCTAACATCAAAAAAGAGAAAGAACTGAGAGAAAATATGAAATTATGTGCCTCCTGACGAAAGACACACCATCTCATATAGTCTTGCCAAAACTGACTACTAACTTGAGGAATTTTCAAATAACAGAGAAACATATTGAACCAAACATGAATATGCAAGCAATAAAATCCAGACTGTGGGACACTACAGTTTCAACAGACAAATTTTACAGAAAAAGAAAGGATGGATGGGGGACTTCTACATTAAAAGAGATTTAAGATATACATTAAAATGTCTTAAGTGGCTAATATTAAACTATGGTTTCTGGGGATGCACACTCGGTGATAAAAGCTATATGGGTATACAAGAAAGTGATAAAAAGTCATGATAGTAGTTACTTTGGAGGACAGGGAAGAGGTTAAGATCATGACAGAGCACATGGAGGTACTTCTGGGTGCCTGCACAGTTCTATTTCCTCACTTGGGTGGTGGTTTCAGGAGTGTTTCCTTTGTAATAGCTCATTAAACTATGCATTTATTTTGTGTGGTTTTATGTGTGCTTTATTTTATAATAAAGAGGTTTCTTTAAAAATTGCCATCCCTAAAGCAGAATATCTTTGTCACTGGTTGAAAGCTAACACAGTATATGCATTTTTGGGGAAGACAGGTTTCTTAAGTATTTTGCCTTTACAGTTGGATGCATTTATAATGCCTTCTGAATGCCTATTGTGACAAATTACATTAATAGTTGGTTACATTATTACTTTCCCATAAGTTACTGCTCTTGAAAAATCCCTGGAAAATTAGTTTTTTCTTCTTATGGGAAAATTGTTTTCATAATGTTATGTTTCCCTGACAACATATTTTAAGGTTTAATAGCTCTGCTTATATATTTTTGGTTAATTTGGTAAACAAATTCAAGGACCTGTTCTGAGTAAGAGATCATGAAATTACCACCATACTCAGAAAGCATTATCAAGTCTACACATCTGAAAAGTTAAAGTACCTGCTTAGATACTAAAGGGCAGAATAAGTTGCCATCACGTGATTGATACTGGTTCACATTACTGATAAAAGTTGGTTCAAGCTGAAGGTGTTTGTTGACAAATGAATTAGGTGACAAAGCAAATGAATAAAATACTAGTTCTAGGAGGATGGTAATAACTTTCCAAAAAGAAATATTAAAAGTATGTGGAGATTAATGAGGGATAAGATGGCCAACTAGACACAGCCAGGACGTACCTCTACCACTGAGAGAGACGAAAATATTGAGTAAGCCAAGGTACTTGGAACAGATCTTCAGAGAAAAAACACTGACATTCAATAGAGAGGGATATAGACACGAAGCTGAAGATGGAAGAAACTAGGAACCCTGCATAGGACTGCTGAGCACCAGGACAGCAATCCTGGCCCTGAACAGCTCCTAAGGAAGGGGTGAGTGAAGTGATGGCAGGGGAACGCTCTCTCGCCGCTTACCTCTGGGATTCTAGCTACAAGAGATCCCACAACCCCCATACACGTTTGAATTGGCAGGGGTATCTGCCCAGAGAGTAAGCAGAGACAAAGCTTCAGCCAGCATGGAGCCCAGGGAGGCGCGCGGTGTGTGTTGGGGGCGGGGGTGGGAGAGGGGGTGTGCGTCAGCCCTTGTAAGTGGGGCAGCTGCAGCAAAATGTGGTCATAGGTTCTCCATTTTCCTCCAGGTAGTTCTATCCCCCAACTGACCACTGAGCCAGGAGAGAAGAGGACTGTCTTTCTCATAAGACTGAGGCATGACTGTTCTTCACACCCTCGTTGTCCACCAGCCCCTCCCAAGGCCCCGCTTGGCCACTCCTGCAAGAGTGTGTACATAGCACAGCCTCCACTGCCCAGCCTGAGTGCTTTGCTGGTGGCCTTGGAGCACTTTGACTGCCCCAATATGGCCGGTACCCAAACCAGGGGCCAGAGAGCGAAGCTGCAGGCCCAGTCCCAATCCCCCAGGGTTACAGCACACAGCTCAGGGGAGCCAAGCTGAGATCTGTGGCCAGCATGTAAGCGGGGGAAGAGCTCCCACTTTCAGAACACTCAGAAGAGTGAAACATGGGTATTCGTGGGCTGGTGTGGGCCTGGGGCATGCCTCCCTCCACAGGGTTATCTGGGAAGGGTATAGCCTGTCTGCCAGCCACAGCCCCTATCTAAGAAAGCCTGAGGCCTAGAATACCTAACAAAGGTATTGGGCGCGGTGCGAGTGATCGGAGGGGGATCCCCAAGGCCCGGGAATGGATCTGGCGAGGGGCTTATCTTTCCCCCTACACCACAGAGAGATGCTGCGAATGTGCTGAAATACAAGAGCCACGTGGCTAAGAACTTATCTGCCAGTCATTACTCTTAAGCGCCATCTACTGGATTGCAGCCTAAATTACAACACAAAAAATACTCTTCCAGTATACATAGCTTGTGAAACCGAGAGCAAGAATCTAGCCACACATGAAGATCCTGTGCAGACACTTGGCCTTCTGAAAGCATCCAGAAACAAAGCCTATTGACTATACTCAACTTGAACCACAGTTAAAAACTCAAGGGAAATAAATTATATAAAAACAAAAAGCCCCATTCAACGACAGCAAATCCAAAAAGACAATACCAGCCCGCTCAGATGAGAAAGGATCCGCACAAGAACTTTGGTGATTCAAAAGTCAGAGTGTCCCCCTACCTCCAAACAAGTACACTAGCTCCCTAGCAACAGTTCTTTACCAGATTGAAGCAACAGAAATGGCAGACATAGAATTCAGAATCTGGGTGGCAATGAAGCTCATCAAGATTCAGCAGAAAGTTGAAACCCAATAGAACCCAGTGAATCCAGTAAAATGATTCAAGAGTAGAAAGATAAAACAGCCATTTTAAGAAACAACCAAACTAAACTTCTGAAACTGAAAAATTCACTACAAGAATTTCAAAATACAATTGGAAGCATTAACAACATAATAGACTAAACTAGGAAAAGAATCTCAGAACTCAAAGACCAGTTCAAATCAAC
The DNA here is from genome assembly GCF_000001405.40 of Homo sapiens. Classification (NCBI taxonomy): domain Eukaryota; kingdom Metazoa; phylum Chordata; class Mammalia; order Primates; family Hominidae; genus Homo; species Homo sapiens. The sequence continues at coordinate 63,425,657 of NC_000002.12, forward strand.
TCAGTAAGACAAACAATTTTTAAAAGAATTTTTAAAAATGAGTAAAACCTCTACAAAATATGGGATTATGTAAAGAAATCAAACCTATGACTCACTGGCATTTCTCAGAGGGAAGAAGAGAGAGTAAGCAACTTGGAAAACATATTTGAGAATACAGTCCAAGAAAACATTCCCAATCTCCCTAGAGAGACTGATATGCAAATTCAAGAAATACAGAGAACCCATGCAAGATACTATAAAAGACAACCATCCCCAAGGCACATACTCTTCAGATTGCCCAAAGTCAACATCAAAGAAAAAATCTTAATGGGGCCTAGACAGAAGGGTCAGGTCACTTACAAAGGGAACTACGTCAGGCTAGCAACAGACCTCTCAGCAGAAACTTAAAAGGCAAAAGAGGAGGCCGGGCATGGTGGCTCACGCCTGTAATCCCAGCACTCTTGGGAGGCCGAGGCAGGCGGATCATGAGGTCAGGAGTTCGAGACCAGCCTGGCCAATATGGTGAAACCCCATTTCTACTAAAAATTACAAAAATTAGCTGGGCGTGGTGGCGCACACCTGTAGTCCCAGCTACTCAGGAGTCTGAGGCAGGGGAATCGCTTGAACCCAGTTTAAGCGGAGGTTGCAGTGAGCCAAGATCACATCACTGCACTCCAGCCTAGGTGACAGAGTGAGACTCTGTCTCAAAAAAAAACAAAACAAAACAAATGGCAGAAGAAATAGGTTAGGGGCCTATTTTCAGCAACTTTAAAGAAAAGAAATTCCAACCAAGAATTTCATATCTCACCAAACTAAGCTTCATAAGTGAAGAAGAAATAAAATCCTTTTCAAACAAGTAATGCTAAGGGAATTCATTACCAGTACACCAGCCTTACAAGAGGTCCTTAAGGGAGTGCTAAACATAGAAACAAAAGAACAATACCTGCTACCACAAAAACACAAGTAAGCACATAGCCCACAAATACTATAAAGCAACTACACATCAAAAGCAACTAAACATCATCTACAAAACAACCAGCTAGTAACACAATGACAGCATCAAAATCTCACATATCAGTATTAACTTTGAATGTAAATGGTCCTGACATCCCACTTAAAAGGCATGGAGTTGCAAGTTGAATAAAAAGACAAGGTCCAAGTGTTTATTGTCTTTAAGAGAGCCAATTCACATTTAACAACACCCACAAGCTCAAATTAAGGAGAAAGATCTATGAAAGGGGAAAGAAACTATGGAGAAAGATCTATCATGCAAACAGAAATCAAAAAAGAGCCGGGGCCACTATTCTTACATCAGATAAAACAGACTTTAACAATAGTCGAGAAGGACAAAGAAGGGTATTACATAATAACAATAAAAAAAGGTTCGATTCAACAAGATGATCTAACTATCCTAAATATATATGCATCCAACACTGGAGCACCCACATTCATAAAACAAATTCTTCTTGACCTATGTGAAAGACTTAGCCGCACAATAATAGAGAGACTTCAACAACCCACTGATAGCATGTGACAGATCATCAAGGCAGAAAATTAAAAATGAAGTTCTGGACTAAATTGCAACACTTGACCAATTGGACCTGATAGACATATAAGAGAATACTCCACCCAACAACCACAGAACATACATTCTTCTCATCTGCACAAGGGACACACTGAAAAACTGACAACCTCCTTAGCCATAAAGCAAGTATCAATAAATTTTTTTAAAAATCAAAATCATACCAACTATACACTTGGACTACATTGCAATAAAAATAGAAATCAATACCAAAAGTTCTCCCAAAACCACAAAATTACATGGAAATTAAACAACTTACTCCTGAATGACTTTTGAGTAAACAATGAAATTAAGGCAGAAATTTTAAAATTTTTTGAAATCAACGAAAACAGAGACACAACATACAAAATCTCTGGGTGAAAGGAATGTTAAGAGGAAAATTTCCCGCAGTAAATGCCTACATCACGAAGTTAGAAAGCTCTCAAATTAACAATCTAACATTGCACCTAGAGGAACTAGTAAAAAAATAACAAATGAACCCCAAAGGTAGCAGTAGAAAAGAAAGCCAAAATCAGAGAACAGAACAAAATTGAAACACAAAAATCCATACAAAAGATCAATGAGACCAAAAGTTGTTTTCTGAGAGAATAAACAAGATTAATAGAGTGCTAGCTAGATTAATAAGACAAAAAGAAAGAAGATCCAAATAAGCAGAATCAGAAATGACAAAGATGACATTACAACTGATCCCAGAGGAATGCAAAAGATCCTTAGAGACTATTATGAACATCACCATGCATAAAACTTAGAAAATCTGTAGGAAATAGATACATTCCTGGAAACACACAACCCCTCAAGATTGAACCAGAAAGAAAGTGAAAACCTGAACAGACCAATAATGTGTTCCGAAATTGAATCAGTAATAAAAATCCTACCAACCAAAAAAAGCCTTGGACCAGATGGATTCACAGCCGAATTCTACCAGACGTAAAAAGAAGAACTGGTACCAATCCTATTGAAACTATTCCAAAAAAAAAAAAAAATTGAGGAGGAGGGACTCCTCCCTAACTCATTCTACGAAGCCAGCATCATCCTGATACCAAAATCTGGCAGAGACACAACAAAAAAAGAAAACTTCAGGCCAATATCCCTGATGAACACAGATGCAAAAATCCTCAACAAAACACTAGAAAACCAAATCCAGCAGTACATCAAAAAGTTAATTCACCACAATCAAGTAGGTTTTATCCCTGGGATGCAAGGTTGGTTCAACATACACAAATCGATAAATGTGATTTGTCACATAAACAGAACTAAAGACAAAACCACATGATTACCTCAATAGATGCAGAAAAGGCTTTCAATACAATCCAACATCCTTTCACAACACCCAACAAACTCGGTATCGAAGGAACATACCTCAACATAATAAAAGCCATCTATTTCAAACCCACAGCCAACATCATACTGAATGAGCAAAAGTTGGGAGCATTCTCCTTGAAAACTGGAACAAGACAAGGATGCCTACTCTCACCACTCCTGTTCAATATAGTACTGGAAGTCCTTGCCAGGGTAATCACGCAAGATTTTTCTACACCAGTAATGTCCAAATCAAGATTGCAATCCCATTCACAATAGCCACAAAAAGAATAAAATGCCTAAGAAGACAGCTAACAAGGGAGGTAAAAGATCTCTGCAATAAGAACTACGAAATACTGCTGAAAGAAATCAGAGACAACACAAATAAATGGAAAAACATTCCATGCTCAGAGATTGGAAGAATCATTCTTGTTAAAATGGCCATAATGCCCAAAGCAACCTAGAGATGGAACAGAATAGAGAACCCAGAAAAAAAGTCACACACCTACAACCATCTTGTTCTTCAACAAACTTGACAAAAATAAGCAATGGGGAAAACACTCCCTATTCAATAAATAGTGTTAGGATAGCTGGCTATTCATGTGCAGAAGAATGAAACTGGAACCCCTCCTATCAGCATAAACAAAAATTAATTCACGATTAAATTAAACAAAAATTAATTCACTTAAAAAACTTAAAGGTAAGACCTCAAACTATAAATATCCTACAAGGAAACCTAGGAAACACCCTTCTCAATATCAGTCTTAGCAAAGAATTTATGGTAAAGTCCTCAAAAGCAAATACAAGAAAAACACAAATTAAGAGGGGCCTAATTAAACTAAAGAGCTTCTACACAGCAAGAAACACTATAAAGAGAGTAAACAGACAACCTACAGAATGAGAGAAAATATTTGTAAACTGTGCATCCAACAAAGGTCTAATACATAGGATCTATAAGGAACATAAACAAATCAAGAAGCAAAAAACAAATAACCTCTATAAAAAGCGGGCAAAGGACATGAATTTCTCAAAAGAAGACATACAAATCGCCAACAAACATATGAAAGAATGCTCATAATCACTAATCATCAGAGAAATGCAAATCAAAACCAAAATGAGATACCATCTCACACCAGTCAGAATGGCTTTTGTTAAAAGTCAAAAAATAACAGAAATTGGTGACGCTGCAGAAAAAAAGGGATACTTACACACTGTTGGTGGGTATGTAAATTAGTCCAGCCACTGTGGAGTGCAGTCTGGAAATTTCTCAAAGAACTAAGAGTTGAACTACCATTCGACCTAGCCATCCTATTACTGGGTATACACTGAAAAGAAAATAAATCATTCTACCAAAAGGACGTGTGCACCTGTAAATTCACTGCAGTGCTATTCACAATAGCAAAAACATGGAATCCACCCAGGTGCCCATCGAATGGTGGACTGGATAAAGAAAATGTTATACACACACACACACACACACACACACACACACACACACACACACACACCATGAAATACTATGCAGCCATAAAAAAGAACAAAAGTATGTCCTTTCTAGCAACAGGGATACAGCTGGAGGCCACTAAGTGAATTAATGCAGGAACAGAAAGGTAAATACAACAGTTCTCTCTTATAAGTGGGAGCTAAACACTGGGTATACACGGACATAAAGAGGGAAACAATATACAGTGGGGACTAATAGTAGAGCAGGGAGAGAGGGAGGAGGACAAGGACTAAAAAACTACCTACTGGGTACTATGCTCACTACCTGGGTGATGGTTTCGATCATACCCCAAACCACAGCAACCTGCAATATACCTTTGTTAACAAGCCTGCACAAGTACCTCCCAATTCTAAAATAAGTTGAAAAATAAAAGAAAGAGTATGTGGAAATTCAAATGAAAACAACTACCATGTTATATGTGATGATCTACATAGAGAACATTAAAATATATTAATATTTTTAAATGAATTTACTGACAAAATTTTTTTCTGTACTATTTACTGTATATTTTTCAAAAGAATTTTTTCTTAGACTACATAATTCTCTCTGTTCTGTTCTTCTAATTAAGATATGGACTGTTGGGCTGGGCGTGGTGGCTCATGCCTGTAATCCCAGCACTTTGGGAGGCCGAGGCGGGCAGATCATGAGGTCAAGAGATCGAGACCATCCTGGCCAACATGTTGAAACCCTGTCTCTACTAAAAATACAAAAACTAGCTGGGCGTGGTGGTGCATGCCTGTAGTCTCAGCTACTTGGGAGGCTGGGGCAGGATAATCACTTGAACCTGGGAGGCGGAGATTGCAGTGAGCTGAGATTGCGCCACTGGACTCCAGCCTGGTGACAGAGCGAGACTACGTCTAAAATATATGTGTGGACTGTTGTTTAGAGTTCTGTGGTGTGAAATTAGACCAGCAGTTTTCTAATATCCATAAAATAATTTAAAAATGTTTCTCCTCTGAAAATCACATAATTCAGTCACAGAGAGCTTATTTCTATGTTTCCTTTGTTTTGTTTTGTTTTCAGCTGCTTGGTAAGCCAATTTTCTACTTAGAATCTACTGTTAAAACTCGCATTTGGTTCAGTATGTGGGCTTTATCCTTTTCATGGTCTGTTATGTAAAAAAGATGGCTTAAAAAACATTTTTTTTAAGTTTGCTGTATAGCAGTGGTTCTCAACTTGGATGCCCACGAAAATCGCCTAGGGAACCTGTAAAAGATACTGATACTCCCTCCCCTCCAGAGATTCTGATGTAACTGGTCTGGGTGGGCCTCTTTTAAAAGCTCTGTAGGTGATCTTAATGTGTTGTCAAAGCTAGGAACTACTGCTCTAGGATCCTGCCATTGTCCAAATAAAAGCTTATCTTTTCTGATAGAACCTAGATGGTAAATGCTTTTTAAAAATTCTATAGTAGATCCAATGATTAAATTTCTTCTCTACAAGGCTGTTTTCTTTTTTTAGTTTGAATTTTAGGGTTTAAGAGCATATTGTATCTTTATTCTGATGATTAGTCCAAGAAGTCCCTTGGCTGCTACTGAAAAAAAAAAAAAATTAAAGGAATATGCCTGAATACTACTTTAATAGACTGGTACTTTTGGTTCACGATATTCTAAAAAAAATTCTATACTTCGTATTTAAAGATTATGTCTTCACACACACACACACACAAGAAAAACAATTAATGCCCTAGAAATTTCTTCTACAAGATTATACTTTTTGCATAATGACTTTCACATGAAGCTCTAAAAAAGAAATCTTTACAAATTTTTCCAGTTGCTAGAATAACTAAAAGGGCCAATTCCTAAAACAAAAGCTCTTGAGAAAAAAATGAATTATATATCTTAATAAGATCAAAAGGGAGGAAATTATACAATCAGTGGTGAATAAAGAATCATGTAGAAATTTGCATACAACTTTATGAAAAAATATTCAAATGCATAAAATGAATAATTTTCTATAAACACCAATTGTGGAAAAAAAAGGAAAAAAACAACCCTTTAAAAATGGAATCAGTAATGAAAAAAATCTACCCTCCTTAAAAGACGTCACACCCAGGAAGTTTTACAGGTAAGTTTTATCAAACTTTCAAGTATCAATTCCTTTTGGTACTGTTACAGAGAGGAGAAAAGGAAAAAGCTAGCCAAATCGTTCCACAGAGCTAATAATATCAACTCTAGAAAGGTGAGATAAGAAAGGATAATTTTAAAAAGTAAAATTGTGTGCCAAGCTCATATTTAAGCACATTGGGAAGCCTCTTCAATCTTCCCTACTTAACATCTCTCTAAGTAGAATCGATCACCACTTTCTGTTGGGTCCCACTATAGCTTACACATACTCTACCCACAGCACCATTAACACTTTAATGCACTTACACATTTTCATATTTGTCTCTTATTGGCAGACACTAAGATCCTTGAAGGCAGGGACAGTTTCTTATTCATATCCCCTGGTATGAAATACAGTGTTTTTCATACCAGGGGATATGTAGTTGCTAAATGACATGGCTATTTCAAGTAGAAATACCATTAATGTGCACATGCAGAGGTAGGAAATAATGAGTCAGCAAGTAAATTCATTTGACTAAGACATGGTTTATGTAAGGAAACAACACTGGAAAGGCAGGCCAAGGGCAATCAGGGTGGGTTTTTTAGTGCTGAGGCTGAGTTTGGTTTTAGCATCTACAGAAGACTTTTAAGCAGGCAATGTCTAAATCAGATCTGTGCTTCAGGATCCATAGAAGCACTTTTTAGACCTGTTAGAGACCTCGAGGTGACCTAACTGAATTAAATCAATCGTTTTAAAAATAAGAAAACTAAAGTCAGATAGGGTAGGTGATCTACTCAAAGGCACAGAACACAGAATTAGCTAGAAGCAGGCAGAAGCTTAGAGTATTCATCTTATCTCGAATACTAATTCTGGGAAATACTCCTTAAAGTCTAAAAGATAACTGATTTAGAGGCAAATATAGGAACATACTATTTTACCTACATAAGAAAGTGGGGGAGAGGGAGCTTTTTTTACAGCTATAATACAACAAAACAGAGAATTCTGTAACCAAAGTACTAGTACAAACTGAAAATACACATAGGTTCACATATATGAATGGATGATCAAACCATTATCATGAATTGATAGAGGATACTGTCCTCACCTCATAATCTATAGCTCTCCTTAAATATCCTTGCGCCAAATGCGGTCTGGCACGACAGGGCCTTACACAATATAGGCATTTAACTAATGTTTGTTAATTGACTGAAGTCTGAAGAGAGTAATTGGTAATAAAAGCTTTCACAGGCATGATATCATGAGTAAACAGTAATAATAGAACTAATAATGATAATAACAAGAGTCATAACAGTGAACAGTGATTCAGGGCTTACTATACATTGATATTGCTCTAAATGCATGTATTAACTCATTTATCATCATGAACTGTATTTTTCAAATAATGAAACTATAGCACATACAAGTTAGTAACTTGGTCAAGGACAGGAAGCTACATAGTGGCAGAGCTAGCATTTGAACCTGGAAGCCTGGACTCTTAATTACTACACTATTCTAGCCAGCCCTGGAATTGTCTGGGTATCTTCTAGATATGATACTTTTTGAATATTTGAAAAACATAAATTATAGGTAAAAAATATTCACATTTATTTCAGAATAGAAAATCTAATAATTCTATTTTATTTACACTTTATTAAAATGTACATATTTGTTTTAGATTTACCTCTAGTCTTCCTTGAGCATAACCCAGGAGGAGTAGATTGGCTCTGTCCTTCTCAGAAGAAATGGGGGCCCAAGGCCAAGCATCATCGTTGACCAGTGGCCACCAGCAAACAACTCTATCATGAACACAGTTGATAGCTAGATGTCGCTCTGTTGTCTTGTTTATTGGGCCGGGTATTTCATAATAGAAAATCTAACAATTTTAAAAAAGCATACATGAAACATTTCTTTTAAAAGATGCAAAATCCTCAAGTATTACAAAAATTAAAGCATCTGGAAATGTAGTTACATGCAAGTAAATATGCATGTTAAACATGTGCGTAAGAAGGTGTCAGAATTTACCAAATTCTTCTGACACATATATAAAAAAGACATATGTTCAAAATTCTCCCCATTTTTAGCAAAGGAAGGAAAAGGAGAAATGTGAGCTAGGAAGAAATTGAATGTAGCAATTCCAATCAATACCAAAATGTACAGTCATGGTTGCCTGACAGCATCGACCTACACATATGATTTAGGACCAGCTGTATAAAATGACAAGTTCAGTACTGCTGACCAAGAGAGTCTCACTACTGTTTAAGACATAACGTGTTAACAATGACTGACAACAAAAAAAGGAAAAACAACTTGAGGCAAATATCTCTTTAAAGAATATATGCGACGTATACACATATATTCTGCATAAAAGGGATAAGCCACAGCATCATGCATAAAAGTTTATGCAGCTTCTGAGAATTATGCTTCTCTTTCTTAGGCAGGATTTGTAGAATTTATTATTCAAACTATGTTATTTTGGAACATGGTTATTTGAAAACATAAGCACGGCACCATCTGTGTGACACATGCCAAGGAAATATAGATTGCACCGTATTTCTGCTTAAGGAATTAATGGAAGGTTGATAGCTTGGAAGAAAAAAAAAACTATCTTGCCATTGCTGGTCAGCAATAATCGAACCACTTTCTGGGGATTAAGCGCATGGCTAAGCCTACTGGACCAGACACTAGCAAAGGGCAGGGGGTCTTCTTATCAGAGAAATGCTTCTGGAGCCAGTCTCACTACATGACAGATTGCTTTCATATTCCTGTCTGCAAGGCAACAAAGGATGGCAGTAATGCGATAATGCCAGAGTGCAACGGGTGTTAAGAACCCGTTGCATTTATGTATTGTATTTAGTAAATAATCAGGCTCATCCAAATTGTGATCTCACCACTCAACCAAGGCCATTAAAACCAAGGTTAATGCTTTAATAATCCTCTGCTATTTTTTTTCAATATGGTCAAAAGGAACCCTTTTCTATTTGCATGGCCATAATATTATTGACCTCTTCATCCTCTGAATGCACATCAAAAGGAACTGAAATCAAAGTAATTACCAGTGTTGTTCTCTCATGGTAAACATTTAACTCCTCACAGTGTCCCTTCACTGTTAAATAAATTGAATTGGATTTTTTTCAGATGTAGACAGGAAAACTTGTTAAAGGTCAATAGTTTAAGGATGTTTACTCTGCAATTTTCTTTGCCAAAATTATGTCAATCTGAAAGAATTAAACTATGGTACAGCTGTAAAGAAAAGCAAAAGTACAATACTCTATACCACTTCCTTGTTTTAAAATCCAAATGGGCAATGACAGACAACACAGATGTACTTTATGCTATTAAGTGTAATTTCTTATATTTAAGCTCTCAATATCATTAAGTCTTCTTATTTGAGAGAAATACCACGATGAAATTGCTAAGTACTTAAAAATACACATACATTATTTCAATGTCTGATTTGCTGCATAAGTGTGTTACCTATGAATTTCTAGATGAGGAAATTGAGTCACAATGAGTGACTGACATTTTCAGTTGTCACATAATGCAAATCACTTACGTTATGAAATGTTAGGAAATTTCATGTTTCCTATGAGTTTAATATTATCAGTATTCTGTCATGATGACCAAGAGGGAATGTAAAATAAACAAATTTCTTAAAATATCCTTCCAATGGACAAATAGCAGATTTGACTAAGTATTAAAAATATACATTTTAAATATTAAACCAGGAAATGAAATTAATGAGTTTTCCGAAGGGAAACAGATTACTTCTCTAATGTATAGGAATGACATGGAGTGCCAATGTTCCTATTTTCCTAAATCCAAAGGCATATTCGAATAAGCAAGTAAGTAATTCCCTTACTTAAGGTTTAAGGACCCAAACGCTAGATGTCTTTTCCTCATCTTTTCATAAGAAAAGATGACATCTTGACAGTTTCTCTCTGTTCTCAGGTAGCTACTACTCTTCAGTTGAGAAGATTTTATCAAGCTATCACACCTAAGATAAAGAAACTACTCATCCAGAATTTTATATATACTTACTTTAAATGGTTTGAGTTAATGCACACTGGTGCATTTTAAAGACCGATCAATTTTAGTAAATAAACAGTATTTCAAGTAAATCTGAAGTTAGCCATTCTAGAACTAACATCCCTTTAAGAATGCTAATACCATTTTTGTTTTGGCTAACCAAATATAATAAGTAGCACTAATTTCCAGTTTTAAAAAATCTATATTAAGGTTTTATAGAAGTTTCACAAAGCTGGCAAACGAAACTAGATGGTAGTTTATCACCACAATGAAAAACTCATTTATTTTATTCCACATTAAAAATCTTTTTTTAAGAATAAATGTTCCTACTAAATAAAACTAAATCCTCCCATGCTACCACCACCTCATTCATAAGTAATAATCCCAAAGGGCAAAAGGTTAGGTTAAATACTACTTTGCCAAAAACACACACACATTTCAAGCTACAGAGCTAGCTTCTCAAACTCTTTGCTCTTGCTACAGATGCTCTAGGTATGGCATAAGTGTGCATCTTTTTTAAGGAAGCTGTATATCAGCTCTGTTCCCAGTGAACAGTGAACTGTCTCAAATCCACATCATAGAGGTTGGATCAATCTTGCAAACACAAGTCACTGTTGAAAAGAGGCCTTGAACTGAAACAGCCTGGAAAATGTATTACTCATCCTAGCAGAGAATATGCCTTCCCAGCAGTTAAAATGTAATGTGGCAAAACTCAAATTAAACACATCACTTAAAATAAAAATTCTGCCTTAATAGATGTAAAGCTCCTGATACAGGAAGGAAACAAATTACCTGGAATTAGTGAAGGGTGAGATACTAACACATGAAGATTTCTTTTTGCATTTTGTCCAGTTATAGCTGGAGGGGGAGGGTTCTTCCCCCTCCTTGTTTATTACACTTTTCTATTAACCTTTCAAAGTGCCTTCATCTTTCTTTTCTTGTGAAGTGGAAAGTATCCTACCCTAGAAAGCTATCCTACCCTAGAAAGATGATATGGGGTCTTAGGGGAAAATGAGAATGGTATATATACTACCACTGGCACGAAAACCATTTTCAAAAGTGTAACTTGCCTCTATTATCTGTCTTTGATGTCTATAAATACTATATAAATTGCTCCAAACGTGCCATTGTTAGACAACCCCCCATAGTGAGAGTATAAAAGAAAACTTAGGATGGCCACTGTTTACAGTTAATTAAGCTTAATCCTGTAATATTTCCAGTTTTTCTGAAATCCAGAAATGTTGAAGAATAATGAGCAGAATACCAACTTATGTGATACTCTCATATACCTTAATAATTAATAATATGACTATATAAATCAAAATCTCTACCTTATAATCCAAGGCTGAGAGTTTTTCCAGTCTTTTGTTTACATCAGAAGACTCCATCTTCTTGGTAAACTGAATAAAACATAGTTTGTTTTGTGCCAAAAATGATAAGATGATAAAACTGTCTGTGAGAAGAGCTAAAAAACATAATTAGATATTACCAAGTTAGAATAAAATAATGAATAGATTTTTCCACTGATATGTTACAAAAAGCTATTTTCAAACATACATATTAACTGAAATCACTAAAGTCTCTTGAATATCATTATAGCATTTTATAAAAATATTAAAGATATTAGGAATAAACAATAATTGTCAATCTAATCATATGTGATTTTTTTTCCTGTGACTATTTCAATATACACTGATATTTGGGGACCACCAATGGATGAGATGTATTTAGAAACAGGGCTATAAAGGTATTTTTAAAAAACTATTTCGCACCTGAATGTAGAGACGAAAACATTCCATTTTATTTGTGCTAAGAGTTTAATCCTATGTTTACATGATAGAAACCATCCGAGGATAAAGTGGATTTATTAGGGGATACTGATCAGTGTTCTCTACCAGTCTATTTATTTAAAAAATTTTCATCAGTGAATCTTCTTTTAGGGGTATACAAGCTGGATGAAATAAAGCATATTATGACCAATATGTACATTACATAAATTAATATCTAATAATGAAAATTAGCACAATATTTCTACAGCTTTGTCACCAAAGCACACAAGTAGGTAAATAACTAATATTTGTGGATTATATAAAGGGCTATTAATGTTACATAAAATTATTGATAAAAACATGTTACAGGAATTTGAGAAATGTTTTGCATTGTTCCTAGCATAAAGAAATTATTAAATGTTTTATACATTTTCCTTTACTTTCACACCCCTGACCATACAAACAGTGACCAACAGTGGATCTACACAATTACAAGAGAATCTGGAGAACTGCCAAGAAATCACATTGTTACCATGTTCCCATGAGAGTGTATTATTTTGGGTACAAATAAAAGAAATACATGAAAAAGGATAACTCAGAGACACGAATTGTGCTGAAAGTTTCCTTTTAATTCTCATTGAGGAGCATCAATATAACAAAATCATCACAGCCAGTATTTTATTTGCAGTACCAATGAAGGGGTCAATTATTAGACATATGAAAATGGAACCTCTTCTACAGGGAAGCTTCCTCAGCACCTTACTCCTGTAAGGAAGGGAAAATGGCATGCTTACAATCCTACCCCCAGCTTATTACTATCAGTAATGTTGCTAATTATGGCCATCCTGCAGAGTTCTTTTCTTCAAGATGATGTGATTGTGTCTGATTTATTCAGAGGTAGCTAGTGAGAGAACACAGCAGACGGAAGATTTCTTTATTCTCACCTCTGTCCTTTCCACTAGGACATACTTCCTTTGATTACTAAATTTAAGATACTGACCATTTTCAATCTTTCATGATAATACAATGTTTCTCAACCTTTTTACCTTGAATAAAAGAATATAATCTTTAAAAATTCAGGAGTCAGAACAGTATAGTGAAAGGAAAATGGGCTTCACAGCCCGAACCTGTATTCAAATCTTAGCTCAGTCACTTTCTAGCTATATGACTCTGGACATGTTCCTTAGTAGCTCAGCTTCGTTTCCTTATGTGTAAAAATGGAAATAACTATACCTTATACAATTGTTTTCTTGTATTAAATAGGTAGGTTAGGAACCCAGCATATAGAGCCTTTTGGTTCAATAAATGTCAGTATCCTTCCTATTCAATAACTGGCTTAATATCTTTTTCTTATGTGCTTTGTACCAATTACAGACTGATTGAGATGTCACTTAATAGGACCTGACTGTCCAGTATATTAGGCATTGGTCTTTACTATTTAGAAAATATAGCCCAAAATCTCTCTAAGACTTTAGGAACAAAGAATCTTCCTATGAGAGCCAAAGCATCAATTGTGTACTGGTGGTTGTGTTGATATATTTGTGTTATTTATTCAAAATTCATTTGGAAATAAAATATATATTTGAAGTGCCAGTTATAGAGAAATAATTTTGAAAGAATGAAAACAAAACCCTATTTTGAAAAAATGTTCACTTCTTTTAAGGAAAAAGTAAAAAACAACTCAGAATATAAGCTTAACAGTTGACAAGAAAAAAACTTTGATATTAAATATTAGTCGAAACTTGTATTGGTCCCAGGGGGTGTAAGTACGCTATTACAAGCAATTACTTGTTGTGTTTGCAAGTCCCCAGTGGTAATAATTAGTCTACCTGTTGACACACTATTTCTCCTGCCCCACTGTTAATGTAGGCAATTGATTTGCACATGGGGGTAATTACCATCACTGATGGTGTCTGAGATGAGCTTCCCCACCAGGCTTCTGTCAATCACCACTTTCTCCAGCTGCGGCCCAGAAAGGCTTAGAGACACCAGCACACCTGAACCAAAAAGGAGCTAAAACCAGGTAAGTGGGGGAGAGAGGGAGGAAGACATGCTGTGATTTAGAATCTTTAAAAAACCTCTCTCCAAATATACAACTTATACAGATATTTTACACATGCATCTACACTACAAAATTATAAAGATTTTCTTCACTGAAAAACAATTACTGACATTGTGAGTAAAAAGAGAAAGGTGGCTAAAGGATGCAACACAATAAATGCATTGATTAAAGCTACATGCAGAAACCTAATTTAGGCCATGTTTATTAGAAATCTAATCTTCTAAATACTTAGAAAGCACATATGCAGACATAACTGCTTTGTTTTGGATTCAGAAAATGTAATGTATTCTATTATTTTGAAAAATTACTATTATAAACTAAAACATTTCTTGAGGTTTGAATAGTCATTGCTACACATTAAATATAGAAGAGATGCCACTATTACAATATAAACAGCTAATGTTATGCATTTATTTGGAAGTTAAACACTATTTACTTCTAAAAATAAAGATCTTGTCAGTCTAAAATGTTAAAATACATGTAAATCAAGGCAATTAAGTAAAATGTTAAATTTTTAAAATCATAAACAACACATATCAGAAACAATTTCACAAGGAGAAATAAAGGAATATAGTAGAGCATCCAGGCTTTATCAATGTCAGTGTTCACAAAACCACTCAACAAAAGATGATTGGATATCACCATTATAATTTTATACTGCTCCTTTCCATTTGTGGCAGCATAATTCATTCATCTCCAAATGTTTAAAACTTCTGAAAGGACTATGCATATGCGTATGCTTGTTATCTATGAGATTATGAAATATCAACATTGGAAGAAATTGTTTCACCTTCAAGGCAACAGACTCAAAGCTGATGAATCATGGAATAACATATGGTATAAGAAGAAAAAAAACCAATTGTCAGTAAACTAATCACAAACATGCTAGCCAAATTCAAAGACAACTTTGATTTTAAACAAAACAGGGGAATCCCCCACCCACCTAGGCATCATGTCCCAGCTAGAGAGGATGATTCTGTGTTGAGACATATTTGGACATGTGTGAAAGATAAGCAGCATGAGGGACCAGGGTAATATAAAGACAGACCACCATTCCTCACTGCCTAACAGATTCCAGGCACATGATTCAGAAAAGAAACTGAAGAGTTGCTTTGCATTTACTGTTAGAACTCTTGTCCTAGTCACCAGAAAGCTTACCTTTATTTGACTTAACAGATTATTCCATTTTGCGTTAATACCTCTACAGGGGCAGAGAGTTGGGGGGAGGGTACTTAATCATCTTTATGGGTTTTGGAGACTACTAAGAGAAGGCACATTTGTTTCAAGAAATTTAAAATGCTTCACAACTTAATCTCTACTGAATTACACCCAGCCCTACCACATACCTTAATGGCAAATGGTGATATTTCCCTTTTGAAGAATCCCCCCATAGCAACACAGCAGGTGGTCTTAACTCCCCAAATTCCTTCTCAGACGGGCAATTTTAGGGACATCTTTTATATCTACTTCTCCCCTTCCTCCTTTATTCAAAACATCTCTAAAATCTACCCTTTTCTATTTATTTTTATCTACTAAAGCTTTACACCTATACTCTTAAGCACTTCTTTTCCTAATTACTCACTGACTACCAGCTCCTTATGGATGTTGGCTTGGCCACATTTATCTTTGTAGTGCCAGGAATACAGTAGGTGCTCAACAAATGTTTGGAGAAAGAATCACAACTAACTCAATGGAACACCAGATAATTTGCAGTTACAAAAAAAAAAAAACTTGGTCTAATTTTCCATTTTCATATGACATGGATGTTCCTTCTGCAGCATCCCTTCAAGCATCTAGCCCATGCTTGAATATTGCCAGTGATCAGGAGCTCACTGCTTCACAGGAAAACTATTCTACCATGGGTCAGTTGTAATCAATTTAAAGATCCTTCATTCATTTTTTTAATTCACCAAAAACTGAATATTCATTATATGCCAAGCACTAAATTAAATTTAAGGGCTCAAAAAGAAATCAAATATAATTCTTAAAGTAGGTTAAATAAAGTAGGTTAATAGAAAGAGGTCGAGATCAAAGCAAATAACTAATAAAGTGCTGTTACCAGTTTACCAGACCTATTATAGAAGTACATACTGGGTAGACTCAGAGTCTGACTGAGAAGGAGGTGGTGACTCTTGAGATTGAGGCTGAGGATACAACTGACTCCCTACAACTTCAACAGTCACCCCAATTATTCTTCAGTAGCACCCACCTCAAATATTCAAGGATAATAACACAGTGGTTAAGAGCACAGACTCTGAAATCAGAATAAAATCAATATTGGCTACTTGTTACTAGCTGTGTGACACTGACAGTGTAATTTAACCTCTCTGTCCCTTCATTTCCTCACCTGAAAATAAACATGATAGTATCTACTTCATAGGATGAGGATTAAATAACTTTTTACAAAAAACATTTAGAATAATGCCTGGCACACAGTGTTTGCAATTATTATTATTATTCAACCATTAATTGTAGGATGCTGTCCATAGTCTCCAAATCACTGCTCCTGCCTCCAGGCATAGATTAGTTATCTAACCAATGTATGCATGCTCTTGCCTCCATGACGTTCATCCCTTTGAATCCTATATCAAATAACAAATATCCTCACTACGTTGTTAACCAACTCTGAGCACATTTGTCTTTTTAAAAACCTTGTAACCCAGGTTGGACTCAATGTTAGATGTGTGACACTCAGGTGAGTTACAATTAGTAAAAAATGCAATCTTTTGTTGCCTCTCCCATTGGCTATGATTTCACAAGGATATTATCTCCAAAATATTTGCAAGTTCCTTCAGAACTCTGGAATTTAATTTTTCCAAGTGTCTAATTTCTTTTACCTTGTTTTCTGTTCTCACCACTGCTCTCATGAAATAAATCTCATATCCTAACAAAAACTGCTTTTTCTATGTATGAGCGTTTGTTATAAAATTCTTTTAAAAACCCACTTTTATGAGATGAAGAAGGAAAGTACAGCCTGTGAGAGTAAGTAAATGAGGGAACTTATGCCGGAAAAGATTCAGAGGGGTGAGTGTCATGGAGCCAAAAGCATGCATACACTGGTTAGATAACTGATCTATGCATGGAGGCAGGAGCAGTGATTTGGAGACTATGGATCCTGCCAAGTGAGGTTGGACATTCCTTCAGAATCCTTCTCAAAGAATAGGTACAGCCACTTTTTCATAAATTCACTCATTTACCCCAAAATATATATATTTAGTATATCATATGAGCCAGGCACTGTTCCAAGTGCTGAGAATACAGCAATGAACAAAACAGACAATGCCCTTGCCCTCCCTGGCCTCATGGAGCCTGCATTCAAGTGTGGACACAGATAATAAAACAAATAGTTTTAATATAATGTACAATAGCAATAAGAACTATAGAGCAAATTTAGGAGGGTGCTACTTTAAGCAAGATGGCTAATAAAGAAATAAGCCTCTCTGAGGAAATAACATTTGAATATAGACTCAAATGAAGTAAAAGAACAAGCCACATAAATATCTGGAGAAAAGGAGTTCGAGGCAGAGAGAAGAGCTAATGCAAAAACTCTGAGGTGGCAATGTGCCTAGGCTGATTGAAGAAAGCTAGGCCAGTGTGGCTGGAGGGGAGTAAGTGAAAGGGATATTCATAGAGGATGAAGTCAGAGAGGCAGTCAAGGACCAGATTAGGTTAGACCTTGTTGATGAGAAGTCACTGAGTTTTAAGCAGCACAGAACTATAATATAATTTATGTTTTAAAGCGGGGGATCAGGGCAAGAGTGAAGCAAGGAGACCATCACAAGCCTATTGCAGTGGTTGAGGTGAGAGATGATGGCTTGGGACTAGAATGGTAATGCTGAAGGAAATGATAAGTGGGCAGACTTGAGATATATTTTAAAAAGTATCTACTAGCACTTGCTGAAAAATTGAATGTGGCACATGAGAGAAAGACTCAAAGATTTTTGGCCTGAGCAACAGTTTACTGTGATTGGGAATGCTAGAAGAAAAGCAAATTTAGATTATGGAGAATCAAGAGTTTGATTCTGACACGTTAAGTTTAAAGTATTTATGGACATACCAGTGGAGAGATCTAGTACATAATCAGAAATGTGTCTGAACTTCATGGGGGACTACAGAGGTATATCTGGGAGTCATCAACAATACAAAGGTAGTATTTAAAGCCATGGTACTGGACATGCTCTCCTTTAAAAAATGAGTGGAAAGACAGAAAGAGATCTAAGGTCTGAGCTCTGGGACATTCTGACCCAAAAGATCAGTTTAGCCCTCTTATTGAACCTGAGTTTGGATACTTGAAAGATCAAGTATGTCCATCATTTCATATTTCCAAATGTCCTATGGACTAGAGGCATCCCTGACACCAGATTTTGGAATAAGAAGGTATAAATCAATTAATAAGCTAATTAATGCATTTTTATAAAACAGCCTATGGGGAAGCATAGAGTTGCCAAATACTGGTGCCAAAAATACTCCTGGATATTGTAAAGGAGACAACTAGAGTTAGAAAAATATAGTCAAGGAAAGAATATTCCAGCCCAGACAGGAAAGTGCTATTCTCACCTCTGCCTGTTTCCCCAAAGTGGTTAGTCCTTAAGACCTCCAAAATGGAAAGGGTCTATGTAAGATTTGGTAGGACAAAAAGGAAAAAGAGCACCAAGACAGTGTCCTATTCCATTGCAAGGGGTTGGAGGGAGGATTCTGGTAGCTCAGAAAATAAAAAAGAGCAGGCAAGGTGGTAAAGGGAGGCATCTCTGAAGCAGATCTGAACTGAAAAGACCCGCAGGATGAACCAACGAGAAGGCCAGTGGTATCTCCCAACACTGTCCCAATTTGAATGTTGTTTAAATGTTGTGCAGGAGATAACTGAGGCAAATAGAAACCGAAACTCTTCTTCTTCTTTGACACCCCGCCAGACAAAAAGTACCTTCCTTATTATTCCTGCTCTGACCATGTCTCTTTATGTTGCCTTTCTCATTTGCTCCTTTTCATTTTCTTCAAATAAGCTCATACTGGGAAGGTGAGCTTTCTCTTTAAGAAACTCAGAAATGATTCTCACAATCCCCAGATGGCTCTTCAAATTGGCTTCTCTTAACCCTAAAGTCTACAGTACTTAGATTGGGGATTAAATTGGAAGTGAAACGGTACTTTGAGGGAAATGAGAAAATTATATCAGATGACATCATTAATTGAAACAAAACATAAATAACATCTGAGTTTTGTTCATTCAGTAAGTTAAAAAAAAACACGTAAGTGCCTCCTACATGTCAGGAAACAAAAGTAAATATAGTTAAGAATTAAAAAAAAATTAGTTGATTTACTACAGAGAACTGACTTAAGGAGAAAAAACAAAAGAACAAGAAATAAACAAGTATTTTTCTGGATAGAGAAGTGAGGTTCCTCACTGGGGTCTCCCAGTGGGATTTCCCAAAGATTTGTACGGTGTTATTCAATATATGGAATACAACGTACCTAGAAATCTGCCTGCAAAGTCTATTTCAATTTAATAAACCTAATTTTCTCACTTATTCTCATTATAAAACAAATGATGCCATATTTCAATCCCTAATGTAACTTTAAAATCCTGCTAACTATATTTCCATAAAAGAAAAGTGATCATTCCTAGAAAGTATTTGACCACAGAAACATGGTCAAATTTGGTAGGACAAAAAAGAAAAAGAGCACCAAGACAGTGTTCTATTCCATTGCAAGGGGTTGGAGGGAGGCTTCTGGTAGCTCAGAAAATAAAAAAGAGCAGGCAAGGTGGTAAAGGGAGGCATCTCAAAATAAAACAAGGTCCGAAAGTAGATTTTGTATTTGTCAGTAGTTTTAAAGATCTAAAGAGTTAAAAGCAGTGGTGAGAAGTAAAGAGAAAGGCAAATCAGATAACACTTTTTTTTGTATATTATTTTGTAATTTACAGAAGACTTTTATATGCAACATAATGCATGTAAAATGACAGTATAACTGATACAAAATAAGTATGCAAGTTTTAAAAACAATAGTAATAAGGTTAATCTCATGCTCATACTAATTCCCAATCAGAAAGGTAAAGCAATTAATCAAAGGTCTCATAATTAGTGGGAAAGTGGAGACCAAGACAGGTCTATTAATGACAAATCCTATATACTCCTTCACCACTATTTAGGAACTAATATCCTTAACTCTCACTTCTCAGTTGACTTCCATGCAATATCCCATCTGATTTTTCTCTCTCCAGCTCTTTTCCTCACTCAAACCAGTCTCCCTCTAAACCAGGGGTCCCCAATGCCCAAGCCACTAACCAGTACCCATCTGTGGCCTGTTAGCAACCGGGCCACACAGCAGGAAGTAAGCGGTGAGTGGGCAAGCATTACCGCCTGAGCTCTACCCCCTGTCAGATCAGCTGCAGCATTACATTCTCATAGGAGGTAAACCCTATTGGGAACTGTGCATGTGTTCTCAACTGGGGATGATTTTGGCCACCAGGAGACATGACATCTGGCAACGTCTAGAGACACTGCAGCTGTCACCACCTTTATATATTAGCCATCTTCCCAGAGCCTCTCTTTAAAAGAGTGCTTTTAAATGAGTTGCTGTGGAAGCAAAGATGTTTTCCATGTCTTCATTAGGCAGATTTGGAAACTTCCCAAATTTTAATCAATCCTTTTCTCACATAAAGAAAGGGTAATGTGATAAGCTATCCTCTCTCATGTATGACAGCCTGGTCAGATATCTCAAATGGAGTGGTGGGCAGTGCACAGTCCAGATCAGCAGTCCACAGGAAACCCACCCTGTGTGTCTCTAACCATGTTCAGGGCTATCACTTTGATGACTAATGCTACTTTTCAAGATTGAAAGTGCCCCATAGCAAGTAATTGAGCTACCTTAGCTTGAAAGAAATATCTTGTTAGAACACCTTCTTGCCTTTGTTCTCATTCTCTGCTCACCAATCAGCCTTCTTATTTATACTTCAGTCTCTTGAATAACTTATCCGTGAGGTAATGCCCCAAGGAAATGAGCAATGTCTATGATGCCAAATATATCTCACATAGTAAATTAATAAATTGCCATTCCAGTTAATAAATCAGTCACATCTGAATTTGGCTATTGTTAATGTTGTTAGTACAAGAAAATAAATGGAGATAACATAAAAGATAAATAAGTTTAATTAATCAGAAATTTTTTCCCAACTGCATGATACCTTGTTGAAGGTGGGGGGAGGCATTTTTAAAAGTTACAGACCTACACAAGTAGCATCATTCTGTTTTACTAGGAAAAAAACAAGAGTAGTATGGGTACATATACGTATAAAGAAATTGTAGAAACACAAGAAAATATCAGAAAAAATAAAACCAAAGCTGTTGATAGCAGGCATCTCACAGAGATAAAATTGGAACCCAGAGAGCACAAACTTCAACTTCTTGCCTTATAAAATTTTTAAAAATTGATATTAGGGATGATTTTTTAAAACTTTTGTGTGTTATTCAGTATTTTTCTATAAAAATTTTCAAAAAAGGGAACGCTTAAAATATCTGGCCACAAATATACTTCTTATTTTATGGTTTTAAAGAGATGCTAGAAATGTGTTTCTCAAAAGTCGGAATACTGAAAATGCACTAAGAGTTGTTCCTCACTAAAAGGATCAAATAAGAAACTGAAATGAGTCCCTCGTCTCTGCTATTTAACTTATTAAAAAATTTTAAGACCATTTTGTTCTTATTACATTGCCTTGATTACTCATCTATGTCCAATTTCCATATTTACTAAAAAGATTGCCATTAATAATTGTAAAGTATGGTATATACAAATTATGGATTACTATGTATCTAGTAAAAATAGGGAGGTAGATATAGATCATTGACAGATGGTCATATATTGTTACGTAAAGAAAGTTAGAGAAAAATATGTATAGAGTGATTCCATTATTTTTAAATGTGTGTATACATACACATACACAGATGAGTGTTTGAAAAAAGATATAAGCCAAATTGCTGAACACAGTTACTACTGGAGAAGGGAATGAGTTTCGGGTAGGCATATAGTTTTTACTATATATCTATTTGTATACTATGCCATTTTATGATTACCAGAAATCATTTTATTATTTTAAATTTAAAAACATTAAAAGAGGGAATAAAGATCTCCACTAAATCTCTTTTCAGTTCATTTGGTATGAGATCGCACTTTTTAATCTCTTACCTTTAGCTAACAAACTTCAAATTCATCAGTAAATTCTGCTGATACTCTTTGTTCCATTTAGCTCAGATCTACCACTTTTAATATACCTCCTTGTCCATTCTCTTTTACTAGGACCACACTCAACCGTTGCCCTTTACAACTTCCAGTTCTCCTCCATAATCCATACTAATGTGGCATAAATGAAAAAAGAATAAATGAAAAAAGACCATTTCTCAAAGCAGAGTCCATGAAATAATAATCTTTGAATAATGTTTCAAGAAAGTAAGCTTGGCAACTTTTCATATAACAGGCCCCTCTCAAAGACTTACAACCATGCTACCTGAGTTAATTAAAAATACATCAACACACACACACACACACACACACACACACACCCTTAATATGCAATGAGATATGCTTCCTCATTTATCAGCATAGAGTATTATGGTGAGTTTAAGCACAGCAGAAATCTCTTAGAGTGAGTACTGTTAAATTGTTACCATTATGTTTTGTTTAGTTAGAAATATGAAACCCCAAAATCTTTGAGAATAAAAACGATCACTGAAAGTAAATGTGGTATATATCCTCAATGGAATACTATTCAGCCTTTAAAAAGGGAAATTCTGTCATTTGTGAGAACATGGATGAACCTGTGGGACATTATGCTAAGGGAAATAAGCTAGGCACAGAAAGACAAATACTGCATGATCTCACTTACATGTGGAATCTAAAAAAGTAAAACTCATAGCACTAGAGAGTATGATGGTAGTTACCATGCTAGGGGTAGGGGAAATGGGGAGATACTGGTCAAAAGGTACAAAGTTTTTGTTAGACAGGAGAAATACATTTTAGAGATCTATAGTACAACACAGTGGCTAAAGTTAATAATAATGTGTTGTATATTTCAAAATGGCTAAAGTATCAGATTTCAAATGTACTCACCACAAAAAAAAATGGTATGTGAGATGATGGATATGTTAACTAGCTTGATTTAATCATTCCACTATGTATGCCTATAGCAAAACATCACATTGTACCCCATAAATATATGCAATTATTATTTATCAATTAACAACTTGAATAAAAGTGAAAAAAAAATCTATCACAAAATATTTGCAGGGAGTTTTACAACTTCTCCTCCCAAATATTTGATAACCTCTCTCCTGAAACTTTCAGTCAAGTCAGTGAGGTAGTTAGTAATTAGATGGTCACACAATAAATGTCCAGCTGGAACTGCAATAAGTGTCAAGAAGTACATGAAATGCAGTTCAATATGGCTGATTAGAGACATCAGATACCCCCCCACTTTCCAGAAAGAAGGACCAAAATTATGAATAGATAATTGCACCTTGAATAGAAAATCTAGGAGAGAACTAGAGTCTAACAGAGAAGTCATGGGAAACACCTGAGGTACAGAAGGAAAAGAAAGCAAGTGGCCACCTCATCCAAGATTGACTGGGACCCTGAGGGGCTTGGTAATGCCAGGAAAGAGTAAGTCACAAAACTTCAGCGGTCCACATCCCCACTATGGACTGCTGCAATCTGAACCACAAGAGACCTCCTCTACCCACACAAACCCCGACATTAGCATGGTGTGATTTGGAGACCCTGAGAGGGCACTACACCAGACAGAAAACTTGTACTGGGTCATGGACCCTACCCCAGACAGAAAACTTGTACTGGGTCATGGACCCTACCCCTGAGACCTAAGTGGCTGCAGCTGGGCACCATTACACAGCTGTCACAGGACTGCATCCTGCCCTGAAAACCACAGCCCCCATATATCCACATCCTAACAGCTTCCACTGACATCCCAGTGTCCACTCAGAAGGCTACAGCAATACAGCACTGGTTGGTCCCAAAGGTGCCATGGGGTCTCCAGTACTTTAGCCTACAGAGAGTACTAATCCTCGGGGAAAGAAGAGTGCAGTGCACCAAAAAGGGAGCCCCCAGGACAAAGGAAAGCAAAGTGCATGCTTTCCAGAGCCCCAGAGCTCCCTATCTAGGGATGTGAGAAGTGACCGTGCCTCAAGCAGTAGCACAAACTCTGCTCCTGGGCTCACACATAGAAACCAGGACTCCTTCTTCCTTTCCACACACCACTGCAGGCATAGTCAGTAAGTGAGCTGGAGGGCTGCCTGTCTGGGGCTATGAGTGGTGACTGAGTCCCCAACAGTGGAATGGCCTCCATGCCTAGGCTTACATGTGAGAGACAGGGTTCCTCCCCCATTGCTGAGCAGCACTGTGGTGCTGCTACCTGTCTGGGGCTGTGGGTGGCAACCCCGCACTGCAGCCACAGCCAACACCAGTATGCACCACCCAGGACCGAAAGAGTCATCCCACCACTGCTACTGGCATCACCCATACCATGCCAGCTGCCCGGGGACTCATGAACCCACTCACACACCTGGCCCACCACTGCCACTACTAACATTTAAACAAACCATCTGAAGGTCCAGTAACTGACCTGCCTGGTACTGCTAACACCAGTGCCACTGCACACAGCCCCAGGACCCAAGATCAGGCACACTCAGCCCACCACTACTACCACTGGGGCCTGAAGACTAGCCCAACTGGCACCCCTGTCCTCAGCAAAACTTCACCATAGCCCCCACAAATAACCACACCCTAAACCACTGAGGAAATCACAGATACCACTGATGCTGTTTCCAGATGAAGAAATCATAGAGAGACTATACTACTGAACACACTCAGAATCAAAGCCAAAACACCCCATCCAACCAAGAGAATTGATATAACTTCAGGAAAAAGTCATCCCCTACAAAAACAAATTCAAAAAACTGGAAGAAACAACTATTACACCAGATGGGCAGCTATCAATGTAAGAGCACGGGAAGTATGAAAAAGCAAGGAAATATAAAACCTCCAAAGAAATATAATAATCCCCCAACATCGGATTCCAATCAAAAAGAATTCAAGAATTTCCAGAAAAAGATTTCAAAAGTATGATACTAAAGAAGCTCAGTAAGATACAAGAGAATCCTGAAAAATAATACTACGAAATAAGAAAAAGAATTCAAGATATGAACGAGAAATTTACCAAAGAGAGAAATATAGAAAAGAACCAAAGAGAAATACAGAAACTGAAGAATTCCTTCTATGAAATACAAAATACAGTCAAAAGCATCAGTAATGAACTAGACCAAGCAGAAGAGACAATCTCAGAACTTGAAGAAGGGACTTTTAAAACATCCCAGTCAGACAAAAATAAAGAAAAAAGATATATGCAAATAAACTAGAAAATCTAGAAGAAATGGGTAAATTCTTCGACACATACACCCTTCCAAGACTAAACCAGGAAGAAGTTGAATCTCTGAATAGACCAATAACAGGATCTGAAATTGAGGCAATAATTAATAACTTGCCAACCAAAAAAAGTCCAGGACCAGACGGATTCACAGCTGAATTCTACCAGAGATACAAGGAGGAGCTGGTACCATTCCTTCTGAAACTATTCCAATCAATAGAAAAAGAGGGAATCCTCCCTAACTCATTTTAAGAGGCCAGCATCATCCTGATACCAAAGCCTGGCAGAGACACAACAAAAAAAGAGGATTTTAGACCAATATCCCTGATGAACACTGATGCAAAAATCCTCAACAAAATACTGGCAAACCGAATCCAGCAGCACATCAAAAACCTTATCCACCATGATCAAGTGGGCTTCATCCCTGGGATGCAAGGCTGGTTCAACATATGCAAATCAATAAACGTAATCCAGCATATAAACAGAACCAACGACAAAAACCACATGATTATCTCAATAGATGCAGAAAAGGCCTTTGACAAAAGTCAACGCTTCATGCTAAAAACTCTCAATAAATTAGGTATTGATGGGATGTATCTCAAAATAATAAGAGCTATCTATGACAAACCCACAGCCAATATCATACTGAATGGGCAAAAACGGGAAGCACTCCCTTTGAAAACTGGCACAAGACAGAGATGCCCTCTCTCACCACTCCTATTCAACATAGTGTTGGAAGTTCTGGCCAGGGCAATCAGGCAGGAGAAAGAAATAAAGGATATTCAATTAGGAAAAGAGGAAGTCAAATTGTCCCTGTTTGCAGATGACATGATTGTATATCTAGAAAACCCCATCGTCTCAGCCTAAAATTTCCTTAAGCTGATAAGCAACTTCAGCAAAGTCTCAGGATACAAAATCAATGTGCAAAAATCACAAGCATTCTTATGCACCCATAACAGACAAAGAGAGAGCCAAATCACGAGCGAACTCCCATTCACAATTGCTTCAAAGAGAATAAAATACCTAGGAATCCAACTTACAAGGGATGTGAAGGACCTCTTCAAGAAGAACTACAAACCACTACTCAACGAAATAAAAGAGGACACAAACAAATGAAAGAACATTCCATGTTCATGGACAGGAAGAATCAATATCGTGAAAATGGCCATACTGCCCAGGGTAATTTATAGATTCAATGCCATCCCCATCAAGCTACCATTGACTTTCTTCACAGAATTGGAAAAAACTACTTTAAAGTTCATATGGAACCAAAAAACAGCCTGCATTGCCAAGTCAATCCTAAACCAAAAGAATAAAGCTGGAGGCATCACGCTACCTGACTTCAAACTATACTACAAGGCTACAGTAACCAAAACAGTATGGTACTGGTACCAAAACAGAGATATAGACCATTGGAACAGAACAGAGCCCTCAGAAATAATACCACACATCTACAACTATCTGATCTTTGACAAACCTGACAAAAACAAGAAATGGGGAAACAACTCCCTATTTAATAAATGGTGCTGGGAAAACTGGCTAGCCATAGGTAGAAAGCTGAAACTGGATCCCTTCCTTACACCTTAAACAAAAATTAATTCAAGATGGATTAAAGACTTAAATGTTAGACCTAAAACCATAAAAACCCTAGAAGAAAACCTAGGCAATACCATTCAGGACATAGGCATGGACAAGGACTTCATGTCTAAAACGCCAAAAGCAATGGCAACAAAAGCCAAAATTGACAAATGGGATCTAATTAAACTAAAGAGCTTCTGCACAGCAAAAGAAACTACCATCAGACTGAACAGGCAACCTACAGAATGGGAGAAAATTTTTGCAATCTACTCATATGAAAAAGGGCTAATATCCAGAATCTAGAATGAACTCAAACAAATTTACAAGAATAAAACAAACAACCCCATCAAAAAGTGGGCAAAGGATATGAACCGACACTTCTCAAAAGAAGACATTTATGCAGCCAACAGACACATGAAAAAATGCTCATCATCACTGGCCATCAGAGAAATGCATATCAAAACTACAATGAGATATGACCTCACACCAGTTAGAATGGCAATCATTAAAACGTCAGGAAACAACAGGTGCTGGAGAGGATGTGGAGAAATAGGAACACTTTTACACTGTTGGTGGGACTATAAACTAGTTCAATCATTGTGGAAGACAGTGTGGCGATTCCTCAAGTATATAGAACTAGAAATACCATTTGATCCAGCCATGCCATTACTGGGTATATACCTAAAGGAATATAAATCATGCTGCTATAAAGACACATGCACACGTATGTTTATTGTGGCATTATTCACAATAGCAAAGACGTGGAACCAACCCAAATGTCCAACAATGACATACTGGATTAAGAAAATGTGGCACATACACACCAAGGAATACTATGCAGCCATAAAAAAGGATGGGTGCATGTCCTTTGTAGGGACACGGATGAAGCAGGAAACCATCATTCTCAGCAAACTATCGCAAGGACAAAAAACCAAACACTGCATGTTCTCACTCATAGGTGGGAATTGAACAATGAGAACACTTGGACACAGGGTAAGGAACGGAACATCACACACTGGGGCCTGTTGTGGGGTGGGGGGAGGGAGGAGGGGGTAGGGATAGCATTAGGAGATATACCTAATGTAAATGATGAGTTAATGGGTGCAGCACACCAATATGGCACATGGATACATATGTAACAAACCTGCACGTTGTGCACATGTACCCTAGAACTTAAAGTATAATAAAAATATATATATATTAAAAAAAAGAAAGAAAATGTGGCACATATACACCATGGAATACTATGCAGCCATAAAAAAGGAGGAGTTCATGTCCTTTCCAGGGACATGGATGAAGCTGGAAACCATCATTCTCAGAGAACTATGACAAGGATGGAAAACCAAACACCGCATGTTCTCACTCATAAGTGGGCATTGAACAATGAACACATGGACACAGGGTGGGCAACATCCCACACTGAGCCCTGTTTGGGGGTGGGGGACTGAGGGAGGGATAGCATTGGGAGAAATACCTAATATACATGATGAGTTGATGGGTGCAGCAAACCAACATGGCACATGTATACCTGTGTAACAAACCTACATGTTGTGCACATGTACCCCAGAACTTAACGTATAATAATAAAAAATAAAAATAAAAAAATAAAAAAATAAAGAATGAGCAAAGTCTCTGTGATAAATAGCATACCATAAAGCAACCAAGTACAGGAGTTATCAGTATTCCTGAAGGTGTGGAGATAATGAGAAAGTTCAAAAACTTACTTAAAATAATAGATGAAAACTTCCCAAGTCTAGCAAGAGATTTAGACATCCAGACACTGGCGATCCAGTGACCCCAATCAGATTCAATGCAAAAAGGTCTTCTCCACAGCACATTATAAGCAAACTGTCTAAAGTCATTAACAAAGAGAAAATTCTAAAAACAGCAGCAGAAAATAATCTAGTCATAAAGGAGCCCCTATCAGACTAACAGCAAACTTCTCAGCAGAAACCTTATGGGCCAGGAGAGAATGAAAAAATATAGTCAAATTGCTGAAAGAAAAATATAACCACCCAAAGATACTATCAAAATTACCCTTCATAAATGAGAAAGAAATACTTTCACAGACAAGCAAATGCTGAAGCAATTCATCACTACTAGACCTGCCTTACAAGAAAGGCTCAAGGGAGTCCTAACCCTGGAAGTGAAAGAATGATTAATTCCCATCATCAAAACACATGAAAATATAAAAATCATTGGTAATACAAATACACAAATGAGAAAGAGGAAAGACTCAAATGGTACCACCACAGAAAAACAGCAATCCACAAAGACAGTCAGAAAGGAAAAAAACAAAGGAACAAAGACTATACAAAGCAACCTAAAGACAATTAACAATATTAAAGGAACAAAACCTCACATATCAGCAATAAATCTGAATGTAAACAGATTAGATTCTCCACTTAAAAAGATATAGACTGTTTGAACAGATTTTTAAAAACCGTGATCCAACAATATTCTGCCTCTAAGAAATGTACTTTACTTGTAAAGATATATATATATATATATATATATATACACACACACACACACACAGAAAGTAAAGGGATGGAAAAAGATATTCCACGCAAATGGAAAACAAAACACACCAGGAGTAGTTACATTTATATCAGATAAAACAGACTTTAACTCAAAAACAGTAAAAAAATAAAAATAAAAACAAAGGTCATCATACAATGATAAAGGGATCAATCGAGCAAGAGGATATAACAATTCTAAATATATATGCAACCAACACTAGTGCACCCAGATTCATAAAGCAAATATTGCCAGATCTAATGAAAGAGACAGACTCCAACACAATAATAGTAGGAGGCATCAACAGTCCACTCTCAGCATTAGCCAGATCATCTAGACAGAAAACCAACAAAGAAATATTGGACTTAAACCAGACTTTAGACCAAACCTAACAGACATTTACAGAACATTTTATCCAAAACCTGCAGAATACACATTCTTCTCATCAGTACATGGAACAGTCTCCAGGATTAGACATGTTAGGCCACAAAAAAAGTCTCAACAAAAGTTTGAAAATGGAAATCATATCACATATATTCTCAGACAGTGAAATAAAATGAGGAATCACTACCAAGAGAAACTTTAAAGAGCATACAAATACATGGAAATTAAATAACATACTCCTAAACAACCATTGGATCAATAAAGAAATTCAGATGGAAATTGAAAAATATATCAAAATAAATGCAAATGGAGGCAAGGCGAGGTGGCTCACGCTGTAATCTCAGCACTCTGGGAGGGCAAGGCAGGGAGATCACTTGAGGTCAGCAATTCAAGACCAGCCTGACCAACACGGTGAAACCCCATCACTACTAAAAATACAAAAATTAGCCAGGCGTGGTGGTGCATGCTTGTAATCCCAGCCACTTGGGAGGCTGAAGTGGGAGGATCACTTGAACCCGGGAGGCAGTGGTTGCAGTGAGCCAAGATTGCGCCACTGCACTCCAGCCTGGGCAACAGAGTGAGTGAGATTCTGTCTAAAATAAATAAATAATAAATGAATAAATAAATAAATGCAAATGGAAACACAATATACCCAAGCCTGTGCTGTGTTTTTGGGACACAGTGAAAGCAGTGCTAAGAGGGAAATTTATAGCAATAAACACCTGCATCAAAAAAACAGAAAGATTTCAAATAAGCAATCTAATGATAGACCTCAAGGAACAAGAAAAGCAAGAACAAATCAAACCCCAAATTAGCAGAGAGAAGAAAATAATAAAGATCAGAGCAAAACTAAACAAAATAGACTAAAAAAAATTACAAAGGATCAATGAAATGAAAAGTTGGTTCTTCAGGCCAGGCACGGTGGCTCACTCTTGTAATCCCAGCACTTTGGGAGGCTGAGGCAGGCGAATCACTTGATGCCTTTAAGCCCAGCCTGGGCAACATGGCAAAACCCTGTCTCTACTACAAATACAAAAACTTGCCGAGCTTGGTGGCACATGCCTGTAATCCCAGCTACTAGGGAGGCTGAGGCATGAGAATCACTTAAACCTGGGAGGTGGAGGTTGCAGTGAGCCGAGGTTGCAGTGAGCCGAGGTTGCTCCACTGCACTCCAGCCTGGGTGACAGAGTAAGACTCCATCTCAAAACAAAAAAAGAAAAGTTGGTTCTTCAAAAAGACAAACAAAATGGATAAACTACTTGCTAGAATAACCAAGAACAAAAGAGAAGACCCAGATAAAATCATAAGTGAAAAAGGAAACATTACAACTGATGCCACAGAAATGTAAAAGATCATCAGGGACTAAGAGGTACAATTATATGCTAACGAACTAAAAAATCTAGAGGAAATGGATAAATTGCTGAATGCATACAACCCACCAAGACTGAATCAGGAAGAAACAGAAAACCTGAGCATACCAATAACAAGACTGAATCAGTATAAAAAGTCTCCCTATAAAGAAAAGCCAAGGACCAGGTGGATTCCCTGCAGAATTCTACCACATGTATAAAGAAGAACTAAACCTCCTCAAACTATTGAAGAGGAATGAATTCACCCTAACTCATTCTATGAGTCCAGCATTACCATGATACCGAAACCAGACAAGGATACAACAAAAAAGTAAAACTGCAGGCCAATATCCCTAAATAAAAATAGATGCAAAAATCGTCAACAAAATACTAACAAACCAAATCCAACAGCACATCAAATGATAATATATCATGATCAAGAAGAATGTATCCCAGGGGTGCAAGGATGGTTCAACACATGCACATCAATAAACATGATACATCACATCAACAGAATGAAAGACAAAAATTATATGATCATCTCAAAAGATGTAGAAAAAGCATGTAATAAAATTCAACACTCCTTCATGATAAAAACTCTCAACAAACTAGGCATAGAAAGACCATCCATCATACTGAATAAGGAAAGGTTGAAAGCTTTTACTCTAAAAACTGGAATACGGTGGCTCACGCCTGTAACCCAGCACTTTGGGAGGCCAAGGCAGGCAGATCATGAGGTCAAGAGATCAAGACCATCTTGGCCAACATGGTGAAACCCCATCTCTACTAAAAATACAAAAATTAGCTAGGTGTGGTGGTGTGCACCTGTAGTCCCAGCTACTTGGGAGGCTGAGGCAGGAGAATCGCTTGAACCCAGGAGGCCAAGGTTGCAGTAAGCCGAGATCGCACCACCACACTCCAGCCTGGCGACAGTGTGAGACTCCGTCTCAAAAAAAAAAAAAAGAAAAAAAAAACTGGAATAAGACAAGAATGCCCACTTTCACCATTCCTAATCGACATAGTACTAGAAGTCCTAGACAGAGCAGTCAGGCAAGAAAAAAAAAAAAAAAATCAAAGGCATTCGAATTGGAAAACAGAATTTCAAACTGTCCCTCTTTGCAGATGACATGATTTTATATCTAGAAAAACCAAAAGACTCCACCAGAAAACTCTTAGAACTGATAAGCAAATTCAGTTGCAGGATACAAAAATCAACATATAAAAATCAGTAGTACACTGATCAGCATACATGTAAAAATCAGTATACAACAATAATGAACTAGGCGAGAAAGAAATCAAGAAGACAATCTCATTTACAGTAACTACAAAAAATAAAATACTTAGGAATAAATTTAACTAATTTAGTGAAAGATCTCTACAAGAAAAACTGTAAAACACTGACGAAAGAAACTGAAGAGGACACAAACAAGTGAAAAGAAAATACCATGCTCATGGATTAAAAGAATTAACATAGTTAAAATGACCATACTATCCAAAGCAATCTACAGATTGAATGTAATACCCATGCCACTTTTCACAGACATAGAAAAAATAATCCTAAAATTTGTATGGAACCAAAAAAGAACCCAAACAGCCAAAGCAATCCTGACCAAAAAGAACAAATCTGGAGGCATCACACTACCTGACTTCAAAACATATTACAAGGATATAGAAACCAAAACAGCATGATATTCGTGTAACAACAGACACATAGATCAATGGAACAGACTAGAGACACAGAGATAAATCCACATATTTACAGCCAACTGATCTTCTCCATAGCCCTCAAGAACATACACTGGGGAAAGAAAACCCTCTTCAATAAATGATAACCACTTATTCTTCTATATGTAGAAGAATGAAACTGGACCCCTATCTCTCACAATATACAGAAGTCAACTCAAGATGGATTAAACCCAAAAGTATAAAACTACTAGAAATAGTAGTAGTTCTAGGGAAAACTCTTCAGGACATTGGTTTAGGCAAAGATTTTATGGCTAAGACCTCAAAAGCACAGGCAACAAAAACAAAAATAGACAAATGAGAGTATATTAAATTTACATGCTTCTGCACAGCAAAAGAAACAATCAACAGAGTGAAGAAACAACCTCTTGTATAGGAGAAAATGTTTGCAAATTACTCATCCAATAGGGGACTACTAATACCCAGCACATACAAGGAATTCAGACATCTCAACAGTTAAAAAAAAAACTCATTTAAAAAAATGAGCAAAGTACATGAATAGACATTTCTCAAAAGACATACATATAGACAAGAGGTATATGACTAACACCACAATGTGATTTCATCTCACCCCAGTTAGAATGGCTATTATTTAAAAGACAAAAAATAACATGCTGGCAAGAAAGAAAAGGGAACTCTTATATACTGTTGGTTGGAATGTAAATTAGTACAACCACTATGGAAAATAGTATGGAGATTTATCAAAAACCAAAAGGAGGCCTGGCATGGTGGCTCACGCCTGTAATCCCAGCACTTTGGGAGGCTGAGGCAGGCAGATCACCGGAGCTCAGGAGTTTGAGAACAGCTTGGCCAACATGGTGAAACCCTGTGCCTAATAAAAATACAAAAAATTAGCCAGAAGTGGTGGCATGTGCCTGTAGTCCCAGCTACTCAGGAGGCTGAGGCAAGAGAATGGCTTGAACTTGGGAGGGGGAGGTTGCAGTGAGGTGAGATTGCGCCACTGTACTCCAGCCTGAGCAACAGAGTGAGATTCTGTCTCAAAAAAAGAAGAAAAACAAAACAAAAGGAGATCTACCATACAATCCAGAAATCCTACTACTTGGTATCTATCCAAAGAAAAAGAAATATATTTATATCAAAAGGATATCTGCACTCACATGTTTATCACAGCACTATTCATAACAGCAAAGATATGGAATCAATCTAAATGCCCATCAACAGATCGATGAATAAAGAAAATGTGGTGTATATAACCAATGGAATATTATTCAGCCATAAAAAATAATGAAATCATGCATTTTGTAGCAACATGGATGGAACTGGAGGTCAGTATGTTAAATGAAATAAGCCAGGCACAGAAAGACAGGTACTACATGTTCTTACTCATATATGGGAGCTAAAAGCTTGACCTCATGGACATAGAGAATAGAAGGCACAGATACCAAAGACTGGGAATCGGGGGTGGGGGAGAGAGTTCGGTTATGAGTCCAAACATATAGTTAGATAGAAGAAATAAGTTATAATGTTTGATAGCAGAATAGGATGACTATACTTAGCAACAATATTATGTATATTTCAAAATAATTAGAAGAGAGAACTTGAAGTAATACCAACATGTAAAAATACTACCCACTCAAGTTAACAGACATCCCAATTACTCACACTTGATCATTACACATTCTTTGCATATAAACACTCACATGTACCCCACAAATATGTAAATTATGTATCAATAAAAGAGAAAAAAACAAAACAAAAAATACATGAAAATAAAGTAAGTCTCTCTTTTTTTTTTGAAACGGAGTCTTGCTCGATCTCGGCTCACTGCAAGCTCCGCCTCCCAGGTTCACACCATTCTCCTGCCTCAGCCTCCTGAGTTGCTGGGACTACAGGTGCCTGCCACCACACCCAGCTAATTTTTTGTATTTTTAGTAGAGGCGGGGTTTCACCATGTTAGCCAGGATGGTCTTCATCTCCTGACCTCGTGATTCACCCACCTCAGCCTCCCAAAGTGCTGGGATTACAGGTGTGAGCCACTGCGCCCAGCCACTAAGTCTCTTATAAGCAGAAAAAAAGGAAATACATGATGTTCTAAAACCACAAAATAAAGGATAAAGCTTCTCTGGGAAGGCTTCCTTGAGGAAGAGACAACTGATAGTCTGGGATCTAAGGTTGAGAATGTGTTACTTCCATGTAAGGGGAAGCAAAGGGCATTTTAGGCAGAGCTAGGAATGGTGCATGCAAAGGCCAGGTAGCAAGAGATAGTATGTAGAATATAAGGGATTGACAGAAGCCTGGTGATATAGTTTGGATATTTGTCCCCACCCAAATCTCATGTTGAAATGTAATCCCCAGTGTTGGAGGTGGGGCCTGCGGGGAGGTATTTGGGTCACAGAGGCAGATTCCTCATGGTTTGGTGTTATCCTGGCAATAGTGAGACAGTGTTCACTAAATTTAGTTGTTTAAATGTGTAGCACCTCCCATCCCTACTCTCTCTTGCTCTAGCTCCTGCCATGTGAGATGCTGGCTTCCCCCTTTGCCTTCCACCATGATTGAAAGCTCCCTGAGGCTTCACCAGAAGCCAAGCAGATGCCAGCAACATGCTTCTTGTACAGCCTGCATAACCACGAGCCAATTAAACCCCTTTTCTTTATAAACTATCCAGTCTCAAGTATTTCTTTATAGCAATGCAAGAACGGCCTAATACACCTGGTGTAGCTTGGCCAATGAGATTAAAAAAGAGTGCAGTAAGGGATGAAATTTAAAATGCAGGTAGATTGGGACCAGTTTTGTTGATGTTATAATTTTTAAAATTCAAATTATTGATTCATGTTGGAATATATAATACATTCATGTAGCTCCAAAAGAACACAACAGCAGATTATACCAAGGTGTACCATTAAAAGTCTTCTTCTCATCCCTGTATCCCCTTACCCACGTTTCTCTATCCCTTTTAATCAGTTTCCAGTTTCCCACCTGTCCTCCAAAGTTGTAGAAGGGTTTTAAGCAGAGGAGTAACAAATTTGTTTTTTAAAAAGTTCAACCATTGTGGAAGACAGTGTGGCAATTCCTCAAGGATCTAGAACTAGAAATACCATTTGATCCAGCCATCCCATTACTGGGTGTATATCCAAAGGATTATAAATCATGCTGCTATAAAGACACATGCACACATATGTTTACTGCGGCACTATTCACAATAGCAAAGACTTGGAACCAACCCAAATGTCCATCAATGATAGGCTGGATTAAGAAAATGTGGCACATATACATCATGGAGTACTATGCAGCCATAAAAAAGGATGAGTTCATGTCCTTTGTAGGGACATGGATGAAGCTGGAAACCGTCATTCTCAGCAAGCTATCACAAGGACAGAAAACCAAACACTGCATATTCTCACTCATAGGTGGGAACTGAACAATGAGAATGCTTGGACACAGGGTGGGGAACATCACACACCGGGGCCTGTCATGGGGTCGAGGAGAGGGGAGGGATAGCATTAGGAGATATACCTAATGTAAATGATGAGCTAATGGGCGCAGCACACCAACATGGCACATGTAATACATATGCAACAAACCTGCACGTTGTGCACATGTACCCTAGAACTTAATGTATAATAAAAAATAAATAAATAATTAATTAAATAAAAAATCATTCTGACTACTATGTGGAGAGCAGACTGGTAGGGGCACACACGGAATAGACAGAGTGGTTAGGAAGTTTTGAAGTAGTCTAGAGAGAGAAGTGAGGAGGTTCTGGCTAAAAATATGCAGAAAGGGATGGAGAACCTCTGGCAGAGGTGAGAGAAATTTAGAAACTAAAATCAACAAGAACCAGAGATTAGTTGGATATGGGGGGAAAGAAGGAGTTGGATAAAGAAGAGGATAATTTCGAAGATAAATAGCTGACTTCCAGGTTTCTGGTTTCTATAAATGGATGGAAGTCAGGGCCATTCCTTGAGATTGGGAATGGTGGAAGAGGACCAAAGAGGGGTCTCTGCGTTTCATTTTAAAGATACTGTCTGAGCTATCTTTGAGCTGCTTAAGGGGAGACATTAAGTAGTCAGCTGGATTTATAACCTTGGAGCACAGGGGAGAGGTTTGAGCTCTAGGAGGAACCATGGAAGCTGTGGTTATAAATTTGATAATCTAGAAGTTCAGAATGGAGAGCAGATGGTTCAGAATTGGGCCTTGAGGAATTCCAACATTCAAAGACGGGGGAAAGGAACACGGACCTGAAAAAGAAATAGAGAGAACACTGAAAGAACCAAAAAAAAAAAAAAATTTCAAGAACAAGGGGTACTCAGTAATGTTAACTGCTACTGTGTATTTAAGATGATAAGATTTTTTTTACATCTACTAGATTCAGTGATATGGAGGTTTTCTACAACCTTAGTGGAAGATTTGGCTGTGTAATAATCAGGAAAAAAGCATGATTAAAGTTGGTGAATGCTGAGTAAGCAAGAAGGAAATGGAGACTCTAAATACAGACAATTTTGTTGAGAAATCTGATTTGGAAGGAGAAGGATATGATATGATGGTACCTGGAGGAGAATGTGGTACTGACCAAGAGTTGGGTTCATTTGTTTAAATGGAGAAGAGTTGAGCCTGTTTAAAAGCTGACTGGGAATATCAAGGGCCCCCCAGTAGTCAAAACCATTTTGAAAAAGAAGAACAAAGTTGGAGGATTCGCATTTCCTGATTTCAAAATATATTACAAAACTAATCAAAAACAGTGTGGTTCTGGCATAAAAACAGACACATAAACCAGTGGAACAGAAAAGAGATCCCAGGAATAAATCCTCACATAAATGGTCAAATGATCTTCCACAAGGGTGCCAAGACTATTCGATGGGGAGAAAGAACAATCTTTTCAACAAACGATGCTGAGAAAACTGGATATTCATATGCAAAAGAACGAAGTTGAACCTTACCTTACATAATATACAAAAATTAACTCAAAATGGATTAAAGACAGAAATGTAGAGAGAGAACCCTGGAAAAGCAAAGTATCACGGACCCAATCTATAAAACTTCCAGAAGAAAAGAGAGGAAAAGCTTTATGACATTGGGGTGGACTTCATGATTTCTTGCATATGACACCAAAAGCACATACTACAAAAGCAAAAACAAACAAATGGGACATCAAACTTAAAAACCTTTAGGTATCAAAAGACACAATCAACAAAATGAAAAGGTAACCTACAGAATGGGAGAAAATATTTGCAAAACATATGAAAGAGTTAATCCTCAAAATACATTTTAAAACTCCTACAATTCAACAACGAAAAAATCAGATAATCCAACTTAAAAATGGGCAAAGGACTTAAATAGACATTTCTACAAAGATGATATATAAATACCCAACAAGCATATGAAAAGATACTCAACATTACTAATCATTAGATAACTGCAAATCAAAATCACAATGAAATACTACTTCATAGCTTGATAGTAGAATGATTACTACCACAAAAACAAACAACAACAAATCAGAAAAGATCTAGTGTTAGCAAAGATGTGGAGAAATTAGAATCCTCATGCACTCCTGGTGAGATTGTAAAATGGTGCAACCACTATGAAAATCAGTATGGTGTTTCCTCAAAAAATTAAAAATAGAACTAGCGTATGATCTAGTGATCTCAATTCTGGGTATACATCCAAAAGAATTGAAAGCGGGGTCTTGAAGAGATATTTGCACACTCATCTTCATAGATGCACTATTCACAAACTCTAAGAGGTGGAAGCAATCCAGATGTCCACTTATGGATGAATGGAGAAAAAAAAATGTAGATACCCATACACTGGAACATTATTCAGCCTGAAAAAAAGAAGGAAATCTTGTCACATGCTACGACACGGATGAACCTTGAGGACATTATGTAAGTGAAACCAGTCAGTAACAAAAAGATATATATTGTAGGATTCCACTTAGATGGGGTATCTAAAGTTGTCAAATTCATAGAAACAGAAAGTAGAATGCTGGTTACCAGGGGTTGAGGGGAGGGGGAAAAGGGGGCATTGTTGTTTAATGGGTATAGAGTTTCTGTTTTGCAAAATGAAAAAGTTCTGGACATCTGTTTCACAATAATGTGAATATACTTAACACACTGAACTGTACACTTAAAGATGGGCAATTGTGTTTTAAAAACACAGTACCATATGTTTTTATCACAATAAAAAAATTAATTTAAAGTTTTTTACTGAAAAAAAAGCTGACTGGGAAGATCAAACTGACAGGTTAAATTTATTTATTATTTATTTATTTATTTATTTATTTAAAAAGCAGGTACCTGTGCCAGACACTGTGCTAAGTATTTCATATGTGTTAACTTACTGAGTTCCCATAATAAACCTATGACTTAGGTATTTTTATTTTTGTTTGATAGCTAAATAAAAACTGGCACAAATAGATGAAGTAACTTCCCCAAAGTCACACAGCTGGGAAAGCCAAAATTTGACACCAAAAAAAATGGAGCAGTCTGTGCTTTCCACTACTATGCTGCACATCAGAGAAGTGACAGTCACATTAGGTTTGAGAAGGTTTGGATCCCACTTTGGGATCCAAAGTGAGGGCCACAGGTTCCTATTCTTTCTCAGTTCACAGTACCATTTGTGTCTCTCTAATTTTTTACAGTGCCCCTAGGCCAAAAGAAATACCAATAGTTCCATTTATTAAATAGATTAAAGCAACTTAATAAGTATTTATGTCCTAATAAGTTAATAGCCATTTGGAAATATAATACACAGAGATTGAAAGAAAAAGATTTTTATTTCATTCCTAAATAACTACTTACTAACAAGTTGTGTGTACTAACAGAAGACAGGCACCACAAAACTTGTCAAATTTTGAAATCAAATTGGACATCCTCACCCTAATTCCTGTTCTATGCTGATTATTGTGTAGTAGCTGCTTTTTATCACAGCAAGCCCTGAAAACCCAGCTTCAAATAGCTATGACAACCTGAAAAAGAATGTAGCATAAACTAACATTGAAACTCTGAACTATCTGGGGCTAATAGTTTGTATCTTCGACAGTAGTCTCTGTGTTTTCCTTGAGACTTTAAAAAATATCCTGCAGCATGCCTGTGAATTCACTGTAGTACCCAGGGTGCCTCTGTGCCTAGTTTGGGAACTTTAGGTCTAGGTGGAAGACTTGGCTCAGATAAAACAAGGGACTGTTCTATTATGGGAGAAGGATGAACACAAAAATAGACCAATTTATATGCTTAGTGGGGCCTCACAATTCAACCTAGGATTCCACTAAGACCAACAGGACTACCAAAGGACAGGTACTTCTTCACTGTGGAGAGCCACTGTGAACATTTTATATACAATACTATTTTATGAGTAGTTATAACTGCTTTTCATTTCACAGTCACTTGTTAAGTAGTTTATCTG
Source organism: Homo sapiens (assembly GCF_000001405.40). Lineage (NCBI taxonomy): Eukaryota > Metazoa > Chordata > Mammalia > Primates > Hominidae > Homo > Homo sapiens. The sequence goes on from NC_000002.12 coordinate 63,466,282, forward strand.
CTAAGTTAATATTTTTATTTTTGAAAAAAACACTTTATTAAAAAAACTAAGGGACATATAAATTACAATTTGGCAAAAGTACCTTATGTGTTTTCTCTATTAGTTACATTGACATATATATATATAAAACGTAATATTCTCAAATATCACGAATATAAATTTGCTGTGTTTTCACACTTAACCTTAGATGCTTAGTTTATACATACATTTATATCACATTCTAACTTGTACATTTAATACAAAGTTATAAATTTAAAATAAGTCACTTTTTAAGTTTCTACAAAACTGATAAAACCTGATTAAAAAATCAGTACTAGTATTTAAATATAATTTATTAAAGTCTTCTCATTAGCTAACTATGGAAGTACAACTTTACCCTCCCTTTAAAAACTAGATAAATATTTGGTATGTGTTTGTAAAAGACACGTGAAAAACAACAAGAGAGGAGTTAGATTATTCAGATTTGAACTCATTTAGCTTGACACATATGATTAACTATAACTGAATAAATATGAGAAAAATTAATAGTCCTGAACTGGCTTCCTTTGTAGCAAAATACGTGGAAGCTTCCAAAACGTTATTAGTCATGAATGCCAACAGTGGAGCCAGGAAATTAAGAGTTTCTTTAAAGAAATGTTTTAAAATGAAAACAATTAATAAAAGCAAAGAAATAACCATTTATGAAGAGAACAGGAAGAAAATGTTGATTGATGATACAAAGATATATTATTAAAAAGAAGACCAAGTGTTTCTTTGTGTCACAACCATGTTGCAAAATCGGGTAAATATTCTACTGTATTCTTAAGCATAAATAATATATCAGTCAATTATCATAGGTCATTGAATTTTGGATTGAAGTAGTCAAGATACAATGTAAATTTCCTGTTTTTCTTGGAAAGGAATAAAAATTTTGTCCAAGGTCCAGCGGTGGCTCACACCTGTAATCCCAGCACTTTGGGAGGCCAAGGTGGACAGATCACCTGAGGTCAGGAGTTTGAGAGCAGCCTGGCCAGCATGGTGAAACCCCATCTCTACTAAAAATACACAAATAAGCCGGGCATGGTGGCACACACTTATAATCCCAGCTGCTCAGGAGGCTGAGGCAGGAGAATCACTGGAACCCAGGAGGTGGAGGTTGGAGTGAGCCGAGATTGCACTCCATCCTGGGCAACAGAGGGAGACCCCATCTCAAAAAAACAAACAAACAAAAGAAAATGCCAGGCGTGGTGGCTCAGGCCTGTAATCCCAGCACTTTGGGAGGCCAAGGCAGGTGGATCATGAGGTCAGGAGTTCAAGACCACCCTGGCCAATATGGTGAAACCCCATCTCTACTAAAAATAAAAAATTAGTCAGGTGTGGTGGTGCACGCCTGTAGTCCCAGCTACTCGGTAGGCTAAGGCAGGAGAATTGCTAGAACTTAGGAGGCAGAGGTTGCAGTGAGCGAAGATTGTGCCACTGCACTCCAGCCTGGGCGACAGAGCAAGACTCAGTCTCCAAAAAAAAAAAAAAAAAAAAAAAATTGCCCAAGGAAGACTAATTATCAAGGGCATGATATTAAACTCACTAGCTGAACATTTAAGATTCCTCAGGTACAATGTTGTGTGTATACACAAACATACACACATCCTTTAATGTAAATCTTTGTGAGTGTGATGGCTATGGCTGTATGCCACTCAGAACTCCTTCAAGAGGAACTGAGGCTGGCGGTAAAGTTGATGGAGAGAAGCCACACTTTCCCTGGGTGGCTACCAGCCAACGACTGAGCATCACTGGGTACTAGGGCCAGCCCAATCCTGTCCAACAGGGGATTCCTCTAATGAATAACATTTGGCCTGGCTGAAACTTTCTCAGCACCATGCTTCAGCCTGCACCTCTTTCTATCCAACCCTCCTTCCTTCTCTCTCCTTTCACATGTTCAGACTAGCATCATAGTTTAAAAGCTCTCCCCACCTACTCCTGCTCCCTTCTTCATCATCTTTCACATCTCCCCCACAAATCTCTCACATGGCTAGTACTATCTTGCCATCTGCTTCTTAGAAGACCCAAACTGACACTGAGCATGATTGAAAAGGATTTCAATTAAAGGAATGCATGTATAAATTGTTAAAATGTCAGAGAATACTTGGAATTAAAACAGCTGTTTACTGTCTTACCTCCACCCCACAGCCTCTCATCCCACTCTCAAAGATAATCATTTTCAATTCTCTTAGCAGCTTCTTCTGTTGCTACCTCACACTTCTAAGTAACATGATATGTTAGTTAGAAATGCATTCTTGTGTATGTAACACAAACCTGAAAACTCACTAGTTAACCAAATAGGGCTTGTTATTCTCACTTAGAAAGAAATATGAAGTTGAGCAGTCCAGGACTATAAAGCATCTCCATGATGTCATCAGATACCAGGCACCTACGTTCTATTCCCTCCCCCCTTAGCAGGTATGTTTTTCTTTCTGTCTGTCTCTCTCCTTCTTTCTTGCCAACAGCTCCAGCAATTAATGCTCCCCTTTCCCTGCATTGATTTCCCTCTTTCCATTGGATTATTCTCATTAGCATACCAATATCTGTTATTTCTCTCATCTAAAAAAGAAAGAAAAAATTAAAACCTCTTTTGACTCCATTTCTCCATCAAGCTCCTACTCTATTTCTCCATTTTCCTTTACAACATTAACCCTTTTTATAAGCCCCTAATTTCTCTCCTCCCATTTTCTCTTAAATACAAGAAAAAAAAAAGCCCATTAAAAAGTGGGCAAAGGACATGAACTGACACTTTTCAAAAAAAAAAGACATACATGCAGCCGACAACTCTATGAGAAAAAGCTCAATATCGCTGAGCATTAGAGAAATGTAAATCAAAACCACAATGAGATATCATCCCACACCAGTCAGAATGGCTATTACTAAAAAGTCAAAACATAACAGATGCTGGTGAGGTTGCAGAGAAAAGGAATGCTTATACACTGTTGGTGGGGGTGTAAATTAGTTCAACCACTTGGGGGAAAGCAGTGTGGAGATTCCTCAAAGTCCTAAAGTCAGAAATACCATTTGACCTAGCAATCCCATTACTGGGATATACCCAAAGGAATATAAATAGTTCTATCATAAAGACACATGCATGCATATATTCATTGCAGCACTATTCACAATAGCAAAGACATGGAATCAACCTAGATGCCCATCAGTGGTAGACTGGATAAAGAAAATGTGGTACATGTATACCATGGAATACTATGCAGCCATAAAAAGGACTAAGACCATGTTCTTTCCAGGAACATGGATAGCGCTGGAGGCCATTATCCTTAGCAAACTAACTCAGGAACATAAAATCAAATACCACATGTTCTCACTTGTAAGTGGGAGCTAAATGATGAGAACACATGAACAAAAAGAAGGGAACAATAGACACTGGGGCCTACCTGAGGATGGAGTGTGGGAGGTGGGAGAGGAGCAAAAGAAATCACTACTGGGTACTCAGCTTAGTACCAGGATGACAAAATAATCTGTATAACAAACCCCCATGACACATATTTACCTATATAACAAACCTGCACATGTACTCTTGAACCTAAAATAAAAGTTTTTTAAAAAATACTTTCCAATCAGGCTTCTACCATCACCTTCCATTGAAACTGCTTTTATCTAGATCATGAATGACCTGCATGCTCCTCCATGCAGTGGCCAATGGCCACCATCTTGTTACAGGTATCTTGGCATACTAGTAACACTCCACTTTATTCTTGAAACTTGGTTTCCAGGACACCACACTCCCTTCATTGTGCTCTACTTCTCTAGCTACTCCATTCTGTCTCCTTTCTTCATCTTCCCTTTTCTCCGTCTCTCTAATCTTAAAATGTTAGTGGACTCCAGGGCTCCACTCTTCAGTCTCCTCTGTTTCTCTGTCTACACCCACTCCTTTGGTGATCTTCACCAGTCTTTTGGCTTTTAGTGCCATCTGTGTTGCTGCCACTCAAATTTATACATCTGGCCCAAATCTTTCCCTCAACTACAAATTCCAATAATCAACAATCTATTTGACTTCTCTAATTGGCTATCTAATGGGCATTTCAAACATACCATGTCCAAAATTGAACTTCTGATAAGTCCCTCAAAAATATCTCTTCTCAATCTTCCCCACATCAGTAAATGACAACTCCATTCTTCCAATTCCTCAGAAATTTCCTCTATACCCCACATTTGATCCATCGGCAAATTCTGATGCCTCAACACTCAAAATATACCCAGAATCTGGCCATTTCTCACCACTCCACTGCTATCATCCAGTCAAAGCCACCATCACACCTTACCCTGGACTACGGCAACAGCCTTCTAACTCATCTTTTTCACTGTCTTCAATCTATTCCCATCAATAGCTACAGTGATCCAATTAAAAAGTAAATTGAAACATATTTCTCCACTCAAAACTCTTCAAGAGCTTCTCTTCTCATTTAGAGTAAAAGCCAAGCCCTCTGGATGACCTAGAAGACATATAACTAGTGTCACATTTCCTTTCTGACCTCAATTCCTACTACTCTTCTTGCTCATTTCACCCCACTCATATCAACTCCCTGCTATTCTTCAAACATGCCAGGTATACTCCCATCTCAGGGCCTTTGTACCTGTTGTTCCCTCTACCTGGAACGCTCTTCCGCAGGTATCTTCCATGGTTTACTCCCTCACTTCCTTCATATCTTAATCTCAATCTGGGGATACTTCATTAAGGCCTTTCCTGGCCACCAAATATGAGGCCCAGCCTGCCCTACCATCCCCCATCATGCTTTCTTGCTTGCTTTTATTTTTCTCTAGTAGTTGCACTCTCTTACATATTTTCCTTATTCATCTTTTCTTGACTCTGTCCTCTTTTAGAACATAAGCTACATGAGAACAGGGATATTGGTCACTTTTGTCCCTTTTGTTCACTGCTATCCCCAGCACATAGAATACTATCTGGCATATTGTTGGTACTAAATAAATATGCATTGAGTGAATGAATGGTCACAAGCTGCCCCTACCCTTTCTGGATCATATCTCAGATTCAGACTTCTAAAAGAAGGCGAAGAGCAGAAGCGGAGAAGTTATAACCCAATTCTTGGAAGTCCCACCAGTAACCTCTGCTTAGCAAAGCAAGACGTGCTTCATATGGCCAACTGCAGCTGGAAGGGGAATAGGAAAGCCAAGAATTTTTAATTGGTTATATTGCTACTCTGAACATCAAAGTCAGTTCATAAGGAAAAATGGATGATGGACAAGCAAGGAGTAGTGTCTTCAATAGATGCTGTTTCTTGATTTAGTCATTACTTATTGACTTCCCATTACCATATATGCAGATTTACCATATCTCTTATTATCTCTTATTAATTATCTTACATTAAATGATCTATCAGTTGCTTTCCATCTCTTCAACATCCTTCCTGGAACCTCCCATTCCCTGCCCCTATTTGGACTAGCTGCTCTCTGAGACTAAGGCACAGTCATTCTAAAACTTTGTTTCACCTCTTTCCTGTATGAAATTCACTGTTTCTTGATTCCTAAGAATCTTGTTTACTCTATGGCTTTAGGGCATCACATCTTTCAATAACTTCCTGAGAAAAGTTCTTGGCAGGTAAATTTTTTTGAGAGCTACTAAGTCTGAAAGTGTCTGGCTTGAATGACAATTTAGAATTTTTTTTTTAATTATTATTATACTTTAAGTTTTAGGGTACATGTGCACAATGTGCAGGTTACATATGTATACATGTGACAATTTAGAATTTTAGATACAGAATTATAGGCTAAAAATCACTTTCTTTCCGAATTTTGAAGGCCTCATTGTATTCTAACTCCTCGTGTTACTGTTGAGAAGTCTGATATAATCCTGATTCCCAATCTTTTGTATGTATCTTGCTGTTTTTTCTTTTCTTTTTTTTTAAACTCTAGAAGTTTTTTGGATTTTCTTTTTTTCTCTCTTTGATTTCCTAAAATTAACAAAAATGCCTTTTCTAAAATTCACAAAATATGCCTATTAATCTTTTTTTAATCATTGGGTCCTTTCAAACTACAGACATGCCTTCAGTTCGGGGAAATTTTCTTTTATTATTTCTTTTATTCTTCTCTTCTGTTTTCTATTATTAGTTAGATATTACATCTTTTGACTTAATATTCTAATTTTTTTTATCTCCTATCACCTTTGGTTCATTATCATGTCCCTTTGTCATTCTGTTCCACATTATAGGGATATTTCAACTTTATCTTTCAAATGTATTAATTTTTCTATTTACGCTGTCATGTTCTTGCAAGAATTCCTTTCCCTTTTTCCTGATTATTACTTTTATTTTTTATTTTTTATTTTTTTGATATGGAGTCTCACTCTGTCTCCCAGGCTGGAGTACAGTAGTGCGATCTTGGCTCACTGCAACCTTCGCCTCCTCCCGAGTAGCTGGGATTACAGGTGTGTGCCACCACGCCTGGCTAATTTTTGTATTTTTAGTAGAGACAGGGTTTTGCCACATTGGCCAGGCTGGTCTGGAACTCCTGACCTCAGGTGATCCACCCACCTTGGCCCCCCAAAGTGCTAGGATTACAGGCGTGAGCCGCCGTGCCCAGCCAATTATTCCTTGTTAAAAACAGCATACCATTCTTGTTTCCAGGATGCAACATCTTCTCTTATTTCTCTGTGGATACACATTTTAATTCTCTGAATTTAGTTCCATTTACGGCATTGTCCCTGATTCTATTTTCTGAAGCCTTAGACTTACAGATCTGAGATTTACAGATGGAGAATTTCCACAAAAGTATGGTGATCTCTGGCTCTCCGATTACATTTAAAGGTGATTAGAAAGTTGGTTTACATGGGTAGGCTTGTTAACTTGAGCCTCATTGTAAGGAGGTTAGTTGGCACAGCTACCTTTTCAGAGAGAACTGTCAAACATCAGTATGTATACGTTTTACTCTGGGAAGAATAATCTATTTTTCCAGAGAAGGATCCTCTAAGCAAGTAACATAGAGACATAAGCCTTGTTGCTGGAGCAGGGAAAGAGTTGGGAAAAACCTCACTATTCTGGATACAGACTCAATTAATCACCTTATTTTCAGTCTAGCCACCTCATGTTTACTTTTTAATGTGCTTAGTGTTTTCAAGTCCAGAAACCCTGTGGGTTGGTGTCTCCCAAAAATTATTCCATCTCATTTTCTCTTTATACAAACTTTCAACATACCCCCTTATTTTAAGTTCTACCTCCTAATGCACTTGGTCATCCCAATATTTGTGCCTTTCTGGGGTTCTATAGTACTAAACTTTTATTCCCCATTGGTATCTTTTGCTGCAACCACTGATATTTCAGGAAAGCCTGTGGTCTGTAAAGTCAGGTACCACATAGCCATCTGGTTTGCAACTTCCAAAAACCGATATCTCCTATTTTCACAGCCTTTTTATTCTCTTTGTCCTCATGACTTTACATCTTTTTTTTCCCATTGCTTTACTATAATTTAGTGAAGTTATAAGAGGAAATGAGAATAATAATATAGCTTTAATTACCCATGTTTAATGGGAAGACCTATGTGTGTTCCATATCTTACTGTGATTGAGGATATTTTTATTTGAATATTTTTTCTATAATTACGTTTTGCTGAAAAACAGTATGATATACAGTGACTAAGGGCATGAACTTTGAAGCCACCTTATTTGAGTGTGAATCCTGGTATGACTTACTAGTTGTGTAATTAATCCTTATTCCTGTTTTATCATCTATTAAATGGAGACATAATAGCTATCTCTAAGGGCTGTGAGGAGTACAGTGAGTTAATATTTGTTCTATGAGAAATGAAAATGAGTTAATATTTATAAAATACTCAAAGATTGCCTGGCACATAGGAAATGCTATATAAATTTTAAATAAAAAATGTATATTCAGGTAATATAGAACTTAAATAAATACATACAGAATTGAAGAATATCCAATTACAGGATATCAGAGGTAACTAGAATTGTGTCTTCCAGTGCATTTTTTAATAATTTTACACACATAAATACATATCCATGGCAAATTAGAAAATTTATGTTACATAAATGGAATCAAAGTATACATAAAAAGTTCTGCACTAATTGGCAGACATAAGATGGTTCTCAATTTTAAACATTTACTTTAATTGGACATTTATGTGAATGTTTCTCTAGTATACATATCTAACAATAGAATTGCCCTCCAATTGGCAATTGTACACTCTGACCAGTGATTTATGAAAATACTCATTTTCCTATAAACTTACCATTAATATCTGAGGCTGTTAAATATTTGCTTATCTCCTGAGTGGAAAAAGTAGTATCTCACTGCTATTTTAATTTGTACATTTTAATGATTGGTAGGAAAAGCTCTTTAAAACCATCTGTATCTGAGAGGGATGGGCAACTGGGTGGAGGAAGAATAATAGGCAGATTCAACAATATTGGTAATAATCTAATTCATTAGTTCAGTGTTGGGTTCACGTGTTTATTTTATGACACATGAAAAAGAATATATGTAATGTATTAATGTAAGTTCAAATATTATGTGTTAAAATAATTAGGCCATATGTACAGTATATGTATATCAACTATGTAATCTTTTAAGCAAATACTTGTAAGTAAATGTCTGCACAGTAAAAAGATAAATATCAAATGGTGAATAGTGGGTAATACTGAGTGGCTGAATTAGATGATTTATGTCCCTTTGGGCTTCTCTGTGTTTTCCAAATTTTCTGCCTTAAGCATGTCTGTTATTTTCATAATTTTAAAGAAAACCAGTAAATACTTTTTTTTTAAGTGGGAAAATATAAAGTGCTAAGCTGCCACATACTGGCTAAGTTCAGTAGCCCCTACACAGTATTATTTATTTGTTTATCATAATAGTGAAACTAGCCCAACCCTGCAACAAAACAGTTGTAGAGTATGTCAAAAGAGGAAATCAAATACACATCTATGGAGCAATCTTTTCAGACTACCTTTCTAGCCCTTAATTTGTGCTTATCAAAAGACAGTTTTTCTTTGATGGTACATTTCCCCTGACTAGGAATGTTGTCCTTTCTCTTTCTGCTTGCCTAAAGTTATGTCCTTCCTGCAAAGTCCAGCTATGTCCAGTCTCCTTTATGAAATCTTAACCAACTACTTTAATCAGCAACAACCTCTGAACTTAAGATACTGTACTTTAGATATTAAACTTTAGATACTGTATCAACAAATATAACATTTAATATCAAATTATCCTTTAATATTTTATACATTAGTTTCATTTCCCAAATATATTTCAAATTTCCATCTAATATTTTCACTAGTCCCTAACATAAAGATGGGTTTCTTGTTGAGCCTCAACAAATGCCTGTTGATAGAGAGCTTAATAATAACAACATTGAGACTTGTAAGTAGTTAAATATTAAAACAGGAATCAAAATATAAGTTAAGGCTTTTTCAGGCCCTCTGACTTCTAAACCCTCTAATTTTTAGGGAAATAAACTTCTCCACAGTTCCTCATTACTCTAATTGATCTTTATGTTTCTTCTGTTGGCTTAATTTTCCTCTCCTGTCCTCCAAATGAGAAGATCCTTGGCTCTAGCTCTTCTCCCAAGATACTCATCTACTCCTTCTTGAGGGCACCCTCTTAGATGGTTTTAGTATCACCTCTTAGGTGATTTGGGAGGCTGTCTCCTCTCAAATTTTCAACACCAACCTTTCACTGCGGTTCCATACTTCCAATAATATCATCATTTGATTACCTCTGGTCACTTCACATGTAACAGAGTCAAAACTAAATTTTTTACCTGTCATTCTAAATTTTTCTGGCTTTCAAAACCCTCTGCACCTTAAGCTCACTGTACTTATCATTTGAAATGATTTCAGGGCCTCTGGTTCTCACGTGTTACCCTACATCCCACTGCCAGGCTAATCCTTCTATAAGCCTAATTTTAATATGGTACTCCGCAATATGAAAGTGTTTACAGTGTTACAGGACAATGTGTCAGTTCCTTAATATAACATTCAAAGTCCCCGACGAGGAAGTTCCAAGGTGCCTTTCTAGTCCCTTCATTCTTCAACATGAACCATGTATTTCTAAATGGGCTCACCTCCTCAATACTATGTAGACACCCTATTTAAGTCTCAATTAATATAATTCCCTTTTTCTGGAATACTTTTCCTTTCGGCTTAACCAAATTTCACACAGCTTTTTAGGTCTAAGTAAAGTTATAAATTCTCCACAAATTTGTTCTTATTTTATGCTATGCTTTCTCTAAACTTCTACCATCATTTTACTCAGTGTCATACAATTTGGCACTCATTAGTGTCCTAGTGATTTCATGTGTCTATTTTCCTTGACTAGGTTATGCTGTGGACCCAGTCCATGCCTTATATTTCTTTAGTGACTCCCACAGTTCTTCCCACAATGGTTGAAATCAATAAATACTGTGTGATGAGTTTTGTATAAATAATAAGCTATTATTAATAGTTATAACTTGAAAACATGGTATGTCTATTATTATTTTATGAGAAAAGCAAATTGAGTTTCGCACAACTTGACAAAAAGAAAAATCAAGTTCTACAATTAAGGGAGTTGTGATCAAATGAGTTTCATAAGGTCACAATTTATCTGTGATAGGCTTGGAAAATAATTTGTACTTTTACATAGCCTGTCAAATAATTTACCAGAGGCATTTAAAAAGGAAACTATCTTTAGTTGACCTTTTATGATTGTGCCTGAAAATGCAGAATTGTTATGGATGGAAACCATGGTACAGCTGACTATATTATATACTTTTATAGTTAAATTTACATGCACAATTCAAATAATTTAATCCAAAATGAACATATATGAAGTTACATCTATACTTAATGATAATACTGTTTTAAACTAATTGCATAATAATCTACAAACATGAATGTGACTTAAACCATAATACTTTATTAAATTCAAAAATTCCACCAGACTAATGAACAATTTAATAGTATATTAATGTTAAAACTATTATTCTCTAGGAACAGATTTATAATGATTTAAGAAATTCAAAGCAAGAAATTATTAAACACTTTTAGTGAAATGATTTTAGGAGACAAAAAAAATGTGAGAAATATATTAAATAGCTGGTAAAACTAAAACTATATATCTCATACCTTTTAATGTATCCCAAACTAGGGACAGGCATTGTCTGAAGAAAATCAACTTTAAAAGACAATTTTTATCCTCAACATATGTATAGGTAAGTCTTGATTTGAAAACCATTCTGGGAGGTAGAAGGAAAATGGTGGATAGGAGGCAGGACTAAACTAAAGCTCCCACTCAGACACACAGAGCAGCACGTGGGGACACACATCATGAACTTTTGCTCCAAGAACTACCACAGGAACTTAACAGAAAAGCCAAAAGAATCCACAGACCCTCTGAAGGAAGTAGATTGCTCCTGCAGGCCCTGGGAAACAGCCCCAAAACCGTGAGTGCCCGAAGTGTGAAAGTGGGAAAGGAGGATCATCCACCCCCGAACACACACCCTAAATAGGGAACCTAAAGGTCTAGATCACAGGAGAAGGATCTCACCTTACCTGGAGCTGAGACAATTTTAGAGAGCCAAGCAAAACAAAAGGGTAGAAGCAGCAGTGGGAAGAGAACTATGGGCTCTCAGTCCCCAGGGAAGCCATTTCTGACTTTTGTCTTGCAGAGATCCTTGGGAAGGGCTCCCTGGGAAGAGACCACAGGGAGAAGGAAACTTCCAGCTCAACTTTGTAACAATTTCAACCAAATGTGAATGTGAAGTTTGCTGGACAGAACTCAAGGGAGGGGGTGAATTGGGAGTGCAGACACAGCACAGAAGAGACAAAGAGTGACATTATATAATGATAAAATGACTTGTCCAACAGGAAAAATATCACAATCCTAAACATATATGCACCTAACAATGGAGGCCCCAAATTTATAAAACAATCACTATTCGACCTAAGAAATTAGATAGACAGCAACACAGTATTAGCAAGGGACTTCAATACTCCACTGACAGCACTAGACAGGTCATCAAGACCAAGTCAAAAAAGAAACAGTGGATTTAAGCTATACCCTAGAAAAAAAATGGATTTAACAGATATTTACAAAACATTCCATCCAACAACTGCAGAATATACATTCTATTCATCAGCATATGGAACTTTCTCCAAGATGGACCATAGAATAGGCCACAAAACAAGTCTCAGTAAATTTAAGAAAACTGAAATTATATCAAGTACTCTCTCAGACCACAGTAGAATAAAACTCCAAAAGGAACCCTCAAAACCATGCAAATACATGGAAATTAAATAACCTGCTCCTCAAAGATTGTTGGGTCAACAATGAAATCAAGATGGAAATTTAAAAATTCTTTGAACTGAACCATAATAGTGACTCAGCCTATCAAAACCTCTGCGATACAGCAAAGATGGTGCTAAGAGGAAAGTTCATAGCCTTAAATGCGTACATCAAAATGTCTGAAAGAGCACAAACCATCTCAGGTCACACCTCAAGGAACTAGAGAAACAAGAACAAACCAAACCCAGACCCAGCAGAAGAAAAGAAATAACAAAGATCAGAGCAGAACTACATGAAACTGAAACAAACAAACAACAACAACAACAAAAACACACACGATAAATGCAACAAAAAGCCGGTTTCTTTGAAAAGATAAATAAAATTGATAGACCATTAGCAAGATTAACCAAGAAAAGAAGAGAGATGATCAAAATAAGTTCAAAACGGGAGATATTACAACCAATACCACAGAAATACAAAAAAAAAAAATCATTCAAGGCTACTATGAACACCTTTATGCCCATAAACTAGAAAACCTAGAAGAGACGGATAAATTCCTGGAAATATACAACCTTCCTAGATTAAACCAGGAAGAAATAGAAACTCTGAACAGACCAGTAACAGGCAGCAAGACTGAAATGGTAATATAAAAAACTGCCAACAAAAAAAAGTCCAGGACCAGACAAATTCACAGCTGAATTCTATCAGATATTCAAAGAAGAATTGGTATCAATCCTATTGACACTATTCCACAAGATAAAAAGGAAATCCTCCCTAAATCATTCTATGAAGCCAGTATCACCCTAATACCAAAACCAGGAAAGGACATAACAAAAAAAAGAACACTACAGACCAATATTCCTGATGAATATAGATGCAAAAATCCTTAACAAAATACTAGCTAACTGAATTCAACAACACATCACAAGATAATCCACCATGAGCAAGTGGGTTTCATACCAGGGATGCAAGGATAATTTAACATACTCAATTCAATAAATGTGATACACTGCATAAACAGAATTAAAAACAAAAATCACATGATCATCTCAATAGATGCAGAAAAAGCATTCGACAAAACCCTCAGCAAAACTGGCATAGAAGGGACATACCTTAATGTAATAAAAGCCATCTATGACAAACCCACAGCCAACATAATACTGAATGGGGAAAGGTTGAAAGCATTTCCCCTGAGAAGTGGAACAAGACAAGGATGCTGACCCTCAACACTTCTATTCAACATAGTACTGGAAGTCCCAGCCAGAGCTGGAACAAGACAAGGATGCTGACTCTCAACACTTCTATTCAAAATAGTACTGGAAGTCTCAGCCAGAGCAATCAGACAAGAGCAACAAATCAAGGGCATCCAAATGGGTAAAGAGGAAGTCAAGGTGTCACTGTTTGCTGATGATACAATCGTTTACCTTGAAAACCCTAAAGACTCCTCCAAAAGGCTCCTAGAACTGATAAACTAATTCAGTAAAGCTTCAGGATACAAAATTAATGTATACAATCAGTAGCTCTGCTATTATCAGTAGCCCAACAGCTACCAAGCTGAGAATAAAATCAAGAACTCAACCCTTTTACAATAGCTGCAAAAGAAAAAAAATATTTAGATATATACCTAACCAAGGAAGTGAGAGATCTCTACAAGGAAAACTACAAAACCCTGCTGAAAGAAATCACAGATCACACAAACAAATGGAAATACATCCCATGCTCATGGATGGGTAGAATCAATATCATGAAAATGGCCATACTGCCAAAAGCAGTCTACAAATTCAATGTAATTCCCATCAAATACCACCACCATTCTTCACAGAACTAGAAAAAACAATCCTAAAATTCATATGGAACCAAAAAAGGGCCCGCATAGCCAAAGCAAGACTAAACAAAAAGAACAAATCTGGAGGCATCACATTTCCTGACTTCGAACTATAATACAAAGCCATAGTTACCAAAACAGCGTAGTGCTGGTATAAAAATAGGCACATAGACCAATGGAACAGAATAGAGAACCCAGAAATAAACCCAAATACTTACAGCCAACTGATCTCTGACAAAGCAAACAAAAACATACAGTGGGGAAAGGACACCCTATTCAACAAATGGTGCTGGGATAATTGGCAAGCCACATGTAGAAGAATGAAACTGGATTCTCATCTCTCACCTTATACAAAAATCAACTTAAGATGGATTAAGGACTTACACCTAAGACCTGAAACTATAAAAATTCTAGAAGATAACATTGGAAGAACCCCTCTAGACATTGGCTTAGGCAAGGATTTCATGACCAAGAACCCAAAAGCAAATGCAATAACAACAAAGATAAATAGCTGGGACCTAATTAAACTAAAGAGCTTTTGCACAGCAAAAGGAACAGTCAGCAGAGTAAACAGACAACCCACAAAGTGGGAAAAAATCTTCACAATCTATACATCTGACAAAGGACTAATATCCAGAATCTACAATGAACTCAAACAAATCAGTAAGAAAAAAAACAAACAATCCCATAAAAAAAGTGGGTTAAGGACATGAATGGACAATTTTCAAAAGAAGATATACAAATGGCCAGCAAACACATGGAAAAACGCTCAATATCACTAATGATCAGGGAAATGCAAATCAAAACCACAATGTGATATACCACCTTACTCCTGCAAGAATGGCCATAATCAAAAAATAAAAATAATAATAGATTTAGTGGGGATGTGGTGAAAAGGAAACACTTTTACACTGCTGGTGAAAATGTAAACTAGTATAACTACTATGGAAAACAGTGTGGAGATTCCTTAAAGAACTAAAAGTGGAACTATCATTTGATCCAGCAATCCCACTACTGGGTATCTACCGAGATGAAAAGAAGTCATTATACGAAAAAGATACTTGCCCATGCATGTTTGCAGCAGCACAATTCGCAATTGCAAAAATATGGAACCAGCCCAAATGCCCATCAATCAACAAGTGAATAAAGAAACTGTGGTAAATATATACCATGGAATACTACTCAGCCATAAAAAGCAATGAAATAATGGCATTCACAGCAATTTAGATGGAATTGCAGACCATTATTCTAAGTGAAGTAACTCAGGAATGGAAAACCAGACACTGTATATTCTCACTTATAAGTGGGAGTTTGATGTGAGGATGCAAAGGCATAAGAATGATACAATGGACTTTGGGGACTCACAGGAAAGGGTGGGAGGGGGGTGAGGGATAAAAGACTACAAATAGGATACAGTGAATACTGCTCGGGTGATGGGTGCACCAAAATCTCAGAAATCACCACCAAAGAACTTATTCATGTAACCAAACACCACCTGTTCCCCCAAAAACCTATGGAAATAAAAAACAAAAATAAAATTAAAAAATAAAAACAGGAGAAAAAATAAGTAAACATCCTGAAAAATAAAATAAACTACTATCCTCCAAAAAAAAAGAAAGAAAATAATTCTGAATTTACAGGTGACGGGAATTAGTTTTTAAATGGTACAATGTGCAGATCATTGGATTGACAACATCAACTAAGCTTTGGTAAATGATGAAAACTCACTGTTTGACACAGAGAAAGATCCAACCTCAGATTGCATCCTCTGAAATCTTATGTTGCTGTGGTTGCCTGGCTCATTTTTAAACAATTGGACTTTTTAAAGCAGTAAGGGATGACAACTAAAATAAATTCATAAATCCTAAATTTACCATTTCTTGGGAGAAAATGACGTACATTAGCAGAGGAGTAGCCAAATTAAAAGACTGAGCGTCCAAACATGTTAGCATGAAGATGTTGATGAACTTTTTCACTCCTTTTCTAAGAGTTATAGAGCATTATGTTGCAGTCAGCTGACATGTTATCTCTGGAACCACCATACTGGATATGTGCACAAAAGGAGGTCCCTTGGGGAGCCTGTTGAGGTGGTTTACTTACTTTATAACTAAGGAAAATTTAACAAAAATTTAACTAAAAGGGCTAAGGGGTTCATTCCCTTAAGCTAATAACGTAGCTTGAACATCAAAATTTTAATTTATTGCGATACCAGAGATCTTTTGAAATAGAACCTACATAGATTTTTAGAAGAACTAGCTAACAGTCTTAACTAGAAACTGAAGAAGTGAAGGGATAATGTTAGGAGGTCTCTCAAAGACTTTAAATATGTGAAGACTAACCTAGACCTGTGGGCAGGGTGGAGGTGAAGTTATCTTGTTAAAATATACCACATCAAGAATGTGCTGAGAGTATAAGGTCTATTTTAGAAATATCTTTATAATCATAGAAATGAAGCACAGAATATAACAGAACAACAAAAAAAGATAAGTCCTATTAGAAACGTTAAAAGCAGATTCATTGGTACACCAGCCTGATTAACCGATTAGATTACTGTAAATTACAAAAGTAATTATATATATATTTTATCATGAAAATTCCCTTTCTGAGTTGAATTAATGTAATAGTGAGGGACATTCTTCTCCAGACATCCCTTCGTCAGACACACACACAAAATTACTATTAAATTAAAATTCATTAAACTCTATCTAAAAAGGATTGTCTTTTGGGATGCTCCACTGCATATTTTAAGATGCCCGACATGTTCCAATTTACCCTGTGTGATGGGTAAGGGTGGAGGCCATGAGACATGCCTCTTACTATAGGTGGCAGGCTGGCCCTCTGGTCAAATAATTCTGAGCCTGTTTTTAACGTGAGTAATGGCATTAAAAACTACAAGTTTGGTACTAAGTTTGAAACTTTCTGGAGCGTATTTTGTATTCAAGTTTTAAAGTCTGATTGAAATGTACTATTATGCAAATAAGCTATAATTTTTTTAAATGCCATCCTTTTTAATAGTATCCTAAGGCAAATTTAAGAAGTATTATAATTCTCAAAATGCTAATTCACCCTTGTAAACGACCTCTGAAAAATAAGTTTATGCCAGTTGAGAAGGTAACTAAATAGTTGCCTCCATGAGTAAAGGTAGACTAGACAAAAAAATGAGGAAAAACTAGCATCCACAAAAATGATAGTATATATATTCAAATAGTAGATTAAGATCTGTTTATAATTGCTACAAATTTGACGTTGTAGCTTTATGAATAGAACCATGGGCCTAAACTACAAACAAGAATGATTACACAAAATAAATCACATTGTAAAAAAGAATTTAAATTAATATAGGAATATTTGATTCCATACATCAGTTACAATTATTATTAGAACTAATGCAACTTCAATTCCACAGATGACTAATAATTATTCTTTTTATCACAAGTATATTAAATTTTTCTAGGCATATAGTACTTTTTAAGCCTATCAGCAAAGCTAAAGCATTTGTCATTATCTTGTAATCAGTGTACACTAATTATTATGTTCTGAATCTACCCATTCAATACTTAGATCACTTGTCTAGGCCTTAACACTATTGTCCAATAGAACTGTCTGAGATGGAAATGTTCTGTATCTGCACTGTCCAATATGATAACATGTGGCTATTGAACACTTAAATGCGGGTAGTGCAACTGAAGAACTGAATTTTTTATTTTATTTAATTATTCAGTCACATATGACTAGTGGCTACCATAGTAAACAGCACAGCTTACAGGGTTCAAAAAGTAAGACTAAATGTCTTGTTATGATAGGTCTAACTGTATGTAGTCGGCTTGTTGATTTGCATAAGCAATGATATTCACAAATGCTTACAAGAGTAGTATGCCAAAAAGTCTTTTGCCCTGTGGTTTCATCTTCACTCAAAAATATTATTAAATCTATGCCAGCAAACATCTACTACAACATTCAGACAACTTCAAACAAAAAAATACAATATGAAAAGATTTTTATTAGTGTTTGTATGTCAGTACAACTATACTGGTTAATACTGATTAATGAGCCTGGTGGCCTGTGTCAATCTGTCTAATGTTAGCTCTAGAACAACTAGAATTCAAACTATGAAATAACCACTGCTAAAAAAGTTTTTGTCCATTACCTAACATAACACAAGAATACCAATTACTACATAGTTTTCAGCTCCATTGGTTAAACACTGCAAAGGCTTGTCAAATCATTTTACCTGACAGACATATTTGTTCTTCCATTTGCTCAGCACACACCGACTGTTTTGCATCAGCTCCTGAAGCACAACAGAAAAAGAGAGAGCGTAGTTGGCTGTACACATTGTCATTATCAGTTAAAGTGCCTCTGATTTGCAAGCAAAAAAAGATCAACATGCCACACAAAGATCCAACTGTTTTGGAACTCATCACTGGACAAAAGCAAAGCTATCATCACCATGAGAGTTGATCCTTTATGAAAATTAAAGCTGTTGAAAGATGTTTTAAAAACAGATTTGTTTGTTGCCATTTTTGAAACTTTTTGAAAGATACCTCCAACTCTTTGAGCGAGTCTCGGAGTTTTTCTGGGCGTCTGTTTTTGAGCGTCCAAGGATAATCTCGTGCTGGCAAATAAAACATGTACTACAGTTAGTTAAACAAGATTTAAAAAGGAAATTCTGCTTAGCAGTGTGCCTTAGGGAGATTAAAATAAAACACCTCTATAATCGAGAGGAAGTGGGCTTCATTTCCATCATCAAATGACAGCCTTATGAAAGGCTTTGTCATAGGAACAGGATTTTTACCACAAAACAATCTCCCTAACCATAATTTTACAATGACAACCAACAAGGCTTGGAGAATCCCTGGGAAAGTTTGCTAGGCTTGTGAATCTAGTAATTCATGGTAAATGATGTAGTCTTTACTAACTTTTTCATGTAAATAATTAAATGTTCAATCCAAAAGAAATTCCAAATTCTACAAGTAACCTACTCAGACCTAAAAAAAAAAAAAAATTATCATGAGTAAATGAATATAATGAGCAAAGAAATAAAATGAAAAGAAATAAAAAATAAAACTGTATGTAAAAATATATGAAGTTAAGCATTAAAGCTCCACATTTTAAAACTATGGAAAAATCTGAGGGAAATCCAAGTTTTAACAAATTAGGCCCTAATAGTGCTCTTTTTAATTTAAAACAGTTATCTTTAAAGTATACACCACAATTGAATAATGATAAGCCTTCGTTTTGCTTTAAATAAATTAAGTGAAGGATAAAATTATTTAGTAGAGTCATGTTAGCCTAAAATAAATTAAAAATAGTTCTGTTTAAAATAATTTAAAAATGTTAAACATGTCTATTTTATCAGAAAAATGAATTCATCTTTGGATTCTCCTCATTAATAATTCTAAATGAGTTATATGTGTATTTGTGCTTACATGTGTGTTATATGTACATATACATATACATAGTATACATAGATACTTAAATTTAAGAGTAGAATTGCTATACATCTTATTTCAGCAAATGAATTTGGGTCTATAAACAATTTTGATGTAGAACGTATATGCAAATTTTTAAATCTGTGTTGCAGCTACTAATACATTATTTTTTAAAATTAAATGTCAGTTCAACCATTTAAAAAACAAGAGAACAAATGGGATTTTCAGCTCTAGCTATAATCCAAAAAAATTTTAATGTATGTTTAATTCTATGTCATTAAAACCGTATTACATTGTCGCCATAATATATACAACATACTTATATACTGGAGATCAGAAAAGACTAGAGTGAATAAAATGCTAATACTGATATTACAAATACTATTTTCTTAAAAATGGGTAAGACATGTTAACAATTTAGGCAAAGTATGAATAATTAAATGTTACTATCAGAATTTAAGCTTGGTATAATTATCCTAAATATACTAATATATAGTTCATTATGAAATTTTATGTTTATATAAACAAACATTTTATCAAAATTGAATAGAGATTTCAACGATCTAAATTAGAAAGGCCTGACAAATACAATTGTTACTTATATGTTTATATTCCTAAGTAATAGGAATTTAAAAAATTTGGAGGGAATAAAGTTTCCTCTTTGTTCCAGATGAATATTTTATAATACTGAACTTTACAGTTTTATAATAATTCCAAAAAATATAAAGTAAGCTTACACTCTGCCAGCTTCTGCTTCTTTTCTAAGTTACCATGCTCTGTCGCTGATATTGTGGCAGAAGGGATAGAAAGAAAAAAACAAAAGTAGAATTTATTTTTATTATAATGCCTTGTATTTTAATATGTACATGTATAAGGTATTATTAACATTACATGCATTATTGAGATTAATAAATTATGCTTAGGTTCTAAAAGGACAGTTGAAAAAAATGCCATAATTTGGATGTTTTCATTTCATAGAGATATTTCCTAAATTTGCAGTGAAAGGGCACAAAAGGTGGACCAATATCCTGAGCTTCCAATCTGATCAGATAGGAAAGAGAACTGCAACAGAGCCCAGAACAGAAGCTGCTTCAGTCTGTCATCAGAACCATGAAGTCAGCCTATTAACCACTAAGCTAAGCACACAGGCTGCTCACACAAGCCCACTTCAACGGAGACCAAAACAGGAAGTAACTCTAGCTAGAAAGACCTTTTGGCCCATCATAAAACTTCTGGGATTAGCAGGATTAATCAGATAAAGAAAATTGATCATTCACTCAGAAATGCCTATTTCAGATATCAGGTGAGGATCCAGGAGGCCAGCATCAGTAGGACCCATGCATTAACAATGCCCTCTACTGGGACACTGATAAATAAATGTGAATAGACTGCCCTATAATCAGCCTGATCAGCAGTAAAATGAAAATTTTCATGTCTTTCTACAGCATTTTCTCGATACTACTTTATTTTATATAGAACAGATAGATATCAACCTCAGCATTTTTCTAAAGAACTGAAGGGACTTTTCTTAAAATTCTAGAATTTATCTAAAGCTCATGAGAAGAGAGCTTTTAATGGTCAGTATTTCATGGTTTAGAATATTTAGTTAATAAAAATTAATTGCACAGAATAGGTACTTTACCTGGTGGATCTTTCTTGTCATAATACTGGTAGATCCCAATGTCTCTATCTATAGAAAGGAAGAAATAACATTAAATTATGATTTAAAAGTCCCAGAGAATAAGAAGCCAAGCCATACTATATTAGGGGAAGGATAGGGAGAAAAGCAGAAACAGTCTCCTTATGCTACTAGAAATAAAATGGCTCAAAAGCATCCGGAGATGAGTTCGTCTATTCTAGGGATATGCAGAAACTGGAAAGTTTATCAATCTAATGAGAAAAGATTTACACAAAACTAGAATGGCATGAGAAAAAGATTAGTAAAGAACTGAAATCAAGAAACACCAAGTTTTCTCTTTCACACATCCTCTGATATTTTTCACAGGGTTCTACCAAAAGGAACTGCCACTAAGCAATGCCAGATGAAATCAGTGGATGGAAGAAAATGCCCTGTTGGATTCTGAGCTGTGGTTTTCTTTTCTCCAATTTAGCTCAAGAGTCTAGTTCCTATTCTACGGCATTTGGGAGAAATCCACAGACGAGAAAGGGAAGATTAGAGGAACGTTTGGATACATTATTATCTGAAACTTGTTTAGACAGGGAAAACCCCTTCTAAACCTAAATTCGGACACTTTGCTGGGGCTACCTAAGAAGCAAAGCTGGGCTTCCCAGATGTCAAGATTCATTTAACCAAGGAATTATTCCAGTTTAAATATAAGAGAACAAAATAATTTTGTCCATTTTCTTCATATCTATGAATAATAAAATATTTCTTTCATTGAAGGAACATTTGTTTTCTTCAATGCAAAATAATTCTCAGTTACTAACATAAGGATAAAGAGTATACAACTGTTTCTAAAGAGGTGGAAGCAGTACAGGCTGCCCCCTAGTGACTGACTGCTCCAGACTTTCTCAAACTGAATGATAAAACTTCAAAAAAAAGTATTACTGCTATAATTAACTTTTCAAATATAGTCTTTCAAAATAGTCAATTGCGTGTACTTGTTAAAGCTCTATTTTATTCATCATGCCATTAGTAGAGGCATACAATTTTAAAGAATGCAGTTTATGTCTACTGGTTAGACTGAATATATCTAATAAGGATTTATTGCGAAAAATCATGAGTAGGACTTCTTGGATACTGATATTTTATTTGTTGTCCTGGATGGTGATTTTATGGGTGTTTTCATATTCTGATGGTTCACAACATAATCTTATGATCTTTACACTTTTCAGTACATATATTATACTTCAATAAAAAGGCTTTTTTAAAAAATCTAAGAACCACAGGCACTACATATGCAGACAATATCTCCATTAAAATATTCCACCCTATAATTATACTCATCATTCCATACATCCAAATATATATCATAACTCTAGAATAGAACTATGAAGATCATAAAGAATCCTGAATTATGTGCACAAGTCTGACCTACTGCATCTGGCCCAGAGTGGAAACTGTCAAAACACAAGCAGAATAAGGAGAGCATCCAGTTAAGAAAACCTGCCCTACAGTGGGTACCAGAGCTGGATGGGGAAGGTGTCCATTCAGAGAGTCAGCCTGACATGGTGTGTTAGAACTCCAGCAGGGTAAGAACACTCACATGAAGCAACAGCCTGGTGTAGGGTATTAGAGGCTAAACAAGGTAAGGAGGACATTTACATATGGGGGCAACCCAACATGGTATATCAAATCCCACATGGGGTGAGAAGGGTATCTATACAGGGAAGGAGTAGCCACAGAGATAGGGGATTGACTGCAAACAGGGTGACTGATAAGTCAATAAATAAAAAATAGGGGAGCTCCAGGTTTCCCACTGTCTGAGAAGAAAAATACAAATATGGAAAGGGAGAAAATTAGAATGAACCCTATGGTGGTAGATAGGAATGAGATGTACCAATGTAAACTCATGGTTTCAATATAGAGAGATAGATACAGAAATAAATATGGATGTAAATATGTGTGTATACATAGATACATACATTCTGCAAGCTCTGTCCACTGAGAGGGCCTGGGAGCAGCAATGTTCCAATAATGAGTGCACCTAAAGCAGAACTTGGCTTCTAGAACCCTTGCCCTCTAAAAGGAACAAAGCTCCTTAGAAGAGTGACTGATTCCTAGGCTAGGGAAAGGAAATTACAACATGAGTCTGGAACATTTGTTGTACCAGAAAGAATTAAAGTGCTCAGATTTTGACAGGGACATGTCAAAAAGACACAGAAGCCAGCTTGAAGAGGGTCCCTCTGGCCACATCAGGGACAATTTAAACATCAAAATACATAATGAAATAAAATAATGATATGACTATAACAACTCCATAAAGTGGAAAACTTGAGTCCACAGAGATAAAATAAATTGATCATATATAATAATATATTTAAAGCATGAGGAACAGGATATTTACATAATTTCAAGGTATTTCCCTATGAAATACTTACTAATCACAAAGAAGAAAGTAACTTTGCAGTGGAGAAGCCGAGCAGACACTATCTTATCAGGTAATCATGAATATCATCAGGAAAGGGACAAATTGAAATTATGCACCACCTGATAGGATGCATTGAAATGCATAACCTGAATCTAATTGTGAGGAAATTTCAAATATAACCAAATTTACAATCATCCTACACAATAACTCACCTAATATCTTCAAAAATATTAAGGTCATGAAAATGTAAAAAAAAAAAAAAAGGCGGAGGATGAAGAATAACCCAGAATGAAGGACACTAAAGAAACATAACAATGCAATATGTTACTGTGAACAAAAATCCTTTTCCTAAAAAAAGAACAATGATGGGACAATTGGTAAACTGGTCCATTTAGACTGAAGTACATCATTGTTAATTTCCTGATTTCAATGGCTTATACAGTAATGCAGGACAAAATCCTTTTTGTAGGACATATACATGAATGTATTTGGAGGTGATAAAGCATCAGGCTACAACTCTCAAACGGTTCAAGAAAAAAAATTCTCTGTACTGACAATTTTTCTATAAGTTTGTGATTATTTCAAACATTTAAAAAATAAACATCAAGCATAATGAGAGCACATTAACAGGGTTACTAATTTAGTCTAGATAGCAGGAAAGGCTTCTCTAAGTGACTTAATAAAGCCGAGCCCTAAAGAAGTAGGATTCATAAAAGGTTAAATAGAAGAATGTCCCAATAGAGAGAATGGGTAGGCCCTGCAAAAATGCAGTTGGGGTTGAAGACTATTCTCATGGGGCTACTGTGCACCACTGTGTGATTCTTCTCTAAAAACCATTCACTGACTCAGAATAGAAGGAACAGGGACAGAAAACTTGAGGACACATGGAGGGACAGGGAAGGAATTTGCTGGGCATGAACAGAGGACAAGGGGTAAAAGGGGATCAAGATGGAATAGCTCAGACTTCCAACCATGGGGTCCAAGCTGGGTAGGAAGATAAGTGAAGAAGACCCAATGGACTAGGAGAATGTCAAGTGATTAAAAGGTTGACCATCTCAAAGAAGCATAAAACCTAGTTATATGAGAATAAGGGAATAATATGAAAAATGGGCAATTATGATTAAAGAAGAAAACATTTCAATTAAAAATTTTGACCAGCAGTAAAATAAGTTCACTTTGGGATTTCTTTTTTCTATTTTCTGAGATTTCTTTTACACTTTTGAATTTTGAATTTTTTCTGCAACATATTTTTAATTTCCAAGAGACCTGTATAACTTCAAATGTTTTCTGAAGCTTCTGTTTTTGTTTCTTGCTTCATGGATTTAGTATTTTTCCTTAGGTCTCTGTTGTACTTTTTTCCCCCCTTCCTACATTATCTCTGTTTCTTCAGAGACCCATTCACCTATTCATTTTGTTTTCTTTCCTGTTGAAGATATTCCTCAAATATCTAGTGATCCTTAGTTCTCTGTTTGTATTTACAAGTGAGGCACTAAAAAACTGATTGGAAGCCCTGTGTACACACATAGAGCTTGCCAACTGGTGGGCTTCACTGATCAGCCAAGGACTGGGGTATTTCACCAAAGGACTCCCTCAAACGTCTATATACTAGGTCTTCTTTCTCGGGTCTTGCAGTCATTCCAGAGAGGAATATCTCAAGCTCCTTCTTTCTTGGAAAGTGTACAAATAGGTATGACATTCTCAGAACCAAGTGGGATTAAGAAGACCTCACCCATCAGTATGTAGGCTTCCTTCCATTTCGTGCCTGTTTTCAGTTCAGCAGGTCGTCTTCTACTGCCCCTGGTGTTCCCAACTTTAGAGCCTCCTTAATTAAATATTTCCACAGCATGAAAGGTATCTCACAACTTTTTCTGCAAACTTTCATGTCCCTTTACTGTCACTCTGATGACACATACCATCTTCTACAATATCTGGCTCCTCAAATTTCTGTATCTTTCCAGAATTTTGAGTCATAAATTGGCTGTCATTGGAACTCTCCTCTGCAGGCAATTTATATTCAGGTTTTTCATCTCTGCTAATTCCTCTTTCCCTCCCATCTTCCAAAATTTGTCCAATTTCAGTTGTCCCCTCTGTCGAAAGGGTTTATACCTTCTTTATTTTTATTCCTTTATTGGCATCTTAGAAGAGTTTTAGGAGGGAGCAAACAAATGTTAAATCTACTTTAACTGAAATTTCAATCTTTATACATTTTAAAGCAGATAAACTTGATGAAAATATCAAAGTCATCCTTAATTCTATATTTAATATGAAGAAACAATACTTTGTAAGGTAAATCATTTTCTTAGTAATGATGCTTAAAAGATATAAATAATATTCTTCTCCTAAATACAAGTGTTACTTCGTATAAAGATTTTTTAAAGATATTTCTTATAAAGTACACTGTATCGTATGTTAATAAGCATTGTTAAAACACACATATTATTCTCCCCCCCCAAAATTGTGAAAAACAAAGAACATGAAAATAATCGTACATCTTACCTATATGTTTGAAATGTTATTTTAATATCAAATAGAAATGCCTTTACCATTAGCTATCCTGTAAATATTTATGAATATAAATCTTATTATGAAGAATCCCAGAAAAAAAATTGAATATGTATCTTTTTTTTTTACCATTCAATAAATTTTATTATTTATTTATTATTTTAGAGGCAGGGTCTCGCTCTGTCACCTGGGCTAGAGCATAGTGACACGATCTTGGCTCACTGCAGCGTCAACCTCCTAGGCTCGTGTGTATCTTAAGAGAGAACAAATATTAAGCCAATAAGATTAATTTTCAAAACTGAAAACCTAACTCAAGCTGTAAATATTGTTAGTAAGAGTAATTAAAAGGAATTATTTTCCATTAACCAATTTTTCATTAAGAATAAAGAAAGAATGCAACTCCAGCTGGAGAATTCAGGCTCTAACCTTTGCTAGTACTTATTTATAATGGTGTAACATATTTGAAAAATATTGAAATTAATCCAGAGCTCATTTACCCGCAATGTGTAAGGTATTCTTCAAAGACCACAGGTGCAGTTCAGTCAAGCAGAAAGACATCTGATGGCAGAAGGAATCTCTATCCTGTTTAAAAAATAATTAAAAAGAGGTGCCAATTAATTATCTTCTATTGCCAATAAAACCAAGATACCTTAGAAATAGTAAAAAGAATCATTCGCCACAACTGTTATTTGAAATATGGCCCATTAGAATAAACATACTCTAGTGTATCCTTGGTTAACCATCCAGAAATAAACTCTAGAAAGAGGAAAAATACACTTCTTTTCCTGGATTTAGTATGTCATCACATTGAGAAATGTGGTAAGAAGAATATATATAGTATTTGGGTTTTCAATAGCATATGTTTGGTTAAGGCTCTGAGTATATTTAGAATTATTTAGTATTTAAGCATTTTTTTAAGTTTTATTTTAAGGAAAGGAAACATCTGTTGGTAGTTATTAAGTACGAGCACATTTTGTGGTGCATTTTTGGTATATAAAGCAAATATTTACAATATCCTACATACAAACAGGCTAATTAAAGTGGAATTTGCAAGGTAAATGGTATATAGTTACTATTATACTATTATAAGAAACATAATTACTTAAAAGTAAACTCTGAAACCACATTAGCATTCAACTTAGTATGTTAATCTGCATGTCATGATGGATCCAGATATTTTATTCTATGGGGTTTTTTTTTTTGAAAAAACAAAATGGTAATAATATACATCCTGTCTTCCCCCTAGCAGGGGCTAGGGATGGACACTATGAATACTTTTTTTTTTTAATCAAGTACTACCTCATCGATTTAGACTGATTGGGAGAAGGCTAGTCTGCATTAGAAAAAAGGTCAACATTTTACAAAAGTTTGAAAGGAATTTATATAATTTTCAAATGTTTGCTTGGAAATAAACATAGTACTATACTGTATTTATGTTATACTACATATTAGAAATATATACAATAATTTAAACTATGGACATTTTCTTTATAGAATCAGGAAAGAAATGTTCTTTCCAGTAAACTTCCGAATGACAAAGTTTGAAAAATATTTTAAGACATATTTTAATGGAGGAAAAATCCTTCAGCTTCTTTAACATTAGGAGTGACTAAAAATATTTCCCATAGTATCCATATGGGTGATAATCTAAAATAATTTCAGACATAGTACAAACTTCCTCGGCCCGCCCTTCATCCTTACATTTATTTGACCTCAATGCACTTACAATCAAGAAACAGATGCATGTTGAACTAATGAGATATAGTATGCTACGGACTGAAATGGCAGAGTGAAAAATGTGGCAGCACACAAGAGGGGCCCAATCCTGCCTGAACAGCTGGGCTGTGAGAAAGCTCAGACAAGTTGTGAAACGTTAGTGGGTCCTCAAAGAAGGATAAGATTTCACCAGATGATGATGATGATGATGATGACGACGACGACGACAATGATGATGACGATGATGATGATGATGGAGAAAAAGATGAGGAAGAAAATGATGGTGATAACAACAGATAACACTTACTTGTTCCAAACATTTTACATGTATTAACTCTCTTAATCCTCATAGCTACTCTTTGAGGTAATACCATCAGCATTCCTGTAATGAGGAAACTTAGGCACAGAGTGGTCACATAGCTAGCAGGTGGTGGAGGCAGGCTTTGGATCTACACAGACTAGCTCCGGAGTCTGTTTGCAACCACAGTACTCTACCGTATTGGGGTAGGCAGAGTTGTGGGAGGGAGTATATACAGATGTTTGAGTAAAAAGATGGCATGACCCGGCCAGGCGCGGTGGCTCATGCCTGTAATCCCAGTACTTTGGGAGGCCGAGGCGGGGGGATCACAAGGTCAGGAGATCGAGACCATCCTGGCTAACACGGTGAAACCTCGTCTCTACTAAAAATACAAAAAATTAGCCGGGCGTGGTGGCGGGCGCCTGTAGTCCCACCTACTCGGGAGGCTGAGGCAGGAGAATGGCGTGAACGCGGGAGGCGGAGCTTGCAGTGAGCCGAGATCGCGCCACTGCACTCCAGCCTGGGCGACAGAGCGAGACTCCGTCTCAAAAAAAAAAAAAAAAAAAAAGATGGCATGACCCAAGTATGACAGTAGATTAAAGTGCACAGTGGATAGTGATAGGTGAAGTAGGAAAGGGTAAGGAGGAAACAGGCTACAATAGTAAATTTTGGGTTGATCTGAATTTACTTTCTTCCGTGCATTAAATGCCTTTAAAGCTAAGAGATGAAATAAGGAACCCCTCAATCCCCAGATCTGCCCTGCTGTGCCTAGATGCTGGCTGCCATTGTATACAGGTATGAAGTTGGAAAGCTAGTGGAATGCATTACTAAGAGAAAGAATGCAGTTCATTATCAGCAAGCAGTAGAGAAAAAGGGATATTAAACTAGTTACTAATTTTTCAGTTCAACTGAGTATTATCTTTCAGTATTATCACTTTGGAAGTGACTCTAGTAAGCCTACTATTACTCAAAATGTTTCCAATGCAGTGTTCTTTGGAATTGCTTTCAGTTAGTTTTATGAGGCTTATTTTAGAATTGTCATCTTACAGTTAAGTTTTTTTCTTAACTAAAATACTTACTGTATTAGAATAAGTAAACTGCAGACTTTTCATATGGAAATGTGAGGACTGGAATGTTTGTTTTAAAATATCAGTTAG
Source organism: Homo sapiens (assembly GCF_000001405.40). Taxonomy (NCBI): domain Eukaryota; kingdom Metazoa; phylum Chordata; class Mammalia; order Primates; family Hominidae; genus Homo; species Homo sapiens. The sequence continues at coordinate 63,495,530 of NC_000002.12, forward strand.
TGAATTAAATATTTATTTTGCATCTATTTAGCTTAATGTGTGCATTCTAGAATCTGCCTGCCTCTTTTCTAATTTCTCAGCTTAGTAGCTAACTTGGACTAATTACCTAACTTCTCTATTTCTAAGAGTCCCCAGCTATAAAATGGGTATAATAAAGTACCTACATCAGGACTGCTTTCAAGGTACACTTACTCAATTACCTTAACACTGCAGTTGCTGCTTGCTATTACTCAGTATATCCATCACTACGCAAATTTGTATGGAAAAAAATAAAATAATAAATATGATCTCTGACCTTATATGGTAATCTCACAGTATGAAATAAATAAGTACTAAGCACAACAGGAGGTTTATGAAGGAAAAACATCCAGAAGTGGAGAAGTTACTACACAAGAGAAGGTATTTGAATTAGGACATGCAAATTGGTTAATATTCCATTGCAAGTAAGAAAGAAAAGAGATGGTAAAACAGGTGTATACTTCCTCTGACATTGAGCATCAAAAGTCACCAACTTCTAGACTATACTAGAAAAATAAAAATCATATTCTTCAATTTAGTTTTTATTCAGATACCAGTAATACTAATTTATGACAATCTGCATAAGACAAGGCTGAAGTTTAGCTGTTTGTTGCTATATAAAAATGTCTTATGTAAATTAAATACAGATAAAATTTTATAGATGAAACCAAAAGACTGCACCTTTACTTACATATCAAAAGAAGACAACACTTGAAATTCTGTATTTCAGTTTAAGTCAATTTAGTAATAATTTGTCAAAACTTCCTCCTGATAACAGAACTGGAGAGTGTAGTGTAGTTTCCACTATAGTCTACACTGACTATTTCTACGAGGCAGAAAAACACCTTTTACTTGAAAAACTGATAGGTCCACTCCCCATATCTTCACTAAGTTTGAAAGTCCTAAATTAATCAAAAATTACAGTGTTTCAAGGAGAATAAGCAAAATGAGATCTGTGAAGAGCTTCAAAGCCAAGAGTCAAACCATTAATTCTCTACATTTGAACATGGGAAATCCTGAGCATAGTACAGTATAGAGTCTATGACCTGGACTTGTCTTCCAGCTCAGCACCAAACGATCCATATCTAGGACCAATGGTGGTGGGAGGACTGAGAAAAATGTACAAGGTATTTCTCAAAATGCTCTGATGTACAAACAACACTGCTCTAGTTTCCCATTAAAAAGCACAGGACAAAAGAAGGAGAGAGACATTCTTCTCCTACTTTAAAAATGACCCTTTTGTGGCCCCACAGGGAATCTATCATATAAGGATGGGGAAGCAGGCCAGGCGCAGTGGCTCACACCTGTAATCCCAGCACTTTGGGAGGCTGAGGCAGGCGGATCACTTGAGACCAAGAGTTCGAGACCAGCCTGGCCTTCATGGCAAAACCCCATCTCTACTAAAAATACAAAAATTAGCTGGGCATGGTGGAATGCACCTGTAATCCCAGCTACTTGGGAAGCTGAGGCAGGAGAATCTCTGGAACCCAGGAGGCGAAGGTTGCAGTGAGTCAAGATCATGCCACTGCACTCCAGCCTAGGTGACAGAGTGAGACTCCATCTCAAAAAAAAAAAAAAAAAAAAAGAATGGAGAAGTGGCTGCAGGAAGTGGTGTGCAGCAGAAAGTAAGCAGGAATGGTGAATGTGGTGGTATACAGACAAAGCAGAATCTGTATCCAGCAAAAGCAGACATGGGTGGTCAAGGAGTGCCCTGTATCATCTGAAGAAACAGCAGCAATAATTAGCAAGTATTGGGTACATCAATGAGAAGAAAATGGCCAATGTCCATTAGTAGATAACTGGACTGGTTTGTGAACAAAATGTCAAAACTCTTGTGGATTCCCCAAGATCTGTGTGATTAAGGAGGGGGCTTTGCAAGTGGTCATGCATTAACAGGGGAGCGGGAGGAAGATAGTCAAATGTGGGTTATTCATCCTTCTTTTTTCCTTAACTTCAACTATCTGCCAAGAAAACCAGGTAAAACTAAAGAAAATCAATGGAGTAAATAAAACAAGTTTGTAAAAATCTTTAATAATAACTAGATGGGCAAGGTGGGAGAGGACCAAATCAACATCCTTTTTAGTCTTCAAGCATTATATGTCATGCAGGTTTTCTGAAAGACACAAGTTTTTTAAAGAGCTCTAAACATCTTGAATCTTACTCAAGTGTGCCACCAGTTAAAAAGAATGCTGGTAATTTCCTGGTTTGAAAAATACGCCTGGAGGAAGTAGTCAAGACTGAGCTTGTATTATTCAAATATTGTATTCATGCATAAATAGTTGTTTTGAAGGAGAGAAGAAAAGAATGTCAGAAGAATGCTGGATTCTGCATTTTCAGAAGGGGGTGCGGGCAGGGATTAAAAAGGTAGTGAAATAGTCAGGGGGCATCTACCAAAGTAAGCTGAGCAATGCTGCCCCACTCAGTGCCCTTGTACATTTCCCTGAGCAATATAACCCAATGCACATGGCATAGAACTGTAATAAAAGTAGCTGTACTGGGAGAAATTAATGAAAGAATGAAAGAATAAAATATATAGCAAGTTGTCCAACTATTAAATATTGAATCAGAAAAAGAATTATCCAAATGAAAATAGTAGAATGAAAAACCCAAACAAAAAATCACCCATAATGTAACTTCATTTATTTTTAAACACCTTTCTAACTTTTACAATTTCCTCTTTAATTACATAAGGCATTGATGACAGTCTCAGAAGGCCATTTTGAATCCAAGCTTCCTACATGAGACAATAAACAGCATGATTTAAATTGAGCTTCACATACATTTAGAATGACTGCTCTTTTTTATACAGGGGACAATCTATGATTGCCCAAATTTTGAGGACAGAGATGTAAGAATTCTAGAAAGCCCCTTTTCACTTTATACTTACATCCTTAAAAAATTTCAATTTTTAATACCTTCACTCCAATTTGGGTTACACTAGAGTAAATTAATATTTATTTGTCTTAAGAATAATTTTACCATATAGACTAAATTTTGAGAAAGTAACATGCAAAATAGAAATAGTTTCACTACTATACTGTTGATAATCTCCTTTTGAAAAATAAATGTTTTAGAAGTAGAGATTACTTGCCACTGAATAAATCTGCAAAATACCTGTACTCTGCCCGGGTAAAGTATGCTATGCAGTTCCCCGGTTTCTTAAGTCAGCTATTTTGGTAGCCATGGGAAGGACAGGAAGCTTGAGGGCAAAGAAAACCCAAATGTGAAACATGATAGCAAAGAAAGAATTAAGAAATAGAAGACATTGCTGTAGTTATAATAAGGATAAATGATAGCATGGCATCCATAAGACATTTAACATGGAGGTATATGAGCAGAAGACTGCAAAGAACCTAAGGTAAATAAGGAGACCTCAAGCTTGGACTAACCTATTGTACCCAAAGAATGGAGTACTAGAAACAATGGCTCATTTGTACCTCACAGGGCCTTATGAGATCTAAATACCAATTAAATATCACAATTTGAGCACTTTATGTATATGTTTACTGAGTCATAGATACAAAGTTTTATAGAATGGGCCTCTACTATCAAACACCATATAATCAGGGTAGCAGATAAAATAATCACAAAAACAATACGAAGTGTGTAGTAAGTGCTAATATGGTAACATACACAATGGGCTAGGGGGGTTCAAAGGGCATTTGAGGATTGTCAGATTTTGCTAGAGGGAAATAGATAAAAAGGAGGGAACAATACCCAAAAGAATAAATTAGAAAGATGCAAGGCTTATTTGAGGAATAATAAGCAATCTGGTTTGATGCACAGGTAGAAGAGATAAATCAGAGCCATAATAAGGAAGTCTTTGCCAAGCTCAGGAATTAGGACTTTGTATTTGCTAGGTAGCTAATTAGGAACAATGAAGTTTCTGATCTGGGAAGGTATTTTTAAAAAGAATAATTAATAGATCAGAATTATTGTTGGAAGATTAACTGGTGGGTAAAATATTGGAGGAGTGAAGGAAAGTTTGATATGAGTGACCTGTTAGAAAGGTATTAAAGGAACAGACAACACTAATATTCAGTAACAAGGACCTGAATTGGGGTGGTGGCAGCTGGAATATAACAAAAGAAAGGGATGTAAGTGATCTTGTAAAGAAAGAATCGACAGCATATGGGCACTGATGATTTGTAAGAGACAGTGTAAGGGAGTAAGAGAGAAGAATCTGGAGTGACCATCAATGGATGGGGATCTGGTTACTGCTCATATAGTGACCCTTGCCTTGACCATGCCGTCACTGAACAGGCATGCCTGCATCATCATGTGCCCAGTAAATGGGTACCAGTGCATTCCATCTGTTCACAATGACTGCCTCAACTACTGAACCCACACACATCAATGTTCCTAGCTACTAACCTGGCTACGTGGTCTCCTGTTTTACTTCTGCCTTGCCCCTCAGTTTGTAACTCTGGCTCTTCTTCTTAAACTGTGATTCAACTTCTTCATCCTGTCAAAGGACCCATGAATACTGTTCTTCTTGGCCACATCAAGTTCCCAGGAACCCCTTACCCAGACTTGTTCCCACCTAGTTGATCCTAGTTTCAAGGGCAGGACTTGGATTGAAACACACATAGAAACAGGTTAGTCTAGAAGAAGAGCAAGTTTTGTTAATAAGTTGAATTTTAGACTCAGTGGGAGATAAAGGTACAAGGAAATGCTCTGGGTAGATATGTCTAGCTGGTAGCTAGAAATACAGAAGAGAGGCCTGGACTACATAAAAACTACTTTGGAATTTTCTAAATAGAGAGTAAAGCCATTGAGTAAGATCACAGAAGAAAAATAAAGTCAAAGATAGATAGTCTGGTAATTCTCCAATAAAGAGTCAATTTAAAAGACAGACTAAGATAATATAGTGTCAAGAAAGCCTTGAAAGAGAAAATGGTGTGGGGGTGTGTGTGTGTGTGTGTGTGTGTGTGTAAAGTGGTTATACAGTGATCAAACTTGTTGGTTCTGAATTTTAATGCAGAGATGACCTCAATATGATTTAATGAGAAGTAATGTTTTATCAAGTACATAGAGGTTAAGTCTGCTAAAGGTGTGGTTCTACTGTTCTGAATGCTGGGCTGTAAGCCAAAAATGCCTTCATTCTAATCCTGCTATGACAAACTTACTCCAAATCATTTAACCTCTGCCTCAATTTCCCCACCTGCAAAAACAGGGATAATGATATTGACCTACATTTGTAACGGTGTTGTAAGGATTAACTAGTGTGTATAATGCTTTGAAGATTAAAAGTGCTGAGCATTATTAGTGAGTATTACATAACTAATTGTCTATAATACTAAAAATGTTATCCTTTAAGTTTAGGCAAATAGCAGTTATCAAATAAATGTTCTAGCTCCCTTAGTGACATTTAGCTTCTAATGTTAATATTAAATTTATTATTGAATGTGTATCTAGATCTATTTTACAACTGTCATCTCATGGCATATAAAGTTCTAAATCAGTTCAGAAGCCTAGGACACTTTTTCAACCTAAATATTAAATGTAAGTATTCAGGACATATTTATTTGAAAATGAGCACCCACTGCAAGTATTCAATAAATACCAAAGGTAGTATTTTTAATTATAAAATTTCAGATTTACCAAAAACACTAAGCAACTAAATAGAAGCAAAATGCAAAAAGCACAAAGCATTATGTTCAAAATACTATCTAAGTCCCTATTTTTAAAACAAGCTTTAGAACCTAAAAGTGTGCAAAAAATGAAGAGAGAAAGCCAGGTGCAGAGGCTTACATCTATAATCCAAGGACTTTAGGAGGCCGAGGTAGAAGGATTGCTCTAAGTCAGGAGTTCAAGATCAGCCTGGGCAACATAGTCAGACCCTGTCTCTACAAAAAATAAATAAAAATTAGGCAGGTGTGGTGGCACCTGCCTGTACTCCTAGCTACTCAGGAGGCTGACAGAGGAGGATGGCTCAAGACCAGGAGTTGGAGAGTGCAATGAGCTATGGTCCTGCCACTGCACTCCAGCCTAGATGACAGAGCAAGACCAAGTTTCAAAAAAACAAAAAACTTTTAAATGCATTAGGCCTCTGTCTGGTCCTTTGTTTGTTTCTTTCTTTTTTGGAGATGGAGTTTCACTCTTGTCAGCCAGGCGGGAGTGCAGCGGCGCGATCTCAGCTCACTGCAACTTCCACCTCCCGGATTCAGGCAATTCTCCTGCCTCAGTCTCCCAAGTATCTGGGATTACAGGCGTGAGCCACCACATAAGGTTAATTTTGTATTTTTAATAGAGACAGCATTTCACCATGTTGGCCAGGCTGGTCTCGAACTCCTGACCTCAGGTAATCCACTGGCCTCAGCTTCCCAAAGTGCTGGGATTCCAGGTGTGAGCCACCGTGCCTGACTGGTCTTTTGTTTCTTCTCAGGTTTTAAAATTACAAAAGCAACACATACTTATTGTTTTTTAAAAAATGCAAACATACAGAAGTATTTGATGTAAAAATTAATGTGTTCTCCTCCAAGCTGCCCTCCTCACTCTGAAGGAAGCCATTGCACAGTGTGGCATGCGGCCTTCCAGACTTTCTAAATGTACTTACAACACGTGCACACCCATACTGACTTGTTCATTTTGTGTTTTTATAAAGATAAAATTTTACTATATATACAACTTGCTTTGTTCACTGAACACCACATCATGGATACTCTGTTAGCATAAACAGATAGATCTACCTGATGTTTTAATAGCCACAATATGTTCAATTGAATAGTGACCATAATTGACTTATCCATTCTCTTAATAAATAACCATCTGTTTCTAATTTTTACCTTACAAATAATATAACCATGAAAATATACATACACACTTTACATTTTGATAGGTATTGCCAAATTAGCCTCCAAAATGATTGGTAAATTTACATTTCCACCCAAAACATGACTGTACTTTTTCCTATATCCTCAACAGCATGCAGCATTATCCAAGTTTTAAGTTGTTGCCAACCTGGTAGGTGAAAATTTATCTTGTAATTTTAAGTTTCATTTTTCCATTCATTAATGAAACCAAACATCTTTTCATGGATTTTTAAAACAATTTGTTCCCTCTATAAATTACCTGTTCCTATATTTTGCTCATCTTTCTATTAAGTTCTTTATCCCTATGTGTGTATGAATAATATTAATCCTTTGTTATGAAGTTTGTGCATGTTTAGTCATTTAAAATTTTTTTCACTAACATATATGAAGAAAATAAGAGAATGTAGAATCTGATTTAAAAAAAAAAAAACTGGGCATAACATAAAAAGCTCTTTAAACTCAATTAAGCTAGTGCTGTGCAAAGTGCCAAAGAGATTTAGACCCCAGCCAGACTGTGGTTCTTCACAGCTGCTAACCACTGGTCAGATGATGCTATTTCAACATGAAGCAAAAGGTGACAGATTTCTATGTTCCAAGATAATCTGTGCACCGTTCTTACTAAAAGAGGTTAGAACAAATTCTATGCCTCGAAAGAAAAGTAGGAATCCCTTCACTTTCATCAAAGAATTGTGGCAAAAATCTTTTAAAATCTTTTGTTTTAGTTAAATTTGGAAAATATTTCTCTAGGGCATTGTTCAAACGGTTTAATTCACTTAGTTAAATAGATCTTGTCAATTTAACATTTTCCGTATTATAAGCAGTTTTGACATTTAGACAATTTATCAATGGCTTCTTCATTGTGGTCTGCTTCCTCTTCTTTCTACTCATTACATGCAACAAATTAAATTTCACTAATATTTAAAGATCGGTGCTGACCTTTGCATAGTCATTTTCTAGGTTCCTATTAATACAAACATCTTGTTTGCTAATGCTCATTTTAAATATTTTGCTGCACACAATTTTCCATTATCCCAAAGAGACTTGTATCTAGTTGAAGTGCATTTTTTCCATGACCTCAAAAAATAATTGCAATAGTTTATATCAGGCATTGGGGGGAGGTATGCCTGCATAAGCAAATAATAATCATCATCATCATCACCTCTCACCACCTCCACTCAACACAGATACCTACTTTTCTGATCTTCAAAAATATGAACTTCATTCTTTTTAGGATGTACCTCAACCACAACAATAAAAGGACAAGGAAAACAGAAATGTTAGCAATGTAACAATGATAATTAATTCTAGATTAAAACTCTATAAATATAATTTTATGCCATACTTGAATAAATTGAAAAAACGTAACTTTGAAGAGAAAATAAATTGAATTTCAGGAATAACTCCTAAATAGCTAAAATAAAGGCAAGAGAACACTGAAATGCTCTTATCTAAACCAATGCTTAAATACCAAAATAATTTGTCAATTCAGGGTTATTGTTTTGAAAAGGTTAGAAATCAAAGACTGCTATGAAGTGAGCTCAAATGAAAAAAAAAAAAAACAGAAATCCTTTATCTACAAATAGAAAAGATAGTGGAAAATTTTGGAGTGGCCCGCAGCTATACCACCTCTACCTTGTCAGATTTCACTTGTCAACACTTTGATGACAGATTGCTACCCACTCCTCTGAAAAACAAACTCTAGTAACTGCTGAAAGAAATGGCTTCTTATAAAAAGTGAAATATCTCATGCAACTTGATAGTTGTATACTTTTAAATATTTCTTTTCCAAAAGAGACCTGAAAACCTTTTTTCTATGGCTTCTAGAAAAACTTAGAAGCTAAAGAACCCTCCTAACATGGGGAATAGAAACGTGGGTAACATTTTAAAATACCTACTAAATGCACTTTATATTCATTATTTCATTTAATCCTCACAAGAGCCTTCTGAAATTACGTACTAAATTGTGTGTGTGTGTGTGTGTGTGTGTGTGTGTGTGTGTGTGTGTGATGTATTTTATTCACATATTCTTAAAAATATTTTTCTGGGCAGGGAATAGCAGTTTCTCCAGAGTCCATGTATCTCCTCTCCCATAAATCAACTCTGAGAGACCCTAAACCCCTTAATTTATAAATATGGAAACTGAAATCTATGAGGGTAAAGTAATTTGCACAAATTCAATCATCTCATTAGAGGAACAATTAGGACTAAAATTTCTGTCCACAAATTATCTGTGCAGTGCTCTTTCAACTCTCTCTCCCTCTGCCTAAATGCTGTGCTAAATGGAGCCTTTTGACCCCTGAGACAAATGTCAGTTTAGACTTGTATAATTAATCCATGGAAAGGGATATGGATGGAAACTATCTTCTGACCAACTTTTACTTTAATTTACTTTGCTTAGAAAGCTCTTGGAGAAAGTTAACTGAATGACTAAGGAGTGTTTTAAATTAGTATATCAATAGTTTATAAGTAAATTGATGTATCTAAATATCAGATTAAATTTGATATTTCTTATGCCCTAAAGAATCTTCCCACTATTGCTTAGCAAACTTCACAGATGATATAAAAGTAAGCTCCAATATGAATTATTAATATTTATGGCCGATTGGTCAATAAATTAAGGTCTTCCTGTTAAGTTATTGTGTTACATCACAGAAGCTTTATTTCTATTTTGACTACCCTTATTTGGTAGTGGCACCCATTAAGTTCTCAGCCCCTTAGTCTTTATGACAAGTTCTTAATGAAATGTAAACAAGCCCTAAATAGTCACAATTTATAAGAATTCTGCAGTGAATTCTTTAATATTGTAATTGGATCTTCCTTCATACTCTTTCTTCCCTGATTGTTTGCTTTCAACTTTACTAACGGTTTGTCACAGTGTTCGTACTTACATAAAATTTTTAGTATTTTGTTTCAATGGTTGAATAGAGAACCAAAGTAGATAACTTAGGAAAGAACAGCCTTTTCTTATTGAAATGAAAGCCTGTGAATAAACCACCAAGGTCCCCTGAGAAGAGATCAATTTCGCCGTACTATATTTAACACAGGCATACATCATCACAGCTTAAAATGTTAATTCCCTAATATAGTAGGAAATTATTACCTGATATTTAAAAATCAGTAGAATAAAATAAGGAAGATTCTAGATTATGACCATGTTTTGCCCTAAAGCCCAAACAAGTTACAGATTAATAAAAAATGTTTCCTATGCTTTTTTAATTCTATATTAAGACATAGAAGAGTAAATGGAAAAACATATTTGAAAATTTGTGGCAAATAACTGTTCAATAAATGTGCTTCTCTTTCATGAACATTCAATATCCTTAAAATAATGAGTCTGATCTCAAAAATACCTACCTGAAAAAAAGGAGTTTCACTGGATATCATTTTATCTTCTAATTATTTTTAGTATGATTCAACCTACATTTACAAAGCATCTACTAAGTGCAACCACTGAGTGGCACCATGCTAGGCATTCACAATATGAAGTTAACAAACCAAAGAACTTGTTCTTGAGGATATCAAAACTTAGTGGGGAGCTTGGGATGGAGGAGAAAAATAATGAATACAATTACATCAGAGTATGGCAAATAAAACAGAACCATGTCCAGGAATTTAGTACAAAGAAGAGAGTTAAAATTTCTAGCATTTAACAAAATCTCTATCGCAATAAAAATAGAAATCATATATTCATTTTCAGAACCTGAAACTTCCTTAAAGAAAATGAATATCAAGCATGTGATCCACACAAATTTACTAATTCTAAAGTCACTGTAATTCACATTTGATAGTTTCTGAAATTTTATGTATCTTATAATCAAGGTGTACATTTAATATAGTGTTGCTTTTTTTCATCAAACTTGCACCTAAATGAACAGTACCTTACAACCAATAGTAGATTAGAAGCAAGGAAACATGGTATATGCCAATGCTTGATTTCCTTTGGCAGCAAGACCGGCTCCAAATAACTTGGCAACATATACAAAGTCCTACACAGAGGACCATCCAAGAAAAGATGGGGGATTGAGCACATGTAGTTATTTGCACTCCCTCCCAAACTCTCACAAAAATGATAAAGGAGAAAAAAAAAAGGCAAAGGAACTAGTGGCAAGATAACCACAAAACAGATGTCATAAAAATTTTGGAGGGTAAAAAGCAGATGGGCAAGAGATAACTGACAATAGATCTGAGAAAGCAGAAAGCAAGTACCAATGGCGGGGTGGAGGAAGTCAAAAAGCACACGTACTGGAACCCTAGAAAAGCTCAGAAACTGGAAGCACCAAGTACTTCTGAAGAAATGGCTTTGCTTAGAACTGAAAACAAGAGAACTGTTTGAAAGTCTGTGGATATAATACTTAGAATTCTAGGTGCTCTTCCCTGCCAACACAGTTGGCCAATGATCTCTCCCTACCACAGAAGAAAATTGAAAATGGACTCGTGAGAGGTTATATCAGAGCATCTTTAGAAGTAAAACATTGCTGAGAGTGAGAAGGCTATGCTGAAAACAGGGAGAAAAGGAACTCCTGGAAATAAAAATATGAGAGCCAAAACAAAAACAGACAAAAGAAGACTTGAAAGATACTTTTGAAGAAGTCTCCCAGAAGAAAAAAAGAAACGTACAGAGAAAGAGAGAGAGAGAAGGAGTTTGGGTGATCAGTCACAGTGATTCTTAGTCAGACATCAGACTAAGACAAAAAACAGAGACAATGGAAGGAAATAAATTATGAAGAAATAATGCAAGAAAATTCCCCAGAACTGAAGTACATGATTTTCTCTGTTGAAAGAAATCACTAAGTACCCAATACAATGAATTACAAAAGATACAATCCCTGTGCATATTATTGTGAAATCTCAAAATACTGGAGATAAATAAAATATAGTAAAAGTTTGCAGAGAAGGAAAAAAAAAATAGGTCACATAAAAAGGATCAGGGCAACAGACTTTCTCAATCGCAACACTGGGAGTTGTTAGAAGACAAAGGAGTTGTGCTTTCAAATTCTGAAAGAAAATTATTTCCTACCTATAATTCTATATCTAGCCAAATTGTCACTTGAGTGTGAGGTTAGAAAAAAACATTCAGAGGACCAAAGTCTCAAAAATTAACAATCATGTATTATTTTTAAGGAAGTTACTGGAGGATGTGTCACACCAAAGGATGAAATAAACCCAAGAAGGCGGATGATATAGAATCCAGGAAGGGAACAAAACTGGATGGAGAATTAGTCTGACAAACTGACAGAAATAGGTTTCAGAAGGTGGGTACTAACAAACTCCACCGAGCTAAAGGGGCATGTTCTAACACAATGCAAGGAAGCTAAAAACCTTGAAAAAAGGTTAGAGGAATTGCTAACTAGAATAACCAGTTTAGAGAAGAACATAAATGACCTGATGGAGCTGAAAAACACAGCACGAGAACTTCATGAAGCATACACAAGTATAAATAGCCAAATTGGTCAAGTGGAAGAAAGGATATCAGAGATTGAAGATCAACTTAATGAAATAAAGTGTGAAGACAAGATTAGAGAAAAAAGAATGAAAAGGAACGAACAAAGCCTGCAAGAAATATGGGACTATGTGAAAAGACCAAGCCTACATTTGATTGGTGTACCTGAAAGTGATGGGGAGAATGGGAGCAAGTTGGAAAACACTCTTCAGGGTATTATCCAGGAGAATTTCCCTAACCTATCAAGACAGGCCAACATTCAAATTCAAGAAATACAGAGAACACCACAAAGATGCTCCTCGAGAAGAGCAACCCCAAGACAAATGATCGTCAGATTCACCAAGGTTGAAATGAGGGAAAAAACGTTAAGGGAAGCCAAACAGAAAGGTCGGGTTACCCACAAAGGAAAGCCTATCAGGCTAACAGCGGATCTCTCTGCAGAAATCCTACAAGCCAGAAGAGATTGGGGGCTAATAATCAACTATCTTAAAGAAAAGAATTTTCAACCCAGAATTTCATATGCAACCAAACTAAGCTTCATAAGTGAAGGAGAAATAAAATCCTTTATAGACAAGCAAATGCTGAGGGATTGTGTCACCACCAGGCCCACCTTACAAGAGCTCCTGAAGGAAGCACTAAATATGGAAAGGAAAAACCAGTACCAGCCACTGCAAAAACAAAGCAAAATCTAGAGACCATTGACACTATCAAGAAACTGCATCAACTAATGGGCAAAATAACCAGCTAACATCATAATGACAGGATCAAATTCACACATAACAATATTACCCTTAACTGTAAACTGGCCAAATGCTCCAATTAAAGGGCACAGACTGGCAAACTGAATAGAGACAGGACCCATCAGTGTGCTGTGTTCAGGAGACCCATCTCACATGCAAAGACACACATAGGCTCAAAATAAAGGGATGCAGGAATATTTACCAAGCAAATGGAAAGCAAAAAAAGCAGGGGTTGCAATCCTAGTCTCTGACAAAACAGACTTTAAACCAACAAAGATCAAAAAAGACAAAGAAGGGCATTACATAATGGTAAAGGGTTGAATTCATCAAGAAGAGCTAACTATCCTAAATATATATGCACCCAGTACAGGAGCACTCAGATTTATAAAGCAAGTTCTTAGAGACCTACAAAGAGACTTAGACTCCCACACAATCATAGTGGGAGACTTTAACATCCCACTGTCAATATTAGGCACATCAACAAGACAGAAAATTAACAAGGATATACAGGACTTGAACTCACCTCTGGACCAAGCGGACCTAATAGACATCTACAGAACTCTCCACCCCAAGTCAACAGAATACACATTCTTCTCAGCACCACATAGCCCTTATTCTAAAATTAACCACATAATTGGAAGTAAAACACTCCTCAGCAAATGCAAAAGAATGGAAATCAAAACAAACAGTTTATCAGACCACAATGCAATCAAATTAGAACTCAGGATTAAGAAACTCACTCAAAACCGCACAACTACATGGAAACTGAACAACCTGCTCCTGAATGTCTACTGGGTAAATAACAAAATTAAGGCAGAAATAAATAAGTTCTTTGAAACCAGTAAGAACAAAGATGCAATGTACCAGAATCTCTGGGACACAGCTAAACCAGTGTTTAGAGGAAAATTTATAGCACTACATGCCCACAAGAGAAAGCAGGAAAGATCGAAAACTGACACCCTAACATCACAATTAAAATAATTAGAGAAGAGCAAACAAATTCAAAAGCTAACAGAAGACAAGAAATAACTAAGATCAGAGCAGAATTGAAGGAGATAGAGACACAAAAAACCCTTCAAAAAATCAGTGAATCCAGGAGCTGGTTTTTTTGAAAGCAGTAACAAAATAGATAGACCACTAGCCAGAATAATAAAGGAGAAAAGAGAGAAGAATCAAATAGACACAATAAAAAAAGATAAAGGGAAGATCACTACTGATCCCACAGAAATACAAACTACCATCAGAGAATACTATAAACACCTCTACACAAATAAACTAGAAAATCTAGAAGAAATGGATAAATTCCTAGACACATATACCCTCCCAAGACTAAACCAGGAAGAAGTTGAATCCCTGAACAGACCAAAAACAAGTTCTGAAATTGAGGCAGTAATATATAGTCTACCAACCAAAAAAAGCCAAGGACCAGATGGATTCACAGCCGAATTCTACCAGAGGTACAAAGAGGAGCTGGTACCATTCCTTCTGAAACTATTCCAAACAACAGAAAAAAAAAGCAACTCCTCCCTCTCATTTTATGAGGCCAGCATCATCCTCATACGAAAACCTGGCAGAGACACAACAAAAAAAGAAAATTTCAGGCCAATATCTCTGATGAACATCAATGCAAAAATCCTTATACAAATACTGGCAAACCGAATCCAGCAGCACATTAAAAAGATTATCCACCACGATCAAGTCGGCTTCCTCCCTGGGATGCAAGCCTGGTTCAACATACACAAATCAATAAGCATAATTCATCACATAAACAAAACCAATGACAAAAACCACATAATTATCTCAATAGATGCAGAAAAGGCCTTTGATAAAATTCAACACTCCTCCACGCTAAGAACACTTAATAAACTAGGTATTGGTGAAACACATCTCAAAATAACAAGAGCTATTTATGACAAATCCACAACCAGTATCATACTGAATGGGCAAAAGCTGGATGCATTCCCTTTGAAAACCGGCACAAGACAAGGATGCCCTCTCTCACCACTCCTATTCAACACAGTATTGGAAGTTCTGGCCAGGGCTATCAGGAAAAAGAAAGAAATAAAGCGTATTCAAATAGGAAGAGAGGAAATCAAATTATCTCTGTTTGCAGATGACATGATTGTATATTTAGAAAACCCCATCATCTGGCTTGGCATGGTGGCTCACGCCTGTAATCCCAACAGGTTGGGAGCCCAAAGCAGGCAGATCACAAGTTCAGGTACTCAAGACCAGCCTGGCCAACATGGCAAACCCTGTCTCTACTAAAAAATACCAAAAAAAATTCACCAGGCGTGGTGGCGGGTGCCTGTAGTCCCAGCTACTTGGGAGGCTGAGGTAGGAGAATGGCATGAACCTGAGAGGTGGAGGTTACAGTGAGCTGAGATCAAGCCACTACACTCCAGCCTGGATGACAGAGCAAGACACCGTCTCAAAAAATAGATAAATAAATAAAACCCCATCATCTCAGCCCAAAATCTCCTTAAGCTGATAAGCAACTTCAGCAAAGTCTCAGGATACAAAATCAATGTGCAAAAGTCACAAGCATTCCTATGCAACAGTAATAGACAAACAGCCAAATCATGAGCAAACCCCCATTCACAATTGCTACAAAGAGAATAAAATACCTGGGAATACAACTTACAAGGAATGTGAAGGACCTCTTCAAGAAGAACTACAAATCACTGCTCAAGGAAATCAGAGAGGACACAAACAAATGGAAAAACATTCCATGCTCATGGATGGAAAGAATCAATATCATGAAAATGGCCATACTTCCCAAAGTAATTTATAGATTCAATGGTATTCCCATCAAGCTACCATTGACTTTCTTCACAGAATTAGAAAACTACTACTTTAAATTTCATATGGAACCAAAAAAGAGCCCGTAGAGCCAAGACAATCCTAAGCAAAAAGAACAAAGCTGAAGGCATCATGCTACCTGACTTCAAACTATACTACAAGGCTGCAATAACCAAAACAGCATGGTACTGGTACCAAAGCAGATATATAGACCTATGGAACAGAACAGAGGCCTCAGAAATAATACTACACATCTACAACCATCTGGTCTTTGACAAACCTGACAAAAACAAGCAATGGGGAAAGGATTCCCTATTTAATAAATGGTGCTGGGAAAACTGGCTAGCCATATGCAGAAAACTGAAACTGGACCACTTCCTTACACCTTATACAAAAATTAACTCATGATGGATTAAAGATTTAAACGTAAGACCTAAAACTATGAAAACCCTAGAAGAAAACATAGGCAATACCATTCAGGACATAGGCATGGGCAAAGACTTCATGACTAAAACACTACAAGCAATTGCAACAAAAGTCAAAATTGACAAATGGGATCTAATTAAACTAAAGAGCTTCTGCATAGCAAAAGAAACTATCATCAGAGTGAACAGGCAACCTACAGAATGGGGGAAAATTTTTGCAATCTATCCATCTGACAAAGGGCTAATATCCAGAATCTACAAAGAACTTAAATTTACAAGAAAAAAGTAACCCCATCAAAAAGTGGGCAAATGATATAAACAGACACTTTTCAAAAGAAGACATTTATGCAGCCAACAAACATATGAAAAAAAGCTCATCATCACTGGTTATCAAACAAATGCAAATCAAAACCACAATGAGATACTATCTTACGCCAGTTAGGATAGCAATCATTAAAAAGTCAGGAAACAACAGATACTAGAGAGTATGTGGAGAAACAGGAACGCTTTTACACTGTTGGTGGGAGTGTAAATTAGTTCAGTCACTGTGTCAGACAGTGTGGCGATTCCTCAAGGATCTAGAACTAGAAATACCATGTGATCCAGCAATCCCATTACTGGATATATACCCAAAGGATTATAAATCATTCTACTATAAAGACATATGCACATCTATGTTTATTGCAGCACTATTCACAATAACAAAGACTTGGAACCAACACAAATGCCCATCAATGTTAGACTGGATGAAGAAAATGTGGCACATATATACCATGGAATATTATGCAGCCATAAAAAACTAATGAGTTTATGTCCTTTGCAGGGGCATAGATGAAACTGGAAACCATCATTCTCAGCAAACTAACACAGCAAAAGAAAACCAAACACCTCATGTTCTCACTCGTAAGTAGGAGTTGAACAATGAGAACATATGGGCACAGGGAGGGGAACGTCACACACTGGGGCCTGTTGGGAGTTGGGGGGCAAGGGGAGGGATAGCATTAGGAGAAATACCTAATGTAGATGATGGGTTGATGGGTTCAGCAAACCACCATGGCACATGTATACCTATGTAACAAACCGCACGTTCTGCACATGTATCCCAGAACTTAAAGTATAATTTTTAAAAATTAAAAAAAAAAAGAATCCAGGAAATAAGGGATTCAACACAAGAACAAAGAAAAAAGAATTTCCAGAATAATGATGAAAGGAAATCCTACAAGGATATCTGTGTCTCATGAGGAAGACAGTAAATTCAGGTTTAAGCAGGAGAGCAAAGAAGTTTCAGAGGGATAGCTTCAAGGAAAAATAAAATTTACAGAGTAATAGAGGCCTGAGGCTTCTGAACTTACTTAAAGAAGACTTACACTTCTGGGGAAGTTGGGAATGAAGAAATAATAGGTCTATTAAAAAAGCACATTTAAAAAGTAAAGGCAATTATTTACTGCAGAGAAAAAAGTTGTACAAAAAATATAGTATGCTACATGATTATATGGGCTTTGCTTTGAATATTTACATCGTTAGAAAAATGTAAACATACAATATTGATTAACCAAAAATGGTGGCATAACCATGTTGGAGGGGAGAAAGGAAGTATGTTGGGGAGAGGATGAGTGCTGAAGTAGGGGTTGTTGAGGCTCAGACCACTAGACCCCAGAGTATGGCACTCTGGCATGCTGAGCACTTTAAAGGGGATTTGAAGGTCTCTGAAGCAAGGTATCTCAGACGTTCTACTGCTCTCCTGTCTCCCTCCTCTTTTTCCCCCAAAAGTGATTCACGGAAACCAGAATTCCTCTTCCTCAAGTGTCATAGACACTAGAACTCCTCTGCCTCAAAGCAAGCCATAAAACCTAGAAAGGTTACTATCTCCTTTCTCTCTTGAAGACCCTCATTCCACAGGGGTCCTGCCCCATACTTCTAAGGAAGGAATGCTACACAGAGAGGCCAAGATAAATCTGAACAGACAAGCCTTGCTGGGTTTCCCCTCTCAGTCTATTACCATTATTCCCCACTATGTCCAGTCACATTTCTACACAACTGTCCATTCTTCATTGAACCTAAGCATGAAAATAGACAGTTTTCCCTGGATCCTTAGGTCTTCATTTCTGAAAGCTCTTGTGTCACATAAGACTTTTGGTTAAATAAATTTACTGTGCTTTTCTCTTGTTTACCTGTCCTTTGTTAAAGGAGTGTTGGCTATAACTCTTATAATGGGTGAGGAAAAGTATCACCCCTTGCTCTCTCTCCAGAGTTAAGTTCTCTTCTTTCAAAGTAAGAAGGTAATCGGTTAAAAATTAAAATTTTAAAAATGATGAAATAAGTATATGCATGTTGTTTATAAACATGGAAGCAAATACCAGAAGAAATAACTGAAGAATTAAAATTGGTTGCCTCTGGAGAGAGCTGGGAAAGATGAATGCTGTTGCTAGTAATGAGCCTTGTAGAACTCTTTGGCCTTTTATACTATATATATGGGCTATATGGATTTTTTTAAGTGCCCCACCTCCTACCAAGTTCACTCAGAACACATTAGAAGATGGGAATAGCAGTGAACACTGAGTAAATGCCTCATCCCAGGTGCTTTGCCCTCTCCTGTGCTAATGCCTTTAATGTCTTGGTGAGCATCCCTTATCCTTCCTTCAAACTGATGGTCCGTTTAACTACATGGGTTGCACCATTGATACAGCTAATCATATTACCTTGACAGGCACTTTCCATGAAAGAATATTTTCTATTAGAAGTGCAACCAGGAATTTTTCCAGGATAATTCAGCACTTTGGCTTTGCAACATTCCATGATGTCACCTGGCACTTAAAAATAGGTACAAAACTGCTGGGCTGCCCACAGTTAGCATTTATTATTTAGGAGTTACATGCTCTGTAGAATGGCAGGCTAAGTTATAGCTCTAGATAGACGTTAAACACCTAAATACAGATATAGAGCTCAGGAGTTAGATCTGGAATGAAAATACGGGTTTAGGAGCCAACCCTGCAATTGAAGCCACAGATGTGGATAGAGAGAGAGTGATAGCTAGAGGATTCTCAAGACAAAGGGAGGGTTTATATTTTAAGACAGAATAGATATGAACTATCAATTATTCTTGCCACTCCTGTATTTGCAACCTCTCTTCCCATACCCTCCTTTCAAGAAAAATTAGCCAGGGCCAGGGCTGCAAATAACACAGCATCAGTAATTGGTTTTGGTGCCAATTCAGGCTGCAGCTGTGTGTCTGTAAATCATCACAGTTGGTTCCAGCCAATGAGAAGATGTCTAGGTATTCAAAGGACAGTTTGCCATTTTTTCAATAGGTAATAAATACTGTTTGTCAGTTATTTTCTAATGAAAATTAGATGATATACATATTTTAACTGTAAAATATTTTAATATATTTATAAATTAAAAGCTTTACAGTAAGCTATACCAGAGGAGTATTAATTTCTTCTGGTACAGCTTAATACATATGAGTGTGTGGTAGATTTGGCACAAGCACTGATAACTATACATTCTCTTTTGATGAACACTCCAATTTAGACTTACGTAAAGTGCCTAATTTACAAAATTGATATCTGAACATGATTTAGTTATCTCAAATATAAACTTCATTGTGTGACTTGCACGTTATCCAATATGTGGCACACTCAAAAGTACTTTCTATTAAAGATGCTCAATAAAAGGTTGAATGCTGTTACAAAGAAATGGTCAATTCCTAAAAACTGCATTTGTGTGAGGTGTTGTTAACCTCTCACTTATAATTTAAATAACTGATTGTGCTAGGAAAAGTGCAATTTGCCTTTAGAGATTGCATTTATTTGTTTCTAAATCTTGGCAAATTTGGAAAATCGCCAAAACTTTTAATGTTACCATTTTATGTTTGATCAAGGAGAAAGTTCTCTTCTCAGTTATTTATAGAGCCCCTACTATGTGTTGAATGCTTTACATGCATTTTCTCATTTAGATTCTATAATCACCGCTGGGCACAGTGGCTCACGCCTATAATCCCAGCACTTCGGGAGGCCGAGGCAGGCAGATCACTTGAGGCCAGGAGTTCGAGACCAGCCTGGTCAACATGGTGAAACCTCATCTCTACTAAAAATACAAAAATTAGCTGGGCGTGGTGGTGCACGTCTGTAATCCCAGCTACTTGGGAGGCTGAGGCAGGAGAATCGCTTGAACCCAGGATACGGAGGTTGCAGTGAGCCAAGATCACGCTATTGCACTCCAGCCTGTGCGATACAGCCAGACTCCATTTCAAAAAAAAAAAAAAGATTTTCTAATCACCATATAAGGTAGTATTTCCCTACTTTATAAAGTGGAAAAGTGATGTAGCTATATTTTTAACACAAATCTGTCTAATTCCAAAGCCCATCATTTTGTCACTACATGCTTCCTTCATTGTAAGGTATTTAGAACAATTTTTTGACACATAATAGACATATTTTGGGGTACATGTGATATTGCAATACATTCATAAATGTGTAATAATCAAGTCAGGGTAAATGGGATACCCATCACCCTCAAAATTTATCTTTTCTTTATGCTGAGAACATTCAAATTATTCTCTACTAGCTATTTTGAAATATACAATAGATTATTTAGTCACTCTACTGATTTATTAAACACTAGTCTTATTTCTTCTACCTACTTTTAAAGTTCTGACTACTTTGCCTCATGATGGGGCTGCTACAGCCCTCTGTGAGGCTCAGAGCCTTCATTCACACACACCTGTCTCCTCTGACCAGAGTGAGAGGGGTAGCCAGCCACTGTGTTGTGGACACTCAAACAGCCTGTGGGGAAGCCCATGTGAAGAGGAGGGGATGCTGGACTCTTGCCAATGACCAGCACATCATTGTCAGCCATGTGAATGAGCCACCTTGGATGGAAATCCACCAGCTCCAGGCCAGCATTCAGATGACTGCCACCTCATAGGAAATCTTGAGCCACAATGGCCTATCTGGTCCATTCTCAAATACCTGATGCACAGAAACTGTGAGGATAATGGGTTTTTTTTTAAAGTTCTGATATTCTTTTCTAAAATATGAGTAATGCATCTTAAATGTGAGCAATCTTCCCACTCTTAACACAAACTCTTTTTCCTTTCCCAGCAACATGGTGGCTACATAAAATTGCTTACTCTTTTATATAGGGGGATGAGGACAGGGAGAGAAACAGGGAGGTAGGGAAGAAGGTGGGAGAAAGAAGTGAAAGAGAAAAAAAGAAAAACAAAAACCTACCCTTTGAACTCTATCTCACTATCCGTCACCACTTCATGTCCTCTTTTCCCTTCTTGGCTCGTCTTCTTCTAAACTACATCCTAATCTTTCTATTTCTTCATCTCTACTATTACCACTGTAGTTTATGCCCTCATCTTATCTTGCCTAGAGCACTTCAATAGCTTTCTGACTAGACTCCCGTTTTGACTTTTGAGTACCTATAATCCATTTCCTATAAAAATATAACACTTTTATATGTTCATATATTATGTATAATATTTAATAAAAAGTATATTTTAAATATATGAATTAGATCATTTGTCTAAGGCCCTTCAAAAGATTTTCATTTCCTATGTTTCAAGTCCTTATACTGGCTTATATACCCATGTGAGATTGCCTCTGCCTGTCTCTTGTACATAATCTCCCTTTATTACCCCAAAAAAGACAAATTGGGGTGAAATTATAAAGAACCTAGGATAAAATGCAATAAGTCTAAATGTATCCCACAGATGAATAGTTTTCAAACATTTTTTCTAGCAGAACACTTTTTCTTATAATAAAACATTATATAAGACTCCAATATATAAAACTTGTACAAGTAAAGACTGGTTGAAGCAAGGTCCAGGGCCCCATTCCAACCACTAATATGAATAGTTCCCTAAGGCCTTAGGTTAGATGCAGGAAGCCATCCTTTATTTCTTAATTTCTAGTTGTATTGCATTTACAGGATGGCCCTTCTAAGTCTCAACTTCCCTGTCACATTTTGTCTTTTAGCTTTAAATCTGTAAATGTTTCTTTGTTTTACATGTCATATTACTACTTCAATCTGTAGTTAGATCTGTTACATTGTTTTGCTCTCTATGTACATACACACACACACAGCATTATTTTTAGTTTCTTTCTTTTCTTTTTGTTTGTTTGTTTTTGAGATGAGTCTCCCTCTGTCTTGCCCAGACTGGAGTGCAGCGGTGTGATCTCAGCTCGCTACAACCTCTGCCTCCCAAGTTCAAGCGATTCTCCTGTCTCAGCCTCCCGAGTAGCTGGGACTACAGGCATGTGCCATCACACCCAGCTAATTTTGTACTTTTAGTAGAGATGGGGTTTCACCACGTTGGCCAGGCTGGTCTCGAACCCCTGACCTCAAGTGATCCACCCGCCTCGGCCTCCCAAAGTGCTGGGATTATGAGTATGAGCCACCACGCCTGGCCTAGTTTCATATTTTAAAAAATTATATTTTTAATTTCAAAGACCTCTTTCTGATCTTCAGAGGGAAGGCATTGGGTGGATGAAGGGATGGCACTGGGAGTGGACAGAGGGAAGACACAAATCCTGATCTGAAGGGGAAGGAAGCTGGGAACACAGCACATGGCTACCAACACCAGGACCTGTTCCTGGTCCCCAGTGACTCCTAGAGACAGGGTGAGTTGAGCAGGTAAATGGTCATCTGCTTTCACCAGGAACCTCTGGAATTCTGGTAGCAGGAGGCCCCATAATCCCCACAGACACTTGAACTGGCAGGGAGAGCTGCATACAGGAGTGGTAGGGGCAGAACTAAAGCCAGTGGGGAGCCCAGAGGGTTTGGTGTGGGAACATCTGTAGTGGAGCATGGCCATGGATGCCCACACCCCGCAAAGCTCACCAGGCACCCCTAGGAGACTTTAGCCTTAGGGGAACTGTCAGACCTGAACAGTGCAGGACAATCTTGCCCATGAGACAGGGCCAGTCCAACCTGAGCAGCCCCCTTCACCTGGCCTCTCCTGGGGCCCCAGCCTGACCACGCCTGCTTACAGTGCAGCCTTGGATACCCCACTAGGGTACCACGTGGGCTCGCATCATAGCTCTTGCAGGGGCAAACTGGATCTGACCATTAGAGCACTCCAGCAGAGCGGCCCCCACAAATGCACACTAACCTGCTCATGCCCACCTCCCACCCACAGACTCCCCTTCGCCCATGGCCACCCCCATATCACTTTGCTGGTACATGTGCACCTGGGCAAACCTCACCTCCCATTCACTGCCAGTGCATGGTACACATGCACCCACTGTACCACCACTGTCAGCATGTGCACATCCTGCCACCCCCCCCCCATGTTGCTATTGCCAACCTAAAGGCACACAAGGAAACCAGTTGCCCCAGCCCCCAAACTGCACCATCATTGTCACCAGCACGTTCATGCACAAAGAGATCACCAGACTCTTTTCCACTAGCGCCCCGCCCCATGTCGACCATTACTGTAAACCTGCGCACAGAGACCAGTAGCCCTGCCCTCTGCCCTGCAGAGCCACTGCCACCCGCAGGAACATTGGCATGGAGAATCCCAACCCCACACCTGCCAGTGCCCTGGGTCACCCCCATGCCAATATCACCACTGTTGCAAATGCCCACAGAGAGGCTGGCACTCCTGCACTTGCCAGTGCCCTGCCACAGACTGTGAGAGTACATGCTGCCATGTGGCTGGCAAATGCAAACGGGCATGGATCCCACTGACACTGCCCAAAGAGCTTTGGCTGGCACCACCATTAGTGATCAGTAGTCTGGAACACCTCAGCCCCTCCAGCACAGAAGTTTCCTAACCTCAAGGGGTGAGAGAACAAATCTGGGGGCCTGATACCAGCTCCCCAGAGTCAGAGCATGCAGCCCAGGAATCAGGAGCTGAGCCTTGGGCCCCTAAAATTATCCAGAAGTCAACTGAACCCACCTTACACCACAAGACAAACCCCCAAGGACATCAAGGAGGATAAAAGAAAAAAAAAATCAAAAGTCAGCAACTTCAAAGATTGAAGGAACATCAGCCCACAAAGATGAGAAAGAATCAGCACAAAAAATGGCAACTCAAAAAAACAGTGTCTTCTTACCTCCAAATCATCATACTAGTTCCCCAGCAATGGTTCTTAACCAAGCTGAACTAGCTAAAATGACAGATACAGAATTCAGAATATGGATAGGAATAAAGATTATCAACATTCAGGAGAAAGTCAAAACCCAATCCAAGGAGTATTAAGATTATAATAAAACAATACAGGAGCTGATGAGTGAAATGGCCATTGTAAGAAAGACCAAACTGATCTGACAGAGCTGAAAAACACACTACAGGAATTTCATAATTAAATCACAAATATTAACAGAAGAATCAACCAAACTGAGGAAAGAATCTCAGAGCTTGAAGACTGGTTCTCCAAAATAACTCAGTCAGACAAAAATAAAGAAAAAAGCAATAAAAAAGAATGAACAAAACCTCCAAGAAATATGGGATTATATAAAGAGACCAAATCTACAACTCACTGGCATCTCTGAAAGGGAGGAAGGGAAACCTAGCAACTTGGAAAACACATTTCAAGATATCATCCATGAAAATTTCCCCAACCTCACTAGAGAGGCCAACATTCAAATTCAGAAAATGCACAGAACTCCTGCAGAATACTACCCAAGAAGATCATCCCAAAGACAAATAGTCATCAGATTCTCCAAGGTCAAAATGAAAGAAAAAATGTTAAAGGCAGCTAGAGAGAAGGAGCAGGTCACCTAGAAAGGGATCCCATTCAGGCTTACTGCAGATCTGTCAGCAAAGGCCCTACAAACCAGAAGAGATTGGATGCCTACATTAAGCATTTTTTAAAAAAAGAATTTTCATCCAGGCGTGATGGCTCACACCTGTAATCCCAGCACTCTGGGAGGCCAAGATGGATGGATCACTTGAGCCCAGGAGTTTGAGACCAGCCTGGGCAACATGGCAAAATCCCATCTCTACAAAAATAAAAATAAAAAAATAGCCAGGTATGGTGGGATGCACCTGTGGTCCCAGCTACTCAGAAGGCTGAGGTGGGAGGATCACATGAGCCTGGGGAGGTCAAAGCTGCAGTGAGCCATGATTGTGCCACGGCACATCAGCCTGGGCAATGGAGTGAGACCCTATCTCAAAAAAAAAAAAAAAAAAAAGATTTTTCAACCAAGAATTTTATATCCAGCCAAACTAAGTTTGATACTCAAAGGACAAATAAGATCCTCTTCAGACAAGCAAACTCTAAGGGAATTTGGAATTTTGTTACCCCCAGACCTGCCTTACAAGAGGTCCTAAAGGGAGTGTTAAATATGGAAAGGAAAGACTGTCACCAGCCACTACAAAACCACATTTAAACTCATAGACCAGTGATACTATAAGGCAACCACACCAACAAATCTGCATAATAACCAGCTAACAACATGACAGAATCAAATCCACACATATCTATACCAACCTTGAATGTAAACATGCTAAATGCCCTAATTAAAAGGCATAGAGTGGCAGCTTGGATAAGAAGCAAAACCCAATGATATGCTGTCTTCAAGAAACTCGTCTCACATGGCATTAGACCCATAAGCTCAAAGTAAAGGGATGGAGAAAAATCTACCAAACAAATGGAAAACAGAAGAAAGCAGGGGGTTGCTATCTAATTTCAGACAAAACAAACTTTAAATCAACAAAAATCAAAAAAGACAAAGAAGGGCATTACATAATGGTAAAAGGCTCAATACACACCCCATACAGGAGCACCCAGATTCATAAAGTAAAGTTCTTAGAAATCTACAAAGAGACTTAGATAAACACACAATAATACTGGGAGACTTCAACACCCCATTGACAGTATTAGACAGATCATCAAGGCAGAAAACTAACAAAGATATTTGGGACCTGAACTCAACACTGGACCAAAGGGACCTAATAGACATCTACAGAACTCTCCACCCAAAACCAAAAGAATGAATATACATTTCTCTCATCTGGGCATAGCACATACTCTAAAACTGACCACCCAATCGGGCATAAAACAACCCTCAGCAAATTAAAAAACACCAAAATTACAGCAACCACACTCTCGGGCCACAGCGCAATAAAAATAGAAATTATTGCTGAGAAAATCACTCAAAACTACACAATTGCATGGAAATTAAACAACCTGTTCCTGAATGACTTCTTGGTAAACAGTGAAATTAAGGCAGAAATCAGGGGGTCTTTGAAACTAATGAGAACAAAGATACAACATACCAAAATCTCTGGGACACAGCCAAAGCAATTTTTTTTGGTTTTTTTAATACTTTAAGTTTTGGGATACATGTATAGAATGTGCATGCTTGTTACATAGGTATACACGTGCCATGGTGGTTTGCTGCACCCATCAACCTGTCATCTACATTAGGTATTTCTTCTAATGCTATCCCTCCTCTAGCCCCCCACCCCCCGGCAGGTGATGTTCCCCTCCCTGTGTCGATGTGTTCTCATTGTTCAACTTCCACTTATGAGTGAAAACATGCTAAATGGGAAGTTTATAAGACTAAACACCCACATCAAAAAGTTAAAAAGATCTCAAATTAACAACCTAACATCACACCTAGAGGAACTAGAGAAACAAGAGCAAACAAACCCCAAAGCTAGCGGAAGACAAGAAATAACCAAAATCAGAGCTGAACTAAAGGAAATCAAGACAGACAGACAGACAGACACACACACACACACACACACACACACACACACACACACAAACATACAAAAGATCAATGAATCCAGGAGCTGGTTCCTTGAAAGAATTAATAAGATAGATAGACCACTAGCTAGACTAATAAAGAAAAAGAGAGAAGATCTAAATAAACACAATCACGAATGACAAAAAGGATGTCACCACTTGCCCCACAGAAATACCAAAAACCCTCAGAGACTATTATGAACACCTCTATGAACACAGCTAGGAAATCTACCAGAAATGAGTAACTTCTTGAGAACATACAACCTCCCAAGGCTGAACCAGGAAGAAACTAAATCCCTGGAAAGACCAATAAGTAGTTTCAAAATTGAATCAGTAATAAAAAACCTACCCACCAGAAAAGACCCTAGACCAGACAGATTCACTGCTAAATTCTACTAAATGTACAAAGAAGGGCTAGTACCATTCCTTCTGAAATTTCTCCAAAAACTGAGAAGGGATTCTTCTTTAACTCATTCTATGAGGCCAGCATCATCCTGATACCAACGCCTGGCAGAGACACACACAAAAAAGAAAACTTCAGGCCAATATCCTTGATGAACAGAGACACAAAAATCCTCAACAAAATACTAGCACACAAAATCCAGCAGCACATCATAAAGCTAATCCACCACAATCAAGTAGGCATCATCCCTAGGATGCAAGATTGGTTCAACATATGTAAATTTACTAAATGTGATTCATCACATAAACAGCTAACAATGAAAACCACATGATCATCTCAATAAATGCAGAAAAGGCTTTCCATAAAAGTCAACATACCTTCATGTTAAAAACTCTCAACAAACTAGGCATCAAAAGAATGTACCTCACAATAATAAGGGCCATTTATGACAAACCCACAGCCAGCATCATACTGAATGGGCAAAAGCTGGAAGCATTCTCCTTGAAAACCAGGAGACAAGGATGTCATCTGTCACCACTCCTATTAAACATAGCAATGGAAGTCATAGCCAGAGCAATCAGACAAGAGAAAGAAATAAAATGCATCCAAATAGGAAGAGAGGAAGTCAAAATATTCCTGTTGGCAGATGATATGATTCTATACCTAGAAAACTCCATGGTCCCTGCCCAAAAGCTCCTTGATCTGATAAACAACTTGGGCAAGTTTCAGGATACAAAGGCAATCAACAGGCTGGGCGCAGTGGCTCACACCTGTAATCCCAGCACTTTGAGAGGCCGCGGTGGGCGGATCATCTGAGGTCAGGAGTTCGAGACCAGTTTGGCCAATGTGGCAAAACGCCATCTCGAATAAAAATACAAAATTCGCTGGGCATGGTGGCACATGCCTGTAATCCCAGCTACTCGGGAGGCTGAGGCAGGAGAATTGCTTGAACCCAGGAGGTGGAGGTTGTGGTGAGCCAAGATCGCACAATTGCACTCCAGTCTGGGCAACAAGAGTGAAACTCTGTCTCAAAAAAATAAAAATAAAAAGCAATGTATAAAAATCAGTAGCATTCCTACACACCAAAAACATCCAACCTGAGAGCCAAATCAAAAATGCAATCCCATTCACAATAGACACAAAAAGAATAAAATACCTAGGAATAAAGCTGACCAGAGAAGTGGAACACCTCCACAATGAGAATTGCAAAACACTTCTCAAACAAATCAGAGATGACACAAACAAATGAAAAAATATTCCATGCTTGCAGATAGGAAATATTGTTAAAATGGCCATACTGCCCATAAGCAATGTTCAGATTCAGTGCTATTCCTATCAAACTACCAATGACAATTTTTTACAGAGCTGGGAAAAGCTATTCTAAAATTCATATGGAACCAAAAAAGAATAGCCAAAGCAATCTAAGCAAAAAGAACAAAGCCAGAAGCATCACACTACCTGACCTCCAACTATAATACAAGGCTACAGTAACCAAACAGCATGGTACTAGTACAAAAACAGACAGAGAGACCAATGGAACACAACAGAGAACCCAGAAATAAAGCCATACAACCACAACTCTCTGATCTTTGACAAGGTCAACAAAAACAAGCAATGGGGAAAGGACTCCCTATTGAATAAATGGTGTTGGGATAACTGGCTAGCCATATGCAGAAGATTGAAACTTGGCCCCTTCCTTTCACCACATACAAAAATCAACTCAAGATGGATTAAAGATTTAAATGTGAAACCTAAAACTATGAAAACCACGGAAGACAACCTAGGAAATACCATTCTAGACATAGGACTTCGCAAAGATTTCATGATGAAGATGGCAAAAGCAATGCAATAAAAGCAAAAATTAACAAATGGGATCTAATTAAACTAAAGAACTTCTGCACAGCAACATAAACTATCAACAGAGTAAATGGACAACCTACACAATGGGAGATAATGATTTCTCAAAGAACTTAAAACAGAATTACCATTCAACCTAGCAATCACACAATTTGGTATATACCTAAAGGAATATAAGTTATTCTACCACAAAGACACATGCATGCTTATGTTCATCACAGCATTATTCACAATAGTAAAGACAGAGAATCAACCTAAAAGTTCATCAATGGTAGACTGGATAAAGAAAATGTGGTATAGATACACAAAGTAATACTACTCAGCCCAAAAAAAAGAAAAAGGTCATGTCCTTTGCAGCAACATGGATGGAGCTGGAGGTCATTATCGTAAACAAACTAACACAGGGACAGAAAACCAAATACTACATATTCTTGCTTATAAGTGAGAGCTAAACATTGAGTACATATGGACACAAAGAAGGGAACAACAGACCCAAGGCCTACCTGAGGGTGGAGGGTGGAAGGAGGGTGAGGACAGAAAACCTACCTATTGGGTACTATACTTATTTCCTGGGTGACAAAATAATCTGTACACCAAACCTCTGTGACATGCAATTTACCTATATAACAAACCTGCACATGTACTCCTGAACCTAAAATAAAATTTAAAAAAATAAAAACTAAAAAGAATAAAAAGTCTCTTTCTCTCATTGCTTCTTTTGGATAGTGATCTGTTCTTATTTTATTCACTTCTGGAATCATTGATTAAAATACATTTTATGTATTCTTCTATTCTTTAAATTCCAAGTTTCATCCAAATCCATTGTCTGCTCATCTTGGCTCTTCTTTTTCCAGCTATT
The DNA here is from genome assembly GCF_000001405.40 of Homo sapiens. Taxonomy (NCBI): domain Eukaryota; kingdom Metazoa; phylum Chordata; class Mammalia; order Primates; family Hominidae; genus Homo; species Homo sapiens. Next base: position 63,525,598 of record NC_000002.12, read on the forward strand.
GGTTTTCTTAGTGTCTGATGATCCTGGGCTATCATTCATATTTATAAATGAAGGTCTAAGTTGATGAGTACACAGGGCTCTGTTTCCTCCATCTGGTCTCTTTCCTAGAGAGAAGGGCTGACTGCCGTTATGTTAGTGGCCGTGGCCACATTAAGATGTGTGGGCCAAGGGAGGCAAGTTGAGGGCACCGTAACTGCAAAAAAGAAGAGCTTTACACTGGTAAAGTACACTGGAGTACTTTAATGTAATTTCCTCCTGGGCAAGGCTGCCTTTCCTTTTCATTTTTTCCTCCCATCTGTGTCTGTAATATAGGTAAGTCCCAAGTCACTTCAGGTTATGCTTTCCTCAGGTTGCAACAGCCACACCAGAAGTCTTTCCCAGATAAGTGGCTTACCTTATGTATGTACGGCTTTTGAATTTCAGGAAAGGGCAAATACTTCTGTTGTTGCTGTTGCTACTGTGTGTGTGTGTGTGTGTGTGTGTACACACACATACATGTGCTCTCCCATGCACGTGCATAACTTGAGAACAGAGGAGGAACTGAGAAAAAAAGCCATACCAGCCCTTCTATTTAAGGCACAGATCCCTATAACCAAGTCTTGAAGTTTTTGAGGCTCTACTTTCACGTACAGTTGTTTTTTCTTGTGTGTCATTTTGAGTACTTGTTTTCCAGCCTTCTGCTTCTGTCTCTCAGGAATTCCTCACAATTTTTGATGGCACTATTTCGTGTTGTCCAACACTATTATGGGTATCTTTTCATTCTCCTCTATTTTAAAATATTTGGGGTGAAAAGGAGAAGCAGTGGCAACTGTTTGAAAAGGAATTTTTTAAAGGGAAAAGGCCTAAAATATTTGTAAATTAAGAGGAAAGATACAGGGGAGTAACAAAGGTTAAAGATATCAGAACAAAACTCAAACCTCTTGCCATGACCTACCTTTCCAAATTCACCTTTTACCATTTTCCTCCATAGCTGACTATCCTCCAGAAACCTGTGCTTTCTATTCCTCAAAAAATATCAAGCTCATTCCTGCTTCAGAGCCTTTGTATTTGATGTTCTTTTATGTAGAAATCTCTTCCCTGTGGTTTTTACATGGCTGGCTGCTTCTCATGATTCAGATCTCTTTGCAAATGTTGTTTCTTCCTAAAAGTCTTCTCCAATAACCCCCATACTTCAATCCCAGTTTTTTGTCACATTCTGTTTTGGTTTTAACTTTATTGAGCTTATCCTAGTCCAGGATTACCTTGATTATTTCTTTGCTTACTCATCTGAGTACATGAACTAGAATGCATGCCACATAAATTTGCTCTATAATATTCCCCAATGTATCAAAGTATTCAATAAATATTCGATGAACGGAGATTAGGGAAAAGAACACACAGCCAATGAAACAAGGCTTCCTCATAAACTTAGAGTGTCAGCCATGAAAAGAAATAACTTTTATTTTTAAGAATATGAGTGAAATAAGGATAAAAATTATGTTTTGAGGTGCTGGACAATAATTCTCTAGAAGTCTCTCACATTCCTGCAAGCAAGGCACTGCTTTGTTCTTGACTATTTTTTCAAAAATAGCAAGCAGTCTTAGAAAATCAAGCTAGTTTACTAACAGAGCAAAGGGCAGGCATGCTTTTTTTTTTTTTTTTACTTTAAGTTCTAGGGTACATGTGCACAACGTGCAGGTTTGTTACATATGTATACCTGTGCCATGTTGGTGTGCTACACCCATTATCTCGTCATTTACATTAGGTATACGTCCTAATGCTCTCCCTCCCCCCACCCCCAACCAACGACAGGCCCTGGTGTCTGATGTTCCCCTTCCAGTATCCAAGTGTTCTCACTGTTCAATTCCCAGCTATGAGTGAGAACATGCAGTGTTTGGTTTTCTGTCCTTGCGATAGTTTGCTCAGAATGATGGTTTCCAGCTTCATCCATGTTCCTACAAAGGACATGACCTCATCCTTTTTTATGGCTGCATAGTATTCCATGGTGTATATGTGCCACATTTTCTTAATCCAGTCTATCATTGATGGACATTTGGGTTGGTTCCAAGTCTTCACTATTGTGAATAGTGCCGCAGTAAACATACGTGTGCATGTGTCTTTATAGCAGCATGATTTATAATCCTTTGGGTATATGCCCAGTAATGGGATGGCTGGGTCAAATGGTATTTCTAGTTCTAGATCCTTGAGGAATCGCCACACTGTCTTCCACAGTGGTTGAACTAGTTTACATTCCCACCAACAGTGTAAAAGCGTTCTTATTTCTCCACAGCCTCTCCAAGACCTGTTGTTTCCTGACTTTTTATTGATCGCCATTCTAACTGGTGTGAGATGGTATCTCATTGTGGTTTTGATTTGCATTTCTCTGATGGCCAGTGACAATGAGCATTTTTTCATGTGTCTGTTGGCTGCATAAATGTCTTCTTTTGAGAAGTGTCTATTCATATCCTTCGCCCCCTTTTTCAGGGGTTTATTTGTTTTTTTCTTGTAAATTTGAGTTCTTTGTAGATTCTGGATATTAGCCCTTTGTCAGATGAGTAGATTGGAAAAATTTTCTCCCATTCTGTAGGTTGCCTCTTCACCCTGATGGTAGTTTCTTTTCCTGTGCAGAAGCTCTTTAGTTTAATTAGATCCCATTTGTCAATTTTGGCTTTTGTTGCCATTGCTTTTGGTGTTTTAGACATGAAGTCCTTGCCCATGCCTATGTCCTGAATGGTAATGCCTAGGTTTTCTGCTAGGGTTTTTATGGTTTTAGCTCTAACATTTAAGTCTTTAATCCATCTTGAATTAATTTTTGTATAAGGTGTAAGGAAGGGATCCAGTTTCAGCTTTCTACATATGACTAGCCAGTTTTCCCAGCACCATTTATTAAATAGGGAATCCTTTCCCCAGTTCTTGTTTTTATCAGGTTTGTCAAAGATCAGATAGTTGTAGATGTGTGGTATTATTTCTGAGGGCTCTGTTCTGTTCCATTGGTCTATATCTCTGTTTTGGTACCAGTACCATGCTGTTGGTTACTGTGGACTTGTAGTATAGTTTGAAGTCAGGTAGCATGATGCCTCCAGCTTTGTTCTTTTGGCTTAGGATTGACGTGGCAATGTGGGCTCTTTTTTGGTTACATACGAACTTTAAAGTTGTTTTTCCAATTCTGTGAAGAAAGTCATTGGTAGCTTGATGGGGATGGCATTGAATCTATAAATTACCTTGGGCAGTATGGCCATCTTCACGATATTGATTCTTCCAATCCATGAACATGGAATGTTCTTCCATTTGTTTGTGTCTTCTTTTATTTCATTGAGCAGTGGTTTGTAGTTCTCCTTGAAGAGGTTCTTCACATCCCTAGTAAGTTGGATTCCTAGGTATTTTATTCTCTTTGAAGGAATTGTGAATGGGAGTTCACTCATGATTTGGCTCTCTGTTTGTCTATTATTGATGTATAAGAATGACTGTGATTTTTGCACATTGATTTTGTATCCTGAGACTTTGCTGAAGTTGCTTATCAGCTTAAGGAGATTTTGGGCTGAGACGAGGGGGTTTTCTAAATATACAATCGTGCCATCTGCAAACAGGAACGATTTGACTTCCTCTTTTCCTAATTGAATACCCTTTATTTCCTTCTCCTGCCTGATTGCCCTGGCCAGAACTTCCAACACTATGTTGAATAGGAGTGGTGAGAGAGGGCATCCCTGTCTTGTGCAAGTTTTCAAAGGGAATGCTTCCAGTTTTTGCCCATTCAGTATGATATTGGCTGCGGGTTTGTTGTAAATAGCTTTTATTACTTTGAGATATGTCCCACCAATACCTAGTTTATTCAGAGTTTTTAGCATGAAGCGCTGTTGAATTTTGTCAAAGGCCTTTTCTGCATCTATTGAGATAATCATGTGGTTTTTGTCTTTGGTTCTGTTTATGTGATGGATTACGGTTACTGATTTGCATATGTTGAACCAGGCTTGCATCCCAGGGATGAAACCGACTTCATCATGGTGGACAAGCTTTTTGATGTGCTGCTGGATTCGGTTTGCCAGTGTTTTATTGAGGATTTTTTGATTGATGTTCATCAGGGATACTGGTCTAAAATTCTCTTTTTTCGTTGTGTCTCTGCCAGGCTTTGGTATCAGGATGATGCTGGCCTCATAAAATGAGTTAGGGATTGATTGGAATAGTTTCAGAAGGAATGGTACCAGCTCCTCCTTGTATCTCTCATAGAATTCGGCTGTGAATCCTTCTGGTCCTCGACATTTTTTTTGGTTGGTAGGCTACTAATTATTGCCTCAATTTCAGACCCTGTTATTGGTCTATTCAGGGATTCAACTTCTTCCTGGTTTAGTCTTGGGAGGGTGTATGTGTCTAGGAATTTATCCATTTCTTCTAGATTTTCTAGTTTATTTGTGTAGAGGTGTTTATAGTATTCTCTGATGGTAGTTTGTATTTCTGTGGGATCGGTGGTGATAGCCCCTTTATCATTTTTTATTGCATCTGTTTGATTTTTCTCTCTTTTCTTCTTTAGTAGTCTTGCTAGCAGTCTATCAAGTTTGTTGATCTTTTCAAAAAACCAGCTCCTGGATTCATTGATTTTTTTGTAGGGTTTTTTGTGTCTCTATCTCCTTCAATTCTGCTCTGATCTTAGTTATTTCTTGCCTTCTGCTAGCTTGTGAATGTGTTTGCTCTTGCTTCTCTAGTTCTTTTCATTGTGATGTTAGGGTGTCAATTTTAGATCTTTCCTGCTTTCTCTTGTGGGCATTTAGTGCTATAAATTTCCTGCTACACACTGCTTTAAATGTGTCCCAGAGATTCTGGTATGCTGTGTCTTTGTTCTCATTGGTTTCAAAGAACATCTTTATTTCAGGGCAGGTATGCTTTATGTACGGTATAAAAGACTTGGGTTTCTTAAGCTTGGAGTTCCCCTCCTATAATGCAGCCCACTGTATGTACATGTGTTATCTGGCCCTTTTCATGTCACTTTAAGGTAATTAAGGTTCAGAGAGCCAGTGCAAAAATGTTGATACCTCAGCTACTCTGTTACTGTGAGTAATAAACTGTCCTTCATCTCTGACCCAAGGTCATATTTTCTAACAGGATCCATGCAACTGGCAGGCCAAATTGTTGGTTTGAAAATATGGTCAGCTCAGGTTCCAAGATGACCAAATAGGAACAGCTCCAGGCTACAGCTCCCAGCATGAGCGACACAGAAGACGGGTGATTTCTGCATTTCCAACTGAGGTACCGTGTTCATCTCACTGGGACTTATTGGACAGTGGGTGTAGCCCACACAGTGTGAGCCAAAGCAAGGCGGGCATTGCCTCATCCAGGAAGTGCAAGGGGTTGGGGAATTCCCTTTCCTAGCCAAGCGAAGCAGTAACAGACAGTACATGGGAAATCGGGACACTCCCGCCCTAATACTGTGCTTTTCCAATGGTCTTGGCAAACCGCACACCAGGAGATTATATCCCACGCCTGGCTCGCCAGGTCCCACGCCCACGGCGCCTTGCTCACTGCTAGCACAGCAGTCCAAGATCGAACTGTGAGGCAGCAACGAGGCTGGGGGAGGGGCATCTGCCATTGCAGAGGCTTGACTAGGTAAACAAAGCAGCCCAGAAGCTTGAACTGGGTGGAACACACCACACCTCAACGAGGCCTGCCTGCCTCTGTAGACTCCACCTCTGGGGGCAGGGGATAGCTGAACAAAAGGCAGCAGAAACTTCTGCAGGCTTAAACATCCCTGTCTGACGATTTGAAGAGAGCAGTGGTTCTCCCAGCATGGAGTCTGAGATCTGAGAATGGACAGACTGCATCCTCAAATGGGTCCCTGACCCCTGAGTAGCCTAACTGGGAGACACCTCCCAGTAGGGCTGACAGACACCTCATACAGCTGGGTGCCCCTCTAAGATGAAGCTTCCAGAGGAAGGATCAGGCAGCAACATTTACTATTCTGTAATATATGCTGTTCTGCAGCCTCCACTGGTGCTACCCAGGTAAACAGGGTCTGGAGTGGACCTCCAGCAAACTCCAACAGACCTGCAGCTGAGGGTCCTGATGGTTAGAAGGAAAACTAGCAAGCAGAAAAGAATAACATCAACAAAAAGGACATCCACACCAAAACCCCATCTGTAGGTCACCATTATCAAAGACCAAAGGTAGATAAAACCACAAAGATGGGGGGAAACCAGAGCAGAAAAGCTGAAAATTCTAAAAATCAGACCACCTCCTCTCCTCCAAAGGATCGCAGCTCCTCGCCAGCAGCAGAACAAAGCTGGACAGAGAATGACTTTGATGAATTAACAGAAGTAGGCTCAGAAGATCGGTAATAACAAACTTCTCCGAGCTAAAGGAGGATGTTCGAACCCATCATAAGGAAGCTAAAAACCTTGAAAAAAAATTAGACGAACAGCTAACTAGAATAACCAGCATAGAGAAGACCTTAAATGACCTGATGGGGCTGAAAACCATGGCACGAGAACTACGTGACGCATGCACAAGCTTCAGTAGCCTATTCCATCAAGTGGAATAAAGGGGATCAGGGACTGAAGATCAAATGAATGAAATGAAGCGAGAAGAGAAGTTGAGAGAAAAAAGAGTGAAAAGAAACAAACAAAGCCTCCAAGAAATATGGTAATATGTGAAAAGACCAAATCTACGTCTGATTGGTGTACCTGAAAGTGATGGGGAGATGGAACCAAGCTGGAAAACACTCTTCAGGATATTATCCAGGAGAACTTCCCCAACCTAGTGAGGCAGGCCAACATTCAAATTAAGGAAATACAGAGAATGCCACAAAGATACTCCTCAAGAAGAGCAACCCCAAGACACATAACTGTTAGATTCACCAAGGTTGAAATGAAGGAATATGTTAAGGGCAGCCAGAAAGAAAGGTCGGGTTACCCACAAAGGGAAGCCCATCAGATTAACAGCGGATCTCTCAGCAGAAACTCTACAAGCCAGAATACAGTGGGGGCCAATATTCAACATTCTCAAAGAAAAGAATTTTCAACCCAGAATTTCATATCCAGCCAAACTAAGCTTCATAAGTGAAGGAGAAATAAAAGCCTTTACAGACAAGCAAATGCTGAGAGATTTTGTCACCACCAGGCTTGCCTTACAAGATCTCCTATAGGAAGCACTAAACATGGAAAGGAACAAATGGTACCAGCCACTGCAAAAACATGTCAAATTCTAAAGACCATCAATGCTAGGAAGAAACTGCATCAACTAACGAGCAAAATAACCAGCTAATATCATAATGACAGGATCAAATTAACACGTAACAATATTAACCTTAAATATAAATGGGCTAAATGCTCTAATTAAAAGACACAGACTGGCAAATTGGATAAAAAGTCAAGACCCACCAGTGTGCTGTATTCAGGAGACCCATCTCATGTGCAGAGACACATATAGACTCAAAATAAAGGGATGGAGGAAGATCTACCAAACAAATGGAAAACAAAAAAAAGCAGGGGTTGCAATCCTAGTCTCTGATAAAACAGACTTTAAGCCAACAAAGATCAAAAGAGACAAAGAAGGGCATTACATAATGGTAAAGGGATCAATTCAACAAGAAGAGCTAACTCTCCTAAATACATATGCACCCAGTACAGGAGCACCCAGATTCATAAAGCAAGTCCTTAGAGACCTACAAAGAGCTTAGACTCCCACACAATAATAATGGGAGACTTGAACACCTCACCATCAATATTAGACAGATCGATGAGACAGAAAGTTAACAAGGATATCCAGGACCTGAACACAGTTCTGCACCAAGCGAACCTAATAGACATCTACAGAATTCTCCACCCCAGATCAACAGAATACACATTCTTCTCAGCATCACATCACACTTATTCCAAAATTGACCCACATAGTTGGAAGTAAAGCACTCCTCAGCAAATGTAAAAGAACAGAAATTATAACAAACAGTCTCTCAGACCACAGTGCAATCAAATTAGAACTCAGGATTAAGAGACTCGCTCAAAACTGCTCAACTACATGGAGACTGAACAACCTGCTCCTAAATAACTACTGGGTACATAACGAAATGAAGGCAGAAATAAAGATGTGTTTGAAACCAATGAGAACAAAGACACAACATACCAGAATCTCTGGGACACATTTAAAGCAGTGTGTAGAGGGAAATTTATAGCACTAAATGCCCACAAGAGAAAGCAGCAGAGATCTAAAATCGACACCCTAACATCACATTTAAAAGAACTAGAGAAGCAAGAGCAAACACATTCACAAGCTAGCAGAAGGCAAGAAATAACAAAGATCAGAGCAGAACTGAAGGAGATAGAGACACAAAAAAACCCTACAAAAAATCAATAAATGCAGGAGCTGGTTTTCTTGAAAAGATCAACAAAACAGATAGACTGCTAGCAAGACTAAAAAAGAAGAAAAGACAGGAGAATCAAATAGATGCAAAAAAAATGATAAAAGGGATCTCACCACCGATCCCACAGAGATACAAACTACCATCAGAGAATACTACAAACACCTCTACACAAATAAACTAGAAAATCTAGAAGAAATGGATAAATTCCTGGACACATACACCCTCCCAAGACTAAATGAGGAAGAAGCTGAATCTCTGACTTGACCAATAACAGGCTCTGAAATTGAGGCAATAATTAATAGCTTACCAACTAAAAAACTCCAGGACCAGGTGGATTCACAGCCGAATTCTACCAGAGGTACAAAGAGGAGCCGGTACCATTCCTTCTGAAACTATTCCAATCAATAGAAAAAGAGGTAATCCTCCCTAACTCATTTTATGAGGCCAGCATCAACCTGATACCAAAGCCTGGCAGAGACACAACAAAAAAAGAGAATTTTAGATCAATATCCCTGATGAACATCAATGCAAAAATCTTCAATAAAATACTGGCAAACTGAATCCAGCAGCACATCAAAAAGCTTATCCATGACAATCAAGTCAGCTTCATCCCTGGGATGCAAGACTGGTTCAGCATATACAAATCAATAAACATAATCCATCATATAAACAGAAACAAAGACAAAAACCACATGATTATCTCAATAGATGCAGAAAAGGCCTCTGACAAAATTCAACAGCGCTTCATGCTAAAAACTCTGAATAAACTAGGTATTCATGGGACATATCTCAAAATAATAACAGCTATTTATGACAAACCCACAGCCAATATCATACTGAATGGGCAAAAACTGGAAGCATTCCCTTTGAAAACTCACACAAGACAGGGATGCCCTCTCTCACCACTCCTATTCAACATAGTGTTGGAAGTTCTGGCCAGGGCAATCAGGCAGGAGAAAGAAATAAAGGGTATTCAATTAGGAAAAGAGGAAGTCAAATTGTTCCTGTTTGCAGATGACACGATTGTATATTTAGAAAACCCCCTCGTCTCAGCCCAAAATCTCCTTAAGCTGATAAGCAACTTCAACAAAGTCTCAGGATACAAAATCAATGTGCAAAAATCACAAGCATTCCTATACACCAATAATAGACAAACAGAGAGCCAAATCATGAGTGAACTCCCATTCACAATTGCTTCAAAGAGAATAAAATACCTAGGAATCCAACTTACAAGGGATGTGAAGGACCTCTTCAAGGAGAACTACAAACCACTGCTCAATGAAATAAAAGAGGACACAAACAAATGGAAAAACATTCCATGCTCATGGATAGGAAGAATCAATATCGTGAAGATGGCCATACTGCCCAAGGTAATTTATAGATTCAATGCCATCCCCATCAAGCTACCAATGACTTTCTTCACAAAATTGGAAAAACTACTTTAAAGTTCATATGGAACCAAAAAAGACCCGGCATTGCCAAGACAATCCTAAGCCAAAAGAACAGAGCTGGAGGCATCACGCTACCTGACTTCAAACTATACTACAAGGCTACGGTAACCAAAACAGCATGGTACTGGTACCAAAACAGAGATATAGACCAATGGAACAGAACAGAGCCCTCAGAAATAATACCACACATCTACAACCATCTGATCTCTGACAAACCTGACAAAAACAAGAAATGGAGAAAGGATTCCCTATTACAATAAATGGTGCTAGGAAAACTGGCTAGCCATATGTAGAAAGCTGAAACTGGATCCCTTCCTTACACTTTATACAAAAATTAATTCGAGATGGATTAAAGACTTAAATGTTAGACCTAAAACCATAAAAGCCCTAGAAGAAAACCTAGGCAATACCATTCAGAACATAGGCATGGGCAAGGACTTCATATCTAAAACACCAAAAGCAATGGCAACAAAAGCCAAAATTGACAAATGGGATCTAATTAAACTAAAGAGCTTCTGCACAGCAAAAGAAACTACCAGCAGAGTGAACAGGCAACCTACAGAATGGGAGAAAATTTTTGCAGTCTACGCATCTGACAAAGGGCTAATATCTGGAATCTACAAGGAATTTAAACAAATTTACAAGAAAAAGTCAAACAATCCCATCAAAAACTGGGCGAAGGATATTAACAGACACTTCTCAAAAGAAGACATCTATGCAGCCAATAGACACATGAAAATATGCTTATCATCACTGGCCATCAGAGAAATGCAAATCAAAACCACAATGAGATACCATCTCACACCAGTTAGAATGGCGATCATTAAAAAGTCAGGAAACAACAGGTCTTGGAGAGGCTGTGGAGAAATAACGCTTTTACACTGTTGGTGGGAATGTAAACTAGTTCAACCACTGTGGAAGACAGTGTGGCGATTCCTCAAGGATCTAGAACTAGAAATACCATTTGACCCAGCCATCCCATTACTGGGCATATACCCAAAGGATTATAAATCATGCTGCTATAAAGACACATGCACACGTATGTTTACTGCGGCACTATTCACAATAGCGAAGACTTGGAACCAACCCAAATGTCCATCAATGATAGACTGGATCAAGAAAATGTGGCACATATACACCATGGAATACTATGCAGCCATAAAAAAGGATGAGGTCATGTCCTTTGTAGGGACATGGATGAAGCTGGAAACCATCATTCTGAGCAAACTATCGCAAGGACAGAAAATTAAATATAAAAAAAAATTATCTGTAATATACTTTGAAGTGCATCAGAAGTGCATCAGAACATAAGACGGATTAATGGATAGGTGGAAGATAAATAAATGGAAAGATAAAAACAAACAACCAAAAAAAAATGGTAAAAATCTCAGATTCTTCATGCTTTTTTTTTTTTTTTTGATGGAATCTCTGTTACCCAGGCTGGAGTGCAGTGGCGCGATCTTGGCTCACTGCAACCTTCGCCTCCCAAGTTCAAATGATTCTTGTGCCTCAGCCTCCCAAGTAGCTGGGATTACAGGCATGCACCCCCACACCCAGCCAATTTTTTTGTATTTTTAAGAGAGATGGGGTTTCGCCATGTTGGCCTGGCTGGCCTCAAACTCTGGGCCTCAAGTGATCCACCCGCCTCAGCCTCCCATAGTACTGGAATTAGGAGCCTGAGCTGTGGAGCCCAGCTCACCATTTCTAAAGCTGAATTCACATTTTTTGCTTTCAGACTCCTTCCTTGGTTCCAATCCCATTGAATGGAAGCACCAACCACCTAGTTATCTTTAACAAAAATTTGTGCCGCCTTTACTACTGTTTCTTCCACAAACCTCCATATCTAGTAAATCAACTCTCTTGCTGTTACTAGTTAAATATTTCACAAATACATCTAGTTTTCTTCATCCCTACTGCTACCATCATAGTTTATGCTGATAATGCCTCTCAAGTAATAACTCAGAAAGTTTGTATCCCTGCCTCTAATTTGACTCTTTCGAATCCATTCTCCACATTGTTGCCAGGGCAATTTTTCCAAAAAACAATTATGTCACTTCTCTGAAAAGCCTTAATGACTACACATTGCACCAAGGATGAAATTCTGATGATACACAAGACCATGCATGAAATGATCCTTACTCACAACTCTGGCCTCACCTCTGAACACTGAAGTCTTAGGGTCCTATGAGTCATACCATGTTCCCTAGACTCTTTGCCTTTTTACATATCATTTAATCTGAAATGCACTTACCTATCCCTGCTTTCCTCCCTCTTCCAACCCTTCTCCTGACTAATGCTTACACACGCTAGGCCTCAGATTAGCCAAAACTTTCTCCAGGGAGCTTTCCCCAACATCAGGCCCCACTAGGATTCAGTTAGATGGGTTGTGCTTTCCTCAATCATAACATCATCTTACACACTTAAGATTTTAACTACGTATTTACTTGTTTGTCTCCTGCACAAAACTGTAAGCAACTTGAGCCATAACAGGTAACTTACTATTTTATACCCAGGTTCTTAAACATAGTAAATGTTCTATAAATATTTGCTGTCAGATAAATTAATCAATGAATGAATAAACAAATGCCATCTCTGCCGAACAAGAGCATAAGTCCCGCATGGCAAAATCTGAATCTGATAAATTTGCAATCATCTTATAATATGCGCTAAAAAACAAGGTTTTGGGGTTTTTTTAATTTCAGATAGGTCAAAATAAATCTTAAACTTTAAAGAACATTATGTACAATAGAAAAGTATACTTATAATGTTGAGAAAGAGATCTCAAGAGTAACACAATTCAAGCCCCTGCCTTTAAACAAATAAAAGATAATCCCTCAGCTGTAATCAAGTATTTATAAATTACTGTCAGCAATATTATTAAAAATAACATGAAAAATTACAAAATTAGATGTACAGAACCCCAAATAAGATATTAAAATAAAAATTGACTTACTCTACATGAATTCATTAATATGCTAGTGTAGAAAAAGAAGAAACACTGAGAAATGTGAGTATCCCACAGAATTAGAATGCTGAAATCTACTTGAGTTTAGAGCTTTCATAACTTTAAAATATTTGAAGCCATCCCTTTATAATAAAAAAATTGCCTTTGACAAATTGTTTTGCACATTCTATGGGAGAGAAATTCATACAAGCAAGTTTGCCCAGCTATAAAGATGATTTCCATATCCTAACTTTTAGCATATACTAACATAAATCTGCTTTAAATATATTGCATCATTCTGTATATTTTCTTTATAGCTTAATATCAACCATCAAAATCACTAGTGTCAACACCTCCTTTAAAAACATTCATGCATCATTCAAGGAAAATATTTTTAAAGCATATATATTTTGACATGTATTTTCAAACTGACAAGAACTCAGCAGTTATAAAGACTTATATTTTTCAGAGTAATAAAGTAGCAGAAAAGATAAAACTAGTCTGATAGAATTTCATTATATAATAGCTCTGAGAGTCAGTATCCTATCAATAGAAATCAGTCACTTTTATTCTCTTCTGAAAAATTATGTAAGGTGACTTGCAAAATAACTGTGGTTAGTGAAAATATTTTCAAAACAATATAACACCAGTCATTAAAATTCACAGCTGGTGTCTATTTCTCAGACTTTTCTCAATTTTCTCCTTTGCAATTCTTGAATCCAAGTCTCCTAGACCTTTAACATACCATTAAAGAATATTGTTTAAATGTTTGTTGCTAAAATATTTAAACATATTTTATCAAAAATAGTATTTGATGAAAAGTGAAACTTTCCCCAATATGCAATTAGATTAGTTTTTAAAAATTTATATTTTCTACTAAGACAGTTAACCCATAATTTACATTTATGTGAAAAACTGCATTATCTCATCATAATCTGGCTTTTGATAGCTAAAGCCCCTTTTTCACTTGAAGTAAAAATTGTACAGATATTACAAGGTGAAAGCAGACAGAAATTATTTTGCATTGCCAATGCTTCTGTAACATGTAGTTAAACTAAACTGACTTCACTGAATAATATCTGTTCCACAAATGATGGTTAAAAAAAAATTCAACTCATGCCCGTAATCCCAGCACTTTGGGAGGCCAAGGAGGGCAGATCACTTGAGGCCAGGAGTTTGAAACCAGCCTGGCCAACATGGTGAAACCCTGTCTCAAAAATACAGAAATTAGCCAGGTGTGGTGGCGCATGCCTGTAATTGGTTGCGAGGATGAGTCACGAGAAGCATTTGAACTTGGGAGGAGGAGGTTGCAGTGAGCTCAGATAATACCACTGCACTCCAGCCTGGGTGACATAGCAAGACTCTGTCTCAAAAAAAATAATAAAAAAATAAAACTCAGGTAAAACTTTGATTATGTATCAACTTAAGTTTTTAGTAATATATTTCTTTCCAGTAAACTATTCTATCATCTATAGATAATCACAGAATGTGAACCAATAATTCTATTAAGTATTGCCATTTATTTATAGATAGATGGATGAGTAGATAAATAATAATTAGTCATCTCTTGAGTTATTCAGGACATGTTTTGCATTCTTTAGTACTTAATTTAATAATTTCGCCATTCTCATTGGAATGTTAAATAAAAGCAGGATATTCCATTAAAAGGTTATGTTCCAAGAGCTATGCAATGAATAGTCTCTTGAGAATTAAATTTTAAAAACAATTACTTTTATTAACTACATAGAAACTTTTCGGTATCACTACTTAAAGGTGACTTAAAGATGCTATGTATAAGTATATTCAAGACAAAAACAAGTTTTCTACATTAGAAATAGTATTTAATTTACTAATTATTTTTATAAACAATAGACAAATATTTATTTGGCCTCAATATTCTTCTAAAACATCAAAATATTTCTGTTTTATTACTAGGTTATTTAAACTCATATAAAGTCAGAGTATAAACAATTAGTGCAAACACAATTATTCTAATGAATTAAGAGTTATGGAATTCAGAAAATTCATTACACAAAACGTTCACCTTCAGAGTAGATAATTATGTACACACTGTTCAAACAGAGCAGCTTGTTGGTATAAAGACCTCCTCTCATGGTGGGATAAGGAGAGTAATGAGAGCAACTTGTTGACATAGAAGACCCCCCTTATGGTTGTCTAAGGAATGCACTCAGTGTTCACCAAGAAGCACCTCTAAACCTTAAGACATAAGGAGATACTAATGATGTGCCAGAAAATATATGAGACTGTTTTATATTATATGTGTTTATAAACGTGTCTCTGTATGTAACTGCTTATGTTAAATATGAAATGCAAAAAGTAGCAAACTAGAACTGTTATACATTTTCCTAATTAAAACGATTAAATTCTATATTTCAGTTTTTAATTGGATCCATTTTGATATAGTGGTTTTTTTGTTTGTTTGTTTGTTTGTTTGTTTTTGAGAGTCTCACTCTGTTGCCCAGGCTGGAGTGCAGTGGGGCGATCTCAGTTCACTGCAGCCACAACTTCTCAGGCTCAAGTGATCCTCCCTCCAAGTAGCTGGGACTACAGGTGCACACTACAATATCTGGCTAATTTTTGTGTTTTTCTGTTTTTGTTTTGTAGAGATGGGGTTTTACCATGTTGCCCAGGCTGGTGGTTTTTGTTTTTTTGTTTTCTGGTAGACTCTCCCTCTGGGGCCCAGGCTGGAGTGCAGTAGCATGATCTCGGCTCATTGAAACCTTGCCTCCCAGGTTCAAGTGATTCTCTTCCCTCAGACTCTTGAGTGGCTGGGACTACAGGCATGTGTCATCACATCTGGCTAATTTTGCATTTTTAGTAGAGATAGGTTTTTGCCGTGTTGGTCAGGCTAGTCTTGAACTCCTGGCCTCAAGTGATCCACCCACCTTGGCCTCCCAAAGTGCTGCGATTACAGACATGAGACACCATGCCCAGCCTAATAAGCATTTTAACCCAAATGGGCTTCAGTAGTCCTTTGTTTTTTTCAAAACTGCATGTAAACAAATGGCTTGTTACTATCAAGATTTATAATGCAATACAGTGTATAATAAAATAAGTTACAATTATACATGGTTTTTCATTTCACATTATTCTTAATTGTGTAATGTTGAAAAAGAAGCATATTTCAGATTACTCTCATAAATACTGGTTTTTCCACCATAACATCCTTTCTTGTTTTTTCAAAACCATTTATCATAATGAAAAGTAAAATAACAAATATTGAAGTATATAGCAAATGTTTCCATTTTGCCCGTTTGTTATTAAACCAGCAAATGCTGGGTTTCTGCCCTTATTTCCCCCTTCTCTTATCAATAAATGCATTATTTAATGTTAAAGGTAAGGCGATAAGAGTCATGTAAAAGCCAGTGCCATACCAACTAGTTAATAACATCAAACTAATAAGACCACAGACCAACCTGCTTTTTTGACATCACTTCCAAATCTCTTTGGGCTACATTTTCAGTCAGCATGTAAGAATTAATCATAGCAATCCCATTACCTTAATGAGTATTCTATGTGTAACTCTCTATGCACCCAACATAAGGCCTTCACAGTTTATACATAGTTTATCTTTCAAATTTTATAAAAAAATCTAAATTCTTTATAAAGCCTAAACATATTTACATAATGTATATGTACACATATATGTTTATATATTAATTCATACACACACACACTCTCTATCAGTTCTCTATATAGCTAAGGAGTTGAGTTATAGTCATTAAAAGGATTATCCAAAATAAGTGACTGCATAGCAATATCTTGGACGGGGTTTGAATGAACTATATATTTAACAGAGCGTGTCAAATGTGAGGACTCCCATTCTTGAGACTATATGTATTACCTAAATGAAACTATTTGAAGCCTGAATACTGCATTCAATAATACAGGCCTGGGAAGGAAGCATTTTTTTTTTCTTCCTGAAGTGAATTTGATGCTTCTGAAAGACTGACAGATTTGGACGAGAAAGTATAGCTCTAAACTAAATTAAGTATTCACAGAACAAACACTGCAGCTGCAAGAGCAATTCAAATTTCCTATCACCAATGTTTCAATCCTCTTTTAAAAGAACGATTTCTGAGGTCAGAGGTTACTCCCATTTTCATGGCTATTCAGCCCCCTGGGTAATGTAGCTACCATGGGTACCATTAAATAGTGGCAATTGCGATAATGGTTATATCTGCAAAGCAGCAAGTAACTTTATAAAGGCTCCAACTATTACAAAAATAGTGATTTTACAATTCCACAAATTATTTCTGTAACATTTTGTCTAAAACTGGCTTGCATTA